>NC_000006.12:87648261-88273261 GCF_000001405.40 Homo sapiens
ATAATCTAAGTGAAAAAATAAGTATTTTTCTGATATTACCCCTTGTATTATATAACCTCGAAAACCAGTCATCCACTGTTAGCTATTTGCACTTCAGATATTTTTCCACACACAAATGTATATTAAATAATACTATATATGGTGTTCCACACTTGCATTTTTTGTTTTTTTGTGTTTGTTTTGTTTTTGTTGTGGTGGTTATTTTGGTTTGTGCCTAATATTCTACCACAGATGCCATGTTTTGAGATGCAATATAGCATGCTCAGTAAGAGCATGGATGTCAAGCTGAACTGTCTAGGTTCAAACCCCAGCTTTGCCAATTACCAGCTATTGGATTCTGGACAAGTTTACTTAAGTTCTCTGTGCCTTTGTTTTCTCATCTCTAACATGGGAATAATAATAGTATTTACATTGTATTGTATCAAATGACACTTGATACACATATGTGGGTATAAATGTTAGCTGTCATCATTAGTATTACATATTGCCCTACCTCATTGTTTCTCATCACTATATAATATCATGTTTTTAAAGTGCTTTTTATTTAATCAGACCCTTTTTTGATACATATTTAGATTGTTTCTAATTCTTCACTATTACAAACAATAATCATGAGCAGTGGTAAGTCTGTGTATTTGTATAACTATTTCCACAAAACAAAGGTAGATGTAAACATATTGAGTCTAAAATATAAACATTGTTGTACAGTGTACACTCACACCAACCATGTACCAGTGTGTATTTCCCTACACTTTTGCTGCTGCTGGATATTATCAGGCTTAAATATCTTTCTTGGTTTTCTTCTAGTATTTTATGGTTGATGAGCTAGTTCTTTTTCCCTGCTCCCAGACCGTACTTACATTTTTATTCTATCTGAAATGCATTTTTGTGTATAAGGTGAGATAGTGACCTGTTTTTTTAAAATAGTTAATTCTGATACCCAGTATCTTTTCCCTCACTGATTTGAAATGCTATCCCTGTGACATAACAAACACCCATGTACACCTAGATCTCTTTCTGAACTCATTCTCTTCTGTTGACCTGTCTATTCCCAAGTACCATCAATTTTAATCATCATAGCTTAACACTGTTTAATGTATTTACAGCCCTACCATACACACTCAAGTGTACACACATTGTTCCTGTTTTTTAGAACAATTATTCCAGATACATTTCAGAATAATTTTTAGTTTTTAAAATTTACGGCCAGGCGCCATGGCTCACACCTGTAATCCCAGCACTTTGAGAGGCCGAGGCGGGCAGATCACCTGAGGTTAGGAGTTCGAGACCAGCCTGACCAGCATGGAGAAACCCTGTCTCTACTAAAAATACAAAATTAGCCGGCGTGGCAGTGCATGCCTGTAATTCCAGCTACTCAGGAGGCTGAGACAGGAGAATCGCCTGAACCCAGGAGGCAGAGGTTGCGGTGAGCTGAGATTGCACCATTGCACTCCAGCCTGGGCAACAAGAGCCAAACTCCATCTCAAATAAAAATAAAAATAAAATTTACCCTCTGTAATTTTGTTTCAAACTGTTAAGAATATCGATTAATTTGGAAAGATTTGTATCTTTACAATAGTGAGTGTTAAAATGTCTATTCATTTATTCAGGGCTTTTTTAATATAGGTCATACACATATATTATAATGTGTATTGCTGTGTATTTAGTAGGTTTTGTTACCATTTTGAACATGGGCTTTTTTTTCATTATGTAGTTTAATATAAGATATTGATTACATTATATGGATATGTATATATGCATGCATATATATTTTTTATTCACTTACTTTTTTACACTCTCTTTTTTTTTTTTTTTTTGAGAGAGGGTCTCTGTTACCCATGCTGGAGTGCAATGGCATGATCACGGCTCACTGCAGCCTTGACCTCCCAGGCTCAAGCAGTCTTCATACTTCAGCCTCAGTAGCTGGGACTACAAGTGTGCGCCACCAGGCTGAGCTAATTTTTTCTATTTTTTGTAGGAATGAGGGTCTCACTTTGTTGGCCAGGCTGGTCTCAAACATCTGGGCTCAAGTGGTCTTCCCATCGGCCTCCCAAACTGCTGGGATTACAGGCATGAGCCACCACGCCCAGCTCTTTTACACTCTCTTTTATTTGCAGTTCTTAGATTTTCTAACTTTACAGTCACATCATATGAAATGATTAATTTCATCCTCCTTCTTAACATTTATACCATTTCTTTTTCTTAATTTATTGTAGCATCTAGACTCCAGAATGATGCTGAATAATAGTGATGATAGCAGGCAGCATTGATTCTGTGTGTGTATAATTTTACTGGAAAAAAAATTTTAAATAATGACTTTATTGGGGTTGGTTAAGTTATTATTTCTAATCAGCCTTATCTCAAGTCTTGTCATTTTACATTAAACAAGAGAATACTTGAGAAAGTGTAAGATCTTTCTGCTCTGGGAGCAAAACATAATCTTTGGCTAAGAATAAGAGGACTAGACTGGGTGCAGTGGCTCACGCCTATAATCCCAGCACTTTGGGAAGCCGAGGTGGGCGGATCACCTGAGGTCAGGAGTTCGAGACTAGCCTGACCAATATGGTGAAACCCTGCCTCTACTAAAAATACAAAATTAGCCGGGCATGGTGGTGCATGCCTGTAATCACAGCTACTCGGGAGGTTGAGGCAGGAGAATCGCTTGGACCTGGGAGGCAGAGGTTGCGGTGAGCCGAGATCACGCCATTGCACCCTAGCCTGAGCAACAAGAGCAAAACTGCGTCTCAAAGAAAAAACAAAAAAAGAATAAGAGGACTAATAACTATTTGAATCCCTGGCAGTTTACATCTGAGTACCTTCTCCAAGTGACACATTAAGAGTTATGACTAATGAAGTTTGCTTCCAAAGTTATATGAAATAATGCCCTCTTTTTTGGTCTCCTGGATAATAGGCTAGGTTTGGCCTTCCTTGATATTCAGTTATTTGGAGCTCAAAGTGGACAAGAGCTGTTGCTGCCCCTATCCTGGGAAGCTAATCCTTCACATGCTGCTAACTTGGGTTAGATCTTCTGCCAGCAGAACCTCACCCGTCTTTCCCCTCCAAGCAAGTCAGTGCCGGTGATTCCTTGGACACCAGAAATGCTAATCTTGTCTATTTGAATAGGCCTAAAGGTCAGGTTTAACAGATTGTTCAAGTGTATCTGACTTTGAGTTAACTTTCTTCTCATAACTCTATCTGGGCAATAGAAAGCCACAAATTTTAAATCTCAACTGTAATCAAGTATGAAATGTCTTGGCTTATTTTTCCTTGACCAGTTAGCTGCCTTTCACAGATAAAGATTATATCTTAGATAATTATTGTAGAAAGAGGAAGATAAAGTTTTATACTTTTAAAAAAACCCTGTGGAAATTTACTATTTGGTCTACCCTTAACAATTGCCATATTTAGTGGTTGTCTACTTTTTGTTGTTGTTGTTGGGGTTTAAATTTTAGTTCAAGTAACCAGTTCAATTTCTCAGTAATCATAGTCTACTTAGCTTTGTTTCTTTCTCCCAAGTTAGCAATATTAGTATTTCTCCTCATTTTTTTATTATGAAAGATGTCAAATATAAGTGAATTAGTTGTATTACAAAATGCCCACATTCTGGATTTGTCTGTTACTTCATGGTTAATATTAGAACTTTTTTTTTTTTTTTGAGACTGAGTCTCACTCTGTTGCCCAGGCTGGAGTGCAGTGTCGTGATCTCAGCTCGCTGCAACCTCCGACTCCCCGGTTCCAGCGATTCTCCTGCCTCAGCCTCCCGAGTAGCTGGGACTACAGGCGCCCACCACTACACCCGGCTAATTTTTTATAATTTTAGTAGAGACGAGGTTTCACCGTGGTAGCCAGGATGGTCTTGATCTCCTGACCTCGTGGTCCACCCGCCTCGGCCTCCCAAAGTGCTGGGATTACAGGTGTGAGCCACCGTGCCTGGAAATATTAGAACTTTTAATCATCATAGTTTTAATGACTTAGATGCATTTGCTGAGAATAATTTGAATATTTGTGTAATGCCACTGCTTAAAAATTCCTAATATTGGTCTGATTCCTTTTGATGCCATTACTGAGTATGATCTTAGTGGAGAAATCCTGTAAACTCCAAGAACAAGATCCTAACTTTAGAATATCTGTATTTTCTCTCCATTTCTAACAAAGATTTCTTCTATAGCTGTGAATGAGCTACTCAACCACTCTGCCTGTGCTATAAATAACAATTAGATCTGCCTACTTCATTTAAAGTTCAGTGGGTTTACTGACTGATGTTTATAAAGCCCATAGGAGATGTAAAGCATAGTTTAAATGGTGATAATTAGAGAAATGAGTGTACTATTTTGGTTCTTTCAAACAAGTTTACATTTAGCACGTCATATCTTCTGTAGACATTTCTTATTTCATATGTACGTTTAGATCAAAAGAAAGGAAAACTATCATTAAATGCCTACTGTGTGGTAAGCACTGTGCTAGAGTCTTCCACTGCTTCTTCTCATTTAATTTTTAAGTCTCCATCTAACCTGTGAAATAAGCAAGTTATTATTTCCATTTTACAGACAACGAACCAAGGATCAGAGATGTATAATAACCTTATTCTTTATTACAAACATCATGTTAGAGCCACACTATGAATCCAGACCTTTGTAAATTTTCTAAGCTAAACTTTATCATGAGAACCCTTCAAGAATTCTTCTGAATGTCACATATATGGAGGAAAATCTCTCCAAAAAATGTTGGTAGCTACTAATGAAGAATTTCTTTTATCTTCTGAGCGGAAACATTTAATATGTATATTAAATAAAATGTTTTTTAAGTGTTAATTTTCTAGTTATATTACATTTCCTGTCACTGACTCTGTTCTAGGATGTTGGCAAAGGATGAACTGATGACCATACTTGAGAAATGTTTCAAGGTTTTTAAGTCTTATTGTGAAAACCACCTTGGCAGCACAGCTAAGAGAATAGAGGAGTTCCTGGCCCAGTTTCAGAGCCTCGATGGTAAGAGTGTAATATCCTTCCAATTCTATTGGCCATGACAGTCATTTAACTAAAATGGCATGGAAAACCCCACCTTCTGATGTGCTTAGAGATAAAGAGATAAAGTAGTTCATGATCAGTCAGTATGCCAAGCCTCATAGTATCACATTTTAACAATCACAAATAGGCCAAATGTTTCTCTTCTAGATTTGGTTTAAACAATGGAGAGCATCAAATGGGCAGAAAAAGAAAATCTTTCTCCAGATCGACAGTTTGGGGGATTTGTCTTTAAAAAGTCAACAAAAAGAAATCAAAAAGATTGGAAAGAGTAGCAGGGTGTCATAATTAAGAACTCTTTTTAGAGGTTTTTTCTTAAGCATTTCATCAAGTTCTTTATAGATTTCCAAAGCACTGCATAAATCATCTGTAAGCTTGAAAAATTAATAGCTATGAACTGCTTTCACAGCAGTGAGGCTCATTGGTATGTTGATTACCAAAATCTGCATGAGGCTTACTTTAATCGGATTTACAAAAGCTGGAATCTTTCAGTCCTAAATTAACTGAAGCAGCCTGGCACTCTTCACTGTTGGAGGGTTACAGTTTCTCTCTTTTGCTTGACCTCCACATGATCATTTATATATCCTGAATGCTTAGGGTGTCTGATTGTATATAGGTAGCCATGTTCTGTTCCCTAAATACTAGCTTTTCATGGGCTCTTCTCTTGCTCTGTTTCTAGCACCAAAGTATGGTATTCTTTTAGTAGAACAATAACAACAATAAAATATATTGGTGTGTACGTTTTACTTTTCCCAAATTTAGGGCAATTTTTTAATGGAGTTTTGGGGGAACAGGTAGTTTTTTCATATATAATCACATAGAATTGGACATGACATGTTGAAAATATCTTATTTAAAATGTCTGTTTTAATCCTTTTTTATGTTTGGCAAGTGCTTCTTTGTCTTAAAAATCTTTTGGCTTTAGGAAACTGCTTTTGCAAAAATCTTCCCATATCTCTCCATAGCTACAATGTGAGGCACCTGATGAGTGCTCAGTCATGGAAGATGAAAGAGAATGTTTGCCTGACTAGAGTGGCCTGAGCAGCCAGAGTGAGGAAGTCATCAGCAGGCACTAAGGGATTTTCTTTCAGGTTATGTGTGGGCATTGCTCTTGCCACTGCAGCATGAACTCAACCACTCTTCAGAACACAAAAACTTTTAAGGGCTGGATGTTGGTATCATTAAGATCATTGAGTTCAGCTATATAACCAGAAACTAAAGTCTAGGAGAAGACGGCAGCTTGTTTGAGATCACACAGCTAGCTAGTGGTAGCACTCAGACCAGAGCCCATCTCTCTTAACCACTAGTTCATTGTTTTTCTGTCGCTAATTCACGATATAAATACGCCCTAATAGTGATCACTGGATCAGCAAGGGGCCAACCTTAAGTACATAAATAGGGTAAAAGGCTTAGAAAAATAGAAGGTAAATACTGTGTAAATTTCAGTCTTTTACAAAATGGGACTTATGGAGATTGCTGTAAAAATAAACTGCACATATAATTTTTTCTTCTTTTTTTGCTGGGCACCATTAACGAGGTAATCTAGATACATTTTTAATTAGAGTTCATATAATATGAGCTAGTAAACAAATTCTGTGATATGCTAGAGCTAAATAAAGGAATGCAGCTTTTGAAATGGGAAGGTCGAAGATTAAGATGATTAGTAGCCTAAAGAATAAAGAATTTTACAAATTAAAGCACAACCACTGTCTTGAAGAAATGTCTGTTATTTCCTGATTTTCAAAAGTGACTCATTATTAATAATAAACTGAAACTAAAACTCCCCACGTTGGATGAGTAGAAATATTTGGCTATATGCTATCTGTGTTCCTTAACATTTATTACATATTACAGTTTGGGTTTAAAATTACAGTTGGGAAGAGTTAAGTAGGACAGAGTGTCATATCAGATTTTTTTTGAGACAGGATCTTGCTGTGTTGTCCAGGCTTAAGTGCAGTTGTGCAGTCATAGCTCACAGTTCCCTCAGACCTCCTGGGCTCAAGTAATCCTCCTGCCTCCACCTCCTGAGTAGCTAGGACTACAGAAAAGGGCCACAACATCCAGCTGAATTTTTTTTTTTTTTTTTGGAGACAGAGTCTCCCACTGTTGTCCAGGCTGGAGTGCAGTAGCATGATAGGCTCACTGCAGCCTATACCTCCCAGGCTCAAGTGATCCTCCCATCTTAGCCTCCCAAGTAGCTGGGACTACAGGCACGTCCCACCACACTTGGCTAATTTTTTTGTATTTTTGTAGGGATGGGGTTTTTCCATGTTGCTCAGGCTGGTCTCGAACTCTTGGGTTCAAGCAATCTGCCTGCCTCAGCCTCCCAAAGTGTTGAGATTATAGGCATAAGCCCCCTCATCAGCCTAATTATTATTATTATTTTTTTTTTTTTTAAATAGAGACAGTGTCTCACTATGTTTCCCAGCCTGGTCTCGAACTCCTTGTCTCAAGTGATCCTCACACCATGGCCTCCCAAAGTGCTGGGATTATAGGAATGAGGCACTTCATTCAGCCCATATTAGATATATTTCAAAGGCATATTAGGTTTATTAACATGTAGCAAACTACATGTTAATGACATGGGACAAAGAATCTAGTAGACATTTTAACCTTTAGTTATGTCTTTTTTGAACCAGAAATTAGCTGTAGCTAAAAAGCAGTTTATTCTTTAAGCCAATGCATATTCTCCAGCTGCATCCTCCTGTCATAGTTTTAGGCCAAACAAACCATGTGTGTGGGGTTCACAAAACCCAACCTGCACTTGAAGAAGAATATGAGAGCATTATGCTCTCTAGAAGGAGCACAGCTGTACATTTAAGCAGTTATGGTTTTCTTTCCCTTTGCTAAAGAACCATGATGCACTTTATGTTTTAGTGGATTATTTCAAAACTTTTACACACTACCCTCCTCATACTCAAATTTTGTTGTTTACAATCTTGACATAATCAAAGGAAAACAGTTTTAAGTTTTTATTATTTTTTTAAAAAGCTATGTATAACATCAAAAATATTTGAGACTGGCTGGGCATGGTGGCTCGTGCCTGTAATCCCAGCACTTTGGGAGGCCAAAGCGGGTGGATCACCTGAGGTCAGCAGTTCGAGACCAGCCTGGCCAACGTGGCGAAACCCCTTCTCTACTAAAAATACAAAAATTAGCCAGGCATGGTGGCCGGCACCTGTAATCCCAGCTACTCCGGAGGCTGAGGCAGGAGAAGCACTTGAACTGGGAGGAGGAGGTTGCAGTGAGCCAAGATGGCGCCACTGCACTCCAGCCTGGGCAACAGAGCAAGACTCCATCTGAAAAAAAAAAATTTTTTTTTTTGAGACTTTTTGCTGTTGGTTTGAGGGAGTTTTGTTAGGTTGTATTTTGTTTTGTTTTCATTGTGGTTACACTTTTAAAATTCAGTAGCTGATTTTTTGAAGACATCACTACAGCACAAGTTATATATTATTGGCCTTCAGCTTCTGTAAGAAATCATTTATCAGATGGAATCTTGATCCCTTGCCACATTAAAAAAATATATATAGGTGAAACTTTTACTTTGGAGTAGTAGAAATGTTTGTTCCCTTGACTTGGATTTACCCTCATTGATGTCTACTGGTTTTGTATTAAAAGCAGAAACCAAAGAGGAAGAAGATGCTTCTGGGTCACAGCCAAAGGGGCTTCAGAAGACAGACCTCTATCATCTTCAGAAGGTCAGGTCACTCTCTTCCCTTCCAGCTGCATCCTGTGACACTCCCTTTTTTCAGTTTGTGCTCTAGATTAACTCTGCCTGGATGTTTTTGTTTTCATTTTTAAACCACAACCAGGAACAAAGCAGACTTTTAACTCACTTCTAAGTTGAACATCCTGTTAGTCCCATTGCCATCATTACTCTACATATACACATTCTGGAACCTACTAGCTAACATAGGTGGAAACCATTCCTGTGGGCTCAGCAAGAGAAAGAGAATCAGCTAGCAATAAGAGAAAATGGGAACATGGCTGCACAAATCTGATTATTTATCTGATGTATTTTTCTGTTTGATCAAACTGAGAGATTTAAAAGAGCCTAACTAATTAGTTTTAGTTACTTTCCTTGATTTTTTAAAATGCATATTCAAGTATAGAGCAGAAATTGAGCCACAGTATATCCAATATATTCTTTTTCAGATAGTTCTAACTTTAGGATCTTGATTGTCGAAATGAAGAACCTTCTTTGTACTGTGATACCAAATTATGATAAATGTAGAGTAAAATTTCAATCTAAGTAAAATAAAACACATGGAATCTATTCTGTTAGTATGGCAAAAAGGCAAGATTTTTTTCTTTATCCTGTTAAGTCCTTTTCTTAAATGACTTAATGGACTGAATAGTGAGCACTCTGCCATGTAATTTAGTAGTAAAGTGAACTGCCCTTTTCTTCTTTCCCTAAAAATTTGCTTGTATATTATAAAGCAAAACACCTTTGAGGCGAGATTCTTGCCAGACCTTAAAAATAAAAAGAATAAACAAAACCCATTTTGATCTTTCTCTGTACATCCTGTCTTATGGAAAGGGCATCAGGTGCTTCTATAGAACTTACCAACAGAGCTCCCTCTGAGGGGTTTTCTGTCTGAGGATCACCAGAAAAGCTATGTTCTTTTATCTATAGTCCTTATTGGAAATGAAGGAGTTAAGAAGAAGTAAGAAGCAAACCAAATTTGAAGTACTCAGAGAAAATGTTGTGAACTTCATTGACTGTCTAGTGAGGTAAGTCTAAATTTAGCTCTTAAGAGCTAAAAATCATGCTGTTTTTCCAAATAACACTGGTGTCATAGCTGTCTATAGCCAATCCAGAACATTTTTCTCCTAGGTTAGGCTTTATGCTTTTCAGGTCTCTCCATCTAGCTTAGAGTTGTAATTTTTAGGCCAGGCGTGGTGGCTCACGCCTGTAATCCCAGCACTTTGGGAGGCCAAGGCTGGTGGATCACGAGGTCAGGAGATCGAGACCATCCTGGCTAACAAGGTGAAACCCTGTCTCTACTGAAAGTACAAAAAATTAGCTGGGTGTGGTGGTGGGCACCTGTAGTCCCAGCTACTCGGGAGGCTGAGGCAGGAGAATGGCATGAACCCAGGAGGCGGAGCTTGCAGTGAGCCAAGATCGTGCCACTGCACTCCAGCCTGGGCAACGGTGCAAGACTCCGTCTCAAAAAAAAAAAAAAGAATTGTAATTTTTATTCTTTTTCCATCATTATCAAGATGTCTAATCAAATGACTTAGTTCATTCTTTTAATCTCAGTTAAGAATATAGGCTTAAATTTGATCTACTTCATTAGGTCAGGTGGGGAGAGATGAGATAGAAAGTGAATGTTTCTCTTTCTAATAATAAAGTATTTGTATTACACTTTATCTTTGCTAGGAGTAAATGCTGGATCTGAGCCAAGCCCAGAAAGTAGAGCAGACTAGCCATGCTGCTCTATTTTATCCTGAAGAAAGAACATTTAATTCTAAACAATGCCAGTGCACCTCATTATCAGCACTAAATTTATGTTGAGACATGTGCTGGGTAAATTTAGAAGTCTACCAATCCAGCCTGTATTTTAAGATGTTTCCTTTTTAGGAAACCCAGATCATTCTGATTCATGGATTTCCCAAAAGTCAGCTTTATGTAGCCGTGTAAAATCACCCACCTAAGTTTGGTGGAAGTTGGGCATGCTACAGAAAAAAATGAGAAGTGTGCAAAAGAAAACGATTTAATACCTAAAAAGTGGGGCGGGGGGGGGAGAACCTGTTATCATTGTTTATTGTAATTTTTTTTTTTTTTTTTTTTTTTGAGACGGAGTCTCACTCTGTCGCCCAGGCTGGAGTGCAGTGGTGTGATCTTGGCTGACTGCAACCTCCGCCTCCCGGGTTCAAGGGATTTTCCTGCCTCAGCCTCCCGAGTAGCTGGGATTACAGGCATGTGCCAACAGGCCTGGCTAATTTTTGTATTTTTAGTAGAGACGGGGTTTCACCATGTTGGTCAGGCTGGTCCTGAACTCCTGACCTCATGATCCACCCACCTCGGCTTCCCAAAGTGCTGGGATTACAGGCGTGAGCCACCGCGCCCGGCCCTGTTTATTGTAATTTTTAATGGCAGTTTAAACCCAACAGCAGGCTAGGCACTGAATAAAGTACTGAGAAAATAGCAGCACAATTATTAAAGAGAAAGAGTGCTTTTCTGACAAATTACATGTCTTTTCTGAAAGTGAAAAGCTTAGTTTTCCAGAATAATGTGGGGACAGAGTCATTGTTCCTAGTCATTGGGGAGAAATTGCTAATGCCATGAAAAGGTCCAAAACGATCAACCAAGGCCGGGCGCATTGGCTCACGCCTGTAATCCCAGCATCTTGGGAGGCCAAGGTGGGCAGATCACTTGAGGACAGGAGTTTGAGACCAACCTGACCATCATGGTGAAACCCCGACTCTACTAAAAATACGAAAAATAGCTGGGCATGGTGGCGCACACCTGTAATCCTAGCTACTTGGGAGGCTGAGGGAGGAGAATGGCTTGAACCCGGGAGGCAGAGGTTGCAGTGAGCTGAGATCGCACCACTGCACTCCAGCCTAGGCAACAGAGCAAGACTCCATCTCGAGAAAAAAAAAAAAAGTGATGAACTGCAATATTGGCCAAATACTGGTCAAAAATTACATAGAACCCACAGAGTTAACCTTGCCCTACTGGGCTTTCCTGTTCTTGTAGAGTCTAGCCCCAAACTCTTGACTCTTCCCTTTTACCAGGCAGTGAACATGGTAGTCACTAAAAATAATTTTGCAATGTGATTTGCCAATTTTAGGCCAAATGTCAGGTTCCAGAGTTCTTACAAATTCCAAATTGTAGGCTCTGAAATCACATCAGCCGTTTCCCTGTCATGATCCTTCACCTAATATGTCTGACTTTTTACCTTTCTGAGCAGTTGTTGAAATAATGCTCAGTATAATTAAATGTGTTTTGTTGTAAAATCACAAAATCTTCCATACTAGGATTTAGTGTCTTTACCAAGATTGTCCCAGGAGGGAAGAGATTAGAATTGTAGCATGTTAAAGCTAAAAGAGACCTGAAGAGTCAGCCCTGTGGCAGCTAAAGGCCAGAGAGGGGCTGTGACTCATGCAAGGTCACACAGTCTCATTCTCCTGACATCTGCCAAAAGGCCCTCTCCATTTCTCTACACTGCCCTCAACAGCCACACCACAGATGTCTGGGCAGAGCTTGGAGTTATGGAGAAAGGATGTCCTTTAAAGACAAATATAAGCAGGAGACTTCAGGAGGCAGAGTTCACAGTATACCATGAGCAGCTCTTGGCAAAAATACTGGCAGGCAAGAATAAGTTGCCAGATCTTGAGAGATGAGAATAAATTGCCACTTTCTAAGTTACTGTTTTTGCCAATAGCAAGCTTCAACTTTGTAGCCCTTGTTGATACTAATTCCTCCAGTTCCTTCAGAACCACCTCTTTCAGGGAAGGCCTATCATTTGTCTGGTCTGAATCCAAAATGAGCATAATGCAGTGCTTTAGTGCCAGACTCATTGCTTACTTCTTCTCACATAAATAAGTCACAGAAGTATATTTCTATGTCAATCTCCAAGTCTGCAGTCAGATAAAAATTCTAATGTATAATGTATTTTGTTACTGTTGTTGTTCAACTAATGTAGCCAGTGGAAACAAAATTAAGGCAGATATTTTATTTTTGCTCTGATGGTTCTTTGAGGATATCTAGAGAGGTCTTTTGCCTTGGGAAATGCCTGAATTTCTATATATCACATGTAAAAATGTTAAAATGTGAGGCGATAGTTTGAGTTTCTGAAGTTGACTCTATCTGATTGCCTTGTTAGATATCCAATCCTTATTACATAGCAGGGACTGCAACAAGATCTTTTAATGACAGCCATGTATAATGATTGGGAAATAACTGCCTGAGGTTAGTGTAGGAAGAGTTTATGGTCAGAAATTACAAATTGGTAGCCAGCCATCACAGAAACTATTTCCTGAAGCTACAGCTAAGTTAACTTAACCTTGAGTAATTAAGATGTTAACAGTATCTGAGGTATAGAATATTGTTTCTTAGTGAGGATCAAGTCAAAATCATACACTCTTTGCAAGTAAGTTTTGTTCCAGTTGACTCTGGAGAAGGAGCAGCACCTAGAATTAGAATGAGCAAGGGGTCATTAGCTCTTGAGATGGGGGAGAAAAGGAGGATGGTGAAGAGTGATGTCCATGTTGAATACCCTTTCCACTTCCTCTCTTCTTCAGAGCTCCTGGCCACATCGGGACAAAGCAAGTGTAGGGGATTTCTAGGGAGTGGTATCCTCTCCAGAAGAAGAGAAAGGATACTTGGAAGAAGGGGAATAATGTCCCCAGTGACTGGGCTGAGGTAGCTGCTTTGCTCTGCTTGTACTGGTAGGAAAAGGAGCTGACACAAGCTGTCATGTGGCCAAAATACTTTAGGCTCAGGACTGGACTAAGCCCCAGAAATCTTCTTTATGAAGTCATGTGAGTTAACTATATACTTTAATCCAGTTAGTGACATTACTCTGTCTATGGGTTATGTGTGCCAAAGCTTCTCCCCTCCAATTTGCCACCCTCCAGGCATCCAGTATAGTATCACTGTCATGGCACAGACCACCTGATGGGCTCATTATACATGCAAAGCAAATTTTTAATGCCATATTTTTTAGTTCCGAATTTATTAAAATTGTTTTATCATCTAGCTCATAGGTGAAAAAAATCCCAAATTATGGCAGATTTTTTATAAGTGAAATTTTATTAATGATTTGTTTTTCAATACTCTGAAACTAAGATTTAGTCTTTTCTGCCTTCTAACGTAATAAGTAATTCCAATATATAAAAAACTTTTGGGCCGGGTGCGGTGGCTCACACCTGTAATCCCAGCACTTTGGGAGGCCAAGGCTGATGGATCACCTGAGGTCAAGAGTTCAAGACCAGCCTGGCCAACATGGTGAAACCTCATCTCTATTAAAAATACAAAAATTAGCCGGGCGTGTTGGTGGGCACCTGTAATCCCAGCCTCTCAGGAGGCTGAGGGCTGAGTCAGGAGACTCACTTGAACCTGGGAGGCAGAGGTTGCAGTGAGCCGAGATTGCACCACTGCACTCCAGTCTGGGTGACAAGAGTGAAACTCCGTCTCAAAAAAAACCAAAACAAAACAAAAAAACCCCACAACTTTTGAGGTGTCATTTCCATGAAAGATATCAACTAAAAATTTTCTGTGATCCAAGAAGAATTTCCTGAACTCTTAATTCCAGGCCTGTGTTTAATATTGCCAAAGGTTAAATGTTTGCTGTGCTAGAAAATGTAGATATCTGTTTTCTCATTTACTTTAAGAAATGCTATCTTAAAGATTTCTAAGCAGAAATGTAGTATATATACATTTGTTCCTAAAGGTTTAACTCAGAACTGAAATATACAGCTTCTTATAAAGAGTCTAGAGGTAGTTTTAAAAACTATTATATGGAAGAGATGCAGTTCTGAGTGAAACTGTATTAGAGCTGATATTTGGGTTTGTTTCATTCGTTTGTTTTTGGTTGTTAATTTTGCTTTTAGTAAATGGTTCAGTCCTCTACAGAGAGAGGATTGACAAAAATGTTATAGTGAAAATTGAAGTCCAACAGAGCTTAAAGGAAAAAATATATATATTATATATAAAGAAAATAAACCTGTGCTTATCTAAACATGGATGCCTGACTGGCTGTTTCAGAGAATACCTTCTGCCTCCTGAGACACAGCCTCTCCATGAGGTGGTGTACTTCAGTGCTGCCCATGCCCTTCGTGAGCATTTAAATGCTGCTCCGCGAATTGCCCTCCATACTGCACTCAACAATCCTTACTATTATCTCAAGGTAAGATGAACATTTAGTTTTCTGATAGTTTAGCTCAGACTCTGGGCGTCATTGTCATAAAAATATACTAAATTTGCAGTTATGTTTTAATGAGCAGAGAGTCGGCAATTCAGGGTTGCACGTCTCATATATTTTTAAAAATTCTTTAGACTGTAGAAAAAAATTTCTAACCCCATAAAGATAGCAATTAGTAGTCAACTGTTGCTGCCAGTTTTTGACCATGTGTAATCTTTGCCCTTCACATGCTAAAGTCAGATCATAGGCACAAAGACTTGAGAGTATAATGTTACCACTCTTGTGAAAATAAAAGAAATGTTTCCTGTAAACATAACAGCAGACAGGGATTAAACAATATGGCCTAATAAATTACTGAAAGACCGAAATGGTTGTTTCTAGTGGGAAAGAGAAATACTTTGGGACTTCATCTTGGATTTTAAAACAAAGAAAGGTCTATTCTGAGAGCATCTGCAGAGCTGAGTGTAGAGGATAACCAGCAGTCTGCCACTAAAACTCCTGGGGCAGCACACTTCAGCTGCCCTTGCTAAAGTCCAGACACAGTTATCAACTCCTGGAAGCTCTTTAAACAATAGTTCAAGACAGCTCACAATTTTAGAAACTAGCTTTCTTATGACCGGGCAAAATGATCACTTTAAACATTCAATAAGCTGTATATACATGAAAGAGTGGTAAGTTAAATACCCAGAAATCTTGCCACAATAAATACTTAAGAAACAACTCCGTAAGACCTATGAAGAGCATTCCAGTGTACTGGCTTCTCATTGCAAAACGGCACACAAACATGCAGAGTATTACAAGAATATTGAGTAGGACGATATAAGTCAATGGTTTTCAGTGATGGTGAAAACCACTGAATAATTTCATACTTAACCAAAAAATCAGTTAATTTTAATATATAAACCATAAATTAAAACTTACAAAATCTGTCTTCTTCTTGGCTGGTGGGTCACAGAAGAGAACTGGTATGATTTCAGTTGTCTTTGGGTGGGATATATTATAATATACCCCTGATATTATAATATCAGAGCAGGGTGTGTATGTAAGACTTTGTGTTTCTCAGTAAAAGCCATGGATTTCAAATAGGTTGAAGAAACACTGATGGTTTCTATAGGGCTTAAGGTCTGCAGTGTTGACAACGTAGTCTTTTCTTTAAAAGAAATTTATACCCCTGGTAAGTGGTATTAGTATTTACTAATACAGTATAGTAATTGTTAGAATTCAGCTAATTATAAGTGTTGGAAGTACCATTTTATTAAGTATTCCTAAAGATTTCCATAAACTTTTTACATTAAGTGCATTCAGGTCTGAGAAATTAGTAATTTATGGATTGAAATGAAAAATATGCTTATCTTCTAATCCTGGGAATATTCTTCTAGTGACTAAGAACTAGAGGGGTTATGACCAAGACATAAACCTAAACAAGAACTAGCTAACTATTGAATAGACTCACTCACTAAATAAGGGAAACCAAGATTCCATTTACTGGTTTACTCAGTTTAGGTTGGGGGCTTCATTAATGTCTGATTTTATTCCTAATAATTTATAAAAGTTAGTCATCTTAGTTTACTGTTAATTGTTAGAATGAAGCACTGAAAAGCGAAGAAGGCTGCATTCCGAATATCGCCCCAGACATCTGCATAGCATACAAACTGCACCTAGAGTGTAGCAGGCTCATCAACCTCGTGGACTGGTCAGAGGTAGGTTGTAGGGAAAAGAACAAGCTAGATATTTTTCTAACCATCCATGATGACTTTCTCAGAATAGTTTTATACTTTTAGTGCTTTGGAATTTATCTTGTGTTTAATGCCTTGTCTTTTATTTGGAAAGCATAAATCATTTCAAACTTTAAAAGTTCCTTAGGAAGTGGTAGTTCAACAGTCCCCACTCCCAATCCCCTGCCCTCTGATCCTGAATTCCTTAACCAAGCCAATTCTGTGTTCATGCTAGGTCAAAATAAGTATGTGATCTAACCCAATAGTTAGCATTAAGCAAAAACTAAACAATTTAGGTCAGTTCTGTTATTTCACAAAATAAAGTATATTATTAACTAGCATTTCTCTTCTTGCTTAAAAGAAAAAAAATTGAAGTAACTACACAACAGATTTAGCAATCAGGAAGTATAAGGAATACTTGGCAAGGCAATAAACAACTGTTGTTATTCTTTAAAATAAACAACTATTCTTTCTGTCTTCAGAATAGTATTACAAAGATCTTAACTCTATTAAAGGCCTTACAGATGTCTTGTCACCATTAAAAAATATCCATAATTGGCTGCTTCCAAGAAAAATAGATATTTTCCTGGAGTAAGATTAGTAGAGGAAACAGGGCTTTCTTGTTCTTTTACCTTTGACTAGCTTCGTTTCTTTTCTCTGCATACTCTTAGTTCTCTGAAACAAGATTATTCAGGAACCATTACTTTATCTTTTAATATATAAGTGGTTTAAAGTGATCATCAGTGTAGTTTTGACAATCTTAAATTTGATATAATGAAGAATATGTGCCAGCTATCAACAGCCATTAAAAGAAGTATAGTAAAAGATGTTTGGCAACTGTAGACATTTTTATTTTCTTCTGTCTTGTCTATTCAAAAGGCTTTTGCAACAGTTGTGACAGCTGCTGAAAAAATGGATGCAAATTCTGCAACCTCAGAAGAAATGAATGAAATTATCCAGTATCCTTTTAAAACCATTTCTACAATGTCCAACTACACATAAAATATAAGTTTATAATTTCTCCAGGTCTACACTAGATATTTATAAAGGCGTACTCCAAACAACCGTATTACTTGTTAATATTAACCATATGGTGCTAGAATAACTGAAATTTCTGAATCTTTATTTTGAATTTAATCCAAAATGAGACCAAACCTAAAACTTTTGGTATCAAATTTATATCAAGATTATATTTTAAAATTTACCAAAAATGAAACTGCCATTATTGAATTCTCTTTTTTTGGTTTTTGTTTTTTTTGTTTGTTTGTTTGTTTTTGAGACGGAGTCTCGTCTATCGCCCAAGCTGGAGTGCAGTAGTGCGATCTTGGCTGACTGCAACGTCCGCCTCCTGGGTTCAAGCAATTCTCCTGCCTCAGCCTCCCAAGTAGCTGGGATTACAGGTGCCTGCCACCAAGCCCAGCTAATTTTTGTATTTTTAGTAGAGACGGGGTTTCACCATGTTGGCCAGGCTGGTCTCGAACTCCTGACCTTGTGATCCGCCCGCCTTGGCCTCCCAAAGTGCTAGGATTATAGGTGTGAGCCACCTCACCCGGCCTAATTCTTTTTTTTTTTTTTTTTTTTGAGACAGAGTTTTGCTATTGTTGCCCAAGCTGGAGTGCAGTGGCACGATCTCGGCTCACCGCAACCTCCACCTCCCGGGTTCAAGCGATTCTCCTGCCTCAGCTTCCCAAATAGCTGGGATTACAGGCGCCTGCCACCATGCCTGGCTAATTTTTGTATTTTTAGGGGAGATGGGATTTCACCATGTTGGCCAGGCTGGTCTTGAACTCCTGACCTTAGGTGATCTGCCTGCCTCGGCCTCCCAAAGTGCTGGGATTACAGGTGTGAGCCACTGACCTGGTCTGAATTCTCTATTTTTCTAATGTACGTTTAGAAGTGGGGGCGGGGAGCAATTTCCATACTATGTAGAACATTAGATTTAGGAAGCATTAAGTACTTTTCCATTTATGTTTTATTGATAGTGGATTCTAATTAATGTTTTCCAGTAACAGTTATAGTTTAATTTAGGAGTTTATATCTGAACTATCTACTTCATTTTACCAACTAGTATTTTAACATTGAGATTTTAATCCCTTTTTGTCAAAAATACAGCACGGCCAGTTTCCTTAATTAAAGCCTCCAGTGCTCGGTTTATTAGAGCTGTTTCTGAACTAGAACTTTTAGGATTTATAAAACCTACCAAACAGAAGACTGACCATGTGGCAAGACTAACATGGGGAGGCTGCTAGAAAGCAAATAAGCAAAGCCAGAACTATCACATTTAGCTTAAGAGAAAAAGGTGACCAGTCATATTTACATATATTAGAGGAGCCTGTTTTGTTGAGAAGATAAATGTGTAACCCCCATTGATGTTTAACCAGAAAAGTACATTGCTAACCCCAAACAGGCATGTATCAAAACACCTGTGGAGTACTTTAGACTCCAACAAATAATAATGTAACTAAAACTGCTCACACATTTTACTGTACTTTCCAAAGTCATTACTAAATTGTGAGTAAATCATTCTTGAACTTAGAGTATGTAAATGTAATAAATTCCGTTATCCAGGAGTATAAATTATTTGCAGTTGCTTTAGCAATCCTCATTCCTCCTCTCCCAATTCCCTGCATTGGCATTCCTCACTTTAGTGTAGTAGGCAGTAAGTAACATGAATATCTTACAGGTTGTTTCTCCTGGTGACTACATAGGTTCCAAAACTGTCTCTGCCTCTCCATTTCCTGTAGTCTTACAACTTTAAAGAAAAAAAAAAAAGGCCAGGCGTGGTGGCTCACACCTGTAATCCCAGCACTTTGAGAGGCCAAGGCGGGTGGATCACAAGGGCAGGAGATCGAGACCATCCTGGCCAACAAGGTGAAACCCCATCTCTCCTAAGAAATACAAAAAATTAGCCAGGTGTGGTGGCACATGCCTGTAGTCCCAGCTACTCGGGAGCCTGAGGCAGGGGAATTGCTCGAACCCGGGAGGCGGAGGTTGCAGTGAACTGAGATCGGCCACTGCACTCCAGCCTGGGTGACAGAGTGAGACTCCGTGTCAAAAAAAAAAGTCCCAAACTGTTTGGCTTTATTTAGGCAGTAAATATTCTACTTCGGGATGACCTGTCATGGAGCCAGTAAGGCCTCTACAAATCACATCCCAAACAAATACAACTCAGATGAGCAAAGTAAGGCCCAGATGAAATGACATCTCGATCTCTTCTATGGCAGAAACTCAGCAAGACATAATGAAACAAAGATAGCTAAAGTTCATTATTTAATGCTCTACTCCCAAGAGAATTATGGGACTTTAAGGCTACTCACTAACATACAAAATTACCATGCAGATATGGGGGGAAAGTCCATGTCCAGAAAAAACTTGGTTTGCAAACCTTAGAACTATGTCATTGCAGGATTATGTGTGTGTGCCCGTGTGTGTGCTCACAGGCTTTGAAGAGTTTTATGAGTATCCATTATCCAAAATGCTTGGAAACAGAAGTGTTTTGGATTTTAGATTTTGAAATATTTGCATTATACTTAACAAGTTCAGTTCAGCATCCAAAACCCAAAATGCTCCAGTGAGCATTTCCTTTGAGCATGTCAGTACGCAAAAAGTTTCAGATTTTGGAGCACTTAAGATTTAGGATTTGGGATATTCAGCCTGCATAATCAAACCTCCTTCATTCAGGAATGTAAAAGGAGGTATTAATATGAGCTTAGAATAAAGAACACCTTAGACCTCTGGCAGCGTGGTGGGCTGAGATGACATTAATGGGTAGCTGCTCACCCTCCCCACCTCACTCCCTGCTTTAAGCACATAAAAATGCTAGATGAGCTGGGTACAGCAGCTCGCGCCTGTAATCCCAGCACTTTGGGAAGCTGAGGCGGGTGGATCACGTGAGGTCAGGAGTTTGAGACCAGCCTGGCCAACCTGGTAAAACCCCATCTCTACTAAAAATACAAAAATTAGCTGGGCGTGTTGGTGGGCGCCTGTAATCCCAGCTACTGGGGAGGCTGAGGCAGGAGAATCACTTGAACCTGGGAGGCGGAGGTTGCAGTGAGCCAAGATTGTACCATTGCATTCCAGCCTAGGCGACAGAGCGAGACTCTGTATCAAAAAAATAAAATAAAAATACAAAATTAGCTGGGCGTGGTGGCACACGCCTGTAATCCCAGCTACATGGAAGGCTGAGGCAGGAGAATCGCTTAAACCCAGAAGGTGGAGGTTGTAGTGAGCTGAGATTACACCATTGCACTCCAGCCTGGGCAGAAAGAGTGAAACTCCGTCTCAAAAACAAAACAAAACAAAAGCTAGATGAAATATATCTCAAAAAATGTCAAAATGTTGCCAAGGCTAAAAGGAAGGGGAAACCCCAAGGTACCATAAATAATCAACTGCAAGTCAGAGCAGAAAGCACCTAGCCCTGCAGAGCTTTGGGAAAGACAATGACCAGCGTAGGTAGTTAAGTTAGATTAGGTATCTTTTCATCTTCATTTAAAAGGTGCCAGGATTTCTTATTCAACAGAATGTAAACACCTGTACATATGTACACAGGACTGTCAGCTTGAATGTTTGTTAAGGAATTTATTATATGCAAACACAAGTACCACTACTACCATAGAAAGCAACTGGACAAATAGAAGCCTTGACACCTTGGAATCCATGTATTAAAGACAGAGCCTCTGTCATTCTAAGGGTCTTTGAGTGAGGGTGTGGAACACAGCCCACCAAATGAATATGATCAAAGAATAAATTTCTCATGTTAAGTCACTGAGATTCCATGATTTACCTTCATAGCAATTAGCTCAATATTTTTTCGCAATATTCTAGTCATTCTTCTTCTAGTCTTGCCTCCAACCATGTGTTTCATTTTTTAAACAATGGTTGGTACAAATCTAGGGAAAGAATAGGTGATTTTAATGATTTTTCCATCTATTTAAGGTAAGGAAGTTGGCAACAGGGAAGGTCTTCCAATACAAGGACACCATCACTACGTACAATGTAGTTTCAAATGATGCATATGAGCACCAGATAAAATTGTCAGTGTTTAGAAACTATTACTTTGAACAACACTCATACAGCAAGATGCTTTTTACACTGTAAGGTACAGAGGAACTGGCCTCACACAGACCAGCAGATTCATATATAAGGCACAGATTCACTGAGTAGAGTAAGTAGCCATGCCTTACTTTTCCTCTGCTGGGCACTAAGTTGAATTTATCCAACATAAACGCATGTCATGCCCTGAACCACTTTGACTTTCCTCACTAAAGATTATGTAAGAAAGTAGCAGGATGGCAACTGCCCTATTTTCTTTTTCGAGACAGAATTTCACTCTGTCACCCAGAGTGCAGTGACACGATTTGGGCTCACTGCAACCTCTGCCTCCTGGGTTCAAGCCATTCTCCTGCCTCGGCCTCCCAAGTAGCTGGGACCACAGGTGTGTGCCACCACGCCCAGCTAATTTTTGTATTTTTAGTAGAGATGGGGTTTTGCCATGTTGGCCAGGCTGGTCTTGAACTCCTGGGCTCAAGCGATCCACCCACCTAGGCTTCCCAAAGTGCTGGGATTACAGGCATGAACCACCGTGCCCAGTCGAAAACTGCCCTATTTTCACAATGAATACACAAAAGAGCTATAAAATTAAAACATGAAGCTCCTTTGTGGTAATCATTAATGGAGCACAAAACCCTCAAGACAGCCTATGAAATGCCAGTTCAATTCTGTGTCCATTCTGTAATTCAGGAAACCTCTACCAAAATATCTTACAAAGGAAGTATTCTGCCTTACTAAATCTTTCATTTAATGAAATACTGATCTGAAAACCCTGAATCGAAGTAGGGTGAAATACATTCAAAAAGTACCAAGCATGTGCCATGTGCCAGGCACTGTATGCCAGTGAGCAAAGAACCCTGCCTTCACTGCGTTTAGCACAGGAAGTAAAACAAAGAAAGCAGCAGGGCAGAGCACCAGGATGTCAGGCTGCAATTTTAAAGAGTGGTCAGAGCAGGCTTCATTGAGATGACGTTTGTGCAAAAAGTCAAAAGTGGTGAAAAAATTTTCCATGAAGTTTTGTGGGAGAAGAGCATGCTAGGCAGACACTAGCAGTAACAAAAATCCTATGCTGGAAAAACAGCAAAAGTGGCCAATGTGGACAAGGTAGAGTGAGCAGGAGGAATTCAATAGGAATTGAATGAGGTGGGGTAGAGTGCAGGTAATTTAGGGCTCCACAGACCTTTGTGAAGTTTTACTTTTACTTAGGAAGCCATCTAAACAAGACTTAGACTTTTAAAGGATCAGTCTGGTTGCTATGAGAGTAGAATAGGATGGGTGAGAGGAGACAAAATGAGGCAAAACAAAGACCGGTTAGGAAACCACAGAAATAATCCAAGCAAGCTATGATAGTGTCTTGGATTAGGGTAATAGCAGTAGAGATGTTAATATTTTAAGGTGGAACTAAGATCAGATGAAGGATGTGAGGAGTGCAAGACCATTTCTGCCTAGAAACAAAGAATGGAGTGGCCATTAAGTGATTGAGGATGACTGAGAGGAAAAATTTCAGAGGCAAAAGTAAGTTTTAGACGTAAATTTCGAGGTGTCTACTAGATACCTAACTGAAGATGTCACATGAAGACGTTAATATAATCTGATGTCCTTATGATGAGATCACCAAGATGAGTACTAAGAGAGGAGGCAAGCAGCCCAAGGTCAAGCTCGGGGGCACACCTATGTTTTAGCAAAATGCAGGGAAATGAAGATTGGGCCAACAGCAAGACAGAGAAGGAGCAGCCAGTAAAGGAGAAACGTCAAAGCAAGTGTAGTATTTTGCAAGCCAACTGAAGAGTGCTTCAAGGTCAAATGCTGGCTGCTGATTAGATTTAACAATGTGGAAATCTTTGCTGCCTTTTACTAAGAGTAACAGAGAGGAGACGAACTCTAATCACCTATCAGATGACCTAACCAAGTGTCCAAACTTAACAGCCTGGAAAAGCCGTAACTGTTGTGATGCAATATGGAGACCATAGCATCACCTTGCACTCTTGCACAACAAGTTTAACCCGAAACTTGCGAAAACTTTAGACCTTTCAGTTTACAGAAAGTTCAAAGGGATATCAGAAGTTAAAATTAATGACAGTACAAAGAAAAACTCAACAAGACAACAGGCCTAGTATTTCCAGAAAGTAGGAATCTTAATTGAATCGTGTTTGGGGGATGAGGGTAGCTATTTAAAAAAGAGACACATGGAAAAATCTGAAATAAGGACTCGATGTTAAATTAGGGAAGTATTTTAAGTGGGAAAGTCAACTTTTCTGTTTGAATTTCTTTTCCTAATAAAACAAGTTGGTGAAAAAAAAGGAAGGGGTAATAAACTGGAGGAAGTTTAGAAAACTGAGTTTTGCTTTTATAAAGGGGAGCACTAAAATAATCACTAGCAAGGGATATAGGATCAAAAGATTTTTTAATAACATGCTTATTATGCTTTTGGAAATGATTTAGTAGAGAAAGAAAATAGATGCAGTAGAGAGAGGAGAGGACTGCTGGAGCTGTATCTTTGCCTGAGACATAGGTTTGCATCTCGTGCTCCTTACCTGGGGCAAATGCAGGAGCAAGAGAATTGTGGGAGCCATGTATCCATGAGTAGACATAGACTATTCGGGTGCTTTTGTAGAATATTCATTTAATACCAATTACTGTAAGAGTTTGAAAGGAGTAAAGAGAACCCAAACAGGGCAAAAACAAGTCATTTCCAACCCTAGCTGCTTAAATCACCTAGGCAGCATATTAAACAGATTCCAAAAGTTCTCCCCTCCCACCAATTGTCTAAAGCAGTCTCTGGGGATAGGTAGAGCCTGAGAACCTTCTACCATTTTCTTTAGGGTCGTGTCAAGTGCTTGCCATAGGCCAAAGACAGCTTTAGTAGTTTAAACCTCCAATATTTATTTTTCTCAGATTGCCTATTTTTCCAAAAGTACAAACGCTTATACCTATGTGCACTTGTTAAAGATTTACTAAACACATCATAGTACAGTACTGTATCAGTACTGCCTTTTACTGGAAGAATAAGATGACTATTAACACAATTCTGTAGATACTTATTACAAGCAATTTCAGGGATTTGGGGAATTCAGAATCCCTAGGTAGCTAAAATAATCTATTGAAATCATGTGTGGTTGGTTATTTGGACTAATCAACTACCGGACCCATCTAAAGTCAGAGTAGCCCATAAGCTAGGACTTTTGCATAAGTGATAATGCAGAAATTTGGCTGTGGAGCAAAAAAAAAAAATTTTTTTTTTTTTTTTTTTTTTTTGAGACAGAGTCTCACTCTGTCACCCAGACTGGAGTGCAGTGGCATGATCTCAGCTCACTGCAACCTCTGCCTCCTGAGTTCAAGCGATTCTCGTGCTTCAGCCTCCCAAGTAGCTGGGACTACAGGCTATCCTGCTAACCAGTGGTTCTTAGCTGGGAACTGTTTTGTCCCTCAGGGACATTTGGCAATGTCTGCAAACACTTTGGTTATCACAATTGTGGGAGGGGGTTTAACTGGCCTCTAGTGGTAGAGGCCAGAGATGTGGCTAAATATCCTATAATGCACAGCAATAGCCACCACGACAAAGAATGATCTGGCCCAAACTGCCAGTAGTGCTGAAGTTGAGAATCTCTGTTCTAGACCATTAAAAGGGGGTAGAATTGGCCAGGCGCAGTGGCTCACGCCTGTAATCACAGCACTTTGGGAGGCTGAGGCAGGCAGATCATGAGGTCAAGAGATCGAGACCATCCTGGCCAACATGGTGAAACCCCGTCTCTACTAAAAATACAAAAATTAGCTGGGCGTGGTGGTGCATGCCGGTAGTCCCAGCTACTCGGGAGGCTGAGGCAGGAGAATCACTTGAACCCGGGAGGCGGAGGTTACAGTGAGCCGAGATGGCAGCACTGCACTCCAGCCTGGTGACAGAGCAAGACTCCATCTCAAAAAAAAAAAGTAGGGGGGAAGGGCATAGAATCATGCACCTTATTGCTACCCTGTGCTATACCAATGTTTCTCAACCACTAATTGGCATATAAATTGCCTGGGCACCTTGTGAAACCACTTTCTAGGCTTGTTTTAAACAGAGAATTGGTGAAATGTAATTACCAAAGCTAAAAATAAAAGAGGTCTGGCTGGGCGCAGTGGCTCACGCCAGCATTTTGGAAGGCCGA
The DNA here is from genome assembly GCF_000001405.40 of Homo sapiens. Lineage (NCBI taxonomy): Eukaryota > Metazoa > Chordata > Mammalia > Primates > Hominidae > Homo > Homo sapiens. The sequence continues at coordinate 87,674,069 of NC_000006.12, forward strand.
GGTGGGCAGATCACCTGAGGTCAGGAGTTCGAGACCAGCCTGGCCAAAATGGTGAAACCCTGTCTCTACTAAAAATACAAAAAATTAGCCGGGTGTGGTGGCACATTCCTGTAATGCCAGCAACTCAGGAGGCTGAGGCAGGAGAATCGCTTGAACCTGGGAGGCAGAGATTGCAGTGAGCCGAGATCGTGCCACTGCACTCCAGCTTGGGCAACAAGAGCAAAACTCTATCTCAAAAAAAAAAAAAAAAAAAAAAATTCCTTTTTCTTCTAACTTGGTCAGTTATAAATGTGTATTTAAGATTGTCTTAAATTTTGGAAATATGCTACTAGAATTCAACAAATGAATTCACTGAAGCATGTTTTTGCTTACTTCATTATAAGAAAGCTATGTCTAGAAACCATGTATGGAAAGGGAGTCAAATTTGCTGAATCATGCTTTTGCATATCAAGTTCTTAAAAGAAAAAACTGGATCCTACTGATATCTGAGGTAATTCTATAGCAATTAAAATACCTGTAACATTCTATCAGGCAGTAAGTTACAGAAGAAGGAATTTATATATATATATATATATTTTTTTTTTTTTAGTAGAGATGGGGTTTCACTGTGTTAGCCAGGATAGTCTCGATCTCCTGACCTCGTGATCCTCCCGCCTCGGCCTCCCAAAGTGCTGGGATTACAGGCATGAGCCACCGCGCCCAGCAGAAGAAGGCATTTAGAATCAGAACTCAGTGTTTTGAAACAGCACTCAAATCTTAGAAAATTAACTTCACTGATTCCTGGAAAATGCTTACGTTTTAAAACACCAACTTTATTCAAATACTAACCCCATCTGTACATTAAGAAACAAGCAAAATAGAAGTAAATGTTTTATTCTTCCAACTAAATTCCAGTACTACAAGGGCAGTAAAACAATGATACACTGGAAAAAAAAAAATGCAGCAATAAACATTTGTTAAAAAGACTGATAGAATAAATAAAACTACAAAAAAAAAAAAAATCATACAAACCCATTCTGAAACCCCAAGAAGTCCTGGAATACAGAAATGCCCTCCTCCTTCACTATTTCACAGGAAGCACTGCAGGCTATTTGCTTAATATTGTCCTGGGATTACATTCTAAAATTAGTAACTGGTTACAGCTCGGTTGTAGTGCACAATTAAAATCACACTAACTTCATCTGAAGTGTCATTCTACAGTTTTATTTACACAACCAGTGAAGGGCATGTTCTAGAATACCAGCTTTAATCCTTTTCAAACATTAATATAAGAAGCCAAATTGTAATGATACAGCAAAATGAGGCCACTGGTATTAATACAGGTAGCAAAGGTCCACATCCAGGTGGTACTGACATCAGGGAAATTTCCAAAACCAGTTGCTGCTGCCTAAGAGTGGTTGCCACTGACGAAAGCTTGAAATAACCTGTATTCACAGAAGGGGTATTGGCATTGCTGCATGTCATAATTGGGACCTCTTGCAACAACTCAACAAGGAACAAGGCAGCCCACAAATGCAGGATACGTGATTCATGAAACATCTAAAGGGTGAGAAAAAGAAAATTAGTGCAAAATACAGGTCAAAATCCAAACGAATACTAGATCTTGATTCCCAATTTTGCCCCTAGGTATTTAAGTAACCAAAAGACTTGCAAAGTTATGCTGCCTATTTCCTCCATACATTCTCAGTAATTTTGTTGAATTCTCTTTTTGAGTATGAAAATAATTATAATGTCTTCTCCTTAAAAGACAGTCTTATTTTCAGTTTATAACTTCAAAGGTGAAATACTTACAGCTAGCAGGCTGTTCTCCATATCGTCGCATTATTTGATCATGCGTAAACTTCACAAACGCATCATATTGTTCTATAAATAAAGGTACTTGTCAATTACATTTGTAAAATGCCTTATTAGAGCCAGATAAACTGAAAACACAAAATATACAGTAAAACAATTCTAAGTTGACAAAATCACTTACATAACCTCAGTAGTACTAATAGTGTATCAAATAAAAACAGCATGCAACTTATTAGTCAGGAAACCTAGGTTTTAGTCCAATCACATGACCTGACATAAAGGCTAGGTGAGATTTATTTATTTCCTAACAAAAAGGCTGGGACCGGGTGCGGTGGCTCACGCCTGTAATCCAAGCACTCTGGGAGGCCGAGGCGGGCGGATCACAAGGTCAGAAGATCGAGACCATCCTGGCTAACACGGTGAAACCCCATCTCTACTAAAAATACAAAAAAATTAGCTGGGCATGGTGGCAGGCCGCCTGTAGTCCCAACTACTCGGGAGGCTGAGGCAGGAGAATGGCGTGAACCCAGGAGGTGGAGCTTGCAGTGAGCCAAGAACGCGCCACTGCACTCCAGCCTGGGCAACAAAAAAAAAAAAAAAAAAAAAAAACGAGGCCGGGCGCGGTGGCTCACAGCTGTAATCCCAGCACTTTGGGACGCCGAGGCGGGCACATCATGAGGTCAGAAGATCAAAGCCATCCTGGCTAACATGGTGAAACCCCGTCTCTACTAAAAACACACACACACACACACACACACACACACAAACATAGCTGGGCATGGTGGCACACACCTGTAGTCCCAGCTACTCAGGAGGTTAAGGCAGGAGAATCGCTTGAGCCCGGGAGGCAGAGGTTGCAGTGAGCCAAGATCGTGCCACTGCACTCCGGCCTGGGCGACAGAGTGAGACTCCATCTTAAAAAAAAAACAATTGGCCGGGCATGGTGGCTTACGCCTGTAATCCCAGCACTTTGAGAGGCCAAGGCGGGCAGATCACGAGGTCAGGAGATCGAGACCATCCTGGCTAACACGGTGAAACCCTGTCTCTACTAAAAATACAAGAAAATTAGCCGGGCATGGTGGTAGGTGCCTGTAGTCCCAGCTACACAGGAGGCTGAGGCAGGAGAATGGCGTGAACCCGGAAAGTAGAGCTTGCAGTGAGCCAAGACTGCGCCACTGCACTCCAGCCTTGGGTGACAGAGTGAGACTCCGTCTCAGGAAAAAAAAAAAAAAAAATTAAAAACAAAGGACTTTCAATAAAAAGACCTTTCTACTCTGAAAGTTATTGTATGTGGTCTATGAATGGCAACTGACTGCAATGAGAATAGGATAACAAAAGCTAACAACAAAACACTACCTAAAACCTGATCAAGTATCACAGAAAAAGTTGTTATATATCTAAGCAAATTATCTTCTCTACATTAACACCTCTATATTAATTCCTTAAAATAAAAAAGCTTACATATCTATATAAACAGTAAATCTGTGGCTAAACATTCTATTTATGTTACCATACATAATAAATTTTATTTACTTAAATTATCAAATTTTACTGAATTTTTTGATAACTAAAACAGGACTCCAGTTTGATACTCCAATGACTTACACAGTGACAGCCAATTAGATATTTTAAATGTCTACATTGATGGTAACGTTATGAAAAATATAAAGTCAAAAAATCCACAACCAAATTGAGGTAAACTACTAACATCAGTTTTTAGTACAGGGTACCTACTAATATTACTGCTGATCTACACGGCTAGCCAATACTCTTTTCCTCAGGTTACCAAGGCGGGCATGAGCTATAAGAAGGTTAATTTTCTTTCCTGAACTGAAATTTTCTCATTCTCAGAGAATATACCGCACCAGTGTATAGAAAGTGAAATTAAAGTACACGTGGAAAATGCATTTCACACAACTGAGTTCCTCAGAAACTCTAATAAACACACCTCATACCTGCAAGTTTTGTGTTCAATATTTCTTCATATTCTTCTCGAACTTTCTCTTCACGTTCTTTCAACAAACGTTCACAGATCATCCCAACCTGCCGTAGAGTAAATAAGGGCTGTTCTTTTTTTAATGGTGAGGATGCTGCAGATGAAGTCCCTATGTACAATGAGGACAAAAAATAGCACCTGGTTTAGAGCCATGATATAAAGCAGTTTCTAAATGAAGAGGTTTTATTTGGATCTCTTCAATCTTGATATAAAAGCATTTTAAAATCAGATTTTAAGCACAGCATTTCACAAGTCTTAAAACAACCAAAATAATAATTCCATCAGCTGGTGACGCTGGAAAAACACGGCAAGATGTAATTAAGATAAAAAAGACTAAAGGTGAGTAGAAAAAACTTTAAGACATAAGAAAGGTTGGGCGTGGTGCTCACCGCCTGTAATCAGGCCGAGGTGGGCGGATCACCTGAGGTCAGGAGTTTGAAACCAGCCTGGCCAACATGGTGAAACCCTGCCTCTACTAAAAATACATAAAAAAATTAGCCAGGCATGGTGGCGGGCACCTGTAATCCCAGCTACTCGGGAGGCTGAGGCAGGAGAATCACTTGAACCCGGGAGGCGGAGGTTTCAGTGAGCCGAGATCACGCCATTGCACTCCAGCCTGGGCAAAGAGAGTGAAACTCCATCTCAAAAAAATAAAAACAAAAAATTAAAAATTAAATTTAAAAAAGACATAAAACTTAAACATTACAATGATGGGTCCCATTACAAAACATCTTATCTCCTTTCTGGAAAATACCATACCATGAAGTATTTTAGTGACTAAATTACTTTCCTACACTAGGAATGAAGAACACCTCAGGTCTAAATTTAATTTTATTTAGTCCCAGAATAACAAATCATTATGCCTGTAAAAAGACACTTAGTCTTCAAAGCCATACCATTAATATCTTAAGAGCCTACACACAATGAACTGGTAATTATTCTACCATCATTTCACACCTTTAGAAAGGGGTTTTCCTTTATTGAAAAAGAAAATACGCCGGGCATGGTGGCTCACGCCTGTATTACCAGCACTTTGGGAGGCCGAGGCAGGCGGATCACCTGAGGTCAGAAGTTCAAGACCAGCCTGACCAACATGGAGAAACTTAGTCTCTACTAAAAATACAAAATTAGCCAGGCGTGGTGGCACATGCCTGTAATCCCAGCTACTTAGGAGGCTGAGGCAGGAGAATCGCTTGAACACAGGAGGCGGAGGTTGCAGTGAGCCGAGATCATGCCGTTGCACTCCAGCCTAGGCAACAAGAGTGAAACTTCATCTCAGAAAAAAAAAAAAAAAAAGAAATTTCATGTTGGCACAATAAATTTTTATGTTTAAAAAAAGAAGGTACAGCATGAATCCTTTTTAGAAAAGATTAAAAAACATTCTGGAACCTAGCTTGTGTGGTGGCTCATACCTGTAATCCCAGTACTTTCTGGGAGGCCGAAGCAGGTGGAACCCTTGAGCTAAAGGCCAGCCTGCGCAACATGGCAAACCATGTCTCTAATAAAAATACAAAGATTGGCTGGGAGTGGTGGCACGTGCCTGTAGTTCTAGCTACAGGCTAGGCTGAGGTGGAGGTTGCAGTGAGCCAAGATCTCACCACTGTACTCCAGCCTGGGCAACGGAGTGAGACCCTGTCTCAAAAACAAAACAAAACAAAACAAGACATTCTGAAATCTACTTTGCTGGAGAAGCATAAATGATTCTAAAGGTTTTTGAACTCATTGACCACTAATTCCCATTAAGTTAACAACAATTCGCATGGAAAAATAAGCTCAAGCATTGAGCTGATAATGCTATGCTCAAAACTCTATACCATAGAACTACACTGTCATCACACTAAGAATCCCAAAGCAGCTGCAACATCAGCATCTGTCAATTTCAAATATTCCTTCAGCATTTTTATACCTATTAGGATATTTTTAATAAAAGAGAAAATATTTTGTAGTAATAACATCTACTGTAATACTGCTAAAAGTATTTTATACATATTCAAGTGCACCATTCGTTACCAATTGTTTCTTCATCTCGCTCTGTGAATTTGCCCTGGTACCACCAATATTACTTACTCTCTTAACTTGCTCCTTATAACCTGCATGGCAGGAGCTAGTTAACTATGCTTATTAGAACTGTGCATACCACAATAACAAAGCCCACCAGCTTTATTCCATAATTATCCAAAGCCATCTTAATTTACTTTCACATTCCCAGCTTTGTTACTTAAGACTGCCAGTTAACTGATCTTCTAAGTAAAGTGAGTAAGGAAATAATGATCTTGGTTTCCTGCTAATACAGTCTAGTGCCCAACCCTCACCTCTATGTTTCAACCACTAATACCTGGCCCCCACAATGGGCATGGCAGTATTTAGTTTTGAACAAGTTCATGTTTCCTAATCTAATTTTATTTGACTATGTTATGGTCTTTGATTTTTTTTTTTTTTTTTTTTTTGAGTCTCATTCTGTCACCCAGGTTGGAGTGCAATGGCGCGATCTCTGCTCACTGCAAGCTCTGCCTCCCGGGTTCATGCCATTCTCCTACCTCAGTAGCTGAGACTACAGGCGCCTGCCACCATGCCTAGCTAATTTTTTGGATTTTAGTAGAGACGGGGTTTCACTGTGTTAGCCAGGATGTTCTCGATATCCTGACCTCGTGATAAACCTGCCTTGGCCTCCCAAAGTGCTGGGATTACAGGCATGAGCCACCGCGCCCAGCCGCAAATTTTTTTATTCTGCCAGGTTTTCCTTCCCTTGCTAGGGGGAGGAGAGAAAGCGTTGAACAAAGGCAACTGTTGTCACAAGAAAAGCTATTTTCCTGAGAACTTTACTAAAGATAAGAGCCACTATTGATGGCTCTCTCTCAGCAAAACCTTCAACTTTCTCTTTGCTTCAAGTAGCCCTTATTCCCCGCCCCCCCCCTTTTTTTTTTTTTTAAAAAAAAGGAAGGTTATTTGCAAACATTCCCCCCAACAAAAAGTAGGTAAAAACAGATACAGGATCAAAAAATAATAATAATCCACCTTTAGAAATCTAGCCCAATAAGACAAGTGTGTGAGGCAGGGTATGTATACAGGGATAGTTCTTAAAATACTATACCAGCAAAACTTCTAAGTTGAATTATCTATCATTAAGTGTTCAGTCATGACAAGGTACATCTATACCTAACAAAGGAGCATACAGTATTGTTATTATTTTTTTTTTTGAGACAAAGTCTCACTCTGTCGCCCAAGCTGGAGTGCAGTGGCATGATCTCAGCTCACTGCAACCTCCGCCTCCTGGGTTCAAGTGATTCTCATGCCTCAGGCTCCCGAGGGGCTGGGACTACAGGCGCGTGCCACCACGCCCAGCTAATTTTTCTATTTTCAGTAGAGACAGAGTTTTGCCATGTTGGCCAGGCTGGTCTCAAACTCCTGACCTCAAGTGACCTGTCTACCTCGCTCGGCCTCCCCAAGTGCTGGGATTACAGGCATGAGCCACCGTGCCTGGCCTATTGTTAATTTTTTTTAATAAAGGCTACAAATCATAGTACTTACAGGATGTCCACTTTGGGGATATTATATGCAGGTGGTTGTCTCTGGTTAGTGGGAATCCAGTGGTAACTCCTTATTTTGTACCATATTATTTTTTAAGATGTCATGCATTACTTGTATAAATGTTTTTTTAAAACTCAGAGGAGATACAGTAGCTTAAATGACTAAAGACAACTTGGATTAGACTTTTCCCACTCTAAATAATAAACTTTGTAAATGACAAGAAATGTTATTACCTGGTGAAGCTGGTCCACTGAGGAGAAATGCATGTGGCTGTGCATCAGAAGTACAACACGGATCTGTCTGTTGGAAACTCGTTTCTAAATGTCTTCTCTTCTGCATTCGTTTATACTCTTGTTTTATGTTGTACAGAATTTGTTCTAAAATAAAAAAGTTAAAATTTGGCAAGATAAAAACTTTCACATTAAAAAAGAGGTTGGCTTTCCAACATTATTTAGTAGACCAATCTACCCAAAATACTCCTTTCAAATAATATCCAGAAAACTGACATTTTGGTAGGAACTCATTTCAGCATAAATGGGGACATTCACTTAGCACATACACACCAACTGGAATTCAGCTGTTCAACAATATTCTTGCTGAGCACTGACTAGCAAAAATAAAGTTTTTCAGTCAAAATAATGGTCAAGGAGTCTGTGAACCAAAACACCTATTTTACTCAGATTCTTAAGAGTTCCAAACTTAAAGCTCATTTATTCATCACATAGAACTATTACACTAACAGGCTTTTCCAACTGCCTTTACTGCCTTTATGCCTTTTCCAAGCCCATAAATAAGAAGGGGCTTGGGAGATTATGTATATTCAAGCACACAACAGTCTGAAGTGATAATAGGTCAACAAAATGACAAAGTAGATGGGAACTTAAAAAGTCATCATACATTAAATGGCCATGGCCAATTATTTTAAGCTCAATAAAACCTAAGAATACTACAGCATTCTGAATCTTGGGGCTGGAGGGTAGGGTGAGGGGGAGACCATGTAAAGTGATTGGTACATGACAGGTCCTCAATAAATAAGAACCACTATACCACAGTGCAATTATCTTGAACCACAATCACACAAATGAGTAAAATTATATCTGGCACATCCTTTAGGCCACTATGATTCATTTCAGAAAGATTTCTAACTCAAAATAATTACCATCTGGCCCCTCCAGAAAATCCCTGCCTAGGGGTTTCCACTCCCCTTCCAGACTTCCTCACTACACCTCCATACTCCATAGCTCCCAAGTTAACAGGTTATCAATGTGAAACTACATCCCTAGAAGTTTACTAACCAAAATCCAAAGCAAGATTAAACAAAAATGAAATTTTTAGGTGGCAATAAAAAGACTGATAGAGTGGAGTGTAGCCTTAACATTCAATTCTACAATGATGCATTAATTTAAGAACTGTTAGATATTGGTCAAGTGTGGTGGCTCAACACCTGTAACCCTGGCACTTTGGGAGGTCAAGGTGGGAGGATCACTAGAGGCCAAGAGTTCGAGACCAGCCTGGGCAACATAGAGGGACCGTGTCTTTATGACACACAAAAAAGAAAGCTAAAGATTTACATACAATAATTCTTTTTAAAATTTAATACTGGTGGTTTTCGTAGATAACCACCATATCTACAAAATCCTGTCACTTATTTTCTCACTTTATTTCCCTAGGAGAAGAACTTTTAGAATTTTTGAGAGACTCTGGGAGGACAAATAAGTTCCTTAAACATTTTAGATACTGCCTGTTTCATTATTTAAACTGAAAAAAAAGTGGCAAGACATATCCAGTTAAAGATACCATTTACATAAATTTTGTTGTATAAAAAGACCTGTTTATACATACACGAATGTGCAGTTTAAGTACAAAATCACTCATTCATGTGTACATAAACAGGTCTATAATGATTAATTTCAGGATGGTTATGTCGGGGTGCTTTAGCTGTATTTAACATTTTTCATTTGTTAACATTTGTTTAATACGGGTTATGCTCATTTTCAGTTCTTTTCCATTTATTTGAACTACTTTGTAATTTGAAAACAAAGTTACTCCAATCGAGTGACAGTCGTTAAATTATTAAATTATCAGTGTTGGCATGAAACAGTTGTCTACTGAATGGTAAGCATACCTTGATATAAATGGGTTTCCTAATATTCACCAGAGGTACCCAATAAAACTAATGTAACATCCAGTATCAACCAGGATAAACACAAATATCCTCATTTTTTAATAACAGACCTCTTTTCAGTAACAACAATCTAAAGGGTTTTTCTTTTCTTTTCTTTTTTGAGATGGAGTCTTGCTCTGTCACCCAGACTGGAGTGCAGTGGCGTGATCTCAGCTCACTGCAACCTCCATCTCCCAGGTTCAAGCAATTCTCCTGCGTCAGCCTCCCAAGTAGCTGGGACTATAGGCTCGAGCCACCATGCCCAGCTAAATTGTATTTTTGGTAGAGACAGGGTTTCACCACATTGGTCAGGCCGGTCTCGAACTCTTGACCTCAGGTGTTCCACCCTCCTCGGTCTCCCAAAGTGCTAGGATTATAAGTGTGAGCCACCGTGCCCAGCCATTCTATTTTGCTGAGAGAGAGTAAGCTTCACTCATATTCATCACTTTCTGTCCAAAGCTACCATTATCCTGATCAAAAGTGCCATTCAAAACATCATAAAATTTATTTATAACCAGAGATGTTAAGAGGTACTAGTTTGGAGTAACTTGACCTTAATATTTATCTTTTGTGTGACTTATATACGTTCTTTTATCACCACATAGCTGTTCTCAGATTTAGTCTTACTTCTGCTTCACAAGTCAACCAAAGCACAACTAAAATGTACCAAAAGAATGCTTGTATAATAACAACCTCAATTTGTTCATTTGATAATCTCAAATGAAAGCTAACCCAGAATTAAGAAACGGTAAAACTTTTAAAAATTTTATCTTTGTAAAACTCCATACCATCAGATACTTAGGGACATCACTAACAATTTTAAGGTATAATTTACAAATGACAAAATTCACCAATTTAAATGTACAATCCATTTGAGTTCTGACAAGTACATACATACAGTTTTGGAACTAACGTAACTATGATAAATAACTTTTTATCACTCCAAAAACTTCTCTTGGGCTTCTCTGCAGTTAATTCACTACCAATATCACCACTCCCCCATACAGTCCACCAACACTCATCTGCTATTACTACATAGTTTTGCCTTCTCTAGAATTTCACATAAATAGAATCATAAAGAGTGTAGACTTTTATGTCTGAACTACTTTCACTCAGCAAAATGCTTTTGAGATTCATGTATGTTGCATGAATCAGAAATTCCTTTTTATTGGTGAGTATTCCATCATATGTATGTATATATACACACACAGCTAGCCTTTCTCCTGTTAATGGACATTTAGGCTGTTTCCAATTTGGGACTATTACGAATATTCAAGTACCAGTCTTTGGTGGACATGTTTTCATTTCTCTTGGATAAATACCTAGGAGTGGGAATGGGCTGCCTAATCATATGGCAAATGAAGGGTTTATTTTGTTCTTACAAAATAAAATTGCTAAACCATTTTCCAGAGTGATTTTGTCATTTTGCATTCCTACCATAAAAGTATTACAGCTCCAGCTGTTCCACATCCTTGCCAACACTTGATATTGTCAGCTAAAGAGCTGAAGAATTTTTAATACTATTGCCTGCATTGCTTTTTACATCTAATATGATGCAACTATGTCATCTAAGCCACACTGTGCCCTCAAATGCTCTAATACTGGTAACATGTGATCAACAATGTTATGCAGTGAAGGGTCCAATTTAACTTGGCCAAGATCTCAACTGCACAAGTAGCAAACAGCTAACTGCAATGGCCTCAAGCTCAATTTATTTCAGTTCAGGGATATAAACAGTCTTGAAGCTGATAACTCAAGAAATTTCCTCAGATTCAATATTCTACAACTACATTGCTAAGCTCGATCTAGATACTTGGCTAACCTGAGTTGCTTTCATACCAGGTAGATAAAGGCCTTCCATATATCAGTCAAGTACTTGCCTACTTAGTCTTAAGCTACTTAGATCTGGCCATCTCTTATCATACCAGCAAGTTAATATTTTATCCAAGGTACATGTAATATCTGACATTGTCTTGCCAACACAATTTACAGTTCATTAAAGAAAAAAGAAGTCCAAGCTTCACTTGTATTATCAGTTGCATATTCCAGTTTTAATCATATGCCTTCCTATTTGGCTTATGAGGCATAGACTGAATTTGCAGCAACCATTTAGAGCAAAATATCTAGAGTTATCTTCAAGAAAAGCTAAAGCACACAAATGGCTATATATTCTTTTTCTAAATCCTAAAAACTACCTTACTCTTTTACCATAAAATACTGCTAAATGGAAGTCATTATTAGCAAGTTCTACAACTCACAGCATTTTCATTCTCAAACCTAGTACATGACACTAAAATTGCTAATAAAATTCTCCTTAGCAGGTAGGCAGTATCAACAGGTCAGCACCTATTCCTTTGGAATATTTTTAACAACAAATTAGGAGGCCAGATGCAGTGGCTCACCCCTTTAATCCCAGCACTTTGGGAGGGTGAGGCAGGAGGATCACTTGAGGTCAGGAGTTTGAGACCAGCCAGGCCAACACAGTGAAACCCCATCTCTACTAAAAATATAAAAATGAGCTGGGTGTGGTGGCGGGCCCCTGTAATCCCAGCTACTTGGGAGGCAGAGGCAGGAGAATTGCTTGAACCCGGGAGGAAGAGGTTGCAGTGAGCTGAGATCATGCCACTGCACTGCAGCTTGGGCAACAAGAATGAAAACTCTGTCTCAAAAAAATAAATAAATAAGGTAAATGTGGAAAGAAAAGGCCTCTTTTTAGTTGCCACTGATTACTTAGGAAATGCTGGACACCATGAATAAGGTCAACAATATAAACAGGAGAATGTAGTTATGGGATAAAAAGCATAATGGAATTGATGGGGGCAAGATAAACAGCATCAAGATAAGACCAAGCAAAGGGAAGAACATGGAATTAGAAGCAACTAAAAATAAGTTTAAGGAGAACCACAAAGGAAGGGAGGTGGGGTGTCAAAATATCTTTCTAGGGTCCATAAATTTAAGTTCTAAAAATCTGACATGTGAAACTAGAAACTTCTGCTCCAGACCCACAAAGCTTTACTATTTTCCTCCAGACATCATTACTAGATCAAACATTACGGTTTCGCGAACAGTTTTAAGTTTAGGTGTATGGGGCCCCTCTGTACCATTTTATAGGTCAATACCATTTATTTCTCCATGGAATATCTTTGGAAAACACAAAATGAAAGTGGACCTAGAAAGACAATTCAAACAATGGAATTGAAAAAGAAATCTTGTGGCCGGGCGCGGTAGTTCATGCCTGTAATCCCAGCACTTTGGAAGGCCAAGGCAGGCGGATCACCTGAGGTCAGGAGTTCGAGATCAGGCTGGCCAACATGACGAAACCCTGTCTCTACTAAAAATACAAAAATTAGCCAGGCATGGTGGTGGGCGCCTGTAATCCCAGCTACTCGGGAGACTGAAGCAGGAGAATTGCTTGAACACGGGAGGTGAAGGTTGCAGTGAACCGAGATTGCACCACTGCACTCCAGCCAGGCGACAGAGCAAGACTTAGACTCAAAAAAAAAAAAAAAAAAAATCTTGAAAGTCTGCCAGTTCTAGTCAGGAACACAAATGATATGGAAACCTGTACATAATTAAGTAAAGAAAACTTGCAATAGTCATTAAGACTTAAAACTAAGACACACTGTTCCAAAATAACAGAGCAATGTACAGTTCTGAACTACATACTAGATACTGTCATGACTACTTTCTAAATTAAAACACACAACTTGGGCAGGGCGTGGTGGCTCACACCTGTAATCCCAGCACTTTGGGTGGCTAAGGTGGGCAGATCACCTGAGGTTGGGAGTTCGAGACCAGCCTGACCAACTCCAAGAAACCCTGTCTCTACTAAAAATACAAAATTAGCCATTGCACTCCAGCCTGGGCAACAAGAGCAAAATTCCGTTTCAAAAAAAAAAAAAAAAACACACTACTTGGAGTTGCTATGGAGACCCATCTTTATTAATTGGCTATTTTCCCAGGATCATCTCTGCAGAAACTAAAACAGTTATGTTCTCCTTGATTGAATCTTAAGGACAATATTCTTATCCAACCAAGAGCTATTGGACTATAAAGAATGAGCTGATACCATTTTAAATTCACTTTAAAATACTATTATTTCACTGGTACATATAGCCAATGATTACTTATTTGAAAGAAACGACTCAATTTGTTATAACTCTGCAGGTAAATGTAAGTTTTACACCTCCAGCTTATATTACACTAAGGGGATACATTAACCTTGTTGCTATTGTTATGTAGCTCTTAACTACTTTTAAGTATTTTCTCAAATAACTTACAAGCTATCAAAATAGAGTAATAACAAAGAAAGCATGGCTGCACGCAGTGGCTCATGCAAGGCCGAGGCAGGAGGATCACTTGAGGCCCGGAGTTGGAGACGAGCCTGAGCAACAAAGTGAAAACTCTATCTCCACCAAACATAAAAAATAAAATTAGCCAGGTGCGGTGGCTTGCCCTTTAGTCCCCAGCTATTGGCAAAATGAGGTAGAAAGATAGTTTGATCCCAGGAGTGCCAGGCTACAGTGAGCTACAATAGCGCCACTGCACTCCAGCCTAGGCAAGAGTGAAACCTTGAGTTTTTTTTCTTGTTTTTGTGGGGGGACAGAGTCTCGCTCTGTCGCCCAGGCTGTAGTGCAATGGTGTGATCTCAGCTCACTGTAACCTCCACCTCCTGGGTTCAAGCGATTCTTCTGCCTCAGCCTCCAGAGTAGCTGGGATTACAGGTGCCCGCCACTATGCCCAGCTAATTTTTGTATTTTTAGTAGAGACAGAGTTTCACCAGGTTGGCCAGGCTCGTCTCAAATTCCTGACCTCAGGTGATCCTCCCGCCTCAGTCTCCCAAAATGCTGGGATTACAGGCTGATCCATCGTGCCTGGCAAGACCGTGTCTTTAAAAAAATAAAAAAAAAAAATGCCAGGCACAGTGGCTCACGCCTGTAATCCCAGCACTTTGGGAGGCCAAGGCAGGCGGCTGACCTGAGGTAGGGAGTTAAAGATCAGCCTGACCAACATGGAGAAACCCCATCTCTACTAAAAATACAAAAAAAAATTAGCCAAGCATGCTGGCATGTGCCTGTAATCCTAGTTATCCGGGAGGCTGAGGTAGGAGAATCACTTGAACCCGGGGGGAGGTGGAGGTTGCAGCGAGCCGAGATTAAGCCAATGCACTCCAGCCTGGGCAACAAGAGTGAAACTCCGTCTCAATAAAAAAAACACACAATAAATGGAGAAGAAGGGGAAATTGAACTGCCCCAAATCCAAAACCCAACATGTGCATGCTACAGAAACATTTGGTTCCAAGGCAGAAGGTTCAGCTTCTATTCCAATTAACCACAGCCACAGGGCCAATGTAATGTGTATTTACCTGCAGGGTTTTAACAAATTGAGTAATTTACTTCAAATAAGTAGCACTAGCTATACAGTACCAGTGAAATGAAAGAATTTGACCTTGTAGTGATTCTAGTTGTTCCTCCTCCTGCAGGGAAGATAAATGAATGCCTTTTATACAGTTAAATATTATATAAGTATAAATGCAGAACCTAAGCCAGCTTGCAGAGACTGAGAAGGCAGACTCTTTGAGGACTCCAGTACACCACGATCAAGCTGAAGAACAAAACAATCTCCTATAACAACTTGTTCAGGCACCCCCCAAAAAATTAGCATACCCGGGCCAGGCGCGGTGGCTCATGTCTATGATCCCAGCACTTTGGGAAGCCGAGGCGGGTGGATCACCTGAGGTCAAGAGTTCGAGACCTGCCTGGCCAACATGGCAAAACCCCATCTCTACTAAAAATACAAAAAAATTAGCCAGGCAAGGTGGTGCATGCCTGTAATCCCAATCGCTTAAACCTCGGAGGCAGAGGTTGCAGTGAGCCGAGACAGTGCTACCGCACTCCAGCCTGGGCAACAGAGTGAGACTCGGTCTCAAACAAAAAAAGCATACCTGGAACCAGGATTTGCAAAACTGATGACTAACAGGCCAAACTCAGCCCCATGGACATGATTTTTTTAAAAACATGTTAATTTGTGGCCATTTAAAAACTGGGTGGTTTTACACATAAAGTCAGACTTCTGACTACTCTTGGGAAAACCAGATAACACAGCAAAACTCAGCTGAAGATTCAAAGTGACTGTTACCTTTTGGGCCTAAGTTCTCAAGTGCTTCTACAATTTTAATGCACACACAGATTACCTCCAGATCTTGTTAAAATGTAGACTCTGAAGGGTGGAGCTTAAGATTCTACGTTCCTTATGAGGTGATGCTGCCGGTCAGGACTGGAATTCACTAGTTCCCTCCTAGTTTACTTTAAATCATTTACACATCTGGAACTATGCGTATTTAAAGTTTCTAGCCCCTGCTTAAAATAACAACTCTCTTGGCCACGGGCGGTGGCTCACGCCTGTAATCCTAGCACTTTGGGAGGCCAAGGCAGTTGGTCACTTGAGGTCAGGAGTTGGAGGCCAGCCTGGCCAACATGGTGAAACCCTGTCTCTACTAAAACTACAAAAAAATTAGCTGAGCATGGTGGCAGGAGCCTGTAATCCCAGCTACTTGGGAGGCTGAGAATCGCTTGAGCTTGGGAGGCAGAGGTTTCAGTGAGCTGAGATGACGCCATTGAACTCCAGCCTGGGCAACAACAGCGAAACTCCATCTCAAAAAAAAAAAAACCAAAAAAACAAAAAAAACCAACTCTTAATTGAACATTTTTTAAAAAGTGGTTTACTATTGGACATACTAAGGAGTGGAGAGGAAGGAAAGCAAGACATTAGCAGCAAGGTTATTACAAGTAGGAAAATACCTAAGCTAACTTAAAATCATTTTGCCACCCTCACCTGAATGGTTTTTGCAGTTGTCAGTTCATTGCTTCTCAGCCTTTTGGCTAAGATCAAGTGTAATTCTAAGTCAGACATACCCCTCCTGTAGGAGGAAAATATTCTGCAAATTAATTTAACTTGATTGGACCTACTTAGGAAAACTCATTACATGACATTAACCTATATACAATGATTATTTCATCTCTCCTTATACACTTTAAAAAAGGAAATTCATATTCGTCATTATGTGACTGATGATGAAGCAATTCATTTACTTTACCAACATGACCACTTATTAAAAAGAGGAATTAAGACCACCTCTCAGGCCAGGCACGGTCACTCATGCCAGTAATCCCAGCACTTTGGGAGGCCAAGGTGGGCAGATGGCTTGAGGTCAGGAGTTCAAGACCAGTCTGGCCAACATGGTAAAACCCTATCTCTACTAAAAATACAAAAGTTAAACGGGCATAATGGCGGGCACCTGTAATCCCAGCTACTAGGGAAGCTGAAGCAGGAGAATCACTTGAATCCAGGAGATGGAGGTTGCAGCGAGCGGAGACTGCACCACTGCACTCCAGCCTGGGCAACAGAGTGAGACGGTTTCAACAACAACAACAAAAAGACCACCTCTCACACCATAAGACACTCATTAGAAGTCTACATACATCTCTTATTTATCCCATGTATTTTGTAAATTAGTTGTGAACATTTAAAAGTCAATCGATTTCACAAAAGTTCTGACTTCTAGTGGTGGAGCGAAGGCTACCAAGATCTGACGATAAAAAGTCCAAATTAGGCTGGGCGTGGTGGCTCACACCTATAATCCCGGCACTCTGGAGGCCAAGGTGGGCAGATCACTTGAGGCTAGGAGTTGGAGACCAGCCTGGCCAACATGGTGAAACTGTCTCTACTAAAAATACAAAAATTAGCCGGGCATGGTGATACACATCTGTAATCCCAGCTACTTGGGTGGCTGAGGCAGGAGAATTGCTTGAACCCAGGAGGCAGAGGTTGCAGTGAGCCGAGATCGCACCACTGCACTCCAGCCTGGGAAACAGGGCAAAACCTCATCTTAAAAAAAAAAAAAAAAAAAAAAAAAGTCCACATTTCCCATGGCTGCAACTAAAGAGGAACTGTCTGAACCAACTGAAGATACAAATTAAAGAGACATCTGTAAATGGAAACTGAAGTCAGGAGCAGGCATGTGACTGCTTAGGGAGCTATTAAGTGACATAAGCATGGAGCTAAAGCTAGAACTAAAGAACTGCAAGGTTTAATGCCCAGGTAAAGAGAAGAACAGCTAGGGAGTAGAGGGAAATTGTAGTCAAAGGAGAAAAAGGCCATTTCAAAAAGAAAGGAGTGTGCCAGCAGGCAGAATGCTGAAAGAAAGGTCAAATAAGAGGAGGACTGATTGAGTGTCATGGAAGTCACTGATGACCTGACAGGAGCTGCTTGAGGCATGTCAGGAATTAAGAACTGAAGAAATGGAAGCAAACAGACTATTTGAAAGCTCTCTGAATTTGATTTTGAAGTGGAGGAAATCTGGAAGATAGCTGGAGGAAAATGAGTATGTTTTGTTCTTTTACTTTCTCATGGAAGGCTTGTGAATATATAAAGCCAAAAGCAAAGATCCAATTGAGAGAAGAAATGGAATAATCAAGAGGATAAAGTTACTTTGGAGAAAAGTGGAATCTTTCCCTCACTATATACAGTGCTTTAATAATTGTTTAATCCTCGATGATACTAGAACAGGACAGGCTCAAATGTCAGTAGTGCTGGTACTAAAAACAATGAAAAAACTGTGATTTGATGGCAACTCTTTTGTAGAAGGCAGGCTTAGTCACTGAAAGGCAAACTTGCTGGTGAGTAAAAGTCCCATTTGAGGTTGCCTTCTTGAGACCATTTCCATCACTTGGCCAGTAAATGCTCTTAATTCTCACAACCCTAAGAGGCATATGCTACTATCATCATGTGCACATTTCCTGAGATGAGAAAAATGAGGCTCTGCTTCAGTGTCTTCTGCAATGTCACACGGCTTGAACATGGCAGAGCCAGGTTTGACCTCAGGGCCCAAGTTCTTAACATCTACTACCCTCTCCAGTAGTACATTACTACACTTAATCAAAATTCTATTAGCATTTAATGTTAAAATAAATCACAATGGGCTGGGCGCGGTGGCTCATGCCTGTAATCCCAGCACTTTGGGAGACAGAGGTGGGCAGATCACCTGAGGTCAGGAGTTCAAGACCAGCTTGGCCAACATGGCAAAACCCTGTCTCTACTAAAAATACAAAAATTAGCTGGGTGTGGCGGCGCACGCCTGTAATCCCCGCTACTCAGAAGGCTAAGGCAGGAGAATCGCTTGAACCCAGGAGGCAGATTGCAGTGAGCCGAGATCGTGCCACTGCACTCCAGCCTGGGTGACAGAGTAAGACTCTTGTCTCAAAAATAAATAAATATCACAACGAGGAAAGTTAATTTTTAGAAAACAGGAGTTAGAATAGACATCAGTACTATGCATAATTTATACTTTCATACACTGAAACTTCAAAAAATGGGATTGTCAAGAAGGCAATAACTGGTCGGGCGCAGTGGCTCACGCCTGTAATCCCAGCACTTTGGGAGGCTGTGGTGGTCGGATCAACGAGGTCAGGAGATCAAGACCATCCTGGCTAACATGGTGAAACCTCATCTCTACTAAAAATACAAAAAAGTAGCCGGGTATGATGGTGGGCACCTGTGGTCCCAGCTACTCGGGAGGCTGAGGCAGGAGAATCACTTGAACCCAGAAGGCAGAGGTTGCAGTGAGCGGAGACTGCGCCACTGCACTCCAACCTGGGCGACAGAGTGAGACTCCATCTCAAAAAAAGAAAAAGGCAATAACCAAAATGAAGCATAACTCTCATCTAATGAGACCCCTGAAACAGCAATGACTAGCTATAAAAAAAAATTGTAACACCTCTTCATGTTACATCCAGAAATGTATATAAGGGATGCTTCAAGACTCTAAAATGCCTCATCTTAGGACAGGTATTTATATCTAGCCAGAATGCTTTATTGGTGTTTTAAAAGTTAAGAAATGGCCGGGCGCGGTGGCTCACGCCTGTAATCCCAGCACTGTGGCAGGCCCAGACGGGCGGATCACGAGGTCAGGAGTT
The DNA here is from genome assembly GCF_000001405.40 of Homo sapiens. Classification (NCBI taxonomy): domain Eukaryota; kingdom Metazoa; phylum Chordata; class Mammalia; order Primates; family Hominidae; genus Homo; species Homo sapiens. The sequence continues at coordinate 87,693,525 of NC_000006.12, forward strand.
CAAGATCAGCCTGACCAACATGGTGAAACCCTGTCTCTACTAAAAATACAATTAGCCAGGTGTGGCAGTGCGCACCTGTAATCCCAGTTACTCAGGAGGCTAAGGCAGGAGAATCGCTTGACCCCAGGAGGCAGAGGTTGCAGTGAGCTGAGATTGCGCCACTGCACTCCAGCCTGGGCGACAGACTGTGACTCTGTCTCAAAAAAAAAAAAAAAAAAGTGAAGAATTATTCCAAGTTGATAGGTCAGTATTTCCACACATGTACAACTAATTACAATGCCAGGCTCTGATAATGCACTATTTTACCCTGGGCTATGAAAGATTGTCACAGTGAACATCAAGTCCCCCTCTCTATCATAGCAACTAAAATCTTCTATACTTTAAATCAAGTATACCACTTAGAAAAGTTCTTCTAGATAATCATATTTTAGTAGGAGGAACAAGACAATCTCCTATCATAATTAAAAGGCACAGTTCAGGGGGACAGTAATGTTTGAAAAATTGGCTTTCTTCAAACTTCACTGTACATTCTACTCTTCATTTACTCATCAGTTCAACAAAAATAAACAAAAGAAAAATCCAAGTCCCTCTCTCAAACCATTCCAACTAGTTTGATTTTTTTGAGGGAGTTTTACAAGAATTAACATTAACAGAAATGAAAATGAATGCTAACCAAAGTGAGAATACACATCATATACTGACACAATTTCAGAAACTTAGTAAACAAGCCTTAACACTTTAAGGAAAAAAACTGTTTCAAAAGTGATTTAATCAGTAAACCAATTTCAATATTTAGGCTATCAAAGGGGAAATGAATACTAATGTGGAAAAATATTAATAAGAAATGAAAATAGGTATACTGATAAAGCATAAAGTGCTAGCTAATAAAGTATCAACAGTGGCTGCTCTATCATCAGTCTCTCAAGAGAGACTCTTACTCTTCTTTGCCTAGCCAGTGCAGTATCTAGAACTCAAATGAGGTTCATAAGGGTTCGAACAAGTGACTTCTAGAAGAAGAATTTAAATGTTTTAATAATGTTAAGAAATCCAGGTACATCAAAAGACCTAAAAAGTCAAATCCAGAAGTTGTATTTAATGGAAAGATTACAATGTTAATAAAATCACAATAGCCACTAGTACATCTCAAGATGATCTGCCTGTGACACTTGTGACAGATAAAAACTAAAGGGAAAAAAAGCTACACCCCAAGACAAACTAAAAGTATATTATTATGAGCTGCTTTCTTAGTGCTAGAAAGTTTACCACCCAACAAAGCCTACCATCACAAGAAATATTACAAAAATTGTTATACTGTAAAATCCTCATCACCAAAAATATTACAAAATCTATTATACTGTAAAATTCTGATTAATAGGCCCAAAATAAATATCAAAGCTGAAAAACTAACATCCACTAGAATTTTAAATTACCTGCAGGGATTCCCTGCTTAATATAGATACAATATCATCTCATGTGAGAAACTTGCTATAACAAATAATTCAATTTCTTTGGAAATAAATCACAACTTCTTATTAAAAAGTATTTTCTTCTAAAAATCCTGTGAAACCCTTTAAAATGTTTCTTCCAATGAGCAAATACCTGATAATAGAAAAATTCTTATACATGGGGCTACTTAAAATATTGTAATTCATGTAATCCATGTTCTCATCATTATCCAGAAAAATGAAGAGAGAAATATACTTAAAGTTCCTCAGAAAAGTATTATTCAAAGTCTTAAACTAATTGCAGTATTTATTACGACTCGTTGGAGTCACATTTTTTGTCAAAAATGTTACACATTATGACAATGTCATAGAACAGTCTAAAAAGAAAATTTGGTACAGAATTACAGGGTAAAACTGAAATTACATTTTTTTCCAACCATAGCAACTCTAAGAACCTTGGGAAATGTCAAGACTTAAGATGCCTGATAGTTTTGTATAGGCTTAAATAAATATTTTCTCTCATACCTTTTTAAAAGCAGGCGGTGCTCTCAAAGGCAAGAAATTCCCTGTAGTTTCACATATATAGAGAACGTTCTTTGAATCAACAGTGCTAGGCATAGGGTTAACACAAGGACTACAGAGACTACAAATTGCTGGTTAACTAATTCAGTGATAGGTACTTGAAAATACCTACTCCCACTCCTAATACCATTATCTAGTTTCATGAACCAACTATTCAAGAGGCCCAAACTTAACCCATGCTATTACTTCACATTCTTCTTTTATAAAGAGAAAAATCTCTTTTCAAATAGGAAAGATACTCACAACTGGGCACTTCCACTGAAGCTTTTATTCTCAATCTTTCAAAACGAAAGCTTTCTATCACTGTCTTTCTAGATCTATCAAAACACTTAGCAGAAAAAACCTGCCGGGCACAGTGGCTCAAATCTGTAATCCCAGCACTTTGGGAGGCTGAAGCGGGCAGATTGCTTGAGCCCCAGGAGTTTGAAACCAGCCTGGGCAACATGGTGAAACCCCATCTCTACAAAAAAATACAAAAATTAGCTGGGCATGGTGGCACATGCCTGTATCTCCAGGTACTTGAGAGGCTGAGGCAGGGGGATCATTTGAGCCCAGGAGGCAGATTGCAGTGAGCCGAGATTGTGCTGCTGCACTCCAGCCTGGGACAGAGCAAGACTGTCTCAGAAAACAAAAACAAAACAAAGACCCGATTAGTATGTACTACATTCTTTTTCCAATAAAGCCATTAAAAAACTGAAGAAATTTATATTATTCTCCTTTACATCTCAGGTTATGTCTCCGTGGCAACCATAGTGAATAGTACCTTCCACACCTAAAGAGGGGCTAACCTCTAATCTAGCCATGTTTAGCCTATGTGTTGCTGTGCTCAAGTTAGGCTTTATTTTCCTACCTTAATAAAAAAGCCGGGAGCTGGGCGCAGTGGCTCACGTCTGTAATCCCAGCACTTTGGGAGGCTGAGACGGGCAGATCATGAGGCCAGAAGATCGAGACCATCCTGGCTAATACGGTGAAACCCCATCTCTACTAAAAATACAAAATATTAGCCAGGCATGGTGGCGGGCACCTGTAGTCCCAACTACTTGGTAGGCTGAGGCAGGAGAATGGCGTGAACCCGGGAGGCAGAGCTTGCAGTGAGCCGAGATTGTGCCACTGCACTCCAGCCTGGGGGACAGAGTGAGACTCCATCCAAAAAAAAAAAAAAAAAAGCCAGGGAGGCCAGGCGCGGTGGCTCACGCCTGTAATCCCAGCACTTTGGGAGGCTGAGGCAGGTGGATCATGAGGTGAGGAGTTCAAGACCAACCTGACCAACATGGTGAAACCCCATCTCTTCTAAAAATACAAAAATTAGCCGGGCGTGGTGGTGTGCGCCTGTAATCCCGGCTACTCAGGAGGCTGAGGCAGGAGAATCTCTTGAAACTAGGAGGTGGAGGTTGCAGTGAGCTGAGATTGCGCCACTGCACTCTAGCCTAGGCGACAGAGTGAGACTCCGTCTCAAAACAAACGAACAAAAAAAAAGCCGGCGGCACAGGCTCACACCTATAATCCCAGCACTGTGTGAGGCCAAGGCAGTTGGACCACCTGAAGTCAGGAGTTCAAGACCAGCCATGCCAACATGGTGAAACCCCATCTCTACTAAAAATACAAAACAAAATCAGCCAGGTGTGGTGGCGCACGCCTGTAATCCCAGCTACTCCAGAGGCTGAGGCTCGAGAATCGCTTGAACCCAGGAGATGGAGGTTGCAATGAGTTGAGATCATGCCACTGCACTCCAGCCTGAGTAAGACTTTGTCTCAAGAAAAAAAAAAAAAAAAAGCTCTATATTAGTAATGAATACAACTGCAGTTTTTAATGGCCATAAACTTACAGGATTCTTAAATGCATAAATCACAGAAATATGCAGTAACTGCAGCTACATACACAGTCCTAAATAGAATATCAGGTTTAAGACTCAAAGTACAAAGACCATTAAAAACATTTATTTGCCAAATCCAGTGAGAAACTAGGAGCAACTTAACAGCTGTCTAAATAACCACAAAATATTAAAAAATACTTCTGGCTCAATGTAAATGACATCTGAAGAGAGATGCTGCCTCCTCCAACAGACGTCTCATTTGTTCGCCTAGAACCATTTATATTTCATTGAAGCCAGCTGGTGTCTCCGTTTGCAGGCATGCATCAATGTCTGGTGAACAATCTATGTTCCTGTAAACCCTTCCCCATTCACAAGCTGCAGTTTCCATTTTTAATGGCAAGTTTCCAGCAAGTACAATGAGTTCTTACAAAGGAACTTAACTCTTCACAGAATTCAATTCCTAAGGCAGATTAATGGTACCAAGCCATAAACAATGTGAATTAATGTGCCTAACAAACTCACAAATACATTAACATTCACAGAAGGGTATCTTCAGACCATTCATTCACTACATAATGAAAACAATGTGCTGGATTTGATTGACGGTCTCTTATAATGTTGCAATATTTTGGTTTTATTAAAATTCTTTCTTGGGAATGTCATGACAATCTTTTGGCTAAATGGTAGTATTATGAGATGTTTCAAAAACCAATAGTAAAGCATACTTTGGTTTTCAACTAACTTACCAGGGTAAGTATTGATGCAGCTACTAGAGGCATTCATTTCACCAACGATATTCAATGCTTCTGCTCCCCCTCCCCTTACTTCCACTGATCACTTTTCCTTTTCCATACCCAGGGGTATTATAAACCTCACTGCTGACACCCCACATGAGGGTAAGCAAACTTTTTCTGTAAACACCAGAGAGCAAATATGGAGTTTTCGGGGCAATATACTGTGTGTGACAACTATTAAACTCTGCCATCGTCACCTGCAATGAACAATACTTAAAAAAAAAAAAAAAAGAATGAGCACAGCTGTGTTCCAATAAAATTTTATTTATGGACACTGAAATTTGAATTTCACATAATTCTCACGTGTCACAAAATAATTCTTTTGATTCTTTTCCAACCATTTAAAAAATGTAAAGAACATTCTTAGCTCTCAGGCTACACAAAAATATGGCTATACTTTGTCAACCATCCCTAGACCCTGAACAGCATTTCTGAATTAGTAACACTTAGGTGTCCTAAAAAACAGGTTTGGGATAGCTGTGTGTTAAGGAGTCCCTAAAAAATTCATAATGCCAATTAGCATAATAAAGGCTCTAAGCCTTGCGGTTAAGAAAGCAAGCTTAACTTCCGTCAGCTCAGCTAGTCCTTCCTTTTTCCTAGTATTAAGTTGCAACAGTTTGAAAAATATTTAAATAAGAATAGTCAAGTCAAACTTCCTGGGATGACTAAAATGATAGCTAAGGTTTAAAACAGACATCCAAGTTCCTGAAACTAATAAAGCCACAACATGACTTCAGCTATGCCATCAGAAACTGAAAGTATCTAGAGGAGAACAATGATAAAATAAAGTGTATACATGCTCTGAAAAAAAGTCACTTTAGTACTCTAGTTCTACATTAATTTGTATTATATTTGAACTCACAGATGTGAAAGGAAAACAAAGAGTTCCCACAAGTTTGCCAATCTCAATTTGGTAAGCCACTGTCTACTTCCAAACCTAACTACTCATTTTAGTTAATGACAGATGGGTATTTACTCCCATAAAGTTTAAGAATAATCGGTGTTAAAATAGGAAGCTAAAAATCAGGTGCATGAGAAAATTATTTCCAAGTTTACTAACATGAAAACTGGGAAGCTCTTTGATACCTGCACAACACTGCAGCTCCCATTATGACATTACAAAAAACATACAGGACCATACCCCAAATTGGCCATATAAACACAAAGTCAAACTAAATTACATTTAGAATGTCATTCAAAACTACCGTTTAAAAAATGTAATTTTAGCAAGTCAAAATTTCAATTTCAACTTGTTTTCTCAAGTAAACTTTTTGCGATAATATTCAAATTAGTTTGGAAATAACTTTTAGCAGACTCAGAATCAATAAGGATGTGATTTTAGGTTTCAGGATATAATCAAACTTCCAAAGTAGATGTCAAAAAAAAAACACCTTGAAGAAAATAGCAGTATTTTGGAAAGTGAATGTGAATCTCAATCAGCTGGCTTAAACAATTCCAATAATTCCAGTCGTTTTACTACAACAGTCCAATTAATTTAAACTTGAGATAATGTGGAGCCAACTGTATTAACCAACGCTACAGATATGCCAATGAAAAGTCGTTTACAAAGGATCACAATTCTGAATAAGTGTGCTTTAAAGGGGAGGAACATGGTATAGTCCCCAATTGTTCACATACATGCCCAAGATTATTTTGACATTGAGATATAGTACTTTAATTCCCAAACCTAGCACTGTATTAATTCACTCCCTCGACTGAAATGTATTGCTGGTTAGCTCCTTAATGACCTTATTTTGAAATGGCTTTATTAGTTAAGTACAGAATCCATTTCAATTTCCAATGATACCATTTCACTAAAAGACAAATTCCAAAAATGTCAACCACCAGTAGCTCATTCTTGACATTGGCTGTTTCCTTTTTTTTTTCCCAAAGTAAAGCCTAACAATTAATCAACAAATGCCTTTTCAATCTAATTAAAACACAGTTTAGTAAGGTCATTAAATAAATTTATCTAAGAATTTCCGTAAAAACTCACTACAACTCTAAAACAGTATGTCCTTAAATTAGACCAAATATTTAATAGCAAAAATGGTAGCTTGCATATTCGAGGGTCACTCCATGGATTTAGAAAATATTTTTAAATGTGACAAAAAAAAAAAAACACTAAAGTCAGTTTCAAATGGAAGTCACCAAATACAGAGGTATATACTTCGGTTTTTTAAGCTACTGATAACGAGACATTTAAATCAAGCTATGGAAAGGCTTTGTCTAAAGGGTGATATTATTACTAAAGGCTCACACAGAAATCTTTGCATGCTACACACAAAGGAAACATTTACACTTCTAGTCCACAAAAGCCTATCCTAGGATTGTGCCAGGGGCACACAAGGATTTCAAAGTACAGAAAAAACTGGGCATACACATGCCCTACAAAGCAGCCAAAAGACATTCCCCAGTCTCTCTCAGGAAATGTTTCAAGATGAAAAGCAAAAGTCTGAAGTCCCTTGGAATCTTGGGTTGATTTCTTCATTATTCTCAAGGCTAGGTTGTTTTCCCCCAGCATACTTTGTTGGGCAAAAATAAAACATTTCCAAATAAAAGCAACTCCTCAGCCCCAATTTTCAATGCAATATGCTTATTAAAAGTTCAACATTTCTCAAGGTCTAGACTTATAGTGTGATCATATTACAGTACTCGGGAAGAGCATTTTCTTTGTTGTTGACCCTGCTAGGGAAACAGGTCTTGACTCAGCCAAAGTGGCGTTCTTGTGGGTGATTAATGACAGGCCTAGATCTCGCCCTAGTGACATCCATCCCCCACCCCCCACCCCCACTATACTAAAATCAGCCGTGTCTGAACTGAAGGAGGGGCTGTAGCCTCGCCTCAAACCACCCAGTCCCAGAGTTAATAGCTGCAACCAATCGATTACGGCAAGCACACATCCAGATTGGGGTGAAATGTGACCCTTTCGCCTAAATTTACGAATAATATCGTCCTCTCTGATCATTTCCGCTGGGGCTCCAGCGACTACGGAAACAATTCCAATCATTCGGCCCAAAGAAAAAGATGTCCCTGTTCTACCCAATACGGGCAAGGCAAAGCCCCTACCCACCTCCAAACACTATCCCCTTGACATCAGCCCATTTCTATTGTGTCTTATTAGGTCCTCGGGCTACGAGGACCTAGTGAAAAACGTGGCTGCCCTACTACTTTGCTAAGAACAAGAACCACACAGTCCGGCACCCCCACCCCAGGGGCCGCATCCCACACCCCAGGACCCCTGTTCCCAGTTCTCTCCACTACCCCGGCGGCCGCGGGGCCGGGTCCCACCTGTGGTGAGGCGGGAGGAGACGTCGCCGAAGGGGGATGGCTCCATTCGGAGATACTTCTGCGGCGAGGCGGCCGCAGCGGAGAAGGAGGCGGCGGTGGCCGCGGCCGCCGACAACGGGGAGGCAGCGGCCGAGGTGGGCGCCGACAATGGCGCACATCGCCTGCGCTTCGGGGACGCCGGGCTCAACAGCGGGTCGAAATCCAGAGTCCTTTTCAGAGTGGCTCCGCACGCCATGGCCGGGGGCAGCTGAGGCGCCGGGCTCGGGTGGGGTCGGGGACGGGTGACGAAAGAAGAGGGTGAGGGAAGGGGTGAAGAGCGGGAACTCGAGGAGAGCCTACCCGACGGGCTCAGGAGCCAAGCGGGTCGCGGAGCGCCGGCTGTGGAAAGGAGAGCCGCTGCCGCCGCTGCCTCCGCGGCAGGGGCAGTGGCCAGGGACGGCCCGGGTGAGAGCGGGAGGGGCGGTGGCGGGCAGAAGCACACGCCAGTCGCGTCAGGGGGGTTCTTCCGCCTCCTCAGGCGCGGCTCCCCCGAGAGAGGCTCCGGCCGCCCCCGCCGTCCGCTCGAGCTTTGCGCCGCGCCTGAGGCGCTTCTGTGCTGAGACTAGATCCTTTCTGAAGTCGAAAACAGCACCGTGGGGTGTGAGGCTGGAACGCGGCTCCTAATACGCCCGAGTACGGTCAGTAGCTTGCGAGCGGCGATCGATGCAGAGAGATTGCGAGGTAGCTGCCGCAGCAGGAACCCAAGCGAACACGTCCAACCGCTTCCCCTCCCTCGTAGAACTCTCCCACCCGCCGCCGGCCCCAATATGGCGTCAATAACAACGCCGCCGATTCAAATCCGGCGGCCTCAGAGCGCTTGCGCACGGGGGCGGGCCAAACCGGGGATGCATTTTGGGAGTTGTAGTTTTTAGGTACCGGGAGGAATCGGCTTGAAAGGCGGGAAGGGAGGAGTCACAGAAACTACGACTTCCGTCATGCAAGGCGCGCGATTCCGAGTTCCGGGTTGGAATTTAAATCCCCCTACACAGCTTGAGTGTAAGAGGAACTAAGCAAAAGAGAAAAAAAGAGAAGGTTCTGAGACAGTGGGAGATGGGAAAGCGAACCCGTGGCAAAAGCAGGCTAAGCGACATAGAAATCTTTTAAGATTCTCCGTATAGTTGCTCCCACAGTGATTTCAGATCTGGGAAATATAATAAACCAATCTCTAGTCAAAGTTAGCTTAATTTCGGTAGCGACAGTACCCAAAACAAGACCTTTCACATGGAGAGGATAGGAGATAATGAGATTATGAAACCTATTTAGGACTGGCAGACAGAACAACAGTAATAGTATCAGGTTACAGGATCCTTGATTCAACTCGATGCTCTACCCTTCGGAGGTAGCTGCTTCATCCACTAATGAAATTCTGTAAAGCCAGCTTTGCTTCTGTAAATGAATAGGACTTGAACGACTTACAGAATCAAATTGTTTTGCGTTGGGTAAAAAGCAAGTGGTATCAGACATTGCATTACTTCTGTTGAATATTGGTGCATATATTGTGAACTTTGTTACAAAACTAATCAAAAGACAGTGAAATGTTTAGGTAATAGATATTGGATGGATCCATTTTGTAAGCGGAAGGGGAAAAAAGTGTTTCTAGAAGTTGTACTTTTAGTCACATACCTAAAATAAGAATCAAATACAGCGCTAATTTAGAAAGTGATCTGTGTAGCCGGGCATGGTGACTCACGCCTGTTATCCCAGCACTTTGGGAGGCCGAGGCAGGCGGATCTTCCTGAGGTCAGGAGTTCGAGACCAGCCTGGTCAAAATGGTGAAACCCCGTCTCTACTAAAAATACAAAATTAGCCGAGCGTGGTGGCGCGCGCCTGTAGTCGCAGCTACTCGGGAGGCTAAGACAGGAGAATCATTTGAACCCGGGAGGCGAAGGTTGCAGTGAGCCGAGATGTTGCCACTGCACTCCAGCCTGGGTGATAGAGCGAGTCTCTGTCTGAAAAAAATGAAAAGAAAAGAAAATGATGCCGGGCGCGGTGGCTAACGCCTGTAATCCCAGCACTGGGAGGCCGAGGCAGGCGGATCACGAGGTCAGGAGTTCGAGACCAGCCTGTTCAACATGGTGATACCCTGTCTCTACTAAAAATAAAAAAAATTAGCCGGGCGTGGTGGCGCACACCTATAGTCCCAGCTACTCAGGAGGCTGAGGCAGAAGAATCGCTTGAACCCGGGAGGCGGAGGTTGCAGTGAGCCAAGATCAAGCTACTGCACTCCAGCCTGGGTGACAGAGCTAGACTTCGTCTCAAAAAAAAAAAAAAAAAAAAAAAGTGATATATGTAGAAACTATCACCAGTGCAATATGAAACAATTTTGTGAATGCCAACTGTCAAATGATTATAAATACTGATTTCCAGTGCTCATGTATTCTTCTTTATTCAGTAACAGATGTTTTATAGCCATTTTGTCTATTATTTTTAAACCATATTTAGAAGTAGTTCAATATATTCTTTTTTATAGACAATTTTATAGAATTGTCCAGTGCTTCAGAGATCAGCAGTCCTGATCACACTGTGTCAACAAGTAAGCCCTTCTAGTTTTAATTTAGGATATTTGGAAATATCCTACATTTCCTACATTTGGAAAATCTTTTGAAAAAGATAAGCATTTAATGAAACAGCAGCTTAACTAAGACACCTACTAGGTAAATTTCTAGTAAATTCTAAACACTTGGTAATATTTTCTGAAATTAAGATTTGCCCATAAGTTATAAAACCTACATTTGAAATGTGATGTTGTGAGTTAAATTCCCTATGTTTGAGGGAATTCAAGGACTTCAAAATTCATATGAAGTCCTAACCTCCAGTACCTTAGAATATGACTTTACTTAGGAATAGGATTATTTCAAATGTAATTAGCTAAATGTAGTAGGATGGGCCCCTAATCCAATATGACTGGTATTCTTATACAAAAAAGGAAATTTGGGCCAGGTGCGGTGGCTCACACCTGTAATCCCAGCACTTTGGAAGGCCGAGGTGGGAGGATCACTTGAGGCCAGGAGTTTGAGGCTAGCCTGGGCAATGATAAGAAACCTCATCTCTACAAAAATTTTTAAAAAATTAACTAGGCATGGTGGTGGTCACCTGTGGTCCCAGCTACTCGGGGCAGCTGAGGTGAGAGGATTGCATGAGCCCAGAAGGTTGAGGCTGCAGTAAGCTGTAATCACACCACCACACTCCGGCCAGGGTGTCATAGCCAGACCCTGTCTCAAAAAAAAAAAAAAAAAAAAGAAAAGAAAAAAAGGCCAGGGTGAAGGGGAGACTGGGTGGGGGTGGGAATTTGAACCCAGGCATGGGCCCAAGGGAATTTTGACCCACATGAACATGAACATGAAAATAGAGATTAGGGTGATGCTTCTACAAGCCAAGGAATGCCAAAGATTGCCAGCAAAACACCAGAAGCTAGGAGAGAAGTTGTTCTCCCTCAGTCCTCAGAAGGAACCAACCCTGAAAACACCTTCTCAGAGTTGTATTCTCTAGACCATGAGACAATAAATTTCTGTAGGTTAAGCCATCCAGTTTGTGGTACTTTGTTATGGCAACTGTAAGAAACTAATACAGAGAGGATTGTGGTTATCAGGCTATCATTTGAAATATACCAGAATGCCTAGAAAATGAGGAAAGTATTTTTTTGTTTAATTGTGGAGACAGAGGTCTAAGTTGCCGAGGATGGTCTCAAACTCCTGGCCTCAAGTGATCCTCCCACTAGCATTACAGGCTAGCATTACAGACTAGCATTACAGGCCGAGCCACTGCACCCAGTCAGCAAAGTGTTGTTGTACTTAAAGGTGGTGGGGGATATCTGGTAAACTTGATAGTTTAGTCATAATAGTTGCCTGTGTGGTCACCGCTGCACAGTATATTTGCAAAAGGCTGTCAAGATTAAACAGTGACAGGGCTGGGGTGCCTCCCCTTCTACCAATGACTCAGGAAGCTACTTCAGAAACTAAAAAGACAAGGGAGACCCTTCCCTATTCACCTATGTCTTTGCTTAGGCTCTCTGCTCCACACTTCTTGCCTGACTACTTATATTTTAAGACTCAAGCCAGGCATTAACTCCTCCAGGAAGCCCTCCGCAGTGTTTCAAAGCCAAGTTAGTTTTATAGCCTCACAGAGAAAGAGACACCTATCTGCATATTTTCATCATTATCCTCACCACACTGCAATAAAATTCTGTTCATGAATCTGCCTCTCCTGTCATTGTGTTAGCTCCTTACCAATAGTATAATACCTTGCACGCTTCAGTAAATGTCCACTGAATATTTCTTAAACATTTTTTATCACACTATCCCCAGTAGCCCACATTATCCTTGTTCCTTTATAGATCTGCTAAAATACTATAGCAACCCTTTTAGAGTAGAAGGAAGCTGTTGAAAAAAAAAAACCTACAAAAGTATTTATTAGGCTAAACTTGAAAATAAAGATAATACTTAAAAGCCGTAAGTCATGACATAGTATATTTTACTTTTATTTTTTAGAGACAGGGACTTGGTCTGTCACCCAGGCTGGGGTGCAGTGACACAATCAAGGCACACTGCTGCCTCGACCTCCTGGACTCAAGTGATCCTCCTGCCTCAGCCTCCCAAGTAGCTAGGACTACAACCTTGCACTACCATACCCAGCTAATTTTTAAATTTTTTGTAGAGACAGGGTCTCAGTACATTGCCCAGGTTGGTCTTGAACTCCAGGCCTGAAGCCATCCTCCCACCTCGGCTTCCCAAAGTGCTGGGATTACAAGTGTAAGCCACCACAATATATTTGAAAAATGAATTTATTTTGTTGATCAAGAAGAAAAAGACAGCAGACCTTAAGATGGGAGACGGGGGGAAGGAAGTACTAAAGAGGAAAAAGAGCTGAGGGCAGTGACTCATGCCTGTAGTCCCAGCACTTTGGGAGGCCAAGGCAGGGAGGAGGTCAGGAGTTCGAGACCAGCCTGGGCAACATAGCAAGACCCCCATATCTACAAAAAATAAAAATGTTTAAAAAAAGAAAAAGAAAAAAGGAAAGAAAAAATAAGAAAAAGAAAACTATATTTAACACATTAATAAGTTGAATCAGGTCACATGAATCTAAATATACTGTACAGCTAATGGCTCCAGTGACCTACACAGACCAGAATTGCTCTTGTTGTAACTAAAAAGCCTGTAACAAGTTTTAAAGGTTTAACATATTTAGAATAGTTTTACCATGACCTAGCAAGTATTTTCTGATTTGTACAATCTCAGAAGCCTCTGAAGAAAATTAAACTATTTTACCAAGATACTGGTCTTGCTTGGTATTAGACTTTCCTAACACCTCCCAAAATATTCTCCAGGATCTGATTCTGATGAGTCATTCTTTGACTAAAGCCAATAAAAGTAGACATAGCTGGGTAACATAAGACCTCATCATCCTGAGCCTGAAGATTGTCTGCTTATATTAAATCATTTTCAAACAATTTTTTTCTGATGTCAAATAAAGATAAATGCAAATATATAAGGTGTGGGGAGGTGTTTGCTGACTTCTCATACTGAGTTTGAATAATCATAGGCTCAGCATTAGGAACGGCAGTTCTAATTCAGGAGCCACTTCAAATCTATATTCAGAACAAGGATTGTCTAGGGCAGAAAAATTGTTTAATCGTTGTGTAAATGAGTGCAGTTAGGGAAGAAGAGACATTGTAATTCCTTCTGCATAAGATTTTGCAAGCTGGCCCAAATCTCTTCTAAGCACCATATTTGGAATACACAGTACTTTCTGTTGTAGATATGATACTGACTAATTTTTCAGTTTTCATAATTTTGGATGTGGTCATTATTTTGAGTCGATTGGGTAGATCACAGAGTAAGCAGAACCATATATCTGCCAGTTATTTCAAGAGGTCACCTAGTGCGATCCAGTCTCAAGGCAAGATTACCTGTTAACTACTCAAGCCAGACCAGTATCTGACTCTCCCCAAAGATTGTCAAGAACATTCAGCATCCCGTTCAAGTGTAAAAAACACAATTGCAAATTATTTTATCAATTCAGTTGGCGCAAAAGTAATTACAGTTTTTGCCATTACTTTTAATTACTTTTGCACCAACCTAATATAGCTTTCACCTCTTCATCAGCGACTGAGTTCTCCTTATACAATGCCCTATGCACTCCAGGAAATAAACCATGATTCACTTAGCCTGAGGAACGTTGAAAAGAAATTACAGGATAATCTCTGGCAGTCACATTAAGATATTATGAAGTCCTTATTTTTATTTTTTTTTTTTTATTTTTTATTTATTTTTTTTTTTTTTTTGAGACGGAGTCTCGCTCTGTCGCCCAGGCTGGAGTGCAGTGGCGGGATCTCGGCTCATTGCAAGCTCCACCTCCCGGGTTCACGCCATTCTCCTGCCTCAGCCTCCCAAGTAGCTGGGACTACAGGCGCCCGCCACTACGCCCGGCTAATTTTTTGTATTTTTAGTAGAGACGGGGTTTCACCGTTTTTAGCCGGGATGGTCTCGATCTCCTGACCTCGTGATCCGCCCGCCTCGGCCTCCCAAAGTGCTGGGATTACAGGCGTGAGCCACCGCGCCCGGCCGAAGTCCTTATTTTTAAATTTGCATACTTTTCTTAAGTATGTGCCCTCAAGTACCTGCACCCTTCTTCAAAAACTGTTTACTCTTAACTTGACAGAAAATTCAAATGTGCTTGGGGATCTTATTTTCCAGTCCAAACCAACTGGAAGAATATACTAGGAGAGAGAAAAGAGAATTAAAGGTGCTATACACTGGCTACAACAAGCAGTAGAATCATTGGATAGCAATAAAAGAGACTGTCAAAAATAACTACAGAATTGAAAAAGAACAACAACGTTGAGACACCTCCCTGTCAGGACAATTAGCCCTACCGCGGCTCAACTGCAGCTGAGGCTCCCTTGTATTATTATAATATCATATATAACAGTGGTAGGGTTGCCAGATTTAACAAAAATATAAGATGCCCAAATTCAAATTCAGTTTGAATTTCAGATTAACAAGGAATAATTTGTTAGTATAAATATGTCACAGGCTGGAATGCAGTGGCCCATGCCTGTGACCCCAACACTTTGGGAGACTGAGGCAAGAGTATTGCTTGCGCCAGGAGTTTCAGACCAGCCTGGGCAATATAGTGAGACCCTATCTCTATTTTTTAAGAAAGTCACAAATATTGCATGTATTTAGCTGAAATCCAGATTTTACTGGGTACCCTGTATTTTATCTGGCAACCCTAAGTAAGGAGCACAAGACAGTGACCATGAATCATCAAGAAAAGCACAAACTATGTTTAGTATGCAGTTCAAAAAATGTGTAACAAACATGATATTAGAAAATATTCTGCCCGGCCATCAGAGAAATGCAAATCAAAACCACAATGAGATACCATCTCACACCAGTTAGAATGGCAATCATTAAAAAGTCAGGAAACAACAGGTGCTGGAGAGGATATGGAGAAATAGGAACACTTTTACACTGTTGGTGGGACTGTAAACTAGTTCAACCATTGTGGAAGACAGTGTGGCGATTCCTCAGGGATCTAGAACTAGAAATACCATTTGACCCAGCCATCCCATTTCTGGGTATATACCCAAAGGATTATAAGTCATGCTGCTATAAAGACACATACACACGTATGTTTATTGCAGCACCATTCACAATAGCAAAGTCTTGGAAGCAAGCCAAATGTCCAACAATGATAGACTGGATTAAGAAAATGTGGCACATATACACCTTGGAATACTATGCAGCCATAAAAAAGGATGAGTTCATGTCCTTTGTAGGGACATGGATGAAGCTGGAAACCATCATTCTTAGCAAACTATCGCAAGGACAAAAAACCAAACACCGTATGTTCTCACTCATAGGTGGGAATTGAACAGTGAGAACACTTGGACACAGGAAGGGGAACATCACACACCGGGGCCTGTTGTGGGGTGGGGGGAGGGTGGAGGGATAGCATTAGGAGATATACCTAATATAAATGACGAGTTAATGGGTGCAGCACACCAACATGGCACATGTATACATATGTAACAAGCCTGCATGTTGTGCACATGTACCCTAAAACTTAAAGTATAATTTTAAAAAATAATAATAATAATAAAAGAAAATATCCTGGCTGGGTGCAGTAGTTCACACCTGTAATCCCAGCACTTTGGGAGGCCGAGGCGGGCAGATCACCTGAGGTCGGGAGTTCGAGACCAGCCTGACGAACATGGAGAAACCCTGTCTCTACTAAAAACACAAAATTAGCCAAGCGTGGTGGCGCATGCCTGTAATCCCAGCTATTCAGGAGGCTGAGGCAGGAGAATCACTTGAACCTGGGAGGCAGAGGTTGTGGTGAGCAGAGATCATGCCATTGCACTCCAGCCTAGGCAACAAGAGCGAAACTCCATCTCAAAAAAAAAAAAAGAAAGAAAAGAAAAAGAAAATATCCCATAGAAGGTATTTAAGATTCAGATAATTTAAAGTTTCAGTTGTTTGGAAAGTTAAATACATGAAATACTTTGGACCATGCATGTTCTATTCACTGCAGAGTGCCAGCTATAAACTAAACAGTAAACATTTGATGAATAATGAAAAGCTTCACACACTATCTCCCCATTGGTGGGGGACCTCAAGCCCCTAAAGGTTGTCTCTAGCCCCGCCTCATCATTTAGTTTTAGAATTCCCTCACACCTTCTACTGCAGCTGTCTGTTCCGTTGTCTTGCTTAAGTCCAAGCCTGACTCAGAATTGGTGTCACTGTCTGTGTCAGGCTCTCGTTCCCTCTTGTGCCTTTTGTCCTGTGGTTCCATGATGCCACCACAAACCTTCTCTGATGAGGCTTTTTGAGAGAATGAGATGATGCCTGCACTTCCCCAATATTTTGGGCTTCCTCTGCAAGCCCATTGTTATAAGGGTTAGCCAGGTGCATGGTGTGAAGGAAATGATAAAAGAGGCTCAACTCTTACCCCAGGAGCAGCTTTCCTAACCCCACCCACTGATAACAAGCATCACCTTGGGACTGATTATTGGTCCCTTGCAGTCCTCAGGGCTTGTGTTAAAGTTAGGGCTTTATAGAGTACTCAAAAAATTGCTAGATTTTATCTGAAACTTGTGTGCCACAGTTTGTTATATATTGTGGCCAGATGAGTACAAGGAATTGTCCCCATCTTGTACTTAAAGGAGACAGTTCACACTCCTGGTATGGTTTGCCTCTGAGTAGTGGGGTCATGGAGTGGGTCCATGGGAATAAGACATTCCTACCTTCAAAGCTTACTTTCTATCTTACAAGCTTGTCTGAAAATTCTTTTTCAAAAGTCCCATTTATCATAATAATTTGGAAAAATAAAATACAATTTTTTTTCTGGAGAAAAAAAGTCATCCCAGTTACCATCAATCTGGAAATTAAAAGCCAGTACATCACACGATACTGTCTAGTGCATAATAAACCCTTAGTTAGCCATGTCTATTATTATCATGCTAAGGAAAACTCCAAAATCTCCCCAAGCCTTTTTGTCTATTAGATTGCCTACAGTCCAGTTACGGCTGCTGAGGTCCAGTTTCTGAGCCAGCTGCCCCCACCACATACACACCCAAGCAGAATGCTGCCAATGACTTTTATTCAATTTTGTCTTCCTCCTGGGTAGTGAGTTTAATTCTCACCTCTGACTGCCTTTCTAGGATGTTCCTTATTATCTTCTATTGTGTTTCAGAGACTTCTTACATGTCTTCGCAAAGAAGAGTGGGAGTTCAGACTCAAAACTGTCAAACTAATATTCCCAACCATTCTCCAGCTGACATTCCAATTCTAATGGAGTCTCAACTTTTAATGTTTTGGTCATGCACAATTGTCAATTTAAAAATTCACAACCCTTCTGAAAGAAAGTCCATGAGTATTCATTGAGAAGAGAATCAGCCAGCCCAATTGAATGTTCTCTGATAAGCATGCAGTACAGGAGTAGTGACTGTCAGGATTATGGCCTAATTTCCAACCTCTAAAACCTACTGTGCCTTTTAGGTTACAACAGAAGATAATAGTGATTGGGTTCATTAAATCTGTGTGTTGGCAGTTTATTTTGGAATATGAAAAGTGACGTGAAAGATGAGATTGGGGTGCACACAAAAATTATTTTGAACACCTAGAGTAGTCTTTCTTGTTTAAACAACCATGTACTGCGAGTCTGCTATGTCTAAGACACTGTTTGACAACACGGAGGCTAGCAAGATGAAGAAGACACTGCCCCTCCCTTACGCTTATAGTCTAGTGGAGGAGAAATGTACACAAATATCACTAGAGAGAGTGCAAAAGAGGGAACTCAGATAACATCTAAAGTTCCCAATCAGTGCAGTTGGGTTTTAGGGTGTGTGTCACTTTAATCCTGCCTAGATAGGTGAGTTACAGCCTAGGTTGGCAATATGTGAGGGGAATATGGCAAAACCTGCAATGACTTTTGCACCAACCTAATAAAAGTTATTGTTTACAGAGGATCCCACCATGGCCCAGGTGTGTTCTCAGCTTATCCTAATAAAAATCCTACATGGTCATAGTGTTAATCCCATTTTACTATTGAATTTGTGGCTCATGCCTAAGGTCACACAGTCTAAAATGGAGCAGAGTAGAGACTATTACTTTCTATCACAGGGGTCATGTCTTAGTTATTAGTTATCTTAGTATCTCTGTGGCCTCACAGAGGGCTTGCCACACACCTGAGGACCGTGGCATAGTGTCACTGACACATCTGCCAAGAAGTTAAGTGAACTAGAGCAGAGCTTCTCAAATTTAAGATGCCTGTGAGTCACCTGGGGGATCTTGTTATAATGCAGATTTGGATTCTACCAGGTGATGCCAATGGTGTCCTACCAGGTGATGCCATTGCTTCCCCTGGTCTATGGTTCACATTTTGAGTGTCAAGGAACCAAGAGGAATGAAAGGAACCTGAACTTCTGTCTATTTAGGTGAAGTAAAAGATGTGGTTAATATAATTTGGGAATGATTTTTAGTGATCTGTAGGTAAGTGCTAGCTGTTTTAGAGAAAAGATGAAAGACATTACTTAGAAAAGGCAAATAAGTCATGTGGACCATGTCATTTCACAATACTCTTGGAGAACTCAATCACTTAGAACAGAAACGTGATACTGCAATAATCAATCATCTTTTAAAGCTTGGTACTCAAGTGTTAGGTTCCATGGAGAAACAAAACAGTGAGGGTGTGTGTGGTGGCTCATGCCTGTAATCCCAGCACTTTGGGAGGCTCAAGGTGGGCGGATCACTTGAGGTCAGGAGTTCAAGACCAGCCTGGCCAAAATGGTGAAACCCTGTCTCTACTGAAAATACAAAAATTAGCTGGCTGTGGTGGCAGGTGCCTGTAATCCCAGCTACTCAGGAGGCTGAGGCAGGAGAATCACTTGAACCTGGGAGGCAGAGGCTGCAGTGAGCCAAGATCATGCCACTGCACTCTAGCCTGGACAACACAGCAAGACTCCGCCACAAAAAAAAAAAAAAAAAAAAAAAAATGAGGCCTTTGTAGGAGACATGTTTTGTGCCCTCTGGAACATAGTGAGACTCTCTTTAAAAAAATTTTTTTAGGCCTGGAGCAGTAGCTCATGCCTGTAATCCCAGCATTTTGGGAGGCTGGGGCGGGTGGATCATCTGAAGTTAGGAGTTCGAGACCAGCCTGGCTAAAATGGTGAAAACCCGACTTTGCTAAAAATACAAAAATTAGCCAGGCATGGTGGTGTGTGCCTGTAATCCCAGCTACTCAGAAGGCTGAGATGGGAGAATCGCTTGAACCCAGGAGGCAAAGTTTGCAATGAGCCGAGATTGCACCATTGCACTCCAGCCTGGGTGATACAGCAAGACTCTGTATTAAAAAAAAAAAAAAAAAAGAAAAAAAATTTTAGTTAACCACTTCTACTTATTTCCATTATGATGCTCTGTAAAATTTAATCCATCTCCTTCCTTCAGAGTTTCTTTACCACCCAAGTCAACAGTGTGAAACGTGCCTTTAGGATCTTATTAGGTTGGTGCAAAGGTAAATGTGGTTTTTGCCATGAAAAAATTTAAATAGTAGTATACAAGGTGTTTGTTTCAAGTGTACATATCAGCATTTAACATAGAGAATTGCTATTTCCTTCATGACTTTTTGTTTCATCACAAATAAGGAATAACAAGAAAGTAGTGAAGCAAGACTCTATTAATTGTGTATACCTAGGCTTTCAATTAACAATATGTACATTTTTTGTAATTTATCTTTTCCTGTCTTTCCTCTGATTTTTTTTGTTTTGTTTTGTTTCACTCTGTCACCCTCTGGAGTTCAGTGGTCCCATTTTGGCTCACTGCAGTCTCAACCTCCTGGGCTCAAGCAATTCTCTTACCTCATACATGCCACTACACCCAGCTAATTTATTTATTTTTTATTTTATTTTTATTTTTTTTTCAGAGAGAGACAGGGTTTTGTCATGTTGGCCAGGCTGGTCTTGAACTGCTGAGCTCAAGCAATCTGCCTACCTCGGCCTCCCAAAGTGCTGGGATTATAGGCATGAGCCACTGTACCCGGCCTGCCTCTGATTATATTTATTAAAATATATGTCTATTGAATCAAATAATAAAAAATATGGGCTTATATTTCATATTTTCTCTTTTTTATTTCTTTTTTCTAGTAATTAATTTTGTTCTATTTACTAAATTATTGGTAAATATGGATTGGGGAAAAAATCTGTTCCTTCAGGTAGTTTGAGAAAAATTTCTCTATAGTAGTGTAGCTGCCTGTTAATGACTACCACCATCAAAGCCAGCATGGTGAAAAAGAACACTATTAGCTAATATATACAGAGTGTTGACTGTGTGCCAGGCACTGTTCTGAGGGCTTTATGTGTATTAACTCATTTACTCTTATAAATTAGCTGCTATTGTATCATTCTTTTACTGATGAGAAAACTGAGACATAGAGAGGTTGAGTCCCTTGCCCAAGGTCACACAACACTGAAGTGGCAAAGCCCAGTTCTAGAGTCCATGCCCTTACCCACAAGGGGATATAAGACACAGATTGTAGTCATAGTTCACGTAATAGCTGCAGGCTTAGGTGACTCATTTAACCCCTGTGGGAAAAGAAAAGAAAGAATTAGAAAACATAACAAAAGCTACATGGCAGAGTCCTTACATTGTGCCAGGCATTGAGCTTAGTGCTTACATGCATGATCTCACTGTCTCCTAAGTGTGGGGTGATACAGGAAATGGCTTCAGGTAGTTGATGGTTTAGTGGCACATGGGCTAGGCAGAAATCAAATTGCATCACATATTGAGAAAGCCGTTCCTTCTTTAAGCCTCTGACTCCTAATTACACCTGGCAGAGAGTCTCCCTTTGGTGCAGGTCTTGAATGACTTTCTAACATCAACTTACTTCCTTTTGTTATAAAAAAAGAGTAGGCCTTAGGCTTAACACTTTCTCAGGCAACAAGTTCTTTAATTTTCATTGCACCTTCAATTTAGGGCAAGTAGTGTTGCATTTATAACAGTGATATAAAATTTCCTTTTAAAACATTTATTGAAGTTTAAAAAGTGAGCAACAGAAAAACACCAAGAGGATAATAGTATAGGTCTTACACGGACTTGGCAAATGTTATGACTAAGGAAGTTTGGAAAATACTACATTATCTTTCAAAAACTCAGTAAGGTAGGTACTATTCTCTATTTCTAGGTAGGAGATCTGGAATTTAGAAAAGTTCAGTAACCTTCCCAAGGCCACTCTGTAGGAAGTTGAGGAGCTGAGCTTCAAACCTGGAAGTGTCTGCTTCCAAAATCAGTGCCCTTGACCATGTATTGCCTCCTTAAGATGATGACTATGTATGTTTCCTGCCAGGACTAGCACTCCAGACTGCGTATATGTCATGATTTGAAAGAACAGTTATCAAACAGTTATTAAAGTGTGGTCCTTTCAGGCGGTCCTCTGGGTAAAGGTATTTTCACCAAATACTAAGATGTCATTTGTGTCTTTCACTCGTTTGCTCACCAGTGTATCGGGGAGTTTTCTAGAAGCTATGTGACATGTGATATATCACAACACATTGAGTACAGAACCACAGATGTGAATCCAACTGTCTTCTCTTATGCTGGACATTAAAAAGACTTGCAGAAACATACATGATGCCATTCTTCTCAGTAAATCTTTTTTGTTTGTTCATTTGTTTTGGAAAACACAGGTTTTTTTAAAGTCATTTTTGTTAACATGTCATGGGTTTATTGTTATTTTTAAATGAATTAGTAAATACTTGAAACATTTATCCATCTTAATTTCTAAAACAATAAACATCAATACAATATAGCCCACATAAACAAGTTTTTGGGGGTTGTCAAGAACATAAAGGGGACCAGGTGTGGTGACTCACCCCTATAATGCTAGTGCTTTGGGAGGCCAAGGCAGCAGGATAGCTTGAGCCCAGGAATTTAAGACCAGCTTGGGCAATATGGCAAAACCCTATTTCTACCCAAAGTACAAAAATTAGCTCTGCATGGTAGCACTCGCCTGTGGTCCCAGCTACTTGGGAGGATGCGGTGGGAGGATCACTGGAGCCCGGGATGTTGAGGCTGAGTGAGCTGTGATCATATCACTGCACTCCAGCATTAGTGACAGGGCAAGACCCTGTCTCAAATAAATAAATAAATAAGTAAATAAAAAGAATGTGGCTGGGCGCGATGTCTCATGCCTGTATTCCCAGCACTTTGGGAGGCCGAGATGGGTGGATCATTTGAGGTCAGGAGTTCAAGACCAGCCTGGCCAAGATGGTGAAACCCTGTCTCTACTAAAATTACAAAAATTAGCCAGTCGTGTTGGCAGGCACCTGTAATCCCAGCTACTCAGGAGGCTGAGGCAGGAGAATTGCTTGAACCTAGGAGGTGGAGGTGGCAGTGAGCCGAGATCGCACCACCGCACTCCAGACCGGGCAACAGAGCGATACTCCATCTCAAAAAAATAAAAAATAAAAAAGGCTGGGTGCGGTGGTTCACGCCTGTAATCCCAGCATTTTGGGAGGCCGAGGCAGGCGGATCACCTGAGGTCAGGAGTTCAAGACCAGACCGACCAACATGGAGAAACCCTATCTCTACTAAAAATACAAAATTAGCCGTGCGTGGTGGTGCCTGCCTGTAATCCCAGCTACTCAGGAGGCTGAGGCAGGAGAATCGCTTGAACCTGGGAAGCTGAGGTTGCAGTGAGCCAAGATCATGCCATTGGGCTCCAGCCTGGGCAACAAGAGCGAAACTCTGTCTCAAAAAAAAAAAAAAAAAAAAAAAGAGAGAATGTAAAGGGGTCTTGGGTACAAAGTTTCAGTTAGGAGAAATAAATGATAAGTATTTAAGGTGACAGATATGTTAATTAGCTTAATTCAGTCATTCCACATTATATACATATATGATAACATCACTGCGTACCCCATCATTATATAAAATTATAATTTGTCAAAGAAAATTATTTTATAATTTAAAATAAAAGAAAAAAGTGTAAAAAAGTCTTAAGATGAATATGTGATAGAATAATATTTTTAATAATTAATGGTAACTTTTTTCTCCCATATTTCCACCCTTCTTTTTCTCTCCCACTCCATTCCATTCAAGCATGTATTCCTTGCATCACATTCGAGCACGTGATTCATTGCTTCAGAAGAGGAACATTACCAAGTGGAAAGCAGAAATGGTTTCTAGCTTTTGTGTTTCCAAAAAGCCTAAACCTATTAAGCGAATTATGCCCAGTGCTTTGAGGCAGTAATAACAAAATGGAGCAAGTGCCACTGAGAAAAAATAGCAGCAGTATTGAGAGAGGGCAGCTTTCCCAGGACTAGAAAAATATTTCTAACTTCCTGAGAGTGGGTGTAGGGAAGAACAAAGACAAGAGGGAGATTAGGGGATCAAAAACGAGAGGACTGGGCTGAAGAGGCCAGGAAGACAGAAACCAGACACATCTCAGCTACAGTGGGCCATCTTCCAGAGTCCAGGAGCCACCTGGGAGCTGGGAACTGCCATTGCCTAAATCCAGAGTCTCTGAGAGCCAGCTATTCCCTCTCCATGTTCATGACTGTCTGCAGGAGTAACACCATTTGCCTCATGCAACCTGAACAACTGCACCTTCAAAACATCCTTAGCCCATCAGAAGCCCAAGTAAGAGTAGCTGGGGTCCTGGATACCCAGAGGTTTGGTGAAAGTCAAGTGGAAATCAGCTCTAGAGTTCATATGGGGGGATTCTGCCTGGAATAAGCTGTAGGTCCACCCTGAGCTGGGAGAGCAGTTCAACATACCAGAATATTAGGATCACCAGACAGACCTGCTGGGAGTCTATAGCAAATAAGGGCCTATGCTGTGTTCTAACAGAAGCGCCAACTGATTGTATAATAGTTGATTGAGGTCAGCTTACAAGTGAGTTTTCCTGGTCCAGTATAGGGGATTTGCTTTGGTTGGTTGTTCTCATCAGAGTGCTTTTGGGAAGAAAAAACTCTGCAGGCCCACTGTCTTTCTTCACATCTAGCCCCTTCACTCATTAACATTCCTGCCTGGCCCCTGAGGACATCTAAATTTTCTGAGCCCTCCTATGCAAAGTGCTCGACCTACAATAGGGGGATTCCTTGACATGAAACCCTGACACTATACAAAATCACAAATACATGCATTTTTCTAAGGAGCAAGTCTTAGCTTTCATCAACTACTCAAAGGAGTGTCTGATACTTGGGTTGGAATCCTGGCTGCTGTTTACTAGCTGTGTGACCTTGAGCATGTCACTTAACCTGTCTATGCTTCCATTTCCTTATCTTTGAAATAGGGATGGTTATTTATTTTTGTATTTACTTATTTATTCAGAAACAGAGTCTCACTCTATCATCCATTTCATCCAGGCTGGAGTGCAGTGGCACAATCATAACTCACTGCAGCCTCAAACTCCTGGGCTCAGGTGATCTTCCCGTCTCGGCCTCCCAAGTAACTGGAACTACAGGCACATGCCACCATGCCAAGCTAATCTTTTAATTTTTTGTAAAAACAGGGTCTCACTATATTGCCCAGGCAGGATTCAAACTCCTAACCTCAAGCAATCATCCTGCCTTGGCCTCCCAAACAGGGATATTAATAGTATCTAACTCTAAGGGCTGATATGAGGAGCAAATGAGCTAGTATATGTAGAGGGCTTTGAATGACCAACTCTATATAAGTGTTTGCTATCATTATTATAGAGGACATAGACCACAGGGGGGATGGGAAGCCTGTGTCTAAGGGAAGACAGTGTAGAGAGGAGAGTGAGTACACCTTTGTTAAACCCAGCCCATCTTTAGGACGTACCTGCACAACCTTCAGAGCTTGCTTACTCAACAAAGGGTCCCGGCATAAACCTCACACTGGAAGTGGGCAGGGAGGCTGCGCTGCCTGTGGCCAGAAATGTGCTAGCTGCTAGGTTATTAGTGTACCTCCTGTTCTAAGAAAGACAAGGATCTGAAGGTGGTAGTAAGAGGGCGCCTGAAGTCGTAATCTTGGAGACCACGATTCTGCCCTAGAAGCCAATGTCCCCTAAGTTCTGGGCTGTAGTCGCCAAGCTGGCCTGGAGCAGGAGGTATAGCAGAATCAGACAGCAGAAACTGGAAACCTGCTCCTCCACTTTCTAGCTGAGTGTTCTTGGGCAACTTACTAAACCTCCCTAAGCCATCATTTCCTTTTCTGTCAAATTGAGCAATAATATACGCACTATGGTCAAATAATTAATGTATGCAAAGCACTTAGCAAGTACATAGTGAGTGCTCAATAAACAGAGCCAATACTATGGTAACGCTGCAGTATTGAGATCAGGCTGACAGGGAGCTGAGTGGCAACTGATCAGATGGGGAATCCTAGAAGAGCAAGTTGAAGGAGTAATACAGTGATGACACATGTGGTCCATTGTGCAATTTTTTGCTTTGGCTTGCCTCAAAGCTTGGGATCCCAGATTTGTTAGGGTCTCTTTGGGCTTCTTAGGAACCAGGAGGGAGGAAAATAAAGATCAGAATATTCTTTCAAAACCATTTCCTCCCTCCCCACCCTAACATTCCTATGAAGAGAACTTGTGATACTGCTTATCTTAACAGAAATCCAATCAAACTAGCTTAAGGACACAGAACTTTCTCACAGGCCTGGAGAAAGGATGTGATCAAGGCCACAAGCCCTCATCTCTTCTGCTTCCAAGGTATCCCTGTTTCTTTTCATTCTGCAAACCTACTTTCTCCTTTTTATGATGTACATGATAAAAAATTGTTGACCCAGACAGCACTGCATGATTTCCTGGCTTAAATACAGCAGACTAGAGGTGCCCTATTCTCCAACCCAAATTCCTGGAAGAGGGAATTTATTGGCTCAGCTCCTATCACATACCTGCCCCTGATACTCTCAATCAAATGTACGTATATATGGGATGGGGGGATTAAACAGATTGAGTAGTGCAGACACATAATTTCAAACAATTTGTAGAAGAAAAAAACCAAATGGCTAACAAACACTTGAAAAGATACTCGTCTTCACTAATATTCAAAGAAATGCAAATTAGTACAACAATGTGAGGTACTAATTTTTTTTTTGGACTGTCAGATTGGCAACAATGAAAAATAAAGGTAACTGAAGGAAACTTGCTAAGAGAGGAAGGTGATATGATTTTTCTGGTGTCCTATTGGGCATTATGTTTTAATATTTTAAATGTGCATAAGCTTTAACCCAGTTATTTTACTTACACAAATTTATCCTAAGGAAATAATCAGAACATGCATAGGCATATATCTACATATATGTTTATTGCAGTATTTCAGTATTTAAGAAAAACTTAGAACATCCTATATGCCCTTCAGCGGAGGGCAGAGATTATGGTACAAAAGAATGCTGAGAGACCATTATAAAAATTATAAAGAATGAGATGGATCGGTATGTAAAATGTATATGACAAATTGTAGAGAAAAAAAAAAAGCCAGGCATGGTGATTCATGCCTGCAATCCCAGCACTTTGGGAGACAGAGGCAAGTGGATCACGTAAGGTCAGGAGTTTAAGACCAGCCTGGGTAACATGGTAAAACCCTGTCTCTACTAAAAATACAAAAATTAGCCAGGCATGGTGGCACACACCTGTAGTCCCAGCTACTTGGGAGGCTGAGGCACGAGAATCATTTGAACCCAAGAGGCAGAGGTTGCAGTGAGCCAAGGTCATGCTACTGCACTCCAGCCTGAGTGACAGAGCAAGACTCTATCTCAGAAAAATAAAAAAAGCAAGGCACAGAAAAGAGTGGATAATATGACCCCATTTTTGTTAACATATAGAGTATGTATTATGTACTATACATAGTATATTCGGGGTACATACATATATGTATACACACACATATATATATTTGCGTGTGTGTGTGTGTGTGTGTGTGTGTGTGTGTGTAATATGTATCTGAAAGAATACATATTAGATCCTTTTGTAGTTCATGAGCAAGATGATTGGGTGATCATGCACATGTGTGAGATGGGCCATCCTCAAACCTTGTTACAACATTGGCATATTACCCATCTGATATGAAAAAACATATGAAACTAATAATTGTGGCCTCTGGGAATGGAATTATGGGAAGTTTTCACTTTCCACTTTATCCCTTTTCATATTGTTGAATTTTTTTTAAGCATGAATTACTTTTATAATCAGAAGAAAAAGCAGTGAGATATTCAATTTTGGGAGGAAAAAAGAGTACAGATTTCATATGTGAAAGGAAAATACCTACTATTTTAAAATTAAAGAAGGAAAACAAAAAATCCAATATTTTCCCAGTAACAATCAGGCATAGCAGGTGGCAATAAAGTCTGCCCCTGCCCAGGGCCTGGGGTTGTTAGGAGGAGCTCTCTAGGTTAGACAAGAGAAAAGTCAGAGGAGCACCACAGAGTATATAGCACTATCCTTTTTTTTTTTTCCTCACTCTATTACCCAGGCTAGAGTGCAGTGGCATGATCATAGCTCACTGCAACCTTAAATTCCTGGGCTGAAGCAATCCTCCTGCTTCAGCTTTCCAAGTAGCTGGAACCAGGATGCATTCCACCATGCCCAGCTAATTTTTAAAACTTTTTTGTAGAGATGGGGGAGTGTCTCACTACCTTGCTTAGGCTGGTATTTAAATCCTGGCCTGAAGTGATCCTCCTGCCTCAGCCTCCCAACGTGCTGAGAGTACAGGCATGAGCCACCACACCTGGCCTAAGGACCATCCTATTTGAAGAATTTGGCTTACCTGCAACCCAAGGGCCTTTCTCTTCTGCTATAAATGAATTAATGAACTTAATTAAATCGAATTTAACTCTTCAGCTCAAGGCCAAAAATAATATATTTTTACATTTATATATGAAAAGAAGAGGCAGGTAAATGATGAGAAATGAGGTATGCAACCGAGTGAGGGCTTGGATATAGGAAGACCTAGAGGCCCAGCTGGGAAACTGGAGGTGGCCTGGGGTAATTCCAGAGACATATTTACTTGCTATCAAACATGGATTTGTATGGGTGCTCAGATGTTTTTTCTTTCTTTCTTTTTTTTTTTTTTTGAGATGGAGTCTTGCTGTGTTGCTCAGGGTGGAGTGCAGTGGCGCCATCTTGGCTCACTGCAACCTCTGCCTCCTGGGTTCCAGCAATTGTCCTGCCTCAGCCTCCTGGGTAGCTGGGACTACAGGCACGTGCCACCACACCTGGTTAGTTTTTGTATTTTTAGTAGAGACAGGGTTTCACCATGTTGGCCAGGCTCGAACTCCTGACCTCGTGATCCACGCTCCCCACCCCTCCTCCACCGCCAAAGTGCTTGGATTACAGACGTGAGCCACCACATCCAGCCGGATGCCCAGATTTTTAAAAGAAACTTGAGTAGGTTGAGAAATTAAGATCCTCACCAGGATAATTGTTACTTTTCTAAGTGTTTCCCTTTGGATCCTTCCTTTCTTCATAGGAACATACTAAACGTTCAATGCCACAATGGATTTCAATGGGGAAAAACTAATCTTGCTTTGTAGACAACTTTACAGGAATGCCTCAGTTTCATACACTGCAGGATAGTTGTATTAATTTGGCATAGATAGAAATTTCAATTAACATAGTCTTTTTTCTTTATTTGCAGCAGTTCACCAACAATGCATTTTAGAGCATTGCTCACCCTCAGCATTAGAACTGAGTGAATCTTCTGTTGAAATGGAGGCATCTATTCACCACATTACTTTTTCAAGCCTCTAACACCTTAACAGGCAAACCTCAGAGGAAGGTCTGCTTTCCTCTTCCTTTAGAAATCCCCCCTAAGCAAGAAACATTTGCTGAATGCCTAGCTGGGGACTTCAACATTGTTAGCACATGTGAGCAGCCTTCCAAAACTGTTTACAGTAATGGTAACGTTGGTAATAATACACCATTGGACTTACTGCAAAGACAATTTTTTCAATGTTTGTTCATATAAAACCTGCCAAATTGTCGATATTAGAGTTGGTCATTCCTTACATTATGAGATTCCTAAAATGAAAATAGCAGTAATAGATCCTGAGAGCTGTGAGGTCATTTTGTTCAGTTTACATATTAAGGACATGAGTCTTTGGAAGATTAGGAAAGTTGTCTATAGTTTCATGACTACGAAATGGCAGATTTTTTTTTTCCAAACCCCATGCATTTTTTTTTAATCACAACCGTGCATGCCTCTCTCAGCCCCATATCTGCCCCAGAGATGTCAAACATTCCCTCCTCCCTACCCATATACTGCCTTGGAGACTCTACCCCGCTCCTAACTTGGAAGAGAGAGTACTACCTGCCATGTGACTGTGCCCCATCAGTCTCAGTTACTGACCCAGGAGTAGACATCTGACTCAAACTGGGTTGATCGAATTCTCTCCCAGGAATTTGGAATAGGGACAAAGAGGCTGAGTCATTTAGCTGTGTGGAGCCAAGCTGCAAGGTCATGCCCAGCTGGCCTGCCACAGCAGGCCAAAACCTCATGCTAGCCACAGTGAAGGGAAGCTGAGAAACCATGAGTCAGCAGAAAAAGCTCATCTGCAAACAAAAGAGCACAAAGATGGGGCCGACTGATACTCAGAGTCAAATAGAGAGGCCATGTACCTCAAAAGGCAGAGGAGAGAGAGAGAGAGAAATAAAATCTGCATAATCCCCTTCTTGGCCCTATAATGCCCAGCAGCTGTATCTCCAGCGCTGGCTTACTGTGACCCCCATAATAACCTCTGCCTTTCAATCAACCCTCTTTTTATTTGAGTTAGTGGAATTCTGTTCCTTGCATGCAAATTCTTCCTAAGACACTTCACAATTCATATTGAATATATTTTGGGGTAGAAAGACTATTCTGCTCTTTATGACGATTATGGAAATTGAGGTTTTATCTCAAAACCCACAACAGGCTGAGCAGCTTTCGGCATTCTCGCCACTAATTATCCAGACTCCGGAGACTGAGCTTTCAAGGTGAGTGGTTTTCAGAACTGCAAATGAGAGCCAGCCCCATTCTGGGTCTCTTTCCCCAAGGATATCTTAGAGATATTCAGTTCAGGAAGAGAGGTCTTATTGTAGTATGTAGTTGCCATCTTGGGAACATATGTCAGGACTTCCTAAAGTCTTTCTGCTTAAAGTTTCCAAGAAAGTATGGAGCCTGATTTCTCATAAAGCCACTTTTCCTTTAAAGGTACTTGTGGAATCTCTATAGGCCCAAGGTTGACATGACCATATCCGTGAAAAGCTCAGGTACTATTTCTGTGCTAATCTCTTTAGAATAACAGAAAGAATTTATTTTAAAAATTCTACTTATCTTTCTCAAATTATTAGAGCTAATCCTAGTATAAAATAATGGAGAAATAGTTGAGTAAATTAGAGTGCATCAGCTGGTGGAATACTATGCAGATGTTAAAAGGGATAATTAACAAGATTAAACAACATGAAAAGACGTTTTTGATTCAATGAATGAGGAAAAAGGTAGAATACGAAATTGTAAGTATCAACCTTATAAGTATCAACCATGTGAAAATGGGTTTACATAAGGACATTTTTCTTGGTGGTCTTTTTTTTTTTTTTTTTGAGACAGAGTTTCGCTCTTGTTGCCCAGGCTGGAGTCTGGAGTGCAATGGCGTGATCTCCGCTCACCACAACCTCCACCTCCTGGGTTCAAGCGATTCTCCTGCTTCAGCCTCCTGAGTAGCTGGGATTACAGGCATGCGCCATCACACCCAGCTAATTTTGTATTTTTAGTAGAGACGGGGTTTCTCCATTTTGTCAGGCTGGTCTCAAACTCCCGACCTCAGGTGATCTGCCCGCCTCGGCGTCCCAAAATGCTGGGATTACAGGCGTAAGCCACCACACCCAGCCTCTTGGTAGTCTTTAACAAGGTAACTGAGGTTGCCACAACCATAGATCTTGGTACGTAAGATAAAATCTATTGAGCATTTCTGCCTTAGAGGATTTTGGCTAAGGTAATGTCACTGTCCTAGTTCAGTTCCAGAATTTGTTCCTATATTGTCCAGATTCTGTGCCTTTTGCTGATCTACTTCTGTGCTGGTCCATAGCACTCTCAACTGATGGGACCCACTGATTATAGAGTTCTCAGTCTCTCTGTCTGCAGTTACTTAAACTCTGGTATGGAGATCTTTTGCTTTGCACCACACAAATGTTAAGAACTACATTTAAATTGCTTTCATTTTTTTTCTGCCTACTCTTTTCCAAATCTGTGTCAAGGTGGAGATATGACTGTCCTCCAGTGTGCTAATAATGTCTGCAAAGCTTCTGGGAATACCTGCCAAAGCCAAGGTGTGAGGGAGAGACCTTGAATCTCTCCTTGCATTTGGTGGGAAAAAAACAATTTATAGATTGAGTGCCTCCTGCAAGACTTTTTTTTTGTTACAGAAAAATCCTTTTATGGCTGTTTTCTGTTCCAATCATGAACAGAAGTCTCCTTGCAAACAGAGGCCTCCTGCTGCTTTTCAAGGGTTTGGTGGCCTAATCATTTTGTGCCTGCCCTAGCAGACACTTTTTATGTTTGTGGCTTCTTATCATCTCTTAAAAGCCCTTCCAATATCAAGGGAATTTCTATATTTTGAGTTCTGTTTTTCAAGGTGAAACTAGAACTCTCTATTCTAGTCTTATTTGCGGCCAAGATGCAAGCATGTGACCTAGTTTCTGCAATCAGATGTAGCCATGCAACACTGAATGCAGAAGAAAAAACCATGAGAAAGCAGGTGTCATGCAGAATCTGTTTTCTGGTGAAGCTATGGAGCTTGCCAGTGGCACAGAAATGGCCCAGCACCAGTGTTGGTATCCCCAGCAGAGAGTTAGTGCAGCCACAGTGCCAACGCCAGCGGCGTTCTCTTCTATAACAGTCCAGCAGTATGATTTGGATATAACTTCCTGCCAAGTAGCCCAGAACATGATTCTCTGGCCCTTCCAGACAGTCTATGTGCTATCTAATACCCTTTAATACTTTCAATTTATTTTATTTTCCTTCTTTTTTTTTTTTTTGAGACGGAGTCTCACTCCGTCACCCAGGTTGGAGTACAGTGGCGTGATGTCAGCTCACTGCAACTTCTGCCTCTCTGGTTCAAGTGATTCTCCTGCCTTGGGCTCCTGAGTAGCTAGGACTACAGGCACAAGCCACCACGCCCAGCTTATTTTTTGTATTTGTAGTAGAGATGGGGTTTCACCATGTTGACCGGGCTGGTTTTGAACTCCTGACCTCAGATGATCCGCCCACCTCGGCCTCCCAAAGTGCTGGGATTACAGGCGTGAGCCACCACGCCCGGTTCATTTTATTTTTAAACTAGCAAGAGTGGATTCTGTTGTTTGCAACCAAAAATCTTTTTTTTTTTTTTTGAGACAGAGTCTCTCTCTGTCACCCAGGCTGGAGGGCAGTGGTGCGATCCTGGCTCACTGCAGCCTCTGCCTCACGGGTTCAAGCGATTATCCTGCTTCAGGCTCCTGAGTAGCTGGGACCACAGGTGCACACCACCACACCAGGCTAATTTTTTTATTTTTAGTAGATACTGGGTTTCACCATGTTGGTCAGGCTGGTCTCGAACTCCTGACTTCAGGTGATCCACCCACCTCGGCCTCCCAAAGTGCTGGGATTACCGGCGTCAGCCACCATGCCCAGCCACAACCAAAAATCTTGAACAATATACCTATATTCATGATTTTACATTAGGCTGAAAGACAAAAGTGGGCCGGGCACGGTGACTCACGCCTGTAATCTCAGCACTTTGGGAGGCTGAGGTGGGAGAATCACCTGAGATCAGGAGTTCAAGACCAGCCTGGCCAACATGGTGAAATCCCCATCTCCACAAAAATACCAAAAAATTAGCCAGGCATGATGGCGGGTGCCGGTAATCCCAACTATTTGGGAAGCTGAGGTGGGAGAATCGCTTGAACCCAGGAGGCGGAGGTTGCAGTGAGCCAAGATTGTGCCATTGCACTCCAGCCTGGGTGACAGAGTGAGACTGCATCTCAAAAAAAAAAAAAGTCTTAAAAGTGATTTATTGGCCAGCCATGGTGGCTCACGCCTGTAATCCCAGCACTTTGGGAGGCTGACAGGCAGATCACGAGGTCAGGAGTTTGAAACCAGCCTGGCCAACATGGTGAAACCTCATCTCTAATAGAAATACAAAAATTAGCTGGGTGCACTGGCTGGCGCCTGTAATCCCAGCTACTTGGGAGGCTGAGGCAGGAGGATCACTTGAACTCGGGAGGTGGAGGTTACAGTGAGTTGATATCACGCCATTGCACTCCAGCCTGGGCAACACAGCAAGACTCCGTCTAGAGAAAAAAAAAAAGTGATTTATTTTTCTTGTTCATCATGTTTCCCCAGCCTGTAGATATAAATTTGGTCACTTTTTTTTTTTTTGAGATGGAGTTTTGCTCTTGTTGCCTAGGCTGGATGCAGTGGCACAATCTCAGCTCACTGCAACCTCCACTTCCCGGGGTCAAGTGATTCTCCTGCCTCAGCCTTCTGAGTAGCTGGGATTACAGGTGCCCATCACCATCACCAGGCCCAGCTAATTTTTTGTATTTTTAGTAGAGACGGGTTTCACCATGTTAGCCAGGCTGGTCTCAAACTCCTGACCTCAGGTGATCCACCAGCCTCAAACTCCCAAAGTGCTGGGATTACAGGTGTGAGCCACTGTGCCCAGCCAATTTGGTCACATTAATGACAAATCCTAAATTTTACTGGCTCTTGTTTCAACCTACATAATGCAGGTTTTCCAGCCTCACCCGATGTCTCTCCCAGAATCCCCAAGGATGATCTCATATGTGCTCACAAACAGTTCTCTCATATTCCTCTGTTTTGCCTCCTATGTTGTTGGCTATGGCCCAAGAAGCCATTTGCAGGTCCATACCTATGTCAGTGCCAAGCATGACAAGACTGTTGTCCACGATAAATGTGTGCTGCCTCCTAATGCTTTCACTCCATGTCACCCCTCGACCCAGCACCACAATGTAGGCCCATTTGCCTTACAGATGTCTCTCATAAAAATGCTTCCTTTAACAACTGTATGAAGCCCTTTTGTCTCTGGGGCTCAGAGGTGTGTACTGGGAATGAGCTGAGGAATCAAACAGGGTGCTTGCTTGCTTTCTCTCTCTCTCTTCCTTCCTTCCTTCCTTCCTTCCTTCCTTTCTTTCTTTCTTTCTTTCTTTCTTTCTTTCTTTCTTTCTTTCTTTCTTTCTTTCTTTTTCTTTCTTTCCTTCCTTCCTTCCTTCTTTATTTCTTTCTTTCTTCTCTTTCTTTCTCTCTCTCTCTCTCTCTTTTTTTTTGAGACACAGTCTCGCTCTGTCGCCCAGGCTGGAGTGCAGTGGCGCGATCTCTGCT
This sequence comes from Homo sapiens, assembly GCF_000001405.40. Classification (NCBI taxonomy): domain Eukaryota; kingdom Metazoa; phylum Chordata; class Mammalia; order Primates; family Hominidae; genus Homo; species Homo sapiens. Next base: position 87,728,304 of record NC_000006.12, read on the forward strand.
CACTGCAAGCTCCGCCTCCTGGGTTCACGTCATTCTCCTGCCTCAGCCTTCCGAGTAGCTGGGACTACAGGCACCCCCGCCACCACACCCGGCTAATTTTTGTTTTTATATTTTTAGTAGAGACAGGGTTTCACTGTGTTAGTAGGATGGTCTCCATCTCCTGACCTCGTGATCCGCCTGCCTCGGCCTCCCAAAGTGCTGGGATTACAGGCGTGAGCCACTGTGCTCGGCTCTTTTTTGTTTCTTTATTCTTTTTCCAAATCACAGGCTTCTCTCTCCTCTCCCCTCGTGCAAATCAAGTCACACAAATTGACATCTGCAAATAGATATCACTGGCTGTACCTAGTCATCATTCAAGCCAGTCAGAACAGTTTAGGATCAAGCTGGTGGACTTCTGAAGCATTATTTTTATTTTTCAATGTTTCACAGTTGTTGTTATAATGGTATTTTTCAACAACTAGAAAAGTATGGCCTAAAACAGTCAACTTGTCCTATAAAATTTATGCTGACACAGTGTGCCTTTGCCAGAATACTTTCTTACACGTCTTCTTCTCCTACACCCCAGTGTATTTGTCTGTTAACAGAATACAGGAACTTCTTTGGCACGTAGATTCTGAATGTCAGCACAAGCACTGAGTCTTAGGAAAATGGAACAAATTAGGGAATTTCTCAGCAGTACCACTGCCAGCTTTCTCCGGGCACTTGTACCAGTGTTTATTTTAATGACTTCAATCAGGATATGTTCCTCACCTTAATGCAGAAGCTCAAGATTTTAGAGATCAGCAGAGGATTCAATGTATTTTAGTCTTGCTTTGCAGAAATTATTGGGTGGAGTTTTTCTGTGAGGAAATGGAGCAGTAAAAATCCCTTCTTGCCACCACTTTCCACCCCAGCTTTGTCATTTGGCATCTGTCCACCTGAATTTATTTTAACAGTTCCAGCTTATGGTTCATAAAAGATCATAAACCAATATTATGTCCACAGATTGAGTTCTGCATATAGCATTTAAACATCTCTTCTCTAGAAAAATTACAAAAAATGCCTTAGAGTTCTGTAGGTACAAGATTTTCATTGTTTTTTTGTTTTTTTTTTGTTTTGTTTTGTTTTGTTTTTTGATTCAGTTTTATGATGTCTTTTGGAAACATGGTTTGCCCCTTGTATAGTGAACCCTTGTACATTTTTCAAAAGTCATCAAAGGACAAAGAAAGGAAAAACTGGTGAATGTGACAGAGGCACCCAGCAATGTTCTGAGGGACAGATTTCACAAGCTGCCCAAGTGGCCCAAAAGAATTTACAGGGAAGGCAGGTAAGCCCTTTAAGTTTGATTTCAAGTTGAAGATGCATTCTGGGGAGCTTTGACCATGGAAAAGGTATCTGAGGGTCTCAGTTTACTCTTCGTATCTGTAGCTGAACCTTAGATGAGAAAAGAGACAAATCTTGAGGATGTGGTAGGCAGGCAAGCTACATGAGGAGGAATAGCAGGAGATGTGGAGGAGAAACGTGACTCAGGATGTACTTGGAAGATAGATGGCTTTCAGGGAGATGGTTCCTTCATCAATGCCTGTTTCCATCACTGTCATGCAGTGTCTACCCTCTCTTATATTTTCTCACAACCAGTTTTACAAAACATCCAGAGGGAACTGACACAGCGTGTCTTTGCCAGAATACCTTCTTACACGTCTTCTTCCCCTACACCCCAGAGTTTCATATACATAAAAACATGGAACTAAGCACCATGTTTTTATGTATATGAAATCGATTGTCAGATCATTTAGCAGTGGTTATATTGAAAGTGGAGAGTGAAAAAAAGAGGTAGTGAGGGAAAAAGATATTGAATCTATCCAATCATCTTTGTAGGATATAAGAAGTCTCATGGTACAGGTATAGTCAATGTGAAACCTTAACAATGCATTAATTATAAAGCTCAAGCAGTTCTGAGATAAGATGATTTTGGTTTATGGGGATACAATAAATTTGAGTCTGCAGCATATGAAAGAATTTTCCCAGATATTGCGCTTTCTTTTTCATTTTTCTCATTTTAATCAATAGAATGTAAGGATAAAGTACAAAATGTATGGAAAGAATAAAACTTTCCTGCGTCCTCCTGACTATAAAAAGGTGAGTGAATCATCTGCTTAAACACCAACCCAGTCATTTTATCTCCTGTGTCCTTGAATGAGAAGCTGGGCTGGGCACCCCTCCAGCTGGTAAGAGGATCTTTGAGTCGCATGATAGAAGGGAGAAGTCTGAACCTGCAGCTCTCTCTTTCTCTTCCCTCTGGTTTCTGGCAGGCTTTCTGCGCAGAGACCATCCTCTGTCATGATTGTGCACACACATTTCCAGTGCAGGTCCCCTTTGCCCCATTACTGTTCTGATCAGAACCCTGAGCCTGTGTGGAGATGCCTGTAAGGACAGGCAGGTCTGGCTCATTACAAAGAAACAGGATCTTTAGGCTTCCTGGGAATGGTTCACACAGTTGGGTGGGCTCTGAGATCAAGGTGTCTGCATGATTCCTGGAAAGAGATGCAGAGTAGGCATCCCTAACCTGGGCCAGGTGCCTCAAATCATAAGATTTTAGGACAGGAATTGTGTGCTCTGGTTCTTGAGAAGAACCAGAAGAGTGAGAAAGGATGCAGTGATGCACACCAACACCTCCACAAGGGAAACACGTGAATGTGCCTGTCCTTAGGACAGGGCTTAGCCGGGCCCCCCGCGCAAAAGAAGTTCAGCAGCATGGGTAGTGGAAATCAGACAAGCAGCCCTGCCCTGCATGACAGACAGCCCAGGCTCTCCATCAGAAGCTGCAAAAGTCCTAATCACTTTCCCCACAAAGTGGACATGGAAGTCCTTCTTTTTTTTTTTTTTTTTTTTACTTTTTCTTTTTCAAATTATTCTTTCTTTTTTGAGACAGGGTCACACTCTGTGGCCCAGGCTGGAGTGCAGTGGTGCAATCATGGCTTACTGTAGCCTTGACCTCCTGGACTCAGGTGATCCTCCTACCTCAGCCTCCTGAGTGGCTGGGACTACAGGTGTGCATCACCATGCCCAGCTTTTTTTTTTGTATTTTTTAGTAGAAATGAGGTTTCACCATGTTGCCCAGGCTGGTGTCAAACTTATGGGCTCAAGTAATCCACCCACCTCATCCTCCCAAACTACTGCTGGGATTACAGGTGTGAGCCACCTTGCATTTTCTTTTTTGCCTTTTTTTTTTTTTTTTTTTTTTTTTGAGATAGGGTCTCACTCTGTCGCCCAGGCTACAGTGCAGTAGCATGATTTCAGCTCACTGCAGCCTCAGCCTCCTGGGTCTAAGTGATCCTCCCACCTCAGCAGCCTGGTATCTAGGACCATAGGTGTGTGTCACCATGCCCGGCTAATTTTTTTTATTTTTTTGTAATGACAGGGATCTCCTTGTGTTGCCCAGGTTGGTCTCACACTCCTCAGCTCAAGCGATCATCTCACTTTGGCCTCCCAAAGTGCTAGGATTCAGGGATGAGCCCACTGCACCTGGCCGAAGTCCTTTCTACTTCAGATTTCCATCATGGGTAACTGTGAAATCAGAAAGGAATTGAAATGAAGAAAACTCTGTGGCTTCCTTGGTGAAGTAAACCAGTTTGGGCTAGAGAGAGGTGAGCAGCCAATGTTACAGTAGGAACAATACTTCCTGTATCCTCTTCTGAATCATTGCGTAATAGGTTTCTGACATGTAGAAAGCCCTGAAGAAACATAGCAGGGAAGGAAGTGAATGAGCCAACTGCATTGGCTCAGTGCCCGCGGAACACCCTACTTCAAGGATAAAATTGCACCTCTGCTGCCAACAGTTCAGGCAAGGGAACCTAGACAAATAATGCTTGGAATTCAACAGAAGAACAAGCCAAAAGAGGTCTAGGCATTTTAAAAAATGACTTCTAAGATTGCTCTTTTGCTTGGCTTGTTTGCGTGCTTGCTTTAGTTCAGGTGATGAGAATAGAGAGTAAATAACCCACCTCCTTATTCTAAGTAGCATCTGTTTAAATGACACAGAGGGATGTCATCCAGGTAAAAGGGTGTGGAGCCCTGCTACCTCATACTTCCCTCCTGGCTAAATGAAAAGCCAAGGGCTGCTATAAAAAGTAATTTGTGTCCAACTCTTTGGGGAGGGAAGTATTCTCATACTGAAAATGTCATACTCCAAATTTTAACCTAGTGCTCTTTCCTGCTCTTGCTCATAAAGTGATTCACATGACTTTTAGTAGCTTTAGCTTCTTCAGAATGGAGGAACAAGCAACCAGTGATCACCTGATGGAATTACACAACATGGTTTATTTTGGAGAAAACAGAAGTCAGAGTGAGGATCATTTATTTCATCAGCTTCATAATCACAAAAGTTACCCAGGCTAAAAATGATCTTTAGTCACTCTGCCTTTTATGCATCCCCCTCTGGCTTCCAAAGTCTCATACTTAATTTTTTTTTTTTTTGAAAGCTACTTTTAACTTAAAAATTCAGGCTGGGTGCTGTGGCTCACACCTGTAATCCCAGCACTTTGAGAGGCCAAGGCGTCCGGATCACCCGAGGTTGGGAGTTCGAGACCAGCCTGACCAACATGGAGAATCCCTGTCTCTACTAAAAATACAAAGTTAGCCAGGCGTGGTGGCACATGCCTGTAATCCCAGCTACTTGGGAGGCTGAGGCAGGAGAATTGCTTGAACCCGGGAGGCAGAGGGTGCGGTGAGCTGAGATCATGCCAGGCACTCCAGCCTGGGCAACAAGAGCGAATCTCTGTCTCAAAAAAAAAAAAAAAAAAAAAATCAGCTAGGCACAGTGGCTCACACTTGTAATCCCAACACTTTGGGAGGCTGAGGCAGGAGGACCACTTGAGGCCAGAAGTTCAAGACCAGCCTGGGCAACACAGCAAGACCCCATCTCTACAAAAAATTTAAAAACAGCTCTACAAGAAATTTTAAAAATTAGCTGGGTGTGGTGGTGTGAGTCTGTAGCCCTAGCTACTTGGGAGGCTGAGGTGTGAGGATTGCTTGAGCCTAGAAGTTCAAGGCTATAGTGACCTACAAATGTGCCACTGAACTTCAGCCTGGGTGACAGAGCAAGACCTTATCTCCAAAATAAAAATGAAAATAAATAGGGCCAGGCGTGGTGGCTCACACCTGTAATCCCAGCACTTTGGGAGGCCAAGGCAGGTGGGTCACTTGAGGCCAAGAGTTCAAGACCAGCCTGGCCAACATGGTGAAACCCCATCTCTACTAAAAATACAAAACTTAACAGGGTGTGGTGGCACGTGCCTGTAATCCCAGCTACTCATGAGGCTGAGGCAGGAGAATCGCTTGAACCCGGGAGGCAGAGGTTGTAGTGAGCCAAGATTGTGCCACTGCACTCCAGCCTGGGTGTCAGAGCAAGACTTGGTCTCAAAAAATAAAATAAAATAAATAAAAATTATTTCTTCTGCCCTTACTTCTGTGTCACTTTTCTCCTCACTTAATTCTTTCCATTATTCAATAATAGAAATAGGATAGCACAAGGAGTTGAGGGGGTCTCCTGAATCAGTCAAAATATGGGAGTGAGAGGGAAATGGAAGACCCTCTTACCCCAGTGTTTTGGCTGTAATCAAGAAACCAGCATGAATCCAAATTTAATCAGTCTGGTTGTACATTACAACCAGACTGAGGTAATGATGAACACTAGTGTGGTGGTTTGACAAAGGAGACCAAAGATCAAGAATTTCAGGATCTGACAGGAGGACACTTGATCTGGCAAGATAGCTAATACTTAGGAGCTTACTGTGTGGGCACTGCTCTAATCACTTTACACATGGCAACTTATTTAACCTTCACAACAATGCAGTCAGGCATTTACCATTATTGTTGCCATTTTGCAGATAAGAAAACCCAGGCACAAACTGGTGCTTTCGTTAGACACAGAGATGCACTGTCCAGATCCTCACTGTTTAGATCCTCCTTCACAGGCTTTATAACCAGTTTCCTCAACGAGAGTGACCACTGTCCCAGTTTACTCAGTCATCTCCCGATTTTAGCATTCCTTGCCCCAGTAAACCCTCAGTTGCATACAAACCAGGATGGTTGATTGCTTCAGCCCAATCCTGCTTCCTTCCCCTGCCTTCCACAGGTGTTGATCCCTAATAAACATCTTGTACCCCAGTTATGGTTGACGGGCATTCCAGCATCAGACTATGTGTTGTTTTTGTTTTTGAGACGGGTCTCACTCTGTCACCCAGGCTGGAGTGTGGTGGTGCAATCAATGCTCACCGCAACCTCTGCCTCCTGGGCTCAGGTGATCCTCCCACCTCAGCTTCCCAAGTAGCTGGGACTACAGGCACGTGCCATCACACCCAGCTAATTTTTGTATTATTATTATTATTATTATTTTTGGGACAGAGTCTTGCTCTGTCTCCCAGGCTGGAGTGCAATGGCACGATCTTGGCTCACTACAACCTCCACCTTCCGGGTTCAAGCAATTCTCCTGTCTCAGCTTCCTGAGTAGCTGGGATTACAGGCACACACCACCACGCCTGGCTAATTTTTGTATTTTTAGTAGAGACAGGGTTTTACCATGTTGGTCAGGCTGGTCTTGAACTCCTGACCTTGTGATCCACCCGCCTCGGCCTCCCAAAGTGCTGGGATTACAGGCGTGAGCCACCGTGCAACGCCTAATTTTTGTATTTTTTGTAGAGATGTGGTTTCACCATGTTGCCCAGGCTAGTCTCAAACCCGTGAGCTCAAGCGTTTCACCCCTCACGGCCTCCCAAAGTACTGGTATTACAGGCATGAGCCACTGTGCCTGGCCCCAGACTGTGTGTTCTTAATCTCAAAGCCTCACTCTCCCTTTACATAAGTGTTCTGGGCACTGGAAAGGGGTAATCAACAGAAGTCCAGACAGGTTCTCCAGGCTCTGTATAGCCCAGATGAAATATTCCCAATAGTAATGAAAGTAGCTCACGTTTACTCAGTGTGCTAGGAGATGAGCTAAGTGCTTTGCGTGTGAAGGAGGTTCTATCAATATTCTTTTTTTTTTTTTGTAGAAGCTTTATTTTTTTTATTTTTTTTTTTTTTATTGATCATTCTTGGGTGTTTCTCGCATAGGGGGATTTGGCAGGGTCATAGGACAATAGCGGAGGGAAGGTCAGCAGATAAACAAGTGAACAAAGGTCTCTGGTTTTCCTAGGCAGAGGACCCTGCGGCCTACCACAGTGTTTGTGTCCCTGGGTACTTGAGATTAGGGACTGGTGATGACTCTTAACGAGCATGCTGCCTTCAAGCATCTGTTTAACAAAGCACATCTTGCACCGCCCTTAATCCATTTAACCCTGAGTGGACACAGCACATGTTTCAGAGAGCACAGGGTTGTGGGTAAGGTCATAGATCAACAGCATCCCAAGGCAGAAGAATTTTTCTTAGTATAGAACAAAATGGAGTCTCCTATGTCTACTTCTTTCTACACAGACACAGCAACAATCTGATTTCTCTATCTTTTCCCCACATTTCCCCCTTTTCTATTTGACAAAACCGCCATCATCATGGCCCGTTCTCAATGAGCTGTTGGGTACACCTCCCAGAAGGGGTGGCGGCCGGGCAGAGGGGCTCCTCACTTCCCAGAAGGGGCGGCCGGGCAGAGGCGCCCCCCACCTCCCGGATGGGGCGGCTGGCCGGGCGGGGGCTGCCCCCCACCTCCCTCCCGGGTGGGGCAGCTGGCCGGGTGGGGGCTGCCCCCCACCTCCTGGACGGGGCGGCTGCCGGGCGGAGACGCTCCTCACTTCCCAGACAGGGCAGCTGCTGGGCGGAGGGGCTCCTCACTTCTCAGACGGGGCGGCTGCCGGGCGGAGGGGCTCCTCACTTCTCAGACGGGGCGGCCGGGCAGAGACGCTCCCAGATGGGGTCGCGGCCGGGCAGAGGCACTCCTCACATCCCAGATGGGGCGGCAGGGCAGAGGCGCTCCCCACATCTCAGACGATGGGCGGCGGGGCAGAGACGCTCCTCACTTCCTAGATGGGATGGCAGCCGGGAAGAGGCGCTCCTCACTTCCCAGACTGGGCAGCCGGGCAGAGGGGCTCCTCACATCCCAGACCATGGGCGGCCAGGCAGAGACGCTCCTCACTTCCCAGACGGGGTGGTGGCCGGGCAGAGGCTGCAATCTCAGCACTTTGGGAGGCCAAGGCAGGCGGCTGGGAGGTGGAGGTTGTAGCTAGCCGAGATCACACCACTGCACTCCAGCCTGGGCAACATTGAGCACTGAGTGAACGAGACTCCGTCTGCAATCCCGGCACCTCGGGAGGCCGAGGCTGGCAGATGACTCGCGGTTAGGAGCTGGAGACCAGCCCAGCCAACACAGCGAAACCCCGTCTCCATCAAAAAAATACGAAAACCAGTCAGGCGTGGCGGCGCGCCCCTGCAATCACAGGCACTGGGCAGGCTGAGGCAGGAGAATCAGGCAGGGAGGTTGCAGTGAGCCGAGATGGTAGCAGTACAGTCCAGCTTCGGCTTGGCATCAGAGGGAGACCACGGAAAGAGAGGGAGAGGGAGACCGTGGGGAGAGGGAGGGGGAGGGGGGAGGGGGAGAGGGGGAGGGGGAGGGGGGAGGGGGAGGGGGAGGGGGGGAGGGGGGAGGGAGGGGGAGGGGGGGAGGGGGAGAGGGAGAGGGAGAGCCAATATTCTTATTTTACAAATGAGAAGGCTGAGGCTTAGAGAGTTTACTAGCCCAAGAACAAGTCTCAGGATTTTAACCTATGCACTCTGCCCCTAGACTCCAAATTAGAGATACAGATAAAGCTGAATAGCTTAGTGTTACAAAACGGAAAGAGGTGTTTTTTGGAGTAGAGTTGTAGACGGGTTCAAGGCAGTCAGTGAAGATGTAAAAAGAGCCCAGCAAAATGTCAAGAGGCTACAGTCCAAGTTGTCAAAAAGAAACTAAGAGAGTTTAAGAACAGGACATTAAATATTCAACTGTAAGTTGTTTATATTGCAATAAACCTCTATTGTTCTCTCCATCTTCTCAAATCTTCTCAAGCCTTGAGTAAAGTCTGACGCAGCAGGGCCTTACATTTAGTGTGTGAGTGTAAACCACAAAGAGACTGCCTGAGCAGAGTATAGGAATCAGTAGAGGCAAGAAATCAGTTAAAGGTGTCTTGTGACAGCCCTCTTCAAATTCCCCTCACTCTCCCACCTGCCCCCAGCCTGGAAGAATTTAGAGATGTTTAGGAGATTATTGGACTTTCCACAGCCTTGGAAAGAGATTTGAGCAAAATTTATCTACGTCTTTAGGGACAGGGAGATTCCACATAATAGGTGACAAGTACATGCATGAGAAGGAGTTTATTAAGATAAATAAAAAATGATAATGGTAGCTCTCTCTAAGAGAGGGAAGTAGGAAAATGGTTAATTTGCATTTGCCTTTTAGTGCTTTTCCTAGGTTTTCAAAATTTGTACAACAAATATGTTACCTTTGTAGCCCGAGAACAGAACAATAAATTATCAAAAAATTATCAAAATGATCAATGTCTGTTTCTCTTTTGTTCCTAACTATATAGACTCTTCTGTCTCTTGGATGTGTCTAGTCACTAAAAAGAAACAGACAAAATAAACACACATGTAAACCATGCCATTGATTCATTTATGTATAGATGTTTCATATAATTATAGAAAAAATGGTCTACATATCAAGTGAGAACTCATTACCTTAGTGATAAAGTACACAAAATATTTTGGGTCAATATCATGAGACTAGGAAGAACAAAGTATCTTTAAGATATAAAGTCAGTCCTTCAGACTTTGATCAGGCCAAGGCTGAGACTGATAAGACCTAGTTTTAGTTTTGACTTGCTTCTTGACTCATGTACTTTTGAGTGTGCAGGCAATTTCCTGTCTTCAGCTTTCCTATTTTCAAAGTGACCAATATTACCTGCAAACAGATTCTTATAAAGATTTTTGTGGTCTCAGGATTAAAGTGTCTATATAAAAGGAGAGTTATGATTGTGACATATTTCAGTGTTACTGATCAAACAAGTGACCACTAACGTTCAGACCAAAAAACAGAAACAAGGCCAAGCATGGTGGCTCACGCCTGTAATCCCACACTTTGGGAGGCCGAGGTGGGTGGATCACCTGAGGTCAGGAGTTCGAGACCAGCCTGGCCAACATGGTAAAACCTCGTCTCTACTGAAAACACAAAAATTAGCTGGGTGTGATGGGACACGCCTGTAATCCCAGCTACTGGGGAGGCTGAGGCAGGAGAATCGCTTGAACCTGGGAGGCGGAGGTTGCAGTGAGCTGAGGTAGTGCCACTGCACTCCAGCCTGGGCGACAGAGTGAGCCTCCATCTCAAAAAAGAAAAAAAGAAGAAAAAACAGAAACAAAAAATTATGAACAAATTTTCTTGCTTCATTTAAATAACATAAGTCCTAGTACTTAATGAAAAGGCTAATTTAAAACATGAATGTTTCCCTCTTATTCATCAGAAATATTTGATAAGAAATAAAGTTGTAGTTTATTGTCTTTGCATAGCTCAGATACTTTGCGGGTACAAAGGGATGAAAGATACATGATTTCATATCTTGGAAATATCACTTTGACTTGTTAATTTCCACACCTGGGCAGGGTGTGATGTGAAAATGAATACTCTTTGTTCTTTTAGTAAAATGAACAGACTCGGAGGAAGGCATGGAAAGTTTAAAGTGTCATTATAAAGAGAAAGGAGATTCTGTAAGCCTTTAGCTCCCAGTCCTCTTCACTGAGAAGTCGAAATGTATCATTTCTCTCATCCTTGATGTTAGTGTGAACCTAGCTACTAGTTTCCCTCTTTCTTCTGCTGAGATAGTGCTTACACCCAAGGCGCTGATTCTGTTTCTGATTCTTAGCCACTGGGCAAGATTTACTACTTGGATTCAACTTATGAATGAACATATTTCAATCTTATAGTGATTTTAATATTTCTTTATCGTTAGTAAGAACTTAAAAATCATGAGGATATAATGTTATTAGTGATAAATTTTATTTTACTTTTTTGGAACCAGAACTGCCAGATGAGGATTCTATTTTTTTATTTTTTTTATTTTCATTGTTTTGAGACAGAATCTGGCTCTGTGGCTCAGGCTGGAGTGCAGCGGTGTGATCTCAGCTCACTCCAACCTCCACCTTCAGAGTTCAAGTGATTCTTGTGCCTCAGCCTCCCGAGTAGCTGGGATTATAGGTGTGTGCCACCATGCCCAGATAATTTTTGTATTTTTAGTAGAGACGAGTTTTCACCATGTTGGCCAGGCTGGTCTCGAACTCCTGGACTCAAGTGATCAGCCCACCTCAGCCTCCCAAAGTGCTGGGATTACAGACGTGAGCCTATAAACTGAACCACACCCGGTTCAGTTAAAAATTTTAGAACAGGATTTGTAAATTTCCTAACTACATGCATATGACATTCACCTACTGCAATGACAGCAATAACATTTCTTTTTTTCCTTTTTTCTTTTTTCTTTTTTTTTTTTTTTTTTTGAGACAGTCTTGCTCTGTCGCCAGGCTGGAATGCAATGGCGCGATCTCAGCTCACTGCAATCTCCGCCTCCCAGGTTCAAGCGATTCTCCTGCCCCAGCCTTCTGAGTAGCTGGGATTACAAGCGCACTCCACTACACCCAGCTAATTTTTGTATTTTTACTAGAGATGGAGTTTCACTGTGTTAGCCAGGATGGTCTCGATCTCCTGACCTCATGATCCGCCCACCTCGGCCTCCCAAAGCGCTGGTATTACAGGCGTGAGCCACTGTACCCGGCCAACATTTCTTTTTAACTAGTGGATAAAATATGAAATTAAAAGGAAAAGTCTGTATCTAAGGTAATATATATTTTAAGGTTTTTCCTATGATCATTTAAAAATTGGCTTCTCTGGTTTAGATCCCAGTTTGGAAAATCAGATATAAAAGACATTTTGGGAATTGGGAGAAAATTTGAACATGGACTGAATGTTAGGTGATATTAAGGGGTTAGTATTAATTTTGTTCAGTGAGATAATATTATTTTAGCTATGAAGGAAAATGTTTTTACATTTTAATGACATATGCTAAAGTATTTATGGGTGGGATATTACTATGTCTCCAATTTGTGATGGCAAAAGATCACTCCTTAGATGGCTTGGCAGTCACTCTGAAGGGGAAAAACACAACTTTACAGGGTGAAATCTGGGAGTTACCACCTAAACCCAGTGACCAATTTTGGCATCACCAAAAGAGAGACACTAAATTATGTACCTCTTGATATACATAAATACATATATACATATGATACATGTGAGTTACATACATATATATATGTATGTATGAAGTACAGCCTTGTGTCTGTATTTGTATCAGCCTTGTATCTGTACAGCCTTGTATCTGAAGTATTGCTGCCAAGATGTTTAATCTACATTTTTTTTTTTGAGACAGGGTCTCACTCTGCGCCCAGGCTGGAATGCAGTGGCATGATCTTGGCTCACTGCAACTCTGCCTCCCGGGTTCAAGCGATTCTCCTGTCTCAGCCTCCCAAGTAGCTGGGATTACAGGCACCTCCCACCACTCCTGGCTAATTTTTATATTTTTAGTAGAGATGGGGTTTTGCCATGTTGGCCAGGCTGGTCTCGAACTCCTGACCTCAGGTGATCCGCCCACCTCAGCCTCCCAAAATGTTGGGATTACAAGCGTGAGCCACTGCACCCGGCCGACAAATAGTCTTAAAATGGGAATACTTGGCCGACAAATAGTCTTAAAACGGGAATATCTGGCCGGGCGTGATGGCTCACGCCATCTCATAAAACAAAACAAAAAAGAAACTGGAATACCTAATATAAAGGTTTTACTACACAAGAGGAAGGGGAAGATAGCTACAATCAGTATTTTATGAGCACTTACCACACGCTAGGCACCATGCCACGTGTTGGAGATACTGCAATCAACAAGTGGCCCCTGCATAGTGGAATGTACTGTCTGGAGTGAAAGACAGACAAAAACATGCAAACAGACAAATAACACAAATAACATGAGTTTGGAGAGTAATTCCTCTGATGGAAGAAACAAACAAGCACTACGGAGAAGAACAACAGTTGTGATGGTCAGAAAAGGGATCTCCTTGAAGGCACATGCAGGCTGTGTCTTATAAGAGAAGCAGGAGTCAGCCAGAGGGAAGGTAAAGAGAAGAGCTATCTAAACAGAAGCAGCTGTGTGCACAGAACTCCTGGGGGGGAGATGGAATAAGGAAAGCCAATGTGATTCAGGTGTAGTGAGCAAGGAGGACTGTGACACAGGGTGAACTAGAGAAGTAGCTTTCAGGTCACGGCAAAAAATTTAATTTTTTTCCCCCAAAGTGCAGTGAGTAGCCATATTCCACAATATTCTTTTTTTTTTCTTTTCTTTTGTAGAGATGGGGTGTCATTATGTTTCCCAGGCCTGTTTTGAATTCCTGGTCTCAAATGATCCTCCTGCCTTGGCCTCACAAAGTGCTGGAATTACAGGCATGAGCCACTGCACCTGGCCAACGATATTCATTAATTTAAGGAAATTCCACTTTTAAGAATACTTAGGGCATTTGCTAATACACTAAAAGCTTAAGAGTCACAACTACATGTCTTACACTCCAGCCATACTCAACCACTCACTGGGACCCTTTCAGTTCTATTTGGATGCCTCCCACCTGCCAATAGAGCAAATTGATACTCATCTGGGGTATTAGGAATCTATTGCTGTATAACAAATTATCCCAAAAGGTAGTGATCTAAACCAATGATAAACATTTATTACCTCACAGTTTCTGGGGTTGGGAATTCTGAGTGGCTTAGCTGTATGGTTCTAGTTCATGGTCTCACATGCAGTTGCAGTCAAGATGTTGGCTGAGGCTGCAGTCATCCAAAGACCTGACTGGGACTGGAGGAGCCACTTCCAAGATGGCTCACCCACGTGGCTGTTGTGGGCAGGAGGCCTTACTTTCTTGCCATGTAGTCATCTTCATAGATCTGCTTGAGTGTCCTCGTGACATGGCAGCTGACTTCCTTCACAGTGAGTGATCCAAGGAAGAGAGTAAACAGGAAACCATAATGCTGCTGATAACCTCATCTTTGAAGTACACTGTCACTTCTGCCATTTTCTATTAGTGTCACTAGTAGACAGCACAAAGAAGTTGACACCAAGTGCTGTGGCTCATGCCTGTAATCCCAGCACTTTGGTAGGCCAAGGCAGGCAGATCATCTGAGGTCAGGAGTTCGAGACCAGCCTGGCCAACACAGTGAAACCCCGTCTCTACTGAAAATACAAAAACTAGCCGAACATGGTGGTGGGTGCCTGTAATCCCAGCTACTTGGGAGGCTGAGTGTCACTAAGTCCAGTCCACACTCAAAGGGAGGGGAGTTAAGTTCCACCTCTTGAAAGGAGAAGTATCTAAAAATTTGTGAACATATTTTAAAACTACCACATTTGGTGACCCAGCTCAAATGTCATCTTCTATGTGAAGCCTTTCTTGATTTTCCTGAGCAGACCTAGTCATTCTCTTCTCTCAGTTTTCACAGCATGTCATTTCTATTCCTTAAAGCTCTTGTCTTTTTAACTGTAATCAATTGATTTACATGCTTGTCTTTCAACTAGCCTGGAAGATGCTTCAGGCCAAGATAATGTGTTTTATTAATCATTTGTATCCTCAATCTGCTCATTAGTGAAATCCTAGGAACACTACGAAATACTACCTTCCACCACTCCTAACACAAGTTTTTAAAAGATCCCTTCGCACTTAATGCTTTTCTTGCTTTTTCATATTCTTGGTTTACTCTCCCTCTCCCTTCTGAACTAGAAGACAATTTCAAAAATAAGACTGTATTAGTTATCATTTTTAAAAATTCTTTATAATGACAAAGACAATGCTCTGCATTACAGTAATAGATTTTTAAAAGAATTAAATAAGAGAAGCCCCTTTAGAGTTAAAAAAATATTTCTAACTTCTTTAATAATCAGAATATCTAATGGCTATCTCGGTTCTATGTAAACCCTAACAAGAAAAAGATAACCTCAGTTCATAATGCATAAAACATGCAGCACTGAGAAAAAAGACCTCTGAAGTACAGGGGTGTTCTATTCTGTTTTGTTTGCTTCCTTATTGTTTGGGAGAGGAGACAGCTAACAATGAAGCTTTCTTTAGCATTCAGTGGAAAGAACGTCAAGAAATCTTGTTTTTATTTTCTCTTGAAAAATGAGAAGCCATATTCCCTCCCATAGTTACAAAGTATCATCCTGTCCTTGATCTCTGTTTCTAGAATGTTCTCAATTCAGATGGTTTTTATCTAGATTCAGTTGGAGGCCTGGATGGCCTTGGTTCTGATAACTAGAAATCTTGTGACAATCTCAGAAGTCTTCTGGGGCAGATTTCTTTGGTTTTGGGACAAGATTTGACCAGCCCTGAATCTGTGACAGGTCTGGGAGGGGCAGGGGAAGAAATGAGCAGAACCTGGAACAAGGTCTACACCTCCGCCCCCTTACAACTTGACTAGGAAGTTCTTTCTGATGGTCCCTCATTCAAGAGTCAAGATTACTACACATTAAAATTTTAAAAAGACAATGGAAGAGCTCCCAGCAAAATAGCCTATGTGGCAGTTTAGAGGGTGACTTTCTTCTCAAAAAGAGAAAGTGGATGTAAACCAACTCTTCTCCTTTCTTTCTCTGACCTGTAAAGGCAGAACTGCCTGGACAGGACAAAAATGCCTGATTTTACTGAACAATCCTATTTCTTTCTCTTCTTTTCTCTTTCTTTCTTTCCTTCCTTCCTTTCTTTCTTTCTTTTTTTTCAAGACAGAGTTTCGCTCTTGTTGCCCAGGCTACAGTGCAATGGCACGATCTCGGCTCACTGCAAACTCCATCTCCCGGGTTCAAGCGATTCTTCTGCCTCAGCCTCCCGAGTAGCTGGGATCACAGGCGTGCAGCACCACACCCAGCTAAGTTGTATTTTTAGTAGAGACAGGGTTTCTCCATGTTAGTCAGGCTGGTCTTGAACTTCCGACCTCAGGTGATCCACCCACTTCGGCCTCCCAAAGTGCTGGGATTACAGGCATGAGCCACTGTGCCCGGCCATGGACGATCCTATTTCTTTTTTTCTTTTTTTATTTTATTTTTTGAGACAGAGTATTGCTCTGTCACCCAGGCTGGAGTACAGTGGTGCGATCTCAGCTCAAACTGCAGCCTCTGCCTTCTGGGTTCAAGTGATTCTCATGCCTCAGCCTCCCGAGTAGGTGGGATTACAGGCACCTGCTACCATGCTAGGCTAATTTTTGTATTTTTAGTAGAGACAGGGTTTCACCAAATTGACCAGGCTGGTCTTGAACTCCTGGCCTCAAGTGATCCACCTGCCTCGGCCTCCCAAAGTGCTGGGGTTACAGGTGTGAGCCACCACCCTCAGCCTGGATAATCCTATTTCTTTCCTTTTTTTTTTTTTTTGAGACAGAGTCTTGCTCTGTTGCCCAGACTGGAGTGCAGTGGTGCAATCTCGGCTCACTGCAACCTCCTCCTCCTGGGTTCAAGCGATTCTCCTGCCTCAGCCTCACGAGTAGCTGGGATTACAGGTGCACGCCACCATGCCTGGCTAATTTTTGTATTTTTAGTAGAGACTGGGTTTCACCATGTTGGTCAGGCTGATCTCAAACACCTGACCTCGTGATCCACCTGCTTCAGCCTCCCAAAGTGCTGGGATTACAGGCATAAGCCACCACATCCTGGCCGACAGTCCTATTTCTAAGAAGGTGATCCACTCATGCTGAATCAGATAACACAGTAAGCTCACAGTGGGCCCTCAAACAATGGTCATTGCTCTGATAGTTATAATGCTAATGTTGGTTGGGTTCTCTGATACTGGGACACCAGGCTGTGATCAAATCCTGGGGGACCTCTTCAGCAGGAGAGCAAATAGGTTCTGAAGGAAGAGTCAGAGAATCTGGATTTCATGGCATTTATTTGTCCTGAATGCATTCAATTTTTTTTTTCTTTTCTTTTGAGACAGGTTCTCACTCTTTTACACAGGCTGGAGTACATTGACATGATCATGGCTCACTGCAGCCTCTACCTCCTGGCTCAGGTGATTCTCCCACCTCAGCCTCCCTGGTAGGTGGGACTACAGGCACGTGCCACCATGCTCGGCTAATTTTTGTATTTTTTGTAGGGCTGAGGTTTTGCCATGTTGCCCAGGCTGGTCTCAAACTCCTGGGCTCAAATAATCCTCCCACGTCAGCCTCTCAAATTGTTGGGATTATAGGCAAAAGCCATTGCACCCAACCCACATTCACATTTTACATGTCTCAATTAAATAGCCCACCAAATTTGGAAGGAAGAACTAAGCTTTTAAAAATGTCTGAAAGAGGTACATCCTGGGAAAACTCTCCCTCCTCTCAGTATGGAGGAGGCTTCTAAGGGAGGAGGTCACCTCCATCCTTCCTAGAGAGAACAGAAGACACAGGGGTGTTTGTTTCACCTAGGAGATGACAGCACAAATTACTGTTTTCTCTGTTAACAAATTTCTGAAACATGTTAGTGCCTTGTCTGTTGCCTGAAAGGGTGGAGGGCAGAGTATAAAACTGCAAATTGCTAGTTAGGTATCCGGTATTCCAGTTTTAAGAAATCTGGAATTCATGATTATGTTATGTTTAATTTCAAATTTAATGTTAAATCTGGAAAATCTAAAATATTTGTGACAACAAATTAAATGACAAATGAACTTGAAAATAAATGCAGAAAGATCAAGAGTTAAAAAAAAATTCAGTTAATCCACTGTCTGTTTACCTTGTGGCTCTCTTTTCTAAGTTAACTGGAAAATATTTAATCACATGCCTTTAATTAAAGCTCTGTACCCGTGGAGAAGCACAAGTAGGGTTTGTTTCACTTAGGCAAGAATGTCCAATGGTTCAGTTGCTAGAAAATTGGTATTTAATAACATCTAGCAGATGTTAACATTCTAGAAGAGATTCCCATTTTTTTAAAACTTGTGGAGAAAAAAACTGAACCTTACTGAGAGGGAAACAGCCTTCAATATCTTTTCTCCTCCTCCTCCTCCTCCTCCTTCTCCTCATCCTTCTCCTCATTCTCCTCCTTCTTCTCCTCCTTCTCCTTCTCCTGAGCATATTCAACATAATTGTCTGGGTGGGATGGACACTCTGAGATCCATTTGTGAGAAACACTGACTAATTTCATTAACTACCGCTAAACCAACCTGCAGATGTCATATGATAAACAGACCAGAGGCAAGGTCCTGTGTCATGGGGGAAGGCACCACATTGGGCTGGCAACCAGGGATCCTGCTTCTAGCCCAATTTTTCTGGGAACAATCTATATAATCCAGGTAAGGTCATTCATTTCTCTGGGCCTCAGTGTGCCTCTCTAGACCTTCAGTGGGTTGACTAGATGGCTGATAATATGTAGCTAATATTTGGTGGGTCTTGCAGCTCTGCACATGGCCAGATACCCTGACGTCCAATGTGGTATACAGCACAGGCTCCAGGGCAAGACTGGGTTCATTCAGACTGACTCTTAGGTGAGTGTGCTCACTGCCTCATTCTTCAGCCTTCACATCTATAAAATGGGGATGATCATAGACCCTACATTATAGGACTGCTACAGGTCTAAATGTGATATTATACCTAAATCCCTTAGAATACAGCCTAGCATAAATGTTTGCTGACATTTGATTTAAAAAAATGCCTTTCTGGCCAGGCACTGTGGTTCATGCCTGTAATCCCAGCACTTTGAGAGGCTGAGGTGGGCAGATCACTTGAGGTCAGGAGTTTGAGACCAACCTGGCCAACATGGTGAAACCCTCTCTCTACTAAAAATACAAAAATTAGCCAGGAATGGTGGCAGGCGCCTGTAATCCCAGCTACTTGGAAGGCTGAAATAGGCGAATCACTTGAACCTGGGAGGCAGAAGTTGCAGTGAACCAAGATCACACCACTGCACTCCAGCCTGGGTAACAGAGTGAGACTCTGTCTCTAATAATAATAATAATAATTTAAAAAATGCCTGTCTTTCCAGATGGATTTTTCTGAGTTTAATACTTTTGCCTGGTCACCAATACCAACTGTCTGGAGGGTCCATATGTGCCCTGTGAATATTTTGTGACTTTTATCATCCCGTGGAAGTATTGAATGAATGTTCTGCATGGCTTTTAGAGTTCTAATTTTCAAGCTGTGAAAAAAGAGAAATTTGGTAGGAAAAAAGCCCTATGCTTTAAATACCTCTAATATTTTTTGGTTTTAATTTCATGCGGAGTGGCTGCTGTTCAATCACATTAAGTTCAAGATCTGAAGGTTGAGTATCAGGATCCGAAGGGAGATATTAGAAATGCTGATAGCCCCCATGGTCTTACAAGTCATTAGATCTTCCCCAGACCCCAGCTCAAAGGCATTTACTCATCCACTTATCTATTCTTTCACCCACAAGCTTATATTGAGCACTTGCTATATGTTAGTCACTGTACAAAGTAAATAATACATGGTTCCTCCTTTTGAAGAGCTCAGAGCTTATGAGGAAGACAGATGAACAAATGGGTGAATTACCAAAGTGGTAACTGTTGCTACAAGGACATAAAACCAAGCAATTAATTGTGCCTGGGGGAGCCAGGACGTGACAACTGAAGTGGGCTGAGAATGGCAAGTGAAACCTATGTGTGTGTGATTGTCTGTCTTTATCTGTCTGAGTATTATGGGCAGGGGGAAGAGAAAAGGCCTTGTGAAAGGCATTGAGGCCTGTTGGGAGGCACAATCTACATGCTTTGGAAATAAGAAACTTTTTTTAACTGGCAGGAAAAAGAAGGGAAACCACCCCATCTAACTTCCCACCTTCCTTCTAGGAAGAGAGAATTTGTATTAGATGTACTGATGATAAAGGGAATATACCCATAAGATATTTAAATGTTAAGTCTATAAAGTAGGAGCATAGGCTGGGCATGGTGGCTCATGCCTGTAATCCCAGCACTTTGGGAGGCCGAGGCAGGTAGATCACTTGAGGCCAGGAGTTCAAGACCAGCCTGGCCAACGCGATGAAACCCTGTGTCTAATAAAAAAATTAGCCGGGTGTTGTGGCACACGCCTGTAGTCCCAGCTACTCCAGAGGCTGAAATGCAAGAGTCGCTTAAACCCAGGAGGCGGAGGTTGGAGCGAGCCGAGATTGCACCACTGCACTCCAGCCTCAGTGACAGAGAAAGACTCAAAAAACAAAAACAAAAAAAAAGAAAAAAAAAAGTAGGAGGCAGAGATTGCAGCGAGCTGAGATTGCACCACTGCATTCCAGCCTGGGTGACAGAGTGAGTCTCAAAAAAAGCAAAAAGGCCAGGCGCGGTGGCTGAAGCCTGTAATCCCAGCACTTTGGGAGGCTGAGGCGGGCAGATCATGAGGTCAGGAGATCGAGACCAACTTGGCCAACATGGTGAAACCCCGTCTCCGCTAAAAATACAAAAATTAGCTGGGCATGGTGGCACGTGCCTGTAGTCTCAGCTACTCGGGAGGCTGAAGGCAGGAAAATCACTTGAACCTAGGAAGCGGAGGTTGCAGTTTGCCGAGATTGTGCCACTGCACTCCACCCTGGCGACAGAGTGAGACTCCGTCTCAAAAAAAGAAAAAAAAAAAAGAAAAAGAAAAAAAAGTAGGAGCATAATGATTTTGAGTACCTCCGAAAGAACCTGGTATAGGCACAAAGCAGCTAAATTATTCCCAAAATGTATGCAGTACAGGATGACATCTACAATTCTCAAAAAATCTCTTTTGGCTGGGCACGGTGGCTCACGCCTGTAATCCTAGCACTTTGGGAGGGCGAGTCGGGCGGATCACCTGAAGTCAGGAGTTCAAGACCAGCCTGGCTAACATGGTGAAATCCCGTCTTTACTAAAATTACAAAAATTACTCGGGCGTGGTTATGCGTGCCTGTAATCCCAGGTACCCGGGAGACTGAGGCGGGAGAATCGTTGGAACCCAGAGAAAAAATTTTGAGACAGAGTCTCGCTCTGTCGCCCAGGCTGGAGTGCAGTGATGCGATCTCGGCTCACTGCAAGCTCCGCCTCCTGGGTTCAAGCCATTCTCCCGCCTCAGCCTCCCGAGTAGCTGGGACCACAGGCGCCCGCCACCACGCCTGGCTAATTTTTTTGTATTTTTAGCAGAGACGGAGTTTCACCATGTTAGCCAGGATAGTCTCTATCTCCTGACCTCGTGATCCGCTGCCTCGGCTTCCCAAAGTGCTGGGATTACAGGCGTGAGCCGCCGCGCCTGGCCTAAAAAAAAAAAAAAAAAAAAAAAAAAAAAAAGTCCTTTTTAAGGCAGGCTTGTGAGAAGGTAAGGAGAAATAATGTGAAAATATGGAAGATAAACTCACTCTAGGAGTTTAGAAGCCTGCAAAATCAGTATAATGAGCACTCATATCCCTAGCACCGGGATTCAACAATCATTACATTTTTCCATTTCACCATATTTGATTCATATATATGTATATGTGTATATATACATTTTCAGAACCATTTTAAAGAAAATTACAGATATTTTATACTGCAATACTTTAACACACATGCACACATTTCCAAAAATTAAAGATGCTCTCCTTCATACCCAGACAGCAGTATCACATCTAAGACAATAAGAAATAATTCCCAGGCTGCGCTCGGTGGCTCATGCCTATAATCCCAGCACTTTGGGAAGCCGAGGCGGGCGGATCACCTGAGGTCGGGAGTTTGAGCCAGCCTGACCAACATGGAAAAACCCCATCTCTACTAAAAATACAAAATTAGCTGGCGTGGTGGAGGATGCCTGTAATCCCAGCTACTCAGGAGACTGAGGCAGGAGAATCGCTTGAACGCAGGAGGCAGAAGTTGCGGTGAGCCGAGATCACGCTCTTTAGCCTGGGCAACAAGAGCAAAACTACGTCTCACAAAAAAAAAAAAAAATCCCTAATTTCCAATGCGGGGTCCATATTTATATTTCTGTATAGTCCCCAAACTATCTTTTATAGCTATTATTTAGACAAGACATTTATGTATTTTTAATGGGTGGCATGTTTTTTGGCACCTTTTGGGCACGGACAAGTCTAATTTCTACTTCGAACTGTTTTTTTTTTGTTGTTGTATTTTTTTTATTATTTTTTTTTTATTGATCATTCTTGGGTGTTTCTCGCAGAGGGGGATTTGGCAGGGTCATAGGACAATAGTGGAGGGAAGGTCAGCAGATAAACAAGTGAACAAAGGTCTCTGGTTTTCCTAGGCAGAGTGTTTGTGTCCCTGGGTACTTGAGATTAGGGAGTGGTGATGACTCTTAACGAGCATGCTGCCTTCAAGCATCTGTTTAACAAAGCACATCTTGCACCGCCCTTAATCCATTTAACCCTGAGTGGACACAGCACATGTTTCAGAGAGCACAGGGTTGGGGGTAAGGTCATAGATCAACAGGATCCCAAGGCAGAAGAATTTTTCTTAGTACAGAACAAAATGAAAAGTCTCCCATGTCTACTTCTTTCTACACAGACACAGCAACCATCCGATTTCTCAATCTTTTCCCCACCTTTCCCCCTTTTCTATTCCACAAAACCGCCATTGTCATCATGGCCCGTTCTCAATGAGCTGTTGGGTACACCTCCCAGACGGGGTGGTGGCCGGGCAGAGGGGCTCCTCACTTCCCAGAAGGGGCGGCCGGGCAGAGGCGCCCCTCACCTCCCGGACGGGGCGGCTGGCCGGGCAGGGGGCTGACCCCCCCACCTCCCTCCCGGACGGGGCGGCTCGCCTGGCGGGGGGCTGACCCCCCCACCTCCCTCCCGGATGGGGCGGCTGGCCAGGCAGAGAGGCTCCTCACTTCCCAGTAGGGGCGGCCGGGCAGAGGCGCCCCTCACCTCCCAGACGGGGCGGCTGGCCGGGTGGGGGGCTGACCCCCCACCTCCCTCCCGGACGGGGCGGCTGGCCTGGCGGGGGCTGACCCCCACCTCCCTCCCGGACAGGGTGGCTGCCGGGCGGAGACGCTCCTCACTTCCCAGACGGGGTGGCAGCAGGGCGGAGGGGCTCCTCACTTCTCAGACGGGGCGGTTGCCAGGCGGAGGGTCTCCTCACTTCTCAGACAGGGCGGCCGGGCAGAGACGCTCCTCACCTCCCGGACAGGGTTGCGGCCCGGCCGAGGCTCTCCTCACATCCCAGACGGGGCAGCGGGGCAGAGGCGCTCCCCACATCTCAGACGATGGGCGGCCGGGCAGAGACGCTCCTCACTTCCTAGATGGGATGGCGGCCGGGAAGAGGTGCTCCTCACTTCCTAGGTGTGATGGCGGCCGGGCAGAGACGCTCCTCACTTTCCAGACTGGGCAGCCAGGCAGAGGGGCTCCTCACATCCCAGACCATGGGCGGCCAGGCAGAGACGCTCCTCACTTCCCAGATGGGGTAGCGGCTGGGCAGAGGCTGCAATCTCGGCACTTTGGGGGGCCAAGGCAGGCGGCTGGGAAGTGGAGGTTGTAGCGAGCCGAGATCACGCCACTGCACTCCCGCCTGGGCACCATTGAGCACTGAGTTAACGAGACTCCGTCTGCAATCCCGGCACCTCGGGAGGCCGAGGCTGGCGGATCACTCGCGGTTAGGAGCTGGAGACCAGCCCGGCCATCACAGCGAAACCCCGTCTCCACCAAAAAAATACGAAAACCAGTCAGGCGTGGCGGCGTGCGCCTGCAATCGCAGGCACTCGGCAGGCTGAGGCAGGAGAATCAGGCAGGGAGGTTGCAGTGAGCCGAGATGGCAGCAGCACAGTCCAGCTTCGGCTGGGCATGAGAGGGAGACCGTGGAAAGAGAGGGAGAGGGAGACCGTGGAAAGAGGGGAGAGGGAGAGGGGGAGGGGGAGGGAGCCGAACTGTGTTTTGCGCCCTACCAGGTTTCTTTGAATCCTGAAATATCACTTGGGCTTGTCTAGGTACAGCTCAATGGCTGCAAATTTGTGTATTCACATAAACACACAAGTGAAATAGGATTAATCTGCTGAGTGAAGCTAAAGAAAAGGAGAGCTGGGGTTTGGAAACAGTGACAGTCTAAGAACTAGGTCCGTCTGCCTTTTTTCTAATAGACTGTCCTAGGGAGATTAAATTGATTGTAAAACAAAAACGCTAACAGATGATACTCAAGTTTTCCTCTTGACACTCCACAGTGGACTTGGGTATTTTAATCAGATGTGAGGAAATAAAAAAAGTGGGCGCAGTGGCTCATGCCTGTAATCCCAGCACTTTGGGAGGCCGAGGCAGGTGGATAGCTTGAGGCCAGGAGTTTGAGACCAGCCTGGCTAATATGATGAAACCCCATCTCTACTAAAAATAAAAAAATTAGCCGGGTGTGGTGGCGTGCGCCTGTAAGCCCAGCTACTCCGGAGGCTGAGGCAGGAGAATCGCTTCAACCCGGGAAGCAGAGGTTGCAGTGAGCCGAGATTGCGCCATTGCACTCTAGCCTGGGAGTCCCAGCTTCAAAAGGAAAAAAAATAAAAAAGTGAAGCAAGAGCATTCTGACTGCCTTTGAAAACCATTTTATCCCACCTCTCCTCACCATCTCCTACCGCCCAGTATTCAATCAGTGCTGTGGTTACTCCTGCCAGATTTTGCACCCCGGGCTCTGGCCATGCTCTGATTAAGTTACCTGGCCAGAAGGTGCTCTGATTCTGGAAAAAATGAGAAATATCCATTTCTACTAGGAGAAATGAATCAATGGTTAAATGGAGAAGACTTACTGATAGTATAAGAAAAGGATTTTGGATCTGATGATATATATTTTAAAATCTTTGAAATAATCTCCAATTTACAAAAAAGTTACACAGTACAATTCTTTTTCCAGAACCATGACAGTAATTTGCCAATCCAACCTGATTCCTCATAATACCTCAATACTTTATTTTCCTATATAACCACAATACAACCACCAAAATTAGGTAATTAACACTGATACATTACTACCATCTAATACTCAGATCACATTCAAGTTTTGCCAAATTCCTTTAGAGCAAAAAATTCAGTTCAGAATCACATGTGGCCTTTAGCTGTCATGTCTCTTTAATCTTCTCCAGTCTGGAGGAATTCCTCAGTCATTACTTGGCTTTATGGCCTTAAAACTTTTGACAAATATGGACCAGTTGTTTTGTTTAATGCCCCTAAGTTCGGTTTTGTCAGATGTTTCCTCATGATTAAGTTCAGGTTGTGTATCTTTGGCAGGAATATCACAGAGGGGATGCTGTGTTTTCCTCATCGCATCATATCGGATGGCACACTATTTTCATTTGTTCCATTACTGATAATATTCACTCCGATCACCTGACTAAAATGTTATCTGCCAATTTGTTTTACTATAAAGCTACTTCTTTCCTTTTGTAAAATAATTAATTAGTATTTTGTGGAGTGATAGTTTGAAACTAGCTAAATGTCCCATTCTTTTTTTTTTTTTTATTTTTGACACAGGGTCTTGCTCTGTCGCCCATGCTGGAGTGCAGTGGTGCTCCTTGCAAACTTGACCTCCCAGGCTCAAGCAATTCTCCCACCTCAACCTCCCAAGTAGCTAGGACTACTGGCACACGCCACCATACCCAGCTAATTTTTGTATTTTTGGTAGAGACGGGGTTTCACCATGTTGCTCAGGCCAGTCTCAAGCTCCTGGGCTCAAGCAATCTGCCTACCTTGGCCTCCCAAAGCTCTGGGATTACAGGTGTGAGCCACCGGCCTGGCCTTAAATGTCCCTTTTTTTTTCTTTTAATTTTTCCGTAAGATATTCCGGTACAGGTGGTATTTGGTTACATGCGTAAATTCTTTAGTGGTGCTTTGTGAGATTTTGGTGCACCCATCATCTGAAAATGTCCCATTCTTAAGCAAACATTTAATTTTTACTTGCTAATTTATATCATTAGGGACTCACGTCTCTATTTTATTCAATGGTTTATAATGTATTACTCTTATTATTTATTTTGATGCAAGTTGTCTCTGATTTGTCTTAATAGCAGCCTCTTCAAGCTGACTCCTGTGTCCTTTTGACAAGCCCTCACCATGCTGAGAACTTCTTGTTTTCTGACATGAAAATATATTCCAGGTGGCCGGGCGCGGTAGCTCACGCCTGTAATCCTAGCACTTTGTGAGTCCAAGGCGGCAGATCATCTGAGGTCAGGAGTTTGAGACCAGCCTAACCAACATGGAGAAACCCCATCTCTACTAAAAATAAAAGATCAGCTGGGCGTGGTGGCGCATGCCTGTAATCCCAGCTACTCGGGAGGCTGAGGCAGGAGATCGCTTGAACCTGGGAGGTGGAGGTTGCGGTGGGTCGAGATGGTGCCATTGCACTCCAGCCTGGGCGACAAGAGTGAAACTCTGTCTAAAAAAAAAAAAAAAGAAAGAAAAGAAAAAGAAAAAGAAAAAAGAAAATATATTCCAGGCTTGTCTTGTATTTCCCCTGTCTCAGCCCTGAATCAGCCATTCCTCTGAAGAGCCATGGTTCCTTTTAATGGAGAAAGGTATTTATCAGCTAGGTGTGCTCATTGCTATTGGGGTATTGCATCTCCCAAGAGCTCTCACTGGACAGAACTACCCAATATAACAGTATGTGTATTACAAACTTAACAGCTTAAAACAACACAAATTCATCATCTTCTAGTTCTGAAGGTTAGAAGCCCTAAAATCAAGGTGTCAACATGGCTGTTCTTTCTGGAGACTCCAGGAGGGCATCCCTTTTCTTCCTTTTTCCAGCTTCTAGAAGCTGCCTACCTTCCTTAGCTTGTGGCCCCTTCCTCCATTTTGCAGAGCTAACAGCATAGTATTCTCAAATTAACATCTGTCTCTTTCACTTCTGCTTCTGTTGTCATATCTCCTTCTCTGACGCTGACCCCCACCCCTCTTTTTTTTTTTTTTTTTTTTTTGAGACAGAGTGTCACTCCCATTGCCCAGGTTGGAGTGCAGTGCTATAATCACAGCTCATTGCAGCCTCTACCTCCCAGGCTCAGGTGATCCTCCCAGCACAGCTTCCCTAGTAGCTGGGACTATAGGCGTGCGCCACCATGCAAGGCTAATTTTTGTATTTTTAGTAGGGATGGGGTTTCACCATGTTGTCCAGGATGGTCTCAAACTCCTAGGCTCAAGCGATTCTCCCATCTCGGCCTCCCAAAGTGCTGGGATCATAGGTGTAAGCCACAGTGCCCGCCCTCTGCCTCCCTCTTATAAGGACTCTTGTTATTATATTGGACCCACCCAGATAATCCAGGATAACCTTATCTCAAGGTTCTTGACTTAATCTTACCTGCAAAGTCCCTTTTGCCATGTAAGGTAACATGTTCACAGGTTTTGGAAATTAGGATACAGGAATCTTTGGGGGTCTACTATTCTACCTTCTACAATATGTATGTATGTATGCATGCACACATTGCTATATTTATTCCTATATCTATATAAATATATTGAAGACCATAACATCATTTAGATACTTCCAATTTCAACTGGACAACTACAGGGTTCATTCCAGATTTCTGTTTCAATATTTGTGACTCCCTCCTCCAACAATGGGAAACCTGGCTTTCATTATCCTTAATAAGTTACTTATTTGACTAATCTCCTCTTTGTAACTAGTGTCCTATTCTCCTTCTGTGCTCTTATCCTGGGAATGTCCTCCCACTCTACCTGGACTCTGAAACTTTATACCCAGCCACCCTTCCATGGGGACACCCTCTTCACTCCACTGGGATTCTGCCACCCCAAGCCAGGCTGCCCCTGCAGGAACACTGTCCTATCCTGTTCAGTCTCTGACACCACACAGCAAGCAGCCCTCCTGTGCAGACACTTTTCTCACCCTGCTGGGGCTCCAACACCCAGCTCTGGACCACGGTGGCTTCCCTCATTAGTCACAGATGTTATCCTGCTCTGCCCCACCTAAAGGCTTTAGCACCAAATTGCTGAGAGGGAAGGGAAGGGAAGAAAATTCCAAATGACATATTTTTGGGAGTGAGAAAGGGGGCACTGAACCTTGATCCAAACGAGGGTGGGAAATGTGGAATGCTGAGCAGGGAGAAGCAGGGAGATGAGGTGGAAGTTAGTACATAATAGAGGGTTTGAGGCTTGAATAAATATCGGCTATTGGAGTGGGTCCCTGTTCTTGGGCCTGTTTGCGTGTTTGAGGACCCGACTCATATTTTTCTGGGCTGAGAATGCTGCCACCAGCCTGGAGCCTCATCAAACCACTTTTTATTAAAAAACCACCCGTTGGCTCCTGTTGTTTTTTATGCTGATTAAGAACACTGACTTGGCTAAATGAACAAGGGGGCTGATTGTTGCTCTGTCTCTTGAAGCAGGAGAGGCTTTTGATCGAGTTGAGTGGGAGTTTATGTTTGAGGTACTTTAAAAAATGAAATTTGGAGATAAGCTTATGAACTGAATTTGAACTTCATTTCAAGCTCATTGAACAGAAATGTTTTAGATCCCTTTAATCTGAAAAAGGCCCATTGCAATTGTCCTTTGAATCTCTTATTTTTCTTTAAGATAAAGCTTCTTCTCAAATTACTTACTATTTATCTACGTACTGAGAAGGGAAAAATAAACTTAAGTTTAAAGATGTTTGGATATTTTTCTTTCTCTGAGGATAGGAAACATGGCTCGGGTGCCTTCTCTCTCCACCCTGGCACCCAGAGCAAGGATGTTGCTCATTAGTGACTAAGTAGGACCAGCGTCTCAGGTGGCAATCTGGGAGCAAGCTCAGCTTCACAATGGGGGACTGTGGGTTGGTTGCACAGAAAGCAGAAGCTTGTGGGTTCTAATCTCACTTCCTCCATTGGCTTCTGGGTGGCTTTAGGTGAGTCATTTAATTTCCACATGTTTGGTTTGCCCCATCTGCCACATGGAGCTAATGATACTCCTCATCTACTTATTTCACAGGGATGTTGTAAGAGCTGATTAATGTACAGGGTGGCCAAACATTGCACATGTATGATGAGCTAAGAAAAGTAAGATAATGAGCCCAGAAACCTTTTCAAATTAGGGGTGATCTTTTCCTTTAGGAATGAGCTGTGCTTATGATGCTGTTTTTTTTTTTTTCCTGAGTCGGAGTTTCACTCTTGTCGCCCAGGCTGGAGTGCAAGTGGTGTGATCTCGGCTCACTGCAACCTCTGCCTCCTGGGTTCAAGTGATTCTCCTGCCTCAGCCTTCCGAGTAGCTGGGATTACAGGTGTGTGCCACCATGCCCCAGCTAATTTTTGTATTTTAAGTAGAGACAGAGTTTTGCCATGTTGGCCAGGCTGGTCTCAAACTCCTGACCTCGGATGATCTGCCAGCCTCTGCCTCCCAAAGTGCTGGCATTATACGAGTGAGCCACCACGCCCGGCCTTTTTTGTTTTTGTTTTTGTTTTGCACTCTGTCACCTGAGCTGGAGTGTGGTGGTGTGATCTCAGCTCACTGCAACCTCCGCTTCCCAGGTTCAAATGATTCTCCTGCCTCAGCTTCCCTAGTAGTTGGGATTACAGGCGTGTGCTACTGTACCTGGCTAATTTTTGTATTTTTAGTAGAGATGGGGTTTTGCCATATTGGCCAGGCTGGTCTCAAACTCTTGGCCTTGAGTGATCCGCCCGTCTCAGCCTCCCAAAGTGCTGGTATTACAGGTGAGCCACTGTGACCAGCCATGGTATTTTTTTTTTTTGACCATTTCTCTGTCTTATTAATTTAACTCATGCTATTATTAATTATATACATAATATGTTTGGCTCAACATGGATGACATCATTCATTTCAATATATTTTTGTTTGCTTCCTATGTGCCTGGCACTCTCTGTATTAGAATTAAAAACCTAAGTGAAAGCCAAATTATAGGAAGGTCAGGAAATGGGAAATATTTATGAGCAAATTCATGCTTATATTTCTTTTGTTAACTCTGAAGATGTATTTGTTTGAACATACACTTCTGCCCGGTGGCTCACGCCTGTAATCCTAGCACTTTGGGAGTCCAAGGCAGGCGGATCACCTGAGGTCAGGAGTTAGAAACCAGCCTGGCCAACATGGTGAAACCCCATCTCTACTAAAAATACAAAAAAATAAGCTGGGCATGGTGGCACATGCCTGTAATCCCAGCTACTTGGGAGGCTGAGGCAAGAGAATTGCTTGAATCTGGGAGGCAGAGACTGCAGTGAGCTGAGATCGTGCTACTGCACTCCAGCCTGGGCGACAGAGCCAGACTCTGTCTCAAAAAAAAAAAAAAAAAGGCTGGGTGCAGTAATCCCAGCACTTTGGGAGGCTGAAGTGGGTAGATAATCTGAGGTTCGAGACCAGCATGGCCAACATGGTGAAATTTGTCTCTACTAAAAATGCAAAAATTAGCCAGGTGTGGTGGTGGGAGTCTGCCTGCCTTGGACTCCCAAAGTGCTAGGATTACAGGCGTGAGCCACCGGGTGGAAGTGTAATCCCAGCTACTTGGGAGGCTGAGGCAGGAGAATTGCTTGAACCCAGGAGGCAGAGGTTGCAATGAGTGGAGATCGCACCACTGCACTCCAGCCTGGGTGACAGAGCAAGACTCCGTCTCAAAAAATAAAATAAAATAAAATAAAATAAAATAAAATAAAATAAAATAAAATAAAATAAAATAATTAAATGTATCTGAGAAAAGCTGAGCTATAGTTTCCTGAGTATTGATAAAGGATATATCTTAGTTTTTGAAAGGAAGGGCTCCCCAGTAGCCAACTTCTAGAATGACAGTCCTCCTAAAGACATCATCTTCCACCTAATGAATTTCCATATAGCTGTTCCTTGCTAAAAAGGACATTAACCTAAATTAGGCTTGCCATTTTACTGTGTCAAGCACATAGTAACAATGAACATAATCGGCGGGGCATGGTGGCTCACGCCTGTAATCCCAGCACTTTGGGAGGCCAAGGCAGGCAGATCATGAGGTCAAGAGATCGAGACCATCCTGGCCAACATGGTGAAACCCGTCTCTACTAAAAATACAAAAATTAGCTAAGCGTGGTGGCAGGCGCCTGTAGCCCCAGCTACTCGGGAGGCTGAGGCAGGAGAATTGCTTGAACCTGGGAGGTGGAGGTTGCAGTGAGCCAAGATTGTGCCACTGCACACCAGCCTGGTGACAGAGCGAGACTCCGTCTCAAAAAAAAAAAAAAAAAAAAAAAAGAAAGAAAAAAATTAACATAATCAGTATATCCTCAATATGGGGAAGTTAAGTCAGATTGCACATGAACTGAAAACTAAACTGAAAATGATTATTTCATACTCCTGAAAAACCCTCATTTACGTGCATGTGGAAATAACTGCTTTTCACAGCATCCTCCTACCCCATGCAGATGGTCACTGTGTTCAATGGCACTGTCTTTGAACATGCTGTAGCAGGAAAGCTTCATGCTTTTATATCAACCAGGGCTGACATCTAAGTTCAAAATGCCAAGGGAAAAGTAAAAAACACAAAATAACACAACACAGAGAGGGAAATAAGGTTTTGGCATCTTTGTTTCCAGTTGTTGGTTTTGGCTCTTAGTAGGGCTTCTGGTTGGCAGCTGTAGGGAAACTTTTGGACTATTTTCCACAGACTGAACAGGCCACATGAAATTTCTATTATTACTTCAATCTTGGCTGACTCTAGTAAAACTGACTGCCTTATATCCCTTGTCCTGGAAGCATGTCATTTCTAAGGGTAGCTGTAGTTCATGAGAACACCCCAGAGCCTGTTTTAGGACTATTACCTTTTAGAGATGAAACCACCTCTATAAGGTCTTCACATTTTCCTGTAGCTGCTGTTTCAGGGCAGTCCAGACCAGCCTGATCTTCCTATTCGAAAACTGTCATAACTATCAGAGACACCAATAAGCCCTTAAGTCAGAAACTAGATACAGTTTTATAGAATTGTAACATACAGGAGTAGCACCTCAACATTTTTTTTCTTTTTTTTTGAGACAGAGTCTCGCTCTGTTGCCCAGGTTGGAGTGCAATGGTGCAATCTCGGCTCGCTGTAACCTCCACCGCCTGGGTTCAAGCGATTCTCCTGCCTCAGTCTCCCAACTAGGTGGGATTACAAGCGCCTGCCACCACGCCTGGCTAATTTTTGTAGTTTTTAATAGAGACAGGGTTTCACCATGTTAGCCAGGCTGGTCTTGAACTTCTGACCTCAGGTGATCTGCCCGCCTTGGCCTCCCAAAGTGCTGTGATTACAGGCATGAGCCATCACACCTGGCCACACCTCAACATTTCTTTCTTTTTTTTTTTTGAGACGGAGTTTCACTCTTATTGCCCAGGCTGGAGTGCAGTAGCACGATCTCGGCTCACTGCAGTCTCTGCCTCCCAGATTCAAGCAATTCTCCTGCCTCAGCCTCCCGAGTAGCTGGGATTACAGGCCTGTGCCACCACGCATGGCTAATTTTGTATTTTTAGTAGAGACAGGGTTTCTCCATGTTGGTCAGGCTGGTCTCGAACTCCCGACCTCAGGTGATTCACCCACCTCGGCCTCCCAAATTGCTGGGATTAGAGGCATGAGCCACTGAGCCCAGCCCAGACCTCAACATTTCTAACATGTATTAGAGAGCCAGGGAGAATGTCAGTTCTGCAGGCAACTCCCATGTGGAGAGCTTGATTTTGCTTCCCAAATCCTATTTTCTTCTCCAGTTAAGGAGGAAGGATAAGGCAGGATAAATGATCACTTTGGGATTTAAACAGAACCCATGAAGCTTCAAGTGTTTAAAAGTGATTTTTAAAAAAATGTTATATGTGTCTTTACATGTTATAACCTTAGGCACTGAAAAAGCTTGAGAGGCCTGCGGTCTCATCCATTGATGTTCATGTTCCCTGACCTCCTAAGCAAGAGGAAGGACTTGTCTGTTTCTCTAGACTTTAGACCATGTGAAGTTCACTCTATGGTGTGCCAGAAGGTCGAAGTTGATTGATTTCTGTTTTGCTTAGGAATCCTGAGCTTCAGGAAAATAGCATTTTATTCAGGGGGCAACTTTGCTTTTGAAATTGATTTTTGTTTCTTCCAGCAGAAGTCTTATAGCCTTGAGATCTATTAAAAATGGAATAATGAGGCCGGGCACGGTGGCTTACACCTGTAATCCCAGCACTTTGGGAGGCTGAGGCGAGTGGATCACCTGAGGTCGGGAGTTTGAGACCAGCCTGACCAACCTGGAGAAACCCTGTTTCTACAAAAAATGCAAAATTAGTCGGGCATGGTGGCACATGCCTGTAATCCCAGCTACTCAGGAGGCTGAGGCAGGAGAATCGCTTGAACCCGGGAGGTGGAGGTTGCGGTGAGCCAAGATTGCGCCATTGCACTCCAGCCTAGGCAACAAGAGTGAAACTCTGTCTCAAAAAAAACAAAAAAACAAAAAAACAAACAAAAAAAACCCAAAAGGAATAATGATAATGACAGAGGAAATGTCTTTATGTAGATTGATGGATAGAAAATTGGGCCAAGAAAGATCCAGGATTCCAGAGTGTTCTGACTTTGCTACTGGTTCATTCATTCAGTGACCTCAGGCAATTCTGGTTATTATTTCACAACTCAGTTTCCCTGTCTGTAAAGTAAGAATCCTGACATTTATTATGCAGGTAGTATGGCAAGTTGGTTGAGAGCATGGGCTCTGAATGCAGATTGCCTGGTTTGACTTCTGACTCTCCCACTTCTAACTGTGATTCTGGGCAAGCCACTTATGTCTATGCTTCGGTTTTCTCATCTGTCAAATTATTATCCTCATAATAGTAGTACCTACTTCATAGGATTATTGTGGGGAATACATGTGGTGATATAAGTAAAATGCCTGACACGTTGCACCTAGTCAGCATTAGTACTAGTATTATTTTACTTATCTAGAGTTCGTATTGATATTATTATCATAACCTAATCAAGGATACTGAGATTCAAAGAAGTAGAAAACTAAGGACAAATAGAAGTTTGTCTTGAATTTACTTAAAAAAAAATTAAGCCCAAGCCGCTTTATACAGAAGCCAAGATTTCAAGAACGTTTGCAAATGTAGAATCACTGGAAATACTTTCCAACTATCTCCACATGACGTAAGCAAACATTCAAGGAACAAGTGGAGTGCAGCAAGGCCAGGGAGCAGAGTGGGAGGTCCCTGCCTCTGTCAGCAGGTCCAGGGCTAAGCCAAGGCATCTGCAAAATCTCCAGCAACATCCTCATAATAATTATTTTAGGTGGCATCTGGATTTTACAAACATTAATTAGTTACTTGGATAAGGTGTGGGCTATACCACTCCCAGGGCTGGGTTAATTGAGGTACAGATACATGCCTAGAGATGATGCATCCCAAAGTGTTCACTTACAGAGAAAGGAAGACTCAAGGCCATGGAGATAAAGCCAGAAGCCAGAGGAAACCTGGGTTTCATTTTAGTCTCATCTGTGAGCTGGCCTTTCTCCATCTTTTCAGGCATATTTTCTGCTTTTTTCCTCAACAGGCCCCCTTCAGCTCTGCTTCTGCTCTGCCTCTCAAGCGTCCCATGGCTGTCCCGTGCCCAGGCTTCTACTCATGTTGGCCCTATTGGAAAGCTTCCTTTCATCATCCTGTTGTTATATTTTAATCATTCTTTAAGGCCTTGCACACCAACTTCTCTCTCCATACATTCCTCCTTACCCTGCTGCTGTCATGGTTTATCTTGGCATCTACAAGAATTATATAGTCAAAATTTGTTGTTCATTTCTTTCTTTCTTTCTTTCTTTTTTTTTTTTTTGAGACAGAGTCTTGCTCTGTTACCGAGGCTGGAGTGCAGTGGCACAATCTTGGCTCACTGCAACCTCTGTCTCCCCGGTTCAAGCGATTCTCCTGCCTCAGCCTCCCGAGTAGCTGGGATTACAGGTGCACACCACCATGCCCGGCTAATTTTTGTATTTTTCTTAGTAGAGACAGGGTTTCACCATGCTGGCCAGGCTGGTCTCGAACTCCTGACCTTGTGATCTGCCCACCTCAGCCAATATGATGTTCATTTCTTTGCTATAGCCATAGCACCACATCCCTGCAAATGATGAATACGTTCTTTCTTTTTGTCCTTTGTTGCACATTTAAAAAATGCCTACAATGTGGCATATCTGTGCTAGCAGCCAAACATTGTGGAATATTATTCCCACTTCCTAGATATTTGTTAAAAAATGAAACTTTAAGATACTAAGTTATTTTGCTCAAGGCCCCAAAGCTATTAGGTGACAGGAATGGGATTTAGATCTGGATCTGTCCTTTACCCAATTTTCTCTAGAGAATCTCATGTTTTGAATACAAGCAAGGTATTCAAAACATGAGTAGGTGAGTAGGTAGGAGAGATGGGTGAGTAGGTAGGAGAGATGGAAAGGATTTAGAAGATCTTGGAGATAAACTTGACTGAGGAATTAAAATTGGTTACCGGAGGGCCGGGCACAGTGGCTCATGCCTATAATCCTAGCACTTTGGGAGGCCTAGGCGGGTGGATTGCCTGAGGTCAGGAGGTCGAGACCAACCTGGCCAAAATGGAGAAAACCGTCTCTACTAAAAATAAAAAATTAGCCAGGTGCAGTGGTGCACGCCTGTAATTCCAGCTACTTGGGAGGCTGAGGCACGAAAATCTCTCGAACCTGGGTGACAGAGGTTGCAGTGAGCTGAGATCGCACCACTGCACTCCAGCCTGGATGACAGAGCAAGACTCTGTCTCAAAAAATAAAAAGGAGAATTTGTTACCAGATTTAGTGGGTGGTTGGATGGGGTGGGTTAGGGAGGCAGCATGTTCAGTACTGAGGAAACAAAGGAATGAAAGGCCAAATGGGATCTCATGGAAACCAGAGGGAAATGGGGCTTCAGGGATGGCGAAATCTGTCTGACATCCTCTCTTGTGGGAGACATGTTTAAACTTGGCCTGAGTGCTCGCCAGAGGCCTGGTGCCAGGGTGGGAGTTTCCCCAAACAGTCAAGTAGAGAGATCTAAAGGATAAATGTAAGCTTTGCCCTTAGGAAGGAAGAAGGCCAGAGTGGGCTGTTCCTTCAGTCATTGAACCCAAGCGTTGAGAGTGAGACTAGAACTGGAGACAAAGCTCAGTGTTGGAAGCGAGGTGGATGCTAGAATGGAGTGGAGAGTCAAGAGTAAGTGTCGAGGCAGAGCTTGGGTTCAAGGCACTTTTGATGAACAGAGCTGGTGGGCTGGGGCTAGTTTGAAATGACTTCAAGGAGCAAGGGCAGACCCATGTGGCTTACAGGCACAGAGTTTGGAAATAGAAGAAAATGGGCCAGGCGAGGTGGCTCATGTCTGTAATCCCAGCACTTTGGGAGGCCGAGGCGGGTGGATCACGAGGTCAGGAGTTTGAGACTAGCCTGACCAACATGGTGAAACCCCGTCTGTACTAAAAATACAAAAATTAACTGGGCGTGGTGGTGCGCACCTGTAATCCCAGCTACTTGGGAGGCTGAGGCAGGAGAATCACTTGAACCCTGGAGGTGGAGGTTGCAGTGAGCTGAGATCGCGCCACTGCACTCCAGCCTTGGCAACAAGAGCACGATGTCATCGCGAAACAAACAAACAAACAAACAAACAAGAAATAGAAGAAAACGAAAGGCCTTAAATGATCAAATTAAGGGGGCAGAGTTTTAAATAAACTTTCATTCCTCTGACATCAGAGTGAATTGACCAGGTGGAAAGAGGGGAGGTAGGGAGCAGGACTGTTGGAGGCAGAGTCAGTTAAGGGTGTTTATAGAATTAATTCACTGGGAGCAGGGAAGATATGGATAAAATGCCCTATCTCCAAAAAAGCCTCAGTGTAAAGTGCAATATGTCTAGGAAAAGCTACATTAGATTGAAAGTTTTATGGTTGCCCATTGGAGGGCTTCTGCAGGGAGGCTGAGGGATGTTTTGGGGGCTGTGACATTTGAGGGCTAGATAATTGATCAAATAAATAGATGAATATTTGTGTCCTTCCTCCCACAAATATTCATCTGTTTATTTGACTAATTATCTGTTGAGCACATACCATTGTGCTAGCTACTGTTGGGCACCAGAAACAGTGGGTCCCAAGACATCAATATCTCTGTGTACATGGACATAGATTTATTATAGTGGGGGAGACAAAGATGGAACAATTAAACATACAATTTAAGGTTTAAATTTGGAAAGTGAGTGCTATGAGAGAGATGATAGAAGGATATAATTTAGATTGGGTTGAGTGGGGAGGCCTCTCTGAAGAATTCATATCTAAGCTGAGGTCTGATGGGTGAGCAGGGGTTAATGACAGGCAAAGCATAGGGAAAGAGTATTCCAGGTTGAGGCTGAGTGTTGAGGTTGAGGTTGAGGTGGCTCACGCCTGTAATTCCAGCACTTTGGGAGGCCAAGGCGGGCAGACCACTTGAAGTCAGGAGTTCTAGACCAGCCTGGCCAACATGGTGAAACTCCATCTCTACTAAAAATACAAAAATTAGCTGGGCATGGTGGTGGGCGCCAGTTGTCCCAGCTACTCAGGAGGCTGAGGCAGGAGAATTGCTTGAACTTAGGAGGCAGAGGTTGCAGTGAGCTGAGATTTTGCCACTACACTCCAGCCTGGGCAACAGAATGAGACTCTGTCACAAAATAAATAAATAAATAAATAAATAAATAAATAAATAAATAATAATTCTAAGTTTTATCTTTATTCCAAAAGAAGCCATTAGAGAGCCATTAAATAGGGAAATGATATAAAGAATTTATGTTTTAGCCTGGGCTGCTGCACGGAGAGAGGATTGGAGAGGTGAACATAGGAAGATTGATTAAGAGGCTCCTAGAGAAGTCCCAGCAAGATAAGACCATGTCCAGAAGGACCAGTGGCAGTAAAGCTGGAAAAGTGACAGTTCATCTGGGTTATACAATATTTTCAAGGTAGAATACAAGACTTGACAATATACTCTAACCTCTGAAAGTGAAACAACTCTTCATAATTATGTGGAATGTAGAGCTACAACTGTACAATTTGTTTTGATGCCAAAGTTTCAACGAAAATGCTGAATTATTTTTAACATTTACAAAGAAAGAAAGCAAAT
Source organism: Homo sapiens (assembly GCF_000001405.40). Classification (NCBI taxonomy): domain Eukaryota; kingdom Metazoa; phylum Chordata; class Mammalia; order Primates; family Hominidae; genus Homo; species Homo sapiens. The sequence continues at coordinate 87,766,252 of NC_000006.12, forward strand.
TATATATTTTTTCTTGATGATCCCAGCAAGTTGGTGCATTAGATTATGAGCAGTGAAATCTGATGTTGTGTGCCTCACAATTTTGAAGCTCATGTTCTCTTGGTTGCAGTCATTAATCTCTTGTCTTCTCCAGTTATATTTGTTTATTTAAGACTGCAGGCTGGATTGATTTTACTAGATATGGGTCTCCTTGGTGAGAGGGTCATGAAGGGACAGTGAGGATGTTATGTGAGCTGAAATCATGACATACAAACAGCAAAGAGCAGAGGCTGGGCCCCATCAGGGTTGCTGGATGTTGTATGAATCCATTCGTGTTTTGAGACGAGCATCTCCTTAGAAAAATACTTTCTGGCAAAGTAGTTTACAGGTATTTATTTCCAGATTTGGATAATAAAAACATAATAATACAAATATATAGATGGTCTTAAACTTTATTTTTTTTAATTAAATTAAATTTTTTTTGAGATGGAGTTTCGCTCTTGTCACCCAGGCTGGAGTGCAATGGCACTATCTCGGCTCACTACAACCTCCGCCTCCCCGGTTCGAGCGATTCTCCTGCCCCAGACTCCCAAGTAGCTGGGACTATACGTGTGCACCACCACGCCCAGCTAATTTTTTTTTTTTTTTTTTTTTTTTTTTGCGAGACGGTGTCTCACTCTGTTGCCAGGCTGCAATACAGTGGTGCAATCTCGGCTCACTGCAACCTCCACCTCCCGGGTTCAAGTGATTCTCCTGCCTCAGCCTTCTGAGTAGCTGTGATTAAAGGCACCCACCACCACGCCCGGCTAATTTTTGTATTTTTAGTAGAGATGGGGTTTCACCATGTTGGCTAGGATGGTCTTGATCTCTTGACCTCCTGATCCTCCCACCTCGGCCTCCCAAAGTTCTGGGATTACAGGCGTGAGCCACTGTGCCTGGCCTAATTTTTGTATTTTTAGTAGAGACAGGGATTCATCAAATTGGCCAGGCTGGTCTCGAACTTCTAACCTCAAGTGATCTGCCCGCCTCTGCCTCCCAAAGTGCTGGTATTACAGGCATGAGCCACTGCGCCCAGCCAGACTTTAAAGAGTTTCAAAGAGAATATATAAAAGAGACTTATAAAGAATGCTAACTCATTAAATATGGACAGGGAAGTCTCATGGATGGAATCTGATGTTGAGGCTGTATGTGTTGAGCCTATATTTTTGAGACTAGGACAAAGCAACAAAAATGGAAATACCTTTTGTTCCCCCTTCCAGCCACTTTTCCCCACCCTAGCTAAAATCTAGGAAAACATTTCTAAAGGAGAAGCTGGAGGGCAATCCTATCTTATCATTCTCTTCCCAATGTCTTCCCCCTTCATTCAAAGGGTCTGTGTCTTCAAAAGTAAAACCTTCCGGAAGAGAAGTTCTATGGGAGTCTCTGATCTCAGGATGTGTGATATGTGACAACATTTCACACTTCCCTAATTCAGAGCGTTGGGATGGCAGCAGCGGGGAGCAAGAAGAATTCTAAAAGACTGTGAAAGATGGCCGGGCACGGTGGCTTATGCCTATAATCCCAGCACTTGGAGAGGCCAAGGCAGGCGGATCACGAGGTCGGGAGTTCGAGACCAGCCTGACCAACATGGTGAAACCCCGTCTGTATTAAAAATACAAAAATTAGCTGGGCGTGGTGGTGCGCGCCTGTAATCCCAGCTACTTGGGAGGCTGAGGCAGGAGAATTGCTTGAACGCAGGAGGTGGAGGTTGCAGTGAGCCAAGATCACACTACTGCACTCCACCCTGGGTGACAGAGTGAGACACCATCTCAAAAAGAAAAAGAAGACTGGGAAGAATAAATATCTTTGTCTTGTCCTCTTGAGACTGCAGTCAAAGATCTGGAAATAGGACACCAAGGCAAACATGTATGAGTGGAGAGCAGGGCCCCAAGGAATCTTTAATGTTGCTACAATACAGACAGGACCTGGGTTTGGATGTCTCCTTTCTGAAGGCTCCATGTAGAAATAAAGACAAGAGACCAAAGAAGGAGAAGGAGAGATGAAGCCAAGAAGTAAGCAGCAGCAATTCACAGCTGGGATGTAGTATCGATTTATCTCAGACTCAAAGGATCTGAATGGTTCTAACGACTTAACAAAGGGGGTAAACTAGCCTCTTACTGGATGTCTTTCCTATAGTGCTAACTAGAGTGAGAAATCAAGGTATATGTTGTAATTACCAGTAAATAATAGAGAACTTAGTCCAACCAAGCTTAGAATGTAATTCATTGTTAGTGAACCATTCAGGGGCTCTCTCTCTCTCTCTCTCTCTCTCTCTCTCTCTCTATATATATATATATATATATATATATATATTTTTTTTTTTTTTTTTTTTGAGATGGAGTCTTGCTCTGTCACCCAGGCTGGAGTGCAGTGGCACGATCTCAGCTCACTGCAACCTCCACCTCCCGGGTTCAAGCAATTCTTCTGCCTCAGCCAACTAAGTAGCTGGGATTAGAGGCATGCACCACCACACCCAGCTAATTTTGTATTTTTAGTAGAGACAAGGTTTCTCCATGTTGGTCAGGCTGGTCTCGAACTTCTGACCTCAGGTGATCTGCCTGCCTCAGCCTCCCAAAGTGCTGGGATTACAAGAGTGAGCCACCGTGACTGGCTAATTATTAAAAAAAAATAACACTTTCTTGTTCAGTGTGGTACAATAGATGGAGAAAAGCTAGTCTTTCTAGTTAGAAAATCTTGGTTTCAGTTTATTAGCTTTTTGAACTCGAACAAACTCTTGCTAGAATGCAAGTGCCATGGATTCAGGTTCACTGATGAACCACCACATAGTAGGCACTTATCGGTAAGATCAAGTTAAATGAATGAAGCCATTTATAGTTTCCTGAGCTTTGATTTTTCTCTTATTATTGTTATTATTCTGAGACAGGGTCTTGCTCTCTTGCCCAGGTTGGAGTGCATGGCGTGATCTTGGCTCACTGCAACCTCTGGCTTCCGGGTTCAAGCAATTCACATGCCTCAGCCTCCCGAGTAGCTGAGATTACAGGTGTTTGCTACCATGCCCAGCTAATTTTTGTATTTTTAGTAAAGAAGAGGCTTTGCCATGTTGGCCAGGCTGGTTGTGAACTACCGGCCTCAAGTGATCTGCCCGCCTTGTCCTCCCAAAGTGCTAGAATTATAGGCGTGAGGCACCACTCCTGGCCTGATTTTCTCATATTAAAGAGGGACATGTAATACTTCAAAGGGTTGTCATGAAAATGATAGATAACGTGTTTGTTATAAAATACCTGACCAGGGAAGACAATCTGGTTACACAGAACTTTGGAATAACTTCAGTTGTATTGTTGCCCCCAGGCATGGTTTCTTCTCGTCTCTCTTTCCCTCTTTCAAGTTTTTTTTTTGAGACAGAGTTTTGCTCTTGTTGCCTAGGCTGGAGTGCAATGGCATGATCTCAGCTCACCGCAACCTCTGCGTCCTGGGTTCAAGCAATTCTTCTGCCTCAGTCTCCCGAGTAGCTGGGACTACAGGCTTGCGACACCATGCCCAGCTAATTTTTGTACTTTTAGTATAGACGGGGTTTCACCATGTTGGTCAGGATCATCTCGAGCTCTTGACCTCGTGATCTGCCTGCCTCAGCCTCCCAAAGTGCTGGGATTACAGGAGTGAGCCACCGTGCCCAGCCTCCCTTTAGATAGATTTTAGCTTTACTGAGGAATGCAAGCAATTCATTAGAAACTGCCAGCCAGAAAGCAGACGCATGTGCTGCCATTGGGTGACCTCTTAATGATGTGCTCAAAGAGTATTTACCTATATGATAAATATGGTGCGTTGTTCTTTGGGGACTTTTAGCAGTCTAAACAAATGCTTTTTAACAAACAGGATCCTCCAGCTGTATCCTTTTGTCTCCTTTCTGCCTTTCCCTGTCAGTTTTTGTTTTCTGGCCACCCTAAGCTGCTCTCAGTTCTTGAACAAACCACAGCTTTCTGCATCTCTAGCCTTCACTACCTGGACTTCCCATCACTTTGCCCTGCGCTTTAGGTCTCATTTTAATACCACATCTCAAAGACGCCTTTTTCAGTCTTTCAGGGTAGCTCTGGTCTCTTGTCGTATGATCCCATAATTCTCTGTGGTTCCTCTTTCATGATAGTAATCACACCTATTGCTTCTTCATGACTATCTTCTCCACTACACTCTGAGCTTCATGGTGGCAGAACCTGCCTTGTTCACCATCGCATCCTCAGTGTCTGGCACAAAGTAAACATGCAGAGACATTTTTGTTGAATTCAAAGTGGGCTGGGCAGGGTGGCATGTAATCCCAGCACTTTGGGAGGCTGAGGTGGGATGATCGCTTGAGGCCAGGAGTTCGAGATCAGTATGGGTAATATAGCAAGACGCTGTCTCTATTTAAAAATAATTAGAAAAAGAAAGTGAACAAATTAAACAAATGTCTCAAAAAGATTTCAGCACCAGAAGAGATCTTAAAGGTATAGTGATCATATTTGCTCAAACAAAAGGCAGAAATTATTGCCTGGTAAAGGATTTTGTTTTTGATTTGTAAAATTGCTTACATGGAAATCCTCTTTTTTTTTTTTTAGTTGGAGTCTTGCTGTGTTGCCCAGGCTGGAGTGCATTGGCACAATCGCAGCTCACTGCAACCTCCATCTCCCAGGTGCAAGCGATTCTCCTGCCTCAACCTCCTGAGTAACTGGGACTACAGGCACATGCCAACATGCCCAGCTAATTTTTGTATTTTTAGTAGAGACAGGGTTTCACCATGTTGGTCAGGCTGGTCTCGAACTCCTGACCTCAGGTGATCCACCTGCCTCGGCCTCCCAAAGTGCTGGGACTACAGGCATAAACCACCGCGCCTGGCCAAAAATTATAATAAAACTGGAATTTCAAGAATTTTTGGTTATATATTTAATATATATATTTTATATATATATTTGCTTTTGTTAAAGATATGACAATTATTTGGCATTATGATAATCAAGAAGCATCTGGCATAAATGCTCTTACACTTAAAGTAATCTAGAGTTCAATAAAATAAAAATCTATGTAGTGAGTTAATGTTTTTAAAATATTAACAGGTATTTTTCATTTTGGTAACTCCTAATTTCATGTTACCTCACAGTTCTTGATTCTAGAGCCAGATAGCCTGGGCTCAAATTCTGTCTCCACCACTTAGTTCTTATTGATTTTTCTTTTTTTGAGATGGAGTCTTGCTCCATCGCCCAGGCTGGAGTGCAGTGGCATGATCTTGGCTCACTGCAACCTCTGCCTCCCAGGTTCAAGGGATTCTCCTGCCTCGGCCTCCCAAGTAGCTGGGACTACAGGTGCCCACCACCACGCCTGACTAATTATTATTTTTTTAAATATTTTTAGTAGAAACGGGGTTTCACCATGTTAGCCAGGATGGTCTTGATCTCCTGATCTCGTGATCCACCTGCCTCGGCCTCCCAAAGTGCTGGGATTACAGTCATGAGCCATTGTGTCCGGCCGGTTCTTATTGATCTTAAGGAAGTTTCTTAAACTATGTACGCCACATTTTCACTATTTGTAAACTGGTATAAAGTAGTATCTGTTGGTCAGGCTTGGTGGCTCACGTCTGTAATTCTAGCACCTTGGGAGGCTGAGGTGGGAGGATCACTTGAGCCCAGGAGTTCAAGACCAGCCTGGGCAATATAGTGCAACCTTGTCTCTACGAAAAATTTAAAAATTGGCCAGGTGTGGTGAGCTGTGCCTGTAGTCCCAGCTACTCAAGAGCTGAGGTGGGAGGATCAGTTGAGCTTGGGAGGTCAAGGCTGCAGTGAGTGGTGATCGTGCCACTGCATTCCAGCCTGGGCAACAGAGTGAGACCTTGTCTCAACAACAACAACAACAAAAAAGTATCTATGTAATAGAGTTATTTTGAAGGTGGACTGAGATAATACATGTAAAATTACTAGAATGGTGCTTGGCACTTGGCTGTCAATACATATTATTTTATTATTATTGTTATTATCCTGAGAGCAGTCACACCTGAAAACAAAATAATCATTGCTTAGCTTTGCATTTTAAAATGGTTTTAAAAGTCTGTATTTAAAAACCTATTAAGTCAAAAGTCTGTAACAGGGCAACATCAGAGAAAATGGTGAAGTAAGGGCCTATGAAAATTCTTTCCTCTGTGAAAGCAGCAAGAAAACTAAAAAAGATTGTCAGAATAAATTTTTCTCAAACTCTGAAAATTAATCAAAGGTTTTCAGCTATCCAGGGACATTTATTCAGGTAAATAATAGAGAACCTAGTAGAAGTTTCTGACTAGAAAACAGCTAAATCTCAATTAGAAAAGTGAGCTTTGGGGCATTTTAACCTGGTGTATTCCCATCCTCTACTCTTCAGTCTCATGGCAGCCTGAGAACTAAGAGCTCACAATCACAATGAAAACCAGCAGTGTGGTAGCCATTGGAGTAGGCAGAACAGAGTTGTAGCGCCTTTAATGCCTCACTCAAAGAAAATTGTCATTATCTGATCCATCTGGTGGTTCTCTGGAAGACCTATTTACAAGACTGTCTGTATTTAACCTAACTTGGGGCTGATTCAGTGTCACTGCAAAAGACCTTTTCCCCCTGAGATGGGTTTTTGTTGAAAATATTTAAACGTGATTGTTTAGCTATTTGGCTGCCTGAGGTAATGGATAACAGCTGGGGCAAACAATAGGTTAAACAAAAAGCTTAAAAGGAAAAACTGAGGAGTGAGATGTTTACAGGGATTTTGAAAAGCCCTGGCATATTTCCGGGGAATTTAGAAGGTCATGTGCATGTGTAGGGCTCTGTGCATGCTAAGAGTTTTAGAGCAAGTAGCTAGGCAGACAGGAGCAGGGCAGGAGTGGGCCTCCCACCCCACCAGGAATGTCAGGCAACCATCAGGTGATGGTCAGATAGTTGTTGAACTGTCTGTCTAAAATAATAATTGGTTGCAGCCAGTGCCAGGGAAAGGCTGGCTCCCAATAGACACAAAACACCTGAAACTGGTGATCAGCAGCTTCCTGATAAGATCTCAGGAGCTGGGCGAGTAGGCTCAAGCATGCGCACTAAGGGGCAAAATGATGAAGTTTAGCTGGTATATGACCTTCCTTTAGGAACACTTGACTGGTAAGGGAAAAATGCCTCAAATAAGCATGTGCACAACTTTAGTAAAGACACTGTGCATGTGGCCCCTCCCAAGTGCTGGCAGGCCACTGCACATGCAGACAGCCCACACTAAGGGAAAAATCAAGGGAGAAGAGACGTAAAACCCCAGAAGCATGCCAACATACAACCCCCAAGTCAAAGGTCAAACAGTGCACTTGGATCTCTGAAGTCTCCTGCTTGTCCTCCTTTTTGTTCCTGCTCTAAAATTTTTAAATAAACGTTCACTCTCGCTCCTGCTCTAAAACTTGCCTTGGTCTGCCTTATATCCCTCAGGTGAATTATTTCGTCTGAGGAGGCAAGAATTGAGGTGCTGCAGATTTGTATGGATTTGCTGCTGCTAACAAGAGCTGTGTGTATGCTCGGGAAAGACCTGAGAAAACCTTAAGCTGTCACCTCTGGCTGCCCTTGAGGCCCTACAGAAAGTGAAGCCTAAGGCAAAGTTGTCAACTGCCTGGCTAAATATTGAAGGCAGCCCCAATATGCACACAGAGCCCTTCAGCAAAGACTGGGAGAAGTATCCATTCCAAAAGTGTAAGAAAATCTCTGTCCAATCACTAGAGGAACACTAAGCTAACTGAGCAGAGACTTACCAGCCATACATAAAAAAGAATACAAATTTTATTTTATTTTATTTTTTTGAGACAGAGTCTCACCCTTTCACCCAGGCTGGAGTGCAGTGGCATGATCTTGGCTCACTGCAACCTCTGCCTCCCAGGTTCAAGTGATTGTCCTGCCTCAGCCGCCCGAGTAGCTAGGACTACAGGTGCCAGCCACCACACCTGGCTAATTTTTTATACTTTTGGTGGAGATGGGGTTTCATCATGTTGGCCAGGCTGGTCTCGAACTGCTGACCTCAGATGATCCACCCGCCTTGGCCTCCCAAAGTGCTGGGATTACAGGTGTGAGGCATCATGCCCGGCCTCAAGAATACAAATATTAAAAAATTAGTTCTTAAAAGTCACTAAACAACAGCAAATAGAAACCAGCAACAACAAATCCTGAGCAGGGCAAAGAATCTAATTTCCAGAGTTACCACATTTTAAATTTATATTTTATTTATTTGTATTTTATATGTCTAGTTTAGTGGTTAACAAATATTTCTAGACTTTCAAATAAAAAGTATGGCCCAAACACAGGAAAAAAAAAGTAGTCAACAGAAATGCTCCCTGAAGAAGCTCAGGCACAGGACTTTAGACTAAAGACTTTAAATCAGCTTTTCTTTTCTTTTTTTTTTGCATCCCTGGGTGGGCATGATCTAAACCACCTACTTTAAAATATGTTCAGAGAACTATAGTAAAGTATGGTAATGATGTCTCACCAAGTATAGAATATCAATAAACAGATAGAGATTATTTAGAAAAAGAACAAAATATAAATTTTGGATGTTAGAAGTATAACTGAAATGAAACTTTCATTAGAAGAGCTCAACAGAAGATCTGAGTAGGTAGAAGAAAGAATCAGCAAATGTGATGATCAGCTGAAATTTTTCTGTTTGATGAACAGAAAGAAAAAGGAATAAAGAAAATGAGCAGAGCCTTAGAAACCTGTAGGACACAATCAAGCATGCCAACATATGCATAATGGGAGTTCCAAAAGGAGAGAAGAGAGAGAACTATGCAAAAGAATACTTGATAAAATAATGTCTGAAAACTTCCCAAATTTGGTGAAGAGTCTGTAGCAGATACAATGACCTAGGAGCCAAAGAGTTTTTATTTATTTCATTTATTTATTTTTTCGAGACAGTGTCTCACTCTGTTGCCCAGGCTGGACTGCAATGGCTCACTGCAACCTCTGCCTCCCAGGTTCAAGCAATTTTCCCACCTCAGCCTCCTGAGTAGCTGGGACTACAGGCACACACCACCACACCTGGCTAATTTTTGTATGTTTAGTAGAGTTGGGGTTTCACAAGTTGGCCAGGCTGGTCTCAAACTCCTGAACTCAAGTAATGCACCTATCTTGGCCCCCACAAAGTGCTGAAATTACAGGTATGAGCCACCATGCCCGGCCATCAGAAAGCTTTTAGTTTGCAAGAACCAGGGTTTGGAAGGACAGACGTGCCCCCTCCATCATTTCTTTCCTTTTTTTTTTTTTTTTTTCTTGAGACGAAGTCTTGCTCTGTCACTCAGGCTGGAGTGAAATGGCACAATCTTGGTTTGCTGCAACCGCCGCCTCCTAGGTTCAAGCAATTCTCCTGTCTCAGCCTCCTGAGTAGCCGGGACTACAGGCACCCACCACCATGCCTGGCTGATTTTTGTATTTTTAGTAGAGACAGGGTTTCACTATGTTGGCCAGGCTGGTCTCGAACTCCTGACCTTAGGTGACCCACCCACCTCGGCCTCCCAAACTGCTGGGATTACAGGTGAGAGCCACTGTGCCCGGCCCCTTCATCATTTCGATTTAAGACATACCATTTACACATGGTATGAAGAAGCATGTCTGACGATGCCAAATGCTTCCAGCCTGACAGAAAAGGTGTAAGACTTCTTTCTGGGCTAGTTTGAAGGGCTCAGAGATAAATGGAGGAGCTAGTTGAAGAGAAAAAATAGAGTTGAGATGTTACAATGGGACTTTGCACTCTACAACCCTTCTCTCAAGATAAAAATTCTCGTTACACATGGATAGAAGACAGAAAACTCAGAGGTGTGAGGATTCCTCAATCCATCTGGAGCTCTGGGAAGAGTGCCCTGGGCCATTCTGGGTGGGGGTGGGAGGGTGGTCACAATAGAGACGAAGGGAAAGTGCAGTGTGTTTAGGTGGAGAGGATATGACAGAGTTGGCTTGCTCACTCACGTGCCGCCACCCTCACCCCCCTCCACCAAATGTATTTCTCCATCCATGGGGCTGGAATATGTCTAAAAGTTATTTTCCATGTCTTAGCGGGACCCAGAATGAGTTCATAACTGAGGATGGGTGTGTCCATCAGAGGGTCACCATGGTGTGAAATAATGGGACCTCAGAGTAGAGGTCATGGTAGAATAGTTTAGCATGGATAGGATAAGAGATGTGGCTGAATGGTGGAGAATCAGCAGTGCCATTGTGAGACAAAGAGAGAAGACTACCCTGTCTCCAAGCAGTCCTGGAGCACCAACCAGCAAAGAGGACAGATTATCTAAACTTGACCTTGACCGTCAACATAGCGGGGACAGAGGCTGCCGCACAAGCCACACCTCAGGAAAGCTGGTGAAGAGGGAGATAACACATGGAACAATGCTCCCCTGATGCTGGGATAATATGTAACCCCCCTGGAATTTAGATTAGTCTGGGAAGAAAAGGAGGTTAAAAAAGGTGAAAGAAAAATAATCTTTTCTTTTGTTTTTTGTTTTGTTTTGTTTTGTTTTGTTTTTTTGAGACAGAGCCTTGCTTTGTTGCCCAGGCCAGAGTGCAGTGGCATGATCTCGGCTCACTGCAACCTCCACCTCCCAGGTTCAAGCAATCCTCCTGCCTCAGCCTCCTGATAGCTGGGATTACAGGCATGCACCACTACTCCTGGCTAATTTTTGTAATTTTTTTTCTTTTTTAAAGTAGAGACTGGGTTTCGCCATATTGGCCAGGCTGATCTCAAACTCCTGACCTCAAGTCATCCTCCTGCCTTGGCCTCCCAAAGTGTTGGGATTACAGGCATGAGCCACCATTCCCAGCCAGGAAGAGAATCTTAAAAGATGACATCTTTAAGATGGAAGTGACTTGAATCCCTGAAATGGATACAACTAAGTTTTCTGCTACCAGAGACAATGGGATCTTGAGAGCTAAAATTAATTTCAGCCATAGACAAGGAAAATTATATCTTTGCACATCTAGACTGTAGTACTGTGAAAATGTATTTCTACTGTACCTGTTTAGGTTATCTCTCATTTCATCAAAATTGCACTTATTTTGTATCATATGTGCATTTAATTGTGTACCTTAGATATTCCACAAAAAGAAAGAGAAATATTCTTTGAATATTATGGGAGAGTCTACCCACTATTCCTTCCAGGAAGCACGTGAATAAGCCATTCCTTAGCTCGGCTCAGTACCCGAGGGCTTCTCATAGAGTGAAAATCTCACCAAACTGAGCACAGTTCTATTTCTAAAGACACTTAATTTTCACAACCCCAACTGCATGTCAGTTATTTCATTCAGTGCTCCACTCAAGAGACAGCAATCTGTTCCAACAATGGAGCAACACCTGTCTCTGTAGAATTTCCTGAGAGAGTCTTCCTGAGGATTGTCAAAGAGAATTGGACTGTGTGCTTTTCTCTGTACGTGCTAACATTTAAATCTAACCCTAAGGTAAGATAAGACTTCAAATTTTTGGCTGAATATCTAGAGAACAGTTTGAGACATACCTCCTTTAAAGAGCTGACAGTGGCTTTATGTTTGTGGGTTAATTTTTCTTTAATAACATCACAGATCAAGTTAAATTAATGTTTACTTTTCTCAAAATGTTGGGATGGTCTCCCTAAATTAAGTACAAAGGTGGTAATTTAATGTATTCTTTCAACAAAGTACTAATGTTTGAGGAAAAAAGATGGCCTTGTGAATTTAGTTTCATATATACTGGGGTCTCTCAAAGATGAACAAACATTTAGAGCCAACTGGAACTTGATGCTGAGTTAAAGCATTCAGACACCTACACACGGTTGCCAAGGCCTTGGGCAGCGATCCTGAAATGGGAGCCACGGCAGGTGGGGCCCTGTTTCTAAGTCTCAACAGACTCTAGATTATATCTGGGCATTTTTCCCTCTTATTGGTCAGAGTCAAAAAGGTGAATTCAGTGGTATTGACATGCTTTTATTATTGTTATTATTTAGGAACTGCCTTTGTTTAAAACTGAATTTTTATTTTTTACAAAGTAAGCACATGTACATAGTTTTATTTTATCTATTTTATTTTATTTTTTATTTTATTATTATTTTTTGAGACAGAGTCTCGCTGTGTTGCCCAGGCTGGAGCACAGTGGCGCCATCTTGGCTCACTGCAACCTCCGCCTCCCGGGTTTAAGCGATTCTCCTGTCTCAGCCTCCCGAGTAGCTGGGGTTACAGGCGCCCGGCACCACTCCTGGCTATTTTTTTTTTTTGTATTTTTAGCAGAGACAGGGTTTTGCCATGTTGGCCAGGCTGATCTCTAACGCCTGACCTCAAGTGATCCGCATGCCTTGGCCTCCCAAAGTGCTGGGATTACAGGCATGAGCCACCGTGCCTGGCCTTTTTTATTTTTTAAATTGAGACAGGGTCTCACTCTGTCATCCAGGCTGGAGCGCAGTGGCACCATCACGGCTTACTGGACCCTCGACTTCCTGGGCTCAGGTAATCCTCCCACCTGAGCCTCCTGAATAGCTGGGACTAGGCGTGTGCCACTACACCCGGCTGTACGTAGTTTTAAAACTACAATAATATACTGGACTTCATAATCTCCTAATTCTTGCTTCTATGAGGTAAAAACGTTCAACATTTTCAAATGTTTTCAAAAATAGCAAAAAGAAGCTAGTGATTTTTCTGGTATTTTTCTTTTCTTTTTTTTTTGGGGGGGGGTGGTGGTGGTGGTGATGGAGTCTCACTCTGTCACCCAGGCTGTAGAGCAGTGGCACCATCTCGGCTAACTGCAACCTTTGCCTCCCGGGTTCAAGCGATTCTCCTGCCTCAGCCTCCAGAGTAGCGGGGACTGCAGGCACGCACCAACACAGCTGGCTAATTTTTGTATTTTTAGTAGAGATGGGGTTTCACCATGCTGGCCAGGCTGGTCTTGAACTCCTGACCTTGTGATCTGCCCGCCTCGGCCTCCCAAAGTGCTGGGATTACAGGAATGAGCCACTGCGCCCGGCTAGGATTCAGCATTGTTATACATACAAGTTTTTTTTTTTTCCTTTTCTTTTCTTTTTTTTTGAGACAGGGTCTCACTCTGTCACCCAAGCTAGAGTGTAATGGGGTGATCACAGCTCACTGCAGCCTCGACGTCCTGGACTCAAGCAATCCTCCAACCACAGCTTCCTGAATAGCTGGGACTATAGGCGCATGCCACCATGCCTGGCTGTTTTTCTTTTTCTTTTTTTTTGGTAAAACGGAGTCTCACTATGTTGTGTAGGCTGGTCTTGAACTCTTGAACTCAAGCAATCCTCCCGCTAGGCCTCCCAAAGTGCTGGGATTACAGGTGTGAGCCACCATGCCCAGCCCCACACATAAGTATTTTTGGTCTGAATCACCTTGGCTTGAATGATCAAATATAATAGTTTTGAACACTTCTTGTGTGCATCTTACATCCTTTTGGCCGCACCTCTTACTCTAGCCACTGCTTTGGTAATTAGTTCTCATAGGTTTAGACTAGGTGCATGCAGTCTTATTCTGATAGTGCCTTATCTTAGTCTCCAGTTCCTGCCCTAGAACTTCTCTAACACCGAGTGGTGGTATCCACAGAATTTCTGGACACTCATGCAGGGCAAACAAGAAGTTTAAGGGAGTTAATATTCATGAGGTCATCTCTGACCAGATGGGGATGGGAGCCAATGAACAAAAGCTTCCATCTTTTGTACCTGGCAAACAGTTCTGAGATGCATCTCAGGAGGTTTCACCCTCTTGCTCCTCAATCCTGCTCATTGGGACCACTTCCCAAATAACTACCTGCACCCAGACTTTGTTTTGGGTCCAAGTCTCAGGCAAACCTGGGGTGAGACAGTATCAGAAATGCCACTAGAAAGCAAGCTGTCATCATGGAATTTAGAGCTGGGTCACTCACTGCTCAGATGGCAATAAAAATCCCATTGCAGGTAGTATGTGGATGGTGATAAATCCTGGCATGTGATTGCATCAAAATTACTAAAACTCATTTATGGTAAATTGGGATGAGATATCAGTGGAAGGAGAAGCACTAAGTTAACATGATTGTTATTCACTTGAATGATACAGGAACAGTGAGAATTATAAAGACTGTGAAGTTATGTGGCCTTTATGGATTTCTTTGGACACCTTCAGAAAAAGATAACACAGGTGTGGGACAGAAGGCCTCCATGGTAGAATTTAAGGAGACTAATCTTCTGTAGTTGCAGGGAAGACTGCTGAATATTAGGACTAGGATTTAACTGTAAGGGAGGCAGAATTGTAACTTTGGCAATTCTGCTAGCAGCTTTGGCAGGTCTCTCATGTCAAAGTCGGGATTCTGATAGGCAATGAGTGCAACCCTGAGATCTAGGATAGGAATATTTGGGTGCCCAAGCCTGAAAATCTTGAATCTTTCAAATCCTCTTAAACTTTTGGGATGGCAAAAAAAAAAAAAAAAAAAAAATCTCCTTTCTCATTGCTAAGGAGAAGAGCCTCCACTTGCTTGGAGACTATGTATTGAGCTTGCCTGAGGCAGGTGCCTCTGTTCTCAAGAGCCACCCCTGCTACCTCTCATTGCCTGTGGGTCAGTAACAAGGGTCAGGTGTCAGCACAGCTCAAACAGAGATGCAGAGTTCTTGCTCCAGGAGAAAAATATGCACTGGAGGAATTGCTGGATCTGATTAATATGTATGAGCACGGACTAGGGGAACATGAGGGAGTAAATCTTGAGGGAATTGGGCCATGAAGAGCAGAATATAAGTCTGGATAGGGAAGGGTTTACTGGGAACTTATAAACTTGGGGATTCAATATTATATGAAGGACATGTAAGGTCATCTTTTTTATTTTAAGACGGAGCCTCTCTCTGTTGCCCAGGCTGGAGTGCAGTGGTATAATCTCAGCTCATGCAACCTCCCCTCCTGAGTTCAAGCGATTATCCTGCCTCAGCCTCCCAAGTAGCTGGGAGTACAGGCACATGCCACCATGCCTAACTTTTGTATTTTTTAGTGAAGACTGGGTTTCACCATGTTGGTCAGGCTGGTATTGAACTCCTGACCTCAAGTGATCTGCCCACTTTAGCCTCCCAAAGTGCTGGGATTACAGCCGTGAGCCACCGGGCCTGACAAAGGACATGTAAGGCCATCTAAATAATCTGTTTGATGCCCTGAACCAAAGCTGGATACAATAATGAACTGAAGGACCGATGAAGATTTGGTGAAGACACCAAACTGCCTTGGCATGACACTGAGTGGATCTTCAGAAGATCAGGGAAAAAGCTGAACATTCATCCTCTGATTATGTTGCCCTGAGGGCTCTGAGAAGATTCCCTTCATTAAGACAGTAAGGAATTCATCAGTTACAGGAGACCTGTCTTTGAGAAACTCAATGGTGGTCCTCTTCTGTAGGCCATACTGCCATGGAATTGTATCTTATAATATCAATGGGGATGATGGTATTCCAGAATGGTAGAGGTCAGATGTTGGTACTTAGCTATTAGGAGGAAAAAGAGAACTTAACCATCAAAAGAAAGCAAGACTAGAGTGGCAAACAGGTCACCATAGCTTGCAGATTTCTCTAGTGATAGCCTAATAAATCACAGTGTTCTTAGGAATTAGATAGACAGATAGCTAATTAGGATGTAACTCAACTTGCTAATCTAAAAAAAGAATTGAAAGCTGTTAAGTAGAAGGCTAATTTTAGGCACTGCAAAAGAAAACTATGGTCCCTCACCCTGTTGCTAGATTTAAGTAATTCAGAGATCCAGATCCCTTTGTTTGAAGGGGAGAACAAGTCTTTTTGTGGAAGGACTTTATAACACAAGTGGATAGGTAAATATTTCCCTCTCTCCTTTTGTGGAGAGACCTGTAGACATTTGTCAGAGTAACTACACTGGGAAAAAGAGAAGACTCAGATTCAAAGATTTTTAGATAAGAGATTTAGGTGGACACTGATACCAGGGAACCCCAAACTCTGTCATGGACCTGCAGACAGTGTGTGTGCTTTTAGGGACCATGTGTTAAATGGACTTCTGGCCCAAATCTATCTCATAGTGGGTCCAATGGGTCTGTGAACCAATCTTGTTATTTCTCAGTTCCTGAGGGCATTAGAGATATACTTAGCACTAGAAGAATCCTCATAGTTGTTCCCTAATCAGTAGAGTTTGCGCCATTAGAACTTTAAAAAGGCCAAGTGGAAGCTTCTGAAACTATTCCTCCCCACTGTTCTGCCCCATCAGACAAGATTATAAATCAGAAGCATAGTACATGCCAGAAGGAATTGCAGAGATTGGCACCACTATGAAAGACCTAAAAGATACAGTTGTTATGGTTACCATCATTTCCTGCTTTCATTTTACCTGCATGGTTCCTGCAAAATCTGGATGGATCATGGCAGAGTGTAGACTTCCATAGACTTAACTGGGTATTAATCCCAACTATACCTGCTCTCCTGTATATGGTATCTTTACTGATTCAGATCAACCCAACCTCTAGCACTTGATAAGCAGCTATTGATCTAGTGAATTCATACTTCTCAATCCCCTTAAAAGGAAAGATCAAAAGTAATTCACCTTCATGGGAAGAACAGCACTACACATTCATGTCCTTGCCCCCAGGACTATGTAAATTCTTTTGCTTTCTATTTTAGGGGCTTCAGTCATGTTGACAATCATCAGATCACCATATGGCATCTTACTAAATGGACCTGATGAACAAAGAGTGGCAAGTACCAATGCCCTAGTAGAATCATGTGTACCAGAGAGTGGGAGATAAATCTCATGAATATTCAGGGAATTGCTACATTGGTGAAGTTTGTAGGGATCCAGTGGTCTGGAACATGCCAGGTCATCCCTTCCAAGATAAAAAATGAGAGGTTGCACCTCACACCTGCTACCACTAAGAATGAGGCACAATTCTTGTCTCCCTAGCAGCTTTGCCCTTTAGTAACAGGAGATAAATGTATTTTTAAAATTATCTCAGTGGCCCTCTGGCTTTCAAAACAAGCTTTGAATT
Source organism: Homo sapiens (assembly GCF_000001405.40). Lineage (NCBI taxonomy): Eukaryota > Metazoa > Chordata > Mammalia > Primates > Hominidae > Homo > Homo sapiens. The sequence goes on from NC_000006.12 coordinate 87,783,201, forward strand.
GGTAGTAGTTTGTCCTGAGTCTATCATTTTCTTTTTTGAAGGCTTTTGATTCTGTTAATAGCAGTAAGGCCATTCCACAATTTTCAGTCATAACTGCTCCCATACTTTTTAAGTACCACAGCCATTGCATATCCCATTGCCTCACCTTCTAGCTCCACCTAATATCAATTAATTTCAGGTGAAAGACAGTACTTGCGATATCATTGCACATTGGGAACTTCCACCCCACTTACCGCTAATACTGGAAACCCTATTGCTTTCAGAGCTCTGAGTAATCTAGTACCAAAATCTCATCCTAAGGGTCTGCTCTCAAGGGTCACCCCTTGATACCAACTGTCTGATAGGCAGGATTCTAAGATGATTCCCAATGACTCTTGCTTTTGTATAATCCTCTTCCCTTCAAGTGTGAGGGTGTATGTTACATTATATGGCCAAAGGGATTTTGCTAACGTGATTAAAATTCCAAGTCAGTGGAGCTTAAGATAGGGTGATTATCCAGGTGGTCCTGAACTGATCACGTGAGTCATTTAAATCTGGGTCTAGGGGTCAGACGCCGAGAGAGGTAAGAGAGTTTTTTTTTTTTTTGCTACAGAGTTTTGCTCTTGTTGCCCAGACTGGAGTGCAATGGTGCAATCTCTGCTCACTGCAACCCAGGTTCAAGTGATTCTCCTGCCTCAGTCTCCTGGGTAGCTGGGATTACAGGCATCCGCCACCATGCACGGCTAATTTTTTGTATTTCTTTTTTTTTTTTTTTTTGGTAGAGACAGAGTTTCACCGTGTTGGCCAGAGTGGTCTCGAACTCCTGACCTCAGGTGATCCACCCACTTTGGCCTCCCAAAGTGCTGGGATTATAGGCATGAGCCACCATGCCTGGCCAGGATAAGAGATTGGAAGCATAAGAATGATTCAATGTGCCATTGCTGGCTGTGAAGATGGAGGGGGTCATGTGATAAAGAATGCAGGTAGCCTCTGGGAGCTGAGAACAGGCCCCAGCTGACAGACAGCAAGGAAATGGCAACCTTTACCCTACAACTGCAAGGAATTGAACTCTGCCCAAACCAGGTGAGCTTGGAAGAGGATTCTAAACTCCTGATGAGAACACAACTCAGCCTACACCTTGGTTTCAGTCTTATGTGAACCTGAGCTATAAACCCAACTGCACTGGGGTAGAATGACCTACAGAATTGTGACCTGACTAATAAACAGGGATTGTTTTCCACAACAAAGTTTGTGGTAATTTGTTACCAGCAATAAGAAAACGAATACATTCTGAGCTTTTGTTGCTTAGAAAGCAGTGCCTGAGGCCAAGGCTTATGTGCTACAACTTAATTAGGGAGGGCAATTCCCTAGTAGGGATCGGGAATTAGGGAAAAGTAGAGTGAGGCAGGGAAGGAGGGAAATGCAATTGGAGGATAGCTATTAAGAACAACTGATCCCTTGATCTTGGGGAACTGTTATTGAAAGGGATATATATGATTGCTTCTCAGGACAGTCCTCTGATGTGTTAAAGGGAGAATTAGTTGTTGGCTCCTGTTTCCCTTTGGTCAAAGAATCTTTCCAGTGGGTGTTAATCCTCCTGCACTCCCTGAATGTACATATGCAGACATACCCAGCATCAACGGGAAAGCTGCGGGACAGGATGTCAGAGGTGTGCATGAAGTGAGGTGCTATTGGCATGCACTGAGTGAAGTTGGTTGAAATTTACACAGAGTTGGCTGCCACAATATGGGCTGAGCTGGAACAAGAGGTCAGAGGCCACAGAGAAAGGTAAGGCTGAGAGGATCTGAAGTGGCAAATAACAGGTGACTCTTATGTTGGAATGGTCTCTTGTTGTTCCTTTTTAATGTGGAGAAAGCTGAAGAAGTGGTTAAAGTTTTGTTATATTTTGCTTTGACCTAATACTTTGACAGAGATCATCAACTGCAGTTGCAAAATCCATCATGATATTTGCTGTAAACAGGATATCTAATTCAGCTGGAGCATCTCCATAAAGATTGTTCTAGGCCTCTCTGGGGATCTTCAATGTCCCAGGGCAAACTCTTCACTGTCAACTCTTTTCTGAGTGAGTATGATAGTTTTCTTTTGGAATTTTTATTTTTTCCAAACCTGGTTTCATGATTTTTAAATTTTCTGTAGTGTTTGATTTGGAGTGTCTAAAGGGTTAGATACAACCTTTGATCTATAAGGCATTCTCCAAGAGTAAACATAGATTTGTAATAACCCTTTTGAAGTTCAAATTATGTGGTTTTGGCCTGTGCTTTCTTTGAAGAGTCTCCATTTCCCCCTTAATCTCTGTGCCCAGCAAAGGGATAAACCTTCTTCTTGTGGTTGTTATTATCACAGAGAATAAATTTTCCAGATGTTGCTCTGCAGATTTCCCCTCATGTTTTCTTGGCTAGAACAGTATCACCTTTTTACTCTTAGCTGCAAGAGAGGCTGTGAATGGCAGTATCTAACATTTTCACAGCCTCTTACGGGAGGCAGGTTTGGTGAAAAAGAGGAAAGGAATGGTTGTAGGAAAGGCAACCCAGCAATTTCCCTTCCTGCCTCGTTAATTTCAATCAGTCTTGTCTCCCTGAGACTTTGCCCTAGTTACCTTGACTAAGACTAGAGAGAGTGGATCTTCTCAACCATACATTTACAGACCAATTACAGGACAGGTGATTTCTATTCGTGGTTCATCTCATCTGTTATGTGTTGATTCCTACTAGGGTCACTCTCAGAGGGTGACGTTACTGTCAAGTTCAGGGAGTACCTTTCTCTCCCCTAAACATTGATTAAGATAGGGGTCAAAAGTCCGGGCACAGTTGCTCATGCCTGTAATCCCAGCACTTTGGGAGGCCGAAGTGGGCAGATCACCTGAGGTCAGGAGTTTGAGACCAGCCTGGCTAACATGGTGAAACCCCGTTTGTACTAAAAATACAAAAAATTAGCCGGCTGTGGTGGCGTGCGCCTGTAATCCCAGATACTTGGGAGGCTGAAGCAGGAGAATCACTTGAACCCGAGAGGTGGAGGTTGCAGTGAGCCAAATCACGCCATTGCACTCCAGCTTGGGTAAGAAGAGCAAAACTCCATCTCAAAAAAAAAAAAAAGATAGGGGTCGGAAATCTGACCTCGGCAATTTTAAAACAGCTCTGAGTTTGAGTTTCTATTGTGTTTTGAGTTTGAACCCCCTACAGCCACTTTACATATTTGTTACTTGTTTGACTCATGAAGCATTTGAGCCTGCAACTTCTGGGAAAGAAATCAACTGCAAATTCACTGGGTAAATTGCATATGAGGGAATACAGATTAATATTCCAGAATAGAGAAATTTACTCCTTAAAGTACCAAACATTTCTAATTTTAATTTTCTTGAAAACATATCTTTCCCCTTTTGTTTCTCCTCTACATGGTAAGGTTTTACAGGAATATTTAAGTCAGACATTTCCATTATGGTTTTTTGCTTCTTCCTTCTGTCCTTGCATCTATAGTTTCTTCTTTCAATTTGCTGCACCATCCGCTTTGGCTTTAGAAAAAGGATCACTGAGCTTGAAGGAGTTTTGTCTAAAATAAAAGTAAGTGGTATCTGACTTGTGGATTCCTTTGTTTCCCAACAGTGTCTGTCTAGGACACCTGCTAAGTCACCTATGTTTGTATTTGATCTCACCACTGTCTAGAAGAGACTCTCTTTGGAAAGATCCAAGGAAGAGGGAAACCTTTGAGAACTTTGAATCAGCAGCCTCTATTTCTGATTTTAATACCTTATTTGACGAAGGCCTAGAGACACTTTGTCACACAGGCAGTTAGTGGAAGAGGTGGGAGGGAACTGAGGTCTTTGGTTTATTCCATGCAGGTGAAGATAAACCTCTTTGGATAGCCTTCCCTGTTTCTCCCACATCAAGTGGAAGACCCATGGGAAAAAGGCAGGATTCTGTCTTGTTCACAGCCACATTCACAACACCCTAAATTCACATATCGGGTACTCAGGAATGATTGGATGACTCAATACTATATTTTCCAGGTTCCTTTCTTTTTGGTATATTCTTACTCTCACTATGTTCTTCTAAACTGGGTTTTGTTGTGAGGGCATACTTGTGAGGAGCAAAGGACTATGAAAATTAAAGCCTTTGCAAGTGAATATCTTTGTATGCTATTACTGCATCAGGACAGAATTCAAGGAGCAGAATATGGGAGTGTTGATCTGAACCTGAATAAACCTGGAGAATCATACTATGGAGGATAAGAAGGGACAAGAAAAAGAGAACACTAGGGCAGGAAGATGTCTTGGCGGGACAGGGGAGTCAAGGCATTTTTTGTAGAGCAACCCCAATGAGAAAATACTTTCTCGTTGGGGATGGGGTAGGGTGAGAACACTCTCTCTACTGTTTATCTTTCCCTGTGGAAGAACTTGTTAGAGTTGTACTCTTGGCCTCTCTCCATCCCTGGAAGGAAAAACTGAGCTTGCTCTATACAGCCTCTTCTTTTCTCTCTTAAAGACCCTCCTGCCTATTCTGCTCTCTGTTGTGTTTTAAGGGGCCTGCCTTTGAGGAACAGGCATGTGGTGGGCCTTGTCTTAAGTCAGAGGTAAAGCCATAGAAGCCTGCTGTGGCCATTCATCAAAGCCATGTTCTACTATCCATGCTCTTACTGGTAACCAAATTGATGTTCTGATCTCCATCTGTCTGATTTCTATGTCTATTTCTCAGGTGGTTCCAAACTTGCAAACCAACTTAGAATTTTTTCTTTTTTTGAGATGGAATCTCATTCTGTCGTCCAGGCTGGAGCGCAGTGGCGCAATCTCAGCTCACTGCAACCTCCGCCTCCTGGGTTCAAGCCATTTTCCTGCCTCAGCCGCTGGAGTAGCTGGGACCACAGGCACCCGCCACCATGCCTAGCTGATATTTGTATCTTTAGTAGAGATGGGTTTTCACCATGTTGGCCAGGCTGGTCTCGAACTCCTGACCTCAGGTGATCCGCCTGCCTGGGCCTCCCAAAGTGCTGGGATTACAGGAGTGAGCCACCGTGCCCAGCAGAATTTCTTAAAATCCCTTAAAACCTGTCAGTGTATGTTTTGGCTGCTCTCCTTGTTGTCTGAGAAGCTGGAATTTCTTGTTTTAAGACAGAATTATGGTAATTATTATCATTTATTGAGAACAGGTCAGGGACCATGCTAAACATTTTATGAATATTATGTTGTTGAATCATTTCGGCAATCCTAAGAAGTAGATACTATTATCATCCCATTTTGTAGGTAAACCAGCAATTTTAGAAGGTTAAGAATTTTTCTGCATTCAGCATGGCTAGTAAGCAGTGGAACCAGGTTTTGAGCCCACTGTTTTCTGATTCTTCTGTTCTTAGCTACCAGCCTATAATGTCTCCCACAGCTTTTCAAATAAAGAACTGTGAAGAGAGAAAAATGTTTTGGAAGAAGGAAAGAAAGCTCTGCAAAAGGCAATGTGGGCTAAGATAGGGTATTCTCAGGCAAGAAAGATTGTCTTCTAGAACCCACTGGTCCAATTTGGTCCATTTGTATGAATGTACTCTTTGCACTTACTTCAAGGTTGAGCATTCTGTGAAAGAAAACTTTGGGCTCATGTTCACTCCAGGGAATGGTTTAGGTTTCAGGGTGGTTTCTTTTGTTTTTCCGTGTATCCCCCTGATCCTCTTTTTTTCCTCTTTCTTTTTTTTGCCTCCATAATCTTTGGTCTGGTGTTGACCCTCAATAAGCCACCCTGGCTAATTCATGCTAGTTCTCTGTGCTTTGGACACCTTGTAAAACCTTACTGTGGCGAAGTTTCTCCATTTGTAAAATGTAGCAGGATTGGTAATACTGATTTCCTTATCTTAGCGTGAGTTAAGATTAATTATATACATTTTGCAGCATACTTTGAAAGTATGTGATTAGGTGCTAAAATTTGTGTTTGTACAGATTTAAGTATTTTTGTAGCACATACCCATTTAAATTTAAGGAGTATTTTTATTTTTCTAATGGCTTCTTTAAAATATTTTAAAATCAGTTGCATAATTCTGACAAGTGGGATCTTCTGAATAAATCTCAATTCTAATTTCCCTTTCCCATGATTGTAAACTGTGGGACATTTGTAATAATCTTTGCTGAGTCAGTTTCCTTGGGGGAGGGATTTGTTTCATTTCAAAACATCCTAACAAAACTCCAGCCCATTGACAAGCAGTAACTTGCAAACTAGGGTCGTTGCCCAGGGAGCAGGGAGGGATCACAGACACAGGCAGGAGGAGAAGGGTTATGGTGTTGGAAAATGCTACCTGGAGGTTGCCAAAGATGGACCAGGTGGGAAAACTGCACAGCAATTCACATACCTTGAGCAAATCCAGCAGGCAGTAGGAAACAATAAAAAAGGAGGAATCCTCTCCAGGGACAGGATAAAGGATGGGTAAAAGCAAAGCTGGGAGGATTGGTTAATAAAGATTCGAACTTTCATCTGGACTCATGTTTTCCTGCTTTGTTCAATAAAGTAATTATTAAGCCTCTGATGAGTGTGGAGAGGTGGAGAGGCTCAACAGAAAGCAATGAGTCACTCCTGGGAGCTGTTGGGGAAGGTCATCTTTGAGACAGTAGGAACCTGGGAGGGGCAATCTCATGATCCTGTAGAGAATTGCAACAAGTTTTGCAACTGCCCCACATCTCCCCAACCCTTGGGTTTCTATGGTATTGCTCTGTATTCCAGCTAGTGTCACCAAATGATTAGCCTGGTTCTTTGTTAACCTTTATCCTAACCTTCAAGTCTGCTAAAGTGAAGATTTGTTTAAGGCTAGAGGCAAAGACATAAAATTTCTCTAGACTTCCCAAATACCATTTAACTTTTCTAAAATATTTGAATGTGACTGAGTAGTTGCACAGCAACTAAAACCTTCCCATCACAACCCCCACCTCGTCTTCCTTCCATTCTCCCTATATCCAGTAGTTTAACTCCCTGGGTAAGAACTTACTGAGATTTATTTTCACAAAGTCATAGCATTTAGCCGGTAATTCGTTCTAGCTTTTTGAGCATCTGCTAATATGTGGTGGGAGATCTTAAATTCAACAGACTCATTTTTAATGAATGTCAAATAGGAACTAATCTGTCATGATTACATTATTTATTTTCTAGGAGAGACAGCAATTTGTCATGTAGATAAGTACATCCCTCTCTTTATCAAGAGAGGGAAACAGATGAGCAGGTTTTTTTTGTTTGTTTGTTTTTTACATTCTCAGTAAACAAAGAGACCTTGGGATTTGGATCTTTTCCCTCTTCTATTTTTTTTTATCATCTCAACTTGCCTAAATTTAACTAAGTTGCCCTTCAAAATTTTTTTTTATCAAAATGTAAGTAGGAATTTAAAAATTAATGAGAAAACAAAATGATGTGGTTCTGAATAAAAATGAGGAAGAGCTGAATGTGGAGGGGTTAGCAGGGCTGTTTAATTGACCCCCATACGCAAGTGCTGTTGATAGAAATACAACATGAGACACATATAGAATTTTAAATTATATAGTAGCCGCATTAAAGAAGTAAATGAAATAGGTGAACTTGACTTGAATAATATATTTTATTTAACTCAATATATCTAAAATATTATTTCAACATGTAATCAATATAAAACTATTAATAAGGTATTTTACATAGTTTTTGTACTGTCTTCGAAATTTGATGTGTATCTTCCATGTACAGTGTAATCTCAATTCAGACTAGCTACATTTCAGATCTCAACATTCACAAGTTGCTCGTGATCCCCATATTGGACCCCTAATTCTGGGAAATTATCAATTCCGTTTCATGGTGGTATTTCACTGGATTTGCTTTGGAACTCAGAGCCTGGATCTCTTATGAAAAGCCAGGCTTTGCTTGTGTATTTTAAAAGCAAACTGTTAGTTTCCTTCTTAACTTTAATCTTCATTTCCTCTTGGCTCAGCACACTTGAAATAATATTCTAGAAACCCATACTGGGTGAAAGGGGTTAGGGGAAACTGGATTGTGTCAGGGAAAGGTTCAAAGCCAGGCTCCCTAAATGGATGCCTCTCTGTTTAGACTGGACATTTCTTTCTCATGTGGGAGGTCCTCCAGCTGGTCTACTGTAGAAAAAAAAATGTTTATAATGTAACAAAGTCTAAGCTTTAGTTCCTAGTCTGAGCACAATAATTCACATTAGATAGTTAATAGAAAAATAACACTTTCACACTTGATTCTTCAAGAGCAGTATTCTTTTCTCACATAAAGTTGCACTTTACTGGTAGTGACGATGGCATGGAGTGAAGGCTCCTTGTCCCGTGAGAGTTGGTGGAGTGACCTAACACGAGTTAGACCACAGGGTCTTCACTGCACCCAGTTATCCAGAATTCAGGAAAGTGGGGGAATCCCTGACTCTCTGGCTCCATTCCCTTTTCTGAACTTTAACTTCTAGGCAGGGAGCCCTAAGTCTTTCTTCTTTTACCCCCACCCTCATCAGGTACAGGATGCTTGTTCCAAATTTTTGAGCACCTGTTGATCACCTAGAGTGTAATTTCCGCAGCTTGGCAGACAGCTGTGCTGTAGGTGAGTGAGTCCTTTGCTTAAAGTCCAAAGATCTAATTTCTATTTTTTTTTTTTTTTGAGACAGAGTTTCACTGTTGTTGTCCAGGCTGGAGTGCAATGGCACGGTCTCGGCTCACTGCAACCTCTGCCTTCCGGGTTCAAGCGATTTTCCTGCCTCAGCCTCCCGAGTAGCTGGGATTATAATTATAGGCGCCCGCCACCAGGCCTGGCTAATTTTTTTTTTTTTTTTGTATTTTTAGTAGAGATGGGGTTTTACCATGTTGGCCAGGCTGGTCTTGAACTCCTGACCTCAGGTGATCTGCCCGCCTCGGCCTCCCGAAGTGCTGGGTGGCAAAGTGAGCCACCCGAGCCCGGCCTAAGCTTTTGTTTCTATATTTGTAGAGTGGTAGGAATGCTTATCTCACAGGGCTGTTGGAAGGATTAAATGAGGTGATGCGTGTGAAAGCATTTTAGAATCTGTAAAACTATACACACTTCAGTTGTTAATAGTGTTGTGGCAAGGTTCCAAGATATATTCCTGCTGAATTCCCTGGCCATTCCAACTCTTTTTTAAGCTCGTGGAGGTGCTTAACCCCACCCTATCCTGAATCTCAGCTCTGTCAGATTTGTTCACTCCTTTTCCAACTGTCTGGTCCCATAATCCTTATTAAGTGGACAGTGGCCCACATGATCACACACCTGTCCACACTGAGGGCTGGGGCAGACACTTAACCCGAGCTGGGCCATGTAAATTTTTCCTATCTAGATATGGAAATTGGGACCAAAGGAGTTTATTAATCACTTAAGTTGTCCAATTTGGGCAACATAGTGAGACCGTGTCTCTATAAAAACAAAAAATTAGCCAGATATGGTGGTGCAAGCCTGTAGTCCCAGCTACTCAGGAGGCTGAGGTGAAAGGATTGCTTGAGCCCAGAAGGTCGAGGCTGCAGTGAGCCAGGATTGTGCCACTGTACTCCAGCCTGGACAACAGAGCAAGGCCCTGTCTCAAATAAAACAAAAACAAAAACAGAAACTTGAATTTGAATGGTTTAGAATTTCAGTTCTCAAAATGTGGTCCATGGGCCCCTGGGGACCCCAAGACTCTTTCATGGGGTCCAAGAAGTTAAAACCATTTTGATAACAAGGCTAAGAGGATATCTGCCTTTTTTTTTTTTTTTTTTAAAGATGGAGTCTCACTCTGTCACCCAGGCTGGAGTGCAGTGGTGCCATCTTGGCTCACTGCAACCTCTGCCTTCTGGGTTCAAGCGATTCTCCTGTCTCAGCCTCCCGAGTAGCTGGGATTACAGGCACATGCCACCACGCCTGGCTAATTTTTGTATTTTTAGTAGAGACAGAGTTACACCATGTTGGCCAGGCTGGTCTCGAATGCCTGACCTTGTGATCCACCCACCTTGGCCTCCCAAAATGCTGGGATTACAGGTGTGAGTCATCGCGCCTGGCCGCCTTTTTTTTTTAAGTGTGCTTTTTCACATATGGAATAACAGCAGTGATGGGGAATACTGCTGGCATCTTAGCATGAATCAAGGCAATAGCACTTACTGTGGTTGTTACATTTCTCACTACCATGCACTCACAGTAAGAAAAAATAAGGAAAAAATAAAAGCAAAAGCCAGTGTTACTTAATAATGTCCCTGATGAAGCAGTAAAAATAATTAATTTCATTAAAACTTGACTTTTGGGTACATGTCTTTTTCACATTCTGTGTGATGAAATGGAAAAAATGCATACATCATATCTACTGCATGCTGAAGTAGGCAATTGTCTGGGAAAACCACTTAAGTAATTGCTTGCGTGGTGAACTAAAACTAATGGCTTTTTTTCAAGGAGTACCATTACTACTTGACTGCACAAACTATGATGTCTCAAACCAGGTATTTGGCAGACATTTTCTTGAAAATGAACCAGATTATCCTGTCACTTCAAGAAAAACAACCAACAACATTTTTTTTCTGTGCCAATGTTAGAATTTGTGTTTCCAAACGAAAACTAGAATTTTGTAAAACTTGTATCTGTCACTGTGAGCTTGATAGCTTTTCAATACTTAAAGACCTTTCTGAAGGGATCAGTGGTGATATCAACAAATGAGATTTAAGAAATATATTTGTATAAAATGTGTCAACATTAGGAAGATGAGATGTATAACTCAGTGAACCAATATTTTATGAATGACAAATGTGCAGGTTAAAGATCTAATCAAAGTGCAAGACAGACTAGCGGATTTTAATGTTATGGTAAAAAAGACAATTTCTTTTATATGAATTCAGATTCCACATTGCAATTAAACTTTAAGAAACTACCACATGTTGAGTTTTGGTGTATTGTCAAAAATTATCCACAAATACTTTACTCTTTTTAAGCTACATTTCTCTGTGAGACTGAATTTTCTTTATATACTTCAACTGAAATAGTATATCACAACAGATTGAATGTAGAAGCAGATGTAGGGATTCAATTGTCATTTATTAAGCAAGCCACTAAAGGGATTTTCAAAAATGTCAAAAAAATTTCATTGTCACTATAATTTTTTGTTTATTTTGGAAAAACAAATCAGATGTGGGCATCTATGTTTGGCTCATGCATGTGCAAATGAAGAGAGGATGCTAGTATTTTCAGAGTGAGAGAGAAGAGAGAGAAGACAGAAGCAGAGATGAAAGAACATGTGGAGAGAGAGAGAACAAAAATAAGCTTTGGTTCCTAATATCTGTACCTGGTTCTTGTCTCTCTTGAGGCCTGGCTGTGTTGCCCAATTTAGAGTTCTAGGAAATTTCCATGTATTTTTCCAATAAACTCTCTTTTTATTTAAACTTATTTAAAAGGGATATATATATATATATAATTTAATTTAATTTTTTTTTTTTTGAGACAGAGTCTTGTTCTGTCACCCATGCTGGAGTGCACTGCTCAGTCTCAGCTCACTGCAACCTCCACCTCCTGGGTTCAAGCGATTCTGCTGCCTCAGCCTCCTGAGTAGCTGGGATTACAGGCACACGCCACCGCACCCGGCTAATTTTTGTATTTTTAGTAGAGACGGGGTTTCACCATGTTGGCCAGGCTGGTCTCAAACTTCTGACCTCAAGTGATCCACCCACATCAGCCTCTCAAAGTGCTGGGATTACAGGTGTGAGCCACTGCAGCTGGTCTCTTTTCTTCCCTGTTTGGCTTGCTGTTCCTGAAGGGTAGAGACTTTTGATTACTTTAGACCCCACAATGTGTAGTCCCTACTCAGTTTGCAGTAGCTGAAGAATGAGTGAGTAGCTCTGCCTGAGGGAGCTGAGGAAGGCATCCTGAAGGATGATCAGGCATTTGTCAGGCAGATGACGGGGAAGACATTCTAAGGAAAAAGCTTGGGTGAGTTCAGGAGTCTGCTTCGCCCTTATGGGTGTGGTCATGCTTAAGGACAGAGGAAGCACGCAGTGGCATTCACTTTTGCCCTGGAGGTTATCTGAGCAGAGAGAATATCTCACAAACTAATGCCAAGGCCACTTCTCTATTGTCTATGGGTTAATGCCAGCCCTGTTAGGGACTATCCAGTGAATTAAAAAAGCCCTGCCAACCCCAGGCGAGGGTTGGGAAGCAGTGTTAGTAGCACCTGGGGGTCTGGGGATGACTCATCGCACAGGTATCATTAACCCCCATTCATTCACTCGTTAATGAAGAAATAAGAGCAGGAATTTGGCAGAGGGACAGTTCTAGACTCAAGTCCATCTCTCACTCTAACTGGCTCAGTGATCTTAAGCAGGCATCTAACTTTTTTGAGCCTCCGTTTCTTTACCATTTCTATAAAATGGTAATAATAACACCTTGGAGGCTGGTTTTACGAGTTAAATATGATCATATACATTAAGCATATGTATAGTAACTGGTACAGCTTAGAGATTAAGGCATGCTAATTCCCTTTCTTCTTCTCTACAAACATTTGGAGGAGCTACTGACTACAAGGCATTATGCCAGGCAGGGAGGAAACAAAGGTAAATCCATTGTACACGGATTATGTCCTCTGGGAGCCTGCAGCCCAGTAATGGAGGAGATAAAGTCAATGGTAAGTGCACAGATAGTTACAACACAAGACAGAGAGCGTGAGGTACCATGAGAGGTGGAACCAAGATTGCAACGGGAAGGCCATGTCTATGCCCTATGTGTCTGCTTGTGAACTGACCTTCTTCATGGTTGGCAGTGCCCCTTACTGGATTAAAGGATGTTCTATGTTGTTTGTTACAACATGTTGGTGTCTTTAATTTGGAAGTTAAAAGAAAAAATAACAGAAAGGAGTTTTTGCTTCTATGAGGAAGGGGTACTTTATCAAAATTACCCAACACCATCCCTGAACTACGGGTGAGGACAAACCTGGCTCCCCCAATCTTTGCTGGAGAGCCGAAGCCTCTTCGGGTCCCATTGGGTCCAAGTGCAGCAGAACCTGGCTCTTTGGATCAGCGACATTAATCTGCTTTGTTTTATCTGCGGTGTCACAAAGTTTAGTTGAATGATCTGATAGAAAGTACAAACCGGCCGGGTGCAGTGGCTCACACCTCTAATCCTAGCACTTTGGGAGGCCGAGGTGGGCGGATTGCCTGAGCTCAGGGTTTTGAGACCAGCCTGAGCAACATGGTGAAACCCCCTCTCTACTAAAAGACAAGAGAAACTAGCCGGGCATGGCGGCGTGTGCCTGTAGTCCCAGCTACTCAGGAGGCTGAGGCAGGAGAATTACTTGAAACCGGGAGGCGGAGGTTGCAGTGAGCCGAGATCGCACCACTGCACCACTCCAGCCTGGGCAACAGAGCGAGACTCCGTCTCTAAAAAAAAAAGAAAGTACAAACCACAGCCTGACTCTGAGAATAACTGGGAGGAATCCCCTGCTGTCACACACTGGGAATCAGAGCGGCACATCCTGCCCTTGCAGGGCCCTGAGGCTCTAAAAGCAACATGTTCCAATTGGAAGCATATATTCTGCAAGGGTTTGTCTCCAGGCAGCGCTACAGCCTCCTCTTCTGGCACCATAGAGACTGTTGCTTCTGTCAGGATTTCTGGCACCAGCAAAAGTGAAAGGGAACAGGACCAACTACGCTTCCCTGAGCAAGGTGGATCTTCTGGGCAGCACCTTGGTGAGAATACACACCACTGAGCAGCCTAGACTGGTGCTGATTAGGTGAAGGGTGGGCGGCCAGAAGGACAGATTTTCATGTGTGTGTGTGTGTGTGTGTGTGTGTGTGTGAGTGAGAAACATAACTCAATGCTTCATCTCCCCTGCCTACATTACATTCACACTTTGTGAATCTGACAGCCTGTGGGTTTGGGCTGTATTTGCAGCTTTATTAGGCATTGCAGCAACTGAACAGGCTTTTCTTCTTCTTCCTTTTTTTTTTTTTTCTTTGAAACTACAGTTTCCCCTAGCTTGTGTTAAAATTCTCAGACTTTTCTTTTTTTAACCCCCTCCCCTTTTTAAAAGTTGTGAAATATGGTAGAGTGACTGAAAAGATTAGAGAATAAATGTACAGCAGAATGAAGGGAACACCCTGATGACTATCATTCTGATCAAGAATAGAGCATCTCTAGCTCCCAGAACACATCCCTCCTCCATACACCCCTTCCCTGTCACACCCCCACTCTGCCCCGATTTTACTTTTTCTTCCATTTAAAGATGTGTATGTATGTATGTATTTATTTATATTTATTATTATTTTTTTAAAGTGGAGATTCGCTTTTTGCCCAGGCTGGAGTGCAATGGCATGATCTCGACTCACTGCAACCTCCACCTCCTGGGTCCAAATGATTCTTCTCCCTCAGCCTCCTGAGTAGCTGGGTTTACAGGCACGCACCACCATGTCCGGCTAATTTTGTATTTTTGGTAGAGATGGGGTTTCACCATGTTGGCCAGGCTGGTCTCGAAGTCCTGACCTCAGGTGATCCACCCCCCTCAGCCTCCCAAAGTGCTGGGATTACAGTCATGAGCCACTGTGCCCGGCCTTGAATTTTTTATACAGTTAAAATGCATGTCCATTTTTGGGAAAAAATACATAAAATACAGACTATTGATGAAAAATATATCACCCATGATTTTTCCTTGCCCAGGGTCATGTTAACATTTTGTGAAATATCCTACAACACATTTAAATATGTATTTATGCTTTCTATAATTAAAAATGGACCACATGAGAAATGTTTTCAATAATATTTGGTGAAAATATTTGCATCTCCATATAGCTCTGCTGCAAGGTATTTGGTAAGATCCAAATATCTGGGTGTGCTACTAGAAACCATTTTTATAAATAATGTTGAAATGAACAGGTTTGTGTATAGATCTTGAAGTACCCAGCTGATAACTTCCTTGAGATCAAAAGGAAATTCGTGGATCAACCAGCGTGCATTTTTATAAGACATTTAATTCACATTGCCAACTTGCTGTATGAGCCCATTTATATAAATTTCAAAACACTCAAGGCTAAATTACAGTGTTTCTAGGTGAATAGTTAGGTTACAAAAGTAATGGAAATGATGTACCAATTCACCCTCCCACTAGAATTGTACAAGAATGCCTCTTTTCCTACATCTTTGCTAACATTGGGTATCATTAATTTTTTTTCACAGAAAGTCTTTTAGTTTCTTCTGAAGGAGTGAAGCCCTTGTCCTCCCTGATTTTAATGTAATTGTTTCTTTGCTTCTCTTTTATGCTTTTGCTGCCTAACTATTCACCCTAGAAACATTATAATTTAGTCTTGCATGTTTTTAAATTTATATAAATGAGATTATGTAGCATTTATTATTTTACTCCTGGCTTCTTTCATCCATTATTATGCCTGTTAAATACATCTATGTGGTCACATGGAGCTGTGTCATGTCCATTTTCATGGATATATATTATTCCATTGTTAGAACACCCAGCAATGTATTCATTCTATTGTTGCTGGACATTTTAGCTGTTTCTAGCTTTTGACTCCTATCAAGAATGCTGCTGAGAACCTTCTTATACAGGTTTCCTGTGCACAAGCTTTTTTTAAAAGGACAGCTGTGATTCCACTTTATGTCACTGGGAACTGGAGCCTTTTGGTAACAATGAGATGCAGGGATCTAACTGTGTATTCAGGATGCTGCTCTAGCCCATTTCCTGCTTGCCACGGGGTATGTGGATGGGGCTGGAGGTCATTCTTATTAAAATTCTTCCTAAAAATCAAGGCAGAAAGAAGCAAGAACTTTCTGGGCAAGATAAAGGGGACAACTTGAAAGGGTACTGAACTGGAGATCAAAGAGCCCTTCATGCTGCTGGCTTTTGATGTTAGCATTAACTGCACACACTGTGGTCATTAATTAACTTGTGTTCAGAGCTTGCTGCATTCCCCCACCTACTGTCTCCTAATCAGCAACCCTCCACTCAAGGCCAACATCATCATTATCAAGTTCTGGGACTTGATGTGAGGGTGCCTTTGGCTGCTGTGGGCACTCGGTGCTGCTGGAACAGCCCTGGGGAAGAGCTTTGAAGCACACTTACAGAGGCTGTAAAATCTGAGAAAGTTGGGACCAGAAGTCCTGCCTGCTGGATCATGACAGGCAGACTCCATGGCTTTTACAGGCTTGTTGGAGAAAGTGGAGTTTCGATGAAACATAAGTGGTGCTTGTTTTCATTCCATGTAGCTAGTAAGCAGGGCATGTTCAGGGAAGAATCCCGTTCTTCTACTCATACTCCCTTTTGTCTTCCTCGGCTCCATGCCTCTTGTTTTAGAAATTAATTTATCTATGTAGCTCTGAGGAATAGAAATTAATTTGTTTTAGAAATTAATTTATCTATGTAGCTCTGAGGAATAGATATACATATCCCTCTAATGAGCCTTTGACAGAGGTGCCAATACAGCCCTAAAGGCAACAAGGGAAAACAGAGGACTGAGAAGTGGGAAAAGGAAACATGGAGAAAATGGGTGTCTACAGGTAACACTAATCTATGGTGATAGAGGCGAGATGAGTGGCATCAAATGGGAAGGGACACAAGGGAACGTTTTGGGGGAGTCAGAATATTTTAAATCTTGATCTCGGTGGTGGTTATGCGCATAAATTCATCAAGTGCACACTTAGATCTTTGCACTTTACTAAATGTAAGTTATACATAAAAAATGAAGTCTGCCAGGGAGTTTCGCTTTCACTGGCCATCTGTGCTTTACCATCAACTTCCTCCTTTATACTACAGGTGTTATATATATTCCATATACACATGATTTAAACCCCTCAATTATGATGCTATAATTTTTACTTTCAACAGTGATACGTATTTTAGAGAAAAATAATAAATATTGTTTTTTATATTTACCCATCTAGTTACCATTTGTAAAGAATGTTTTGGGAAATCCAAATTTCCATCTGCTATCATTTCCTGTTAGCCTGAAAAACTTTCTTAAGCATTTCTTGTGGTGCAGACAGCAAACATTGTTAGTTTTCATTTATAAGAAAACGTCTTTATTCTGCCTTCAGTCTTGAAGGATATTTTTACTAGATATAGAATCCTAGCTCTAGGTTTTACCATTTTTCCTTTTGCACCTTAAAAATATTTTACTCTTGGCCGGACACAGTGGCTCACACCTGTAATTCTAGCACTTTGGGAGGCAGAGGCGGGCAGATCACCTGAGGTCAGGTGTTTGAGACCAGCCTGGCCAACACGGTGAAATCCTGTCTCTACTAAAAATACAAAATTAGCTGGGCGTGGTGGTGTGTGCCTGTAATCCCAGCTATTCAGGAGGCTGAGGCAGGAGAATCACTTGAACCTGGGAGGTGGAGGTTGCAGTGAGCCGAGATCAAGCCATTGCACCCCAGGCTGGGTGACAAGAGCGAAACTCTGTCTCAAAAAAAAAAAAATTTTTTTTTTACTCTCTTCTGGCTTCTTTTTTTTTTTTTTCCTAATGAGAAATCAGCTATCATCTGTATTGTTTTCCTGTATATAATGAGTGCTTTACTCTGATGCTTCCAAGATTTTTTTTTTTGTCTTTGGGTTTCAACAGTTTGGGTAAGATGTACATAGGTATAGTTTTCTTTGTATTTATCCTGCTTGGGGTTTACTGAATCTTTAAATGTATGTCCTTTAGCAAGTTTGGTAATCTTCCTCTCATTATTTCTTCAGAAATTTTTTGTGTCCCATTCCTTCTCTTTTCTCTTCCTCTGGGACTATAATTACGTGTATGTTATACATGTTATTCTTTGCTTTCTCACAAGTCCTGGAGGCTCTCCTCTTTTTCAATTTTTTTTCTGTTTTTATTTATATTTTTAATTTATTTCTGAGACAGAGTTTCATTCTTGTTGCCCAGGCTGGAGTCTAGTGGCACAATCTCGGCTGACTGCAACCTCCGCCTCCCGGGTTCAAGCGATTCTCCTGTCTCAGCCTCCAGAGTAGCTGGAATTACAGGCACTCACCACCATGCCCGGCTAATTTTGTATTTTTAGCAGAGACGGGGTTTCACCATGTTGGCCAGGCTGGTCTTGAACTCCTGACCACAGGTGATCTGCCCGCCTCGGCCTCCCAAAGTGTTGGGATTACAGGCATGAGCCACCACCCCCAGACTTTTCTGTTTTTAGATTGGGTAATTCTTTTGATCTATCTTCACATTTACTGACCCTTTCCTTTGTCATTTCCAATTCATTGTTAAGCCCATCAGTGAGTTTTTAAAATTGCAGATATTATATTTTGTAATTCTAGTATTTTCATTTGGTTCTTTTCTATTTCTCTGTTGTGATTTTCTTTCTGCTCATTTGTTATGAGTATATTTCCTTTATATATTTGAGCGTAATTATAATGGCTGTTTTAAAACTTTTGTTTCTTAATTCCAACATATAAATCATCTTAGGAGTCTCCATTGATTGTCATTTTTCTTGTATATGAGTCATATTTTCCCATTTTTTCTTATGTCTTGTAATTTTGGATCATGTTGTGCATATTGTGAATGATATAGAGACTCTGCATTCTCTTATGTTACTCTAAAGAGTATTGATTTTGTGTTTTAGCAGGCAATTAACCTAGTTGATTTCAGTTTCTAAATTCTTTTCCTCTGTGGTGTGGCAACTGAAATCTGTTTAGTTCTTTTAGCTCGAGCTAGATTTCTTGGTATCTATCCAACATATGTATATTTTAGAGGCTGGCCAGAGATTTGGGCAGAGTTTATATGTAGAATTTGAGTCTCCCTTCTGCGGCTATTTCCTTTCCACTATTTCTCCTTTCACTTCTCTGCTGTTATTGCTTTGAATTTTGTCTTCCGATTTCTTAGCTAGCAAGGTTTCTGTGCAAGTTTTAGCCACCTTTTGGTGGGACCAATTGGGAGTACTCTCAGACAAAGAAATAGAAAAAATTGGCAAATATCCAGTGGGTTTTTTGTTTGTTTGTTGGTTTGTTTTTTGTTTTTGTTTTTTTTTTCAGACAGAGTCTCACCCTGTTGCCCAGGCTGGAAGCACAGTGGCATGATCATAGCTCTATGTAATCTTCAACTCCTGGGCTCAAGTGATCCTCCTGCCTCAGCCTCCCAAGTAGCTAGGACTACAGGTACATGCCACCATGCCTGGATAATATTTTTATTTTTATATATTTTTTGGAGAGATGGGGTCTTTCTACGTTTCCCAGGCTGGTCTCAAAATTCTGACCTCAAGCCATCCTAGTGTCTTGGCCTTCCAATGCACTGGGGTTATAAGCACATTGAGCCTGGCCATCCTTCTCTAAATATTGACCACCTCTAGTTTTGCCTGCTTTTAGACACTCTCAAATGGCTTCAGATTTGTGTGTGTGTGTGTGTGTGTGTGTGTGTGTGTGTGTTTTCCAGGGTTTATAATTGTTACTTTGGGAGGATTGGTGTAATATGAGCTACTCTGCCATTTCTAGAAATGGAAACTTATCATCTAATCTTGTCCAGTGATCTTACGGCTTGCTTTTTAAATTTGTTTTGTTAAAATAATATGGTAAAGCCACTGATAAGAAATACATCAGGAGTACTTCTAGTGTTCAAAAAATAGTTCATAGTAATGATAACATAATTATTTTAAAATCATGATTGTAAAAAATGTGTTCTAGTTACAAGGATCTACGGATAATGTTTCTTTGCAAATTGGATAGTTTCTACAGACAAGAAGCTTAAAAATAACTAAAACATTTTAATAAACTTTTTCTAGTTATTTTTTCTATTTCCACAGAAAAATGAAAACTCTTCTTATTTTGCCCATTTCTAAACTTCATCCTCCAGAATCCTCCTTATATTAATTTGTTCAAAGTGTGGGTGCTGAAGTAGATTATAAAGTTTGTAGAAACTGTGGCAAAAGAGTAGAGTTGAGTGGAAAAAATAGAGAATTTTCATTACTTTATGACATGATCTTGGAAGGATTCTCCTTGTCTTTATTTTTGGTGCAGACCAGAAATAAAATGTTTAAGAATTTTTAAAAAATCCCATTCTCTCTTTCTCCACATTATACAACACCATCCTGTAGAAACTGTAATGTTTCTTGTGGTCAATTTATCATTCCATTTGATTGATTAGTATTTAGGTCCTCATGGAACACTAGGGTTAGTGCTATCGTTGGGAAGCAGGGAAAGAAGATGCTGAAATACTTCATGGTTCTGCTCAGTAATGAATCCTGATGTGCTAAGGGTCCCCAACTTTTTCTGTATTTTAAAATATATAAAATGAGCAGAGTCCTGGTGTTTTAACTGTGGCCAAACTTGCTTGGGTGACAAAGATTTGTGGCCAACTCTAGACCTATATCCTGCCAAATCACTGACCCAGGAGAAGCTACAAGTTGTGGACTTCCCATTGTGAAAATCATCTAACAAAAATGTGAATCTTTTGCCTTTATGAAAAAGATAAAAATCATAAATAAACATTTTATTATTTGAGCTACACATGAACGTTTTAATTGGCTTATCAGTGTGTACTTTGTTAGGCTGCTGATTACAATTTTTTTCA
The DNA here is from genome assembly GCF_000001405.40 of Homo sapiens. Classification (NCBI taxonomy): domain Eukaryota; kingdom Metazoa; phylum Chordata; class Mammalia; order Primates; family Hominidae; genus Homo; species Homo sapiens. The sequence continues at coordinate 87,803,644 of NC_000006.12, forward strand.
AAATGTTGTTCTGATTTATATAATTTTGGATTGATGTTTTGTTGCATTCTCTCAGTAAAGTTAAGCAAAGGTACTGGATTTTAGTTGTTTATTTTAAATATTTTAGAGTCGTGAGGAATTTAAATATTTCCTATGAAGCTTATGGGAAAGAGCTTTAGAGTGAGAAATAACTGAAGAAAAAAATAGTCTTCAAATTGAGTGATCACAACTTGCCAAATACCTGGGTTATTTCCTGGCTCTTTATCATGGCTTGTTAGGACTCAGACGCTTGATCAAGCTTTGGCAGGATATAGAGGCAGTAGGATCTGTGTAAAACTTACTGTGGCCACATAAGATGATGTCTTCTCTTTCCGCCTTCTCACTTACGCAAACATATTGCCTCTTATAAAAGACTTGTTATATGTGGCCACCCAGCATGTGCTTTAAGGAAATGCTTTTTGGTTTCATTTTATAAGAATATACTGGCATTGGATAAAGAAAATTAAATAGCTTATGTATTTTGTATTCTCAGCAAAATATATGAAATGAGGGTAAAGATAGTCATAGGTAAGCCAGAGAGCAGTGGTCAGGGTTCCATTTTCTCGAATACTTCTTATTTTATGTGAGAATTGATGGGACCTCCAGGGCTACACAAGAAATTTTAATCCATGTCTTGATGATTTCCTCATTTTCTGTCAATTTGGAACAGACAAAGATGAAATTTAATAGCATAGAACTGGATTTATTAGTAACCAATTAGAAAGCTTTTTTTTTTTTTTTTTTTTTTACCAAAAGGGAAATTTCACTTAAGGCTTCAAGAAACAAATCTTTAAGGAACAAAATAAAAGTTTGGGAATGGGCCAAGTGCGATGGCTCACGCCTGTAATCCCAGCACTTTGGGAGACCAAGGCGGGCGAATCACCTGAGGTCAGGCATTCGAGACCAGCCTGGCCAACATATAGTGAAACCCCATCTCTACTAAAAAATACAAAAAGAGCTGGGCGTGGTGGCTCACACCTGTAGTCTCAGCTACTTGGGAAGCTGAGGCAGGAGAATCACCTGAACCTGGGAGGTGGAGGTTGCAGTGAACTGAGATCGCACCACTGAACTCTAGTCTGGGTGACAGAGCAAGACTCCGTCTCTCAAAAAAAAAAAAAAAAGTTTGGGAATAGATCTAATATTATTATAATTAGGTCCAAATATATTTTAATTTTTCCAGCCAGACACATTTAAAGGCATTCTCCATAACCTCTCAGTGAGACCAATCACTTTCTAAACCACCACATGGACTCAGGGTAACCTGAGATTTCCTTCTCAAGCTGCACCCAGAACACTTGTGTGCCCAGTAACTGTCTTAGTGGCGTAGTTACTTAGCACATTTTCCTGTGGGGTAGGGACACTTAGGATACAAAACATAAGTCATTACTTGTAGGACTAATTCTTCAAGCGTAAGAAAAGATTCATCTTTAGTGGCTGTGAGCACAGATATGCTAAGTAACAAAAAATAAAAACAGCTGACATTTTGAACACTCACTATATCAGGCATTATGCTAAGCATTTTATTATAGTGTTCCATGAAACCCTCATACCCCGTGAGTAAGTATCATTATTATGCCTATTGAAAAATGGGGACGCTGACACTGATGCTTAAAGGACTTGCCTGAGGTCATGTAGCTAATTTGTGGAGGAGCCAAGTATTCATTTCAGATCTATCCTTCTGCAAAGCTTTTCAATAACTACTATATACTATTTATCAATCCAATTTATCAAATTCAATTGATTCATAGATTAATCAGATTAATCAAAATAATATGATTAATGTAGCAAGCTAAACTGGTTGAGTTAGTTAATATGGAGGCAGAAAGAAGTTACTCCTATAAAATCAAGATGCTTTGTTTAAGTATTTTCTTACATGCTGATGGTAGGCAATTTTTAATGTAACAGTTCTCAAAATGTGTTCTGGAGACCCTTGGAGGAAAACTCTTTTAGGTTCATTTTTAGGTTCATGTGTGGACAAACCTATTTTCTTCTTCTTCTTTTTTTTTTTTTTTTTTTTTTTTTTTTTTGAGACAGAGTCTCGCTCTGCTGCCCAGGCTGGAGTGCAGTGGTGTGATCTCAGCTCACTGCAATCTTCGCCTCCTGGGTTCAAGTGATTCTCCTGCCTCAGCCTCCCTGGGATCACGGGCATGCGCCACCACACCTGACTAATTTTTGTATTTTTAGTAGAGATGGGGGTTTCGCCATGTTGCTCAGGCTGGTCTCAAACTCCTGACCTCAGGTGATCCGCCTGCCTTGGACTCCCAAAGTGCTGGAATTACAGGTGTGAGCCACTGCCCATCCTATAACTTCATTTTGAAAGATACATTTCTCAGTGGGAGGTAGCTGTGGAATCTCTGTACACATTTTCCTGGTATGGGAGACACATTTTGGATGACAATGCTTCTCATAGTGACAGACCTTGGTGGACATGTTTGGCCCTGTCACCGTTGGTTGGAGCAGAGTAAACCTAAAGTGAGCCAATTAGATTCTCATGCCCAGGAATTTGATGCTAGGATTCAGTGATGGCTAGTAGCTCTTTACAGCTGGAACTGAAATGGTGAAAACCCAAGCAGTGGGAGAGCATTCACAGAAAGATGGTGTGAAAAGAGAAGAAAGAAGCAGATGCACTGAGAGAAACAAGGAAGAACAGAGAGGGAACACTGTCTGGGTTCCCAGGGGCTTTCCAGGTCATTTTCTCAAGCTTGGCTGCCTTCATGGGTTTTGTGAATTACCACTGTGATTTTAGAATAAGTTCCTCCTTCCAAATAAGCTAGCTCAAGTTGATTTTTATTGTCAACCAAACAGATATTAACTGAGACACTCAGTTTCTGAAAAGCTGAAATTCTCATGGAGGCAGGGCATGTTTCTCTTGTTCAAAGGTGCAATTGAAAATATCTTAGAAAAAAATTGAAAATAATTTGTTAAAAGAGAAGGAACAGGGATATTAATAAAGAGATAGATCAAGTCATCCCTAATTGAAATTTTAACATTCTTTAGAGATATCACTGGGTTCAGAAGGATAAGCAAAACCTGGTAGGTGGGCAATCTGCCAATGGAACATAGGAGAGTCTGTCTTTTATTGCCTTATCTAATTACGTAGAGTCACTGCTTTGTTGCATTGGAGTGTGGGTGTGTGAATGCACATCATACACAGATCTTCTGGCCTAACCACTTCATTTTAGTATCATAATTTTAGTTTTTACTGAACTCTACACGGCTGTCCACATCCATCATGTTCACAGCTATATCCCCAAGGACTTTGAGCAATGTCTGGAACAGTGTGGACACTCAGTAAATATTTGCTGAACAAATAAATGATTGTTTTAAATAATCGTGGAAGAGGTTGACGAGATCAAATATTGTGTGAGTTAAAATCTTATTAAAGTTTTATTTTGATTTGTCTTTATAAAGTTCAAATTTGAAATACAATTTTCACTGAGATATAACAATTTTTTTCTCTCATCGGCAGCTCTTTCCTAGCAAGTTTCGCTCTCTCCTCCCTCTCTCTTACCCACCATCTGAAGTCTTGTTGCTGGAAGCAGTATCACCTCCTTCCTTGTCTCAGACTAATTCTTACAGAGTTTTCTCCTTTTTTTAATTCCTGGGTTCCATGTAGTTTCCTAGTGATAAGATGCCATCATTGCTTACATGCAGAGTAGCGGAAAATTAAGACAGAAAGGACGATTGAAACCAGATCATGGAGAAATTTCAGGTCCTCGTTGAAGAGTTTGGGCTTTATTTGGTGAACATTAGAATGCCCAGAAGAGTATTATAAGTTCTTCCTCTCTATGAGCTCTTCTTGTCTGGAGAAATGCAGCTTTCGGGAAGATTAATAAGGTTTCAGTGTGCAGAATGGATTGGAAACCAAGAACCAGTGGCCAAGGAGGTGGACCGATACAGACACTGAATAGCTTCTTCTGACTATGACTGTTGTAAAGGGTTGCTGGCGATTCTTCATGTATCTTTAGAGTACAGAAAAAGAGGAAGTATTATGCTTCTCTCAAGACCCCTGTGGGCTGAGCATTGTGTAGGCAAGAAACGTAAGTGGGACCTAGGAGCTTATGTAATTATAGAGTTTCTGTGTTGGTGAGGGCTTCATGCCTTCATGCTATCATTGCTGTTATTCCATCATGCTGGAATGCCATCATCCTCATTCTCCCCCACCTGAAATCCTTCTTATTCTTCAGGTTCTTTTCCTCACAGTCACCTTCCCTAATCTGCTAATTCAAATTAAGGTCCTCATCCTCTGGTCTGCCACAGAAATAATTTCTCCAATAGGCCCTTACTCTGCTATGCCTTATATTATGTCTATCTCCCACTAGAAAGTGGGTTCCAAAAGAGAAGGAACCATGGTGGACCCAACTTTGTGTGCCCCACAGTGCCCCACAGATCCATGGCTTTGCCCTTAGATGAGAATGAATTTTGTGTAGCATGTACTATGAGACATGTTTCTGAAATGAAGGCAGAGTTTTGCCTATGTTCTTGGTAGCTGAGAAACCATTAGATGAAGTATTTCATTTATGCACAGTGGTCACAACATTGCAAAAATGTAAATTATTGCAGTTAAAGGTGTGAAATCATGTACTCTGTGTTCAACACCTACCAGTTTCCAACCTACTGGGCAGCCTTCAATGACTTGCATGGCTATTCTCTTTTCTGAATGTTAACTAGACACCAAGATTATAGGGTCAACGTTTAAGTGAGTGCTTCAGAGCCGTATCCCATCTATTCAAGCTCCCTGCTTCTTGGGAGATAAAATGACATGTAATTTCATTGTGTGGGACTAGCGTGGTTTACAGTAAATGGTGTGCATGATTTGGAAAGGTTCATTAGTCAGATCTAACGACTTGACTACTCCCTTCAAAGTATGACTGATTAAGACTCATTCAGGGAAATGAATTGGTACACAGGAATGGGTTCATGACTCAGATGGTATAAATGCCTTTTACAAGTTTTTAGCAGAGGAAAGGGAGCAACAGAGGTAATGACTCTGGACTTGGGTTTACATAGTCTTTCATGTAAGTATTGTGCCTTAAAGCACTTTGTTCCTCCAACACAATCACCTGCCGCTTAAATACACCTGCCCCTTCTGGGTGGAGTGGAAATGAATGCAGACTCTAATATGAGGTTGGCTACACAGCCGAAGCCCGTTACTATACTCATTTTCCTCTTGGATTCAGAGATCCTAACTCTTTTTTTTTGTTTTTGATGGAGTTTCACTCTTGTTGCCCAGGCTGGAGTGCAATGGCGTGATCTCGGCTCACCACAACCTCTGCCTCCTGGGTTCAAGCGATTCTCCTGCATCAGCCTTCTAAGTAGCTGAGATTACAAGTACACACCACCATGCCCGGCTAATTTTTGTATTTTGTATTTTTAGTAGAGACAGGTTTCACCATGTTGGCCAGGCTGGTCTTGAACTCCTGACCTCAGGTGATCCGCCCTCCTCGGCCTCCAAAAGTGCTGGGATTACAGGCGTGAGCTACCGCACCTGGCCTGATCCTAACTCTTTTATATAAGGTGAGGAAAATGGCATTGTGCAACACTATACAACTGTTTTTGAACTCGTTTCCCAGGGCTTGAGAAATCTAAAACAGAAAAGACTCTTAAATTGCAAGGCTAAGACTGTGGAACACCCTGATAATTGGAGGCAGAGACTAGAGTTCAAAATTTCCTCCTATCTCAAGGGAAGGGAGAGGAGGGGGAGGTCTACTTTCTGTTTCTCCTGCCTGCTGTGGGAGGACTGGGCCTCTTCCTTTGTTCTCAAATCTGGGTTGTTTGGGGAAGCAGGCTATATATAATCCCAGAAAATCCCACTGTGGACTGTTTTTTGGAAGCAGTTAATGTCTGGTGCTCTCAACTATCTCACTATCATAAACACGATGGTTGTGGGCAGTTAGGTCATCTGTGGGAACAGAATAGGAGGTTGAGGGAACAGGTGTTGACCCTATCTCTGCAACTTGGCAAAGGTGGTGGTGCCTTATAGTGAGAAGACCCTCGACATTCACTTGGTTCATTTCAGCCCAAACACCATTTTGTCCTCAGTTTAACAGAACAAATGGAACAACTGCTACTGCTTTTGGAGAGCCATTACTGCCGGGATCCTGATTTAAAGTATATGCAAATGATTTTTCCCCTCTAGCTAGCTTTATTAAGGTAAAATTTACAAGTAAAAATTGTATGTTTAAGGTGTACAATGTGATGATTTGATATATGCATACATTGTGAAACGATCACCACAATCAAGCTAATTAACAACACCTCACACAATTGCTGTTTTGCTGTGTGTGAAGAGAATGCTTAAGATCTACTCAGAAAATTTTAAGTATACCATACAGTATTATTAATTCTAGTCATCATGTCTTACATTAAATCTACATAACTTATTCATCTTATAAATGAAAGTTTGTAGTCTTTGATATGGTCAAATTATTTATTCCAGAGTGCTGTAAATAATTTATGGAAGATATTAACAAATATGGTCATCATCGTATTCTAAGCATTATTAGTTCATCTATTCATGCGTGTATTCATTCAAGAATTTTTCTTTTTTTGAGACGGAGTCTTGCTCTGTCACCCAGGCTGGAGTGCAGTGGCACCATCTCGGCTCACTGCAAGCTCTGCCTCCCGGGTTCACGCCATTCTCCTGCCTCAGCCTCTGGAGTAGCTGGGACTACAGTCGCCTGCCACCAGGCCTGGCTAATTTTTTTGTATTTTTAGTAGAGACGGGGTTTCACTGTGTTAGCCAGGATGGTCTCGATCTCCTGACCTCGTGATCCGCCGCCTCGGCCTCCCAAAGCGCTGGGATTACAGGCGTGAGCCACCACGCCCGGCCTCAAGAAGTATTTTTTAAGGACCTACTGTGTGCCCAACACTCTTCTAGGTGTTGGGGATACAGTAAAGAACACATAAGGACTTAGCCCATATGAACCTTGAAGTGTACAGATTAGAAATTAAAGGCAGATGAATGGTAGTCTAGTCTGACTTATTTTACAAATGGGGAATCTGAGCCCTCTCTTCCTTTGGGAATTGTAATTGTGGATAAGAAACAGTAAGGTGGGCAGCATGTAGGTGGCATGGGGAACTCAGTCAGTAACAAAGTACAAGAAGGAGTCAAACTGAAGAATCTTTTCCTTTAGACTGAGTAAAGTTTAGAATAAATAGGAAGCATCTCCTCTTACCTGTATTGCCACCAAGTCCTTTTTCACAGCAGAAAGGGGCAAATTGTATGTTGATGTTAATACTAATGCTCGAATTATATATATATATATATGGTTTATTTGTTTTTGAGCCCAGGCTGTAGTGCAGTGGTGTGATTTCGGCTCACTGCAACCTCCGCCTCCCAGGTTCAAGCGATTGTCTTGCCTTAGCCTCCCAATAGCTGAGATTACAGGCACACGCCCCCATGCCTAGCTAATTTTTGTATTTTTAGTAGAGATGGGGTTTCACCATGTTGGCTAGGCTGGTCTAGAACTCCTGATCTCAGGTGATCTGCCCACCTTGGTCTTCAAAAGTGCTTGGATTACAGGCTTGAGCCACCATGCCTGGCCTCACATGATATTTGAATAGCATCTATTAAGTTGTTATTAGAAATATAGCTAAGTACTTTTATTTATATTATTTTATTTAATCTGCAACCATGCTATGGAATTATAATCCTCATTTTACAGATGAGGCACTGAGTCTGAGACTTTAAATAATTTGGCAAATAAATTATGAAGTCATGCCTTGGAGGCAGGGTTTCTGATGCCAAGCCCTGTGCTGTTGGCATCCTGCGGTACAATACTCCTACTACCCAGGCATTGATCAATTTATTGTCTTGACATTTTTTCAGGGCATGGCACTTTGACAGGTGCTATAACAACACATATCTCAAAAAACAGAACTTGCCTTCCAATAACCTGAGAATTGCAATAGAGTGTGATAAATGCCATGGTGTAGGTATGCCCAGGGTGTACGGGGCTCAGAGGAGGCTCATTGCCTTGATTCAGAGGTAGTCAGAGAAAACTTCCTGAAGGAAGTGATGCCTGAAGCAGTTGAGACAGAACAGGGACCCCTCTTAGGGGCCTGTGGGCCCCTAAGCATGGAAATAGGGGAAAATCTTGAGTTCCTTCAAGGAAAATTTCAGGCACTTAGCTAGTCCTAAGAAGTAAATGAGCAACTTGATAACCAAGAAGGTAATGGTAGCTTAAAACAATAGACAAGAAAGTTAGAATCACAGTTGTTTTGTCCCTTATAGAAACTGAAGATAACATCTTAACATATGTCCCTGAGTTGTTTTTCAGAAACCCAGATCCCCACCCAATGGATCCACTGGCATGGAGACCTCAGATAAGGGAGGACTGAGGACTCAACCCTGACTGCTGTTAGTTCTTTGTTCTAAATTTCTTCTTGAGGTACCTGGAGGAGATCATGCCTCCCAGCCAGAACTAATATTCCTTCCTACTGATCCCAGATTTTCTGACAAACCTTCGTCTCCTGAACCAACTGCAAATCTGAAAACCTTTGAATCCACGTTATGACCTGTGTGCTGCCCCACTTCAAGGTAACCTGCCATTTTAGGTCAAACCAAAGTATAGCCTTCATATATTGATTTATGACTTTGCTCGTCACTTCCACCTCTCTGCCTTTAAAAACGCTTACTTGAATGCCATTGGGGAATTGAGGTCTTAAAGCATTAGCTGCCTGATTCTCCTTGCTTGGTGCCCTGCAGTAAATGCCTCATTTTCTCTCATTGCAACCCTGATGTCAGTATCTGGCTTTGCCGCACTGGGCAAGTGGATCCCAGTTTGGTTCCACAACACAGTTGCCAAGTAAGAAGTAGCCAGGTAAAGAAAGGGGGATGCAGGATGGCACAGGCAGAGAGACTAGTATGGGCAAAGGCATAGGGTTTTCAGCAACTACTGTGCAATTAGGGAACTGTGAGTAGCACAGAGAGTGGGAAGCCCAGGGCATGAAGAAGATCGATGCAGAATCGATTTTCAGTGAGTGGACTGTTGGAGACCATGCATTCAAATTAGTTTGATGGCCAAAAAGATTTTCTTCTACAGAAAGATTTTTTTTCATGGCAACACAGCTGCCCTCAAGTCAGAGTTTAGGATTGCTCATTTTTTGGCTCCTCTGAAGAATGTGTCTGAGAGCGTATGGTTATAAGATTCCCCAGAAGGGTCAGATTCATCAACAATCAATTGTTGCCAGAGCCTCAATATCTTCTGGGGGCTTTTCTGATCTTCTTTTGGAAAGTTTTGCTTTGGAGTTGCAAGAAAGAAAACTGAACCCTCTGTGTAGTGGCAGTAAGCTGATTTCTAGCAGAAAGTTTATGATCAGTGACTTGTTGACACGTATGTCTTGAAAGCAACATTTGTTTGTTTGATGTTTTCTATTATTCGCCATGGCCTATTCCTTTAGGACTCACGATGTCCAAAACGTATTCTAAAATATGCATGACTGAGCTTTTCAAACCTTCTAAAGCAGTGGGGGATGCTGAATCTTTGCATCCACCCAGGTGAATAAACCAGACTGTAGAAGCTGACTTTGCTGCATCTGAAAAATGCATTCAGACTTAACCCCAGCAGTGGAAGCTCACTGTAACCTCAAACTCCTGGGCTCAAGCAATCCTCCTGCCTCAGCCACCCGAGTAGCACTTCCAGAGCTTCTCAGGAAGGTGGAAGGAAGACTAAAATGACTTCAGGGTCATCCACTCATTTCCTTTTATGACCATAGAGCCACTTGCCTGATAAGTCTTCATAGAAAATAGCCTATCGAACAGATGCAGGAGGTAAATCATCTTAACTGGTCCTAGTCATATAGGAGGGGAGTAGCTGTTTTTGTTATGTCTTTTTTCTTATATTTTTGATACTTGCATTGGGTGACTATGGGGACTACATATATAGGCAAATGTACTCTGCATTTTGGTTATGTTTCTTCCACATAGTTGCATAATTCTAGAAGTATTCCTTTAAACACTTATTGCCTGGATTATCTCAACTGAAAGATGAGGATAATATAATGGAGTCATTTTACAGGATTAATTTTAAGAGGTCAAACAAAAGTCATTCTTTAGGTGAGGGACATTCTCGGGTTGGAGCAGCTTTGCTGTTAGTTCTGCCCTCTTTTATTACTAAGATGCTGTTTCCTCTATCTTCTTGTCCTTAAAACATTTATTCAATATATCAGCGAGGATTAAGTGAGCCTGCATATGACATAAACCCCCCATATGACAGAATATTAAATCAGACAGGATTTAATTTATCTGTCATGTAAGTGAAGTGTCAAAGTAGGCATTGAGGATCCACAGGCATCCGGAACACAGGCGTCTTCTATCTTTCTATCCCACTCTTCTAGTCCATGATTTTCATTCTCAAGATCACCTTAGAATCCAGGATGGCTGCTGGGGGACTGGGCATCACATCTGTGATGCAGGCCAGAAACAAGAGGAAAGACAGAAGGGCAAAAAAGGATTCTACCCTACTGAGACAATTCCCACAAAGCAGGATTCCCAGATGTCCCAAATGATTCTTCCACTTTGTTTCACTGGGCAGAACTTAGACATGTGACCATGCTCAGCAGCTAGAGGTCCTGGGAATGTGGCTTTTAGCTGTCTATTTTGCCATCCCAAAAATAATACTAAGGAGGGAGGGGAAAAATGTATGCATGGATAGGGAACTAGCATTCTTTACTGTAGTCTATTCCTTTGATACCCAGACACTGATGTACACCATTTTTCCTACACACTCACTCTAGACAAACCTACAAGGAAATGGGAAATTTAGAATTGAATACATACTGGGTTAGATTTTGAGGGCAATAACAATTATTATTACTATTATTATTATTTTTTGAGACAGAATTTTGTTCTTTTTGCCCAGGCTGGAGTGCAGTGGCACGATCTTGGCTCACTGCAACCTCCGCCTCCCAGGTTCAAGTGATTTTCCTGCCTCAGCTTCCTGAGTAGCTGGGATTACGGGTGCCCGCCACCACACCTGGCTAAGTTTTGCATTTTTAGTAGAGATGGGGTTTCACCATGTTGGTCAGGCTGGTCTTGAACTCCTGACCTCAGGTGATCTGCCTGCCTTGTCAGTTATTATTAAAATATGAGATATTGATAGTTCTTGTTACCTGTGGTAAAAGAGTTACTTAAATTATCACCTGTGTTAATCTTTGTGAGTAAGTGGCTATTCATTGCAAGAAATAATTATGGAGGGAACATGATGAATATAAGACCTGTGGGTTTGGCTTACTTCTTCAAAGTGCCCTGGAGAATGTAAGGAAAGAAAGTAACAGGCCAGGTGCAGTGGCTCACGCCTGTAATCCCAGCACTTTGGGAGGCTGAGGCAGGTGGATCATGAGGTCAGGAGATCAAGGCCATCCTGGCTAACACAGTGAAACCCCATCTCTACTAAAAATATAAAAAATTAGCCAGGCGTGGTGGTGGGCGCCTGCAGTCCCAGCTACTCGGGAGGCTGAGGCAGGAGAATGGCATGAACCTGGGAGGTGGAGCTTGCAGTGAGCCGAGATTGCGCCACTGCACTCCAGCCTGGGCAACAGAGCAAGACTCCGTCTCAAAAGAAAAAAAAAAAAAGAAAGTAACAGGCTCAAGCTTTAAATTCTCAGCTCAGTAGATGACAACAATACCAAGAAATTTCTAATATTATCCTAGAAGAATTTAAAAAATCTTTTATAGTAAAGGATTTATGTAGCTGAAAATCATATCTGGAGTCTAATCCTGTGAGTTGCTGAATTAAAATATAGGTTGAATTCAGTCTTGCCAGGTCTCTCAAGTAAAGATAAAGGCACTGATAGGGAAGAGTAGGACCCTTAGGATTAGAATGTGGACAATTGGGATGAGCTGATGACTGAGAACCCCAAACTCATAAACTTTACTTTTGGTACCAATTACTGTATTGTTCAAGATTCTTAGTTGTAGGCAACAGAATACACATTGGCTAATAGGGCATGACCTGGAAGTTGCACTACTTATGCTCACATCCCATTTGCCATTACCTAGTCACATGATCACACCTAGTTGCTAGGGATTGTGGGAAACGTGGTCTTTAACTAGATAGCTGTATACACAGATAAAACTTTTATTACTATAGAAAGAGTGAATGAATACTGGGGAGACAATCAATGGTGTTTCTGTTAACTAAGTTGAGGAATGCAAGAAGAGAAATGAGTTAAGTTGGGAGGCTGTGAGGAGGAAGAAAATAAGTTTGGCTTGGGAAGTGTTAAGTTAAAATGCTTGTGGGACATCTAGTATGAGATGTTCAGTAAGATGGTTAGGGAAAAGGAATCTTGCCTAGAGAGAGTTTAGAATAAGCAAAGAAGGCCAATGTTTGAGACTGAAGTGGAGGAAGAGGAGTCTCTGGAAGAAACCAGGAAAGAGCAGAGAAGTTGGAGGAGACTTAGGAGAAGGCAGTGTCTCAGAAGTCTCTTGAGTTCTTAATGAAGCTTAACGAAGTAGACTGTTATTAATTAATTAATTAATTAGTTTATATTTTTGAGATGGAGTTTCACTCTTGTTGACCAGGCTGGAGTACAATGGTGCAATCTTGGCTCACTGCAACCTCTGCCTCCTGGGTTCAAGTGATTCTCCTGCCTCAGCCTCCTGAGTAGCTGGGGTTACAGGCATGTGCTACAATGCCTGGCTAATTTTGTATTTTTAATAGAGACGGGGCTTCACCACATTGGTCAGGCTGGTCTTGAACTCCTGACCTCAGGTGATCTGTCCACCTTGGCCTCCCAAAGTGCTGGGATTATAGGTGTGAGCCACCATGCCAGCCCGATACTGTTATAAAGAATGACATGCTGCCAAGAGGACAAGTGGGAGACTGAGAAGAGGTCATTTGATTTGTACATTGTTTATTCAGAGGAGTGGTGGGGAGCTGAAGACAAATTATAGTGTGCTTAGTTGTGGATAGGAGGTGAAGTGGGGCTGTGAAGGGTAGAGAGGTAGCCAAAATACGGCAGCAGGTCAGTTGAAAGAAAGCTTATTTTGGGCACAGAAACTCTTGATCATGTCTGTAGGCAGATGGCATAGATCTAAGGTAGGAGAGATTAAAATTCAGAGAAGAGAGGGGAAACTATGGCTGTGATATTTGTGGTGTGGATGGGGTGATATAAAGACACAGTGGGATGGGTCATTAAGAGGAGTAGGGCTGCCTCTTCGGGACAAGAAGGAAGATAACAATTGGTAAAGGAGATGTAGATATGTTAAAAACTTGCAAAGAAATTCTACAAGTCTTTCAAGTAATTTCTACTATGACTTGAATTGTGGAGCTTGGTGCTATGCATTTTCAATGTTTATTAAGCACTCAGATATACATGGAGACCTGGGTTTAAGCAGCTCAATTCCCCAGCACAAGCTCCAGCTTTGAGCTAAGTATGATCTTCTGTTTTGAAGCTCTGAAAGATGGATATTTATAAAAGGAGAAGCGAGGGACATCTCAGAACAAATTCCAGTATGTACAAAAGGGCAGAAGCAGCAGCAATGAGTGTTTTTCAGGAGGCATCTTGGTTTATCATACCATAGCAGCTGGCCCTCAAAGGGCTTCGAGTGCCAGGGACTCACTGACCCTGAGACACAGTAAGGAAAAAATGGAGACCCTCCCAACAAATAATCTCAGCAATAGATTAAATTTGTAAAATGGAACTTAAAAATTTTCTGGTGTGGATGGTAAAATAATTATTGGAGGCCATCAGAGAGTTTCTATGACTCACTGTTTAATGATTTCCAGTAGGATCACAAAGGATTTAAAAGTAAGCTTGAAGCTATTGAGAACAAATAGTGTGCCAAGAATATCAGAGTGGTTTGGGTTTTGGACTCTATGAAAACTGTATTGTTAATTTAGAAAAAAATAAACCCACACTGGATTCCTAAGGCTCTGGAAGTCTGTTATTTTCCTAATGTTGTCTTGTCTCAGCAAGATATTTGACATTCAGAAAAATGCTAAGCAGAGAGAGATAGCTGTCTAAAATCTTGTTGACCAGATCATTTCAGAAGAGTTTTGCAGAGTTGAGAAGCAAAAACTTGAGGAGATTTGGGTGAATTGCTGAGTAGACAGCAGTGAGAAAAGCAGAGTAAGGTGTAAGGAAAGGAACAGGAATGGCGGCCCTTTCCCCAAACCCCTGATGCATAGTTGTTTTTTTTTTTTTCAAAAAGGGCCATAATTATTTCCCTCTCTAAATCCATGACCCTTTGCAATGTAGCTGCAGCTACTCCCATGCAAAGATGATGTCTATTTCCTTGACCCCTGAATTTGGCTGAACTTGTGACATGCATTGGCCAATAGAATGCTAGGGAGGTGAACTAAGCCACTTTTGAGCTTAGTCTTCAAGGGGCCTTATGTACTTTTGCTCTTCCTCTTGGAACCATGAGAGGCATTCAAGAACAAGTCTAGGCTAGCCTGCAGGATGATGATGGGTCAGATATCCCTGTAGCCTCTGTTGACCACCTTAGCCTCAGAAATAGAGCCACCTAGCTAGGAAGCAGCATGACGGTAAACCAGTGGAGTCCAACCCAAATTGCTGACCAATCCACAGAACTATGAACTAAATAAATGGCTGTTGTTTTAAGCCACTAGGATTTGGAGTAGTGATTACATACTGAAAGCTAACTAATACACAACTTTGGGCTTGGTAATGTGATGAAGTAGGGGAAGAGTACGGAAGATGAGAGATGGAACTTGGGAAAACATGCCATCATGAATTGTGCTCTGATATAAACATGGAAGCAAAATTAAAATTGACTGCAGCACTGCAGAGCAATTCCTGTAACTGTGTGTCTCCAGGCTTCTCCCTCCTCCACCTTCTTGTATCAGTACACTGTCTTCCTCCAGCACACATAATGAACCGTATATTGTTCAATCAATCTGTCTTTTCAGATGTGTCCCTGTTTGGGTTTGTCTCAGAGATAGTAAAAAAGAAAAAAAAGAAAGAAAGACAAAAGGCTTCTGTTTCAAGCATTCTTTTTTTCTGGATGGTTTTTTGAAGTTTGTGGTCAAATTATAACTTGGTAAGAAGCTGGTGGCTCAGCAGCCTAGGCGGTGGTAGGTACTTTTAATTATTCATCAGTATTTATTTGGGAAATTTTGTTTCTTTTTTTCTAGTCTTTTAGCAGAGACTCAATTTATGCCACTCAAATCATTCCAAGGCAATTCATGATTCTTTGAAAGAAACAGGCTTTCTCTTACCCGTTTTTCTGCTCAGCATGTTTTATAAAAATTATTGAGACACTTTTGTTAGCTTAAGGTCCATCTCCCACCCTTTATTAACCAGGAGCTTTGCAGGAGACAGTGCTAATGTGAAGTGTTTTTCAACTATCCCATCAAACAAGGGTTCTGAAGGCTCCTCCCAAGAATGGGGCTCCCTGCTCCTCTTGATATCCTTATGAGAGGCCATTGTGGGAAACAGAAGCTCTGTGGAGCCTTTCATCCCATGAGTTAAGATGGGAGGCTGTGAGGAGGAAGAAAATAGGTTTGGCTTGGGAAGTGTTAAGTTAAAATGTTTGTGGGACATCTAGTATGACATGTTCGGTAAGATGGATAGGGAAAAGGAATCTTGCCTAGGGAGAGTTTAGAATAAGCAAAGAAGCCCAACGTTTGAGGATGAAGTTGGGGAAGAGGAGGCCTCAAAGCCCCAACAAAGCCCAGGCAGTCAGAGTGCAGCACTGGCATTTTCAAAGCACTCTGCCATCATTAATTGGTTAAGTTATAACAGGGCTTTGGGAATTAGATAAGTCTTTGCCCCACTTTTTCTCATTTGAAGATGTTTGTTCAGATAGATGGAGGGGGAATATCTGCCTCTCAGAAAGAGCTTTTGTGGCAGACGTGGCAAGCTATGGGTTTCCCAGTCAGACAGCCTGGGGTGGAGTCCTGGCTGCTCCTCATCGGGGATTTAACACTGGGCAAGTTACTCAGCCTCTCTGAGATGCAGATTTCTGATGTGTAAGTGGGGACTTATGCACTTTAGAGAGTTATGTGAGATTTTAAAAATGAGATTATAGGTGTATGTAAAGATGCCTAGTACACGATATACTGTATACATAACTAATGGCAACTACTGTCATTGTGAAGAATAATGCAAGGGGCTTGGATCTTCTGTTAAGATACATCATAGTTTTCTGTATTACTTAGGCAAAACCAATTTGAACCCTAGTCCTAGAGAGCTCACATTGCTGCCCCTCTTCCTGTCTCCCAATCCCATCCACAGTTCTGATGGGATAATTATTTTACCATCCACACCAGAAAATTTTTAAGTTCCATTTAACAAATTTAATGATCCCCTCCCATTTCTGACTTCTTTGCTTCGGGTAGGCGGTTTCTTCTCTCTCACCCTTGCCAAGGAACCCTTTCTCTATTCCTGATTCAGGTAATCCATTATCATGGCCTCCATTGGTTTTCTTGGTTTCCACTTCACTGTGGACAGGCCTAACTTTTAGAACTCAAAAAGTGAAGAAATCCTCTCTTCCTGGCCACTCTTTTTTTTCTTTTTCTTTGAGACAGGGTTTCACTGTCACCCAGGCTGGAGTACAGTGGAGGGATCTTGGCTTACTGCAACCTCCGCCTCCCAGGCTCAAGGGAACCTCCCACTTCAGCCTCCTGAGTAGTTGGGATTACAGGTGAATGCTACCATGTACGGCTAATTTTTGTATTTTTTGTAGAGGTAGGGTTTCATCATGTAACCCAGGCTGCTTGAACTCCTGGGCTTAAGCTATCCACCAGCCTCGGCCTCCCGAAGTGCTGGGATTAGAGGCATGAGCCACTGCTTGCAGCCCTGAAAATCATTCTTACTGCTATGAGCACATAACTTGCCTTACTGACATTGACAAGTTGTGCAAGCCTTCCCAATCTTTCCTACAGTGTGGCATGCCGAGAAAATGATAACATTTGTAGACAAACTTGGGTAACAGATGAGGTTACTTACGGATAGCGCTCTGTCCAGCTGCCCTGAGGACTGAACATTGTCCAGGGCACATTTCTAAGGTGGGCTGGGTGTTGTTGACCATGAGTAGCTTCATTCAATAGATTTTTATTCATCACTGTGCTAGCCCTAGTTATATAATGGTGGACAGAACTCATTTCCTGCCCCCCAGGAGCTGTATTCCCTTAGTACACATGTTAACAGAAATGTCGAGGTGGCAAAATATAGTAGAAAGAAATTGGTCTTTGTGGAATCTGTCAGTTTTGGGTTCAATTCTGGTTCACCCATTTGCTAGCTAATGTGAACTCGAGCAAATTACTGAACTTCTCTGATTTTTAGTTTCTTTTTCTTTTTCTTTTCTTTTCTTTTTTTTCTTTCTTTCTTTCTTTTTTTTTTTTTTTTTTTTTGAGACAGAGTCTTTCTCTGTTTCTCTGTTGCCCAGGCTGGAGTGCAGTGGCTCGATCTTAGCTCACTGCAACCTCCGCCTCCCGGATTCAAGCAATTCTCCTCCCTCAGCCTCCCAAGTAGCTGGGACTATAGACGCAAGCCACCATGCCTGGCTAATTTTTGTATTTTTAGTAGAGACGGGGTTTCACCATATTAGCCAGGCTGGTCTTGAACTCCTGACCTTAAGTGATCTGCCCGCCTTGGCCTCCCGAAGTGCTGGGATTACAGGCGTGAGCTACCGTGCTCGGCCAAATTTCTTATTTAGTAAAATGGAGGCTATAAATCTTCCTGCAGGCTTGAAGGTAGGGAAGAGGAGGAGTTTAATGAGAAATGTTAATTTTGATCCCTATTTATAAATAGGAGGATTTATCTGCAAATGACCAGTTGAGTTCTTTCCAAAAATTCCTGAACACATTCTGAAGGCCTAGGACAATTTTCATCTTGACTGTATTAGAATATAAATGGTATATCACCCCTGACTCCAATTCAGAGAAATATTTGTGATTACCTACCAGAATTATAGATTTCCTCATTCATTTATTAATACAAATAATTACTGCATCCTCATTATATGTCAAGATGGTGTGCTCAGCTTTGAGAGTGTCGTAGTTTGTGTTATAGTAGGGTCTCCATGGACCAGCTCATTAGCTGGACAACAAAGAACTGGAACTCAGCTGTTCAATTTTCTTACCTTGTGCTTTCTCCAAGTCATGCCGTGATGCTATTCATCACAGGAGATAAAAGGATAAATAAGGTACACCCGTGCGCTTCTGCAAACTGAGAACCTGACTAAATTAAGGTATTTAAGCAACTTTACTTTGATGAATTAAGTCAGCAGCACTAACTTCTCTAGTATTAGGGAGGGGTTTTTTTTTTTTTTTACATATCTCAAGTTAAAATTAATAATATTATGAATTTAGAATTACCCTAAATATTTCCCTGAATTTTAAAATAAATAATCTGACTTCCAGTTGCAAATGGCCAGATTATCTCTCCCAGGGCTTGGTATTCTTACTGTCCATCTGTTTCTCTGTCTCTCTGCACACACAGACATAAACACAGACACACATGAGCTAGTGCTAAAGGTCATATCCAAAATATTTGCAGTGAGAAGAGGAAAAATAGATGAAATACATGTGTTTTGTTTTTTTAGCCTACTATCTTGAAGGCCAGTTCTTTAAGAGAAGTCCATTGGCTTGCTTAGTCAGAGAATTCCTAAAGTTTTGTAGTTTGCTCAAGATCTATGTTAAACAAATCCTCTTTCTCTTCTGTTCAAGGCAGAGATTTTATTTACAATAACAATTTGCCTGAAGTCAGATAGAACTAATGGAAGCATAAGCAAGCTTTTAACTTGCAAACTGTTCTTTTCTTTTACAGATAGTAATTGGCATTTGGCCTTTATACATGAAAATTTGGGACTTTCTCTATATTTTCATACTCAAACAAATAAACTGAATATATAATATCTTCCCCAAGAGAAAATAAGCTGGTTTTGGGTTTCTTATGGTTTCAGATGAAGTATAATAGCATGAGACCAAAAGCTGTAGATCTTTTCTATGAATTGATGAAGACTCAAGTGAAATAATTCTTAATTTATACAAGGGCAACTAAAGTTTGCATAGAAAATTAATGTCTTGGTTTTCTCTTCTTTAAAATGTGGACAAGCTAATTAAATGTGCTGTGTAAGACATTTAAAACAATGTTTGACAGATAATAAGTATTCAATAAATGTTAACTATTTATTATGAGAAAATATTTTCTTTTCTTTTTTTTTTTTTGAGACAGAGTTTCTCTCTTGTTGCCCAGGCTGGAGTGCAATCACGCAGTCTTGGCTCACTGCAACCTCCACCTCCTAGGTTCAAGTGATTCTCCTGCCTCAGCCTCCTGAGTAGCTGGGATTACAAGCATGCGTTACCACACCTGGCTAATTTTGTATTTTCAGTAGAGACGGGGTTTCTTCATGTTGGTCAGGCTGGTCTTGAACTCCTGACCTCAGGTGATCCGCCCACCTTGGCCCCCCAAAGTGCTGGGATTACAGGTGTGAGCCACCATGCCTGGTCCAAGAAAATATTTTCAAAAGTACAAATCTTTTTTTTTTTTTTAAACGGAGTTTCACTCTTGTTGCCCAGGCTGGAGTGCAGTGGTGCGATCTCAGCTCACTGCAACCTCCGCCTCTCAGATTCAAGCGATTCTCCTGCCTCAGCCTCCTTAGTAGCTGGGATTACAGGCATGTGCCACCACGCCCAGCTAATTTTGTATTTTTAGTAGAGACGGGGTTTCTCCATGTTGGTCAGGCTGGTCTTGAACTCCCGACCTCAGGTGATCCCTCCCACTGCCTTGACCTCCCAAAGTGCTGGGATTACAGGCATGAGCCACTGCGCCAGGCCCAAAAATACAAATCTTTATACAAATAAAAGATACTGTTTTATGGATAACCGCTATTAAGGAAAGGTTTTATACATTTTATGATGTTTTATATCACACATCTTCCAGTGATTAATGAAGTGAAACTACAGTCATTCTGGCTGCATTTGCAACAGAGATACTAGTTTCTCAGTTGGCTTCTAAGAACCAACATTACGTTTTTGAACATATGATAAGAAATACGTTTGGAACAAACAGCTGATGGTATTACTAGTGGTACGTCATCTCAAAAGCACAGGTGTGGCAGGGTGTGGTGGCTCACGCCTGTAATCCCAGCACTTTGGGAGGCCGAGGCGGGCAGATCACCTGAGGTCAGGAGTTCGAGACCAGCATGACCAACATGGTGAAACCCCTTCTCTACTAAAAATACAAAAATTAGCCAGCCGTGGTGGCGCATGCCTGTAATCCCAGCTACTCAGGAGGCTGAGGCGGGAGAATTGCTTGAACCCGGGAGGTGGAGGTTGCAGTGAGCCAAGATCATGCCACTGCACTGCACTCCAGCCTGGGCAACAGAGTGAGACTCCATCTCAAAAAAAACCAACCAACCAAACAAACAAACAAACAAAAAACAAAAGAAAGCACAGGTGTAAAAAAACAAAATAATTCAAAGTCAGCTTGGTTTCTGAGGCTTCTCTTGCTTTTGTCTTATCTTCTGGTGTGTCCCCCTGCTTTAGCCCAAGGCCAAGTGTGCTGATAAAGGGAAGCAGGTTTATTGCCCCAAATTCAGAGATGGGGCCATAAAGGAAAAACATCCAGTGTAGAGAAATTTTAATTATATTTCAAGTGCATGAGTGTTTTAGTATGTCATGCAACATAATTCTTGGATTTAAAAAAAATTCCAGAAGGTTGAGGCAGAATGGTATTCTGTGGTGTTTGTGTGCATTTAATGGTGGAGTGGGTGGGTGACAGAGAGTACAGAGACTCATGGATTTCAGACAACATATGAACAGTACTGCTTTCCCAGGGCTGATGGACATTTGACAGATTGGTAAATATCACTGTACTAAAATACATTCAATCCAAGCATTTGTGAAAAGGAAAATGCAGTAATTCCAGCAAATAAAAGGAGTATATATTTAATGTTTGGGAGCTTCTAATTAACTTCAAGGAGTCTAAGGCATTTCTTAGGGGAAAAAAATAATTAGATAACTACAGTTTGTCATAGCTTTGTAAAATAACATTGAAGCCAGGTGTGGTGGCTCAAGTGTGTAATCCCAGCTGTTTGGGCGGACAAGGCGGGTGAATCACTTGAGGTCCGGAGTTCGAGACCAGCCTGACTAACATGGTGAAACCCCATCTCTACTAAAAATACAAAAATTAGCTGGGCATGGTGGTGGGTGCCTGTAATCCCAGCTACTTGGGAGGCTGAGGCAGGAGAATCTCTTGAACCTGGGAGGCAGAAGTTGCAGTGAGCCGAGATTGCGTCACTGCACTCCAGCCTTGGAGAGAAAACTAGACTCCGTCTCAAACAAAAACAAAAACAAACCAATACTGAATTTCAGCAATGGAAAGACAAATTGGTACAAAATTATTTTCACCACTACCATCATCATCATCATCATCATCATCATCATCAACTGTGTTATCACATCAAGGGTCAGGTTCTTCTCTAGGTTGTTTCTTGGCTGTTTCCAGTTCCTTCCCTTATTTTTTCTCTCCTTCAGAAGACATCTCTTTGGATGTCACAAAGTCACAATGAGAGGAAACTGGAGAGAGAAGAGGAAGAGAGAAAGAGTGAGCTAAACAGTTTCTAGAGCCTTGAGAAAAGCTCTGGGAGCATGTTTCTGCCAGCTTTAATGTACTCTTGAGAGTTGAACAAGTTTTGTAATTATGTCTGTTACAGTGAGTTCTGAACTACACTTAACCTCTGTTGTCTCCTCAGACACAGTGAGCTCTGTATAGATATTTTTTAGTGGATTAAGCAAGGAGTCACAATTGTTTGAATTCGTAGTGTGAATAAAAATGAAACTTTGGCAATTTAGGGCAAGTTGAACTTGAAAGACCTGAAGAAGTTATGTCACTCTAAGATTCGATGAGTCTTTAGATTCCAGCCATCAGACAGCACTCCCTGAATTCTGTTTCCTGTGTTAGGAGTCAGAAAATGACTTCAAGTCCCGGTTAAGCCATGAAGTGGCCTTGTTACCTTGGCAAGTCTCTGCTTTCTCCCTGTAAAACGAGGAGTGTAGATTAGGCTGGTGCTCTTCCAGCTCTCATATTCTGTGTGATTGTATGAAGAATGAGTTCCACCACTCTTGCCTGATGGAGAGAGAGCCATGGAAATAGACACCTCTTCACTGATATTCAAAGGCATTCATGAACGTGTCCCTAGCTTGGATTGGACTATAAATACTAAAAATAAAGAGTAGATTTGTCTTTCTGCTATATGTACTTTGGTCCCTGACCTTTGGGACAACCTCATTAATGTCTTCTTTATTATTTAAGAGCTTTGACTGTCCCTCAGTGTATGTTACCAGGCTCTTGTTCTCATGTTTTAAACGTAGTACTGTGCACTTTGTGAGAATAACAAATAGGGGAAATATATGCAGTGTATGGATAGGAAGTGGTTTCCTTAGCAACGGTTGCAATAAACAAAATATATCACAGAATGTGGATTTTCCCCTACTTTGATTACTCCCAAATTTAGTCCCTAGCCTATATACTTCATCTTTTCTTCTATACTGTAAGACAATACAGAATCATGCACTCTCTCTTTTTTTCTTTTTTTAAGACTAGTCACATGCAGTAGTGAGATGGGAGGAAAGAGTAGAAAAAGGAGTTTGATCTGTAACTGACTGTGAACAGCCAATTGAGATAACTCACTACCTTTGGACCAACCTCTCTTAAGAATCTATTGTAATTTGGAGGGTGAACTGGGATTCTACATATATGCCTCACATAGTGGTGCCTTCACTGCTGTTTGGGTGCTGTATTAAAGCACATGTTTTTACCTGGCTTATTTCTCCCTTGGAACTGTTCAGAAATCTGAATGACCTGTAAAAGTTGTTTTCCTTTACCTTTCCTGGTCTTCCATACCCTTATGCCTATTCCTTCTTAATGTCATTTTGAAATACAAACATCCAAAACCATAGAAACCACAGTGTGTAAATGTTGAGGGAGCTCAGATGTTTACTTGGAGCCATAAGGACTGGGAGAGAATGTGAGTCTTACTGTCATTGTATAAAGTAATTGCTAACCCCTGGCTGCCCCCTTTGATCTCTTTTTCAAGCCAAGCTTCTGCAATATGAGATAGCTATTTTAATTTTTTATTTTTTCTGGGATGGAGAGGAGACTTAGCACAACTTGCTAGAATTAGTTTGCAATATAGGCCGGGTGCGGTGGCTCATGCCTGTAATCCCAACACTTTGGGAGGCCCAGGCAGGTCAATCACCTGAGGTCGGGAGTTTGAGGCCAGCCTGGCCAACATGGTGAAACCCTGTCTCTACTAAAAATACAAAAATTAGCTGGGCGTTGTGGCGTATGCCTGTAATTCCAGCTACTTGGGAGGCTGAGGAAGGAGAATTGTTTGAACCCGGGAGGTGGAGGTTGCAGTGAGCTCAGATCGTGCCATTGCACTCCAGCCTGGGTGACAGTCTAAAAAAAAAAAAAATCCAGTAACATAATGTTCTGGTATGACTTGGCATTGCCTAAGCTTGCCCTTCTTCAAATTAATTTAGTAAGAAACCAGAAGAGTTCCCAAGAACATTCTGGTTGAAGTTTGAACATTCTGGTTGAAGTTAGAACATTCTGATTGAAGATTCTAGGGATAGTCTCTCCTGCCTAATTGCTTCAGGAATGGGAGCACAGTAGACTGAGAAAAGCAATATTGCTGGTATATTCTGGGCAGTTGTCCACCAAATAATGTTAATCCTGATCCTTTTCTTAATTTTTCCCTTCTAAACTGCATAAGAGACAGAAGTCACAAAACAATTTTTTTGTTTTGTTTTGTTTGTTTTTTTAGTAGAGATGGGGTTTCACCACATTGGCCAGGCTGATCTTGAACTCCTGACCTCAAGTGATCTGCACGTCTCGGCCACCCAAAGTGCTGGGATTATAGGCGTGAGCCACTGCACCCGGCCTACGAAACAATTTTAATGGCATTTCCTTAACCATTATTTTCTTTTAAGATGTCATTACTAATGAACTGCACATCACAGCCTTCCTTCTGGAGGAGGAAGCTTCCTGTCACCATCCCATTTTTCTCTGCAGGAGAAGGAAAACACACTTGACGTCCTTTGACTATGCATGTGCTTGTTTGGTCCAGGGAACTGAGGTGTGCAACTTGCTTTCCCACTCCTATAGAGCGTTCTGAATTATTGCTTGCTGTTTTGTTTTTTTGAGACAGTGTCTCTCTCTGTCATCTAGGCTGGAGTGCGGTGACATGAACACAGCCCACTGCAGCCTCCCAGGTTTAAGTGATTCTCCCACCTCAGCCTCTTGAGTAGCCGGGACTACAGGCATGCACCACTATGCCTGGCTAAGTTTTAAATTTTTTCTAGGGACAGGATTTCGGCATGTTGTTCAGGCTGGTCTCAAACTCCTGGGCTCAAGCAATCCTGCCACGGCCTTCCAAAGTGCTGGGATTATGGTGGCTGAAATTTTTAATAACAGTGAAACAATTGGTGGCCATAAAGCAAAAAAAGAGAAACAAGTTGGAGCCTGAAGGGTGATGTCTTTGAGCTTCTGGAGTGATAGAGAAATGGTCAGGTGAAACAGCAGCTCAACACCAGATGGAAACCAAGTAAAGAGAGGCTTCCACTTTTGGCTCTCAGGCGCACCCCAGCTGGGGCCCCTGGTGAGAGGAGACTGGGGTTGTGAAGGATGGTGTTGCCAGGTGGTGGAGGCCAGGGTAGAAATGAGAAGTGTGATCTTAAGACCAGTTAGAGGGTTCTGGCATCACCCCTGCTTGACCATCGTTTACTGGTGGTATCTTCAAGAGCCTCTAAGGTCCGTGGAGTTGGCACAAACAAGCATTGACAGTGAAGCCCAGTAGTCTTCAACATCATATAATTACTGGGCATTACATTGCATAAACTGCAATGTGAATTGAACAAAGACCCATTACAGGAGTGCGAAAAAGCAAGTAATCATGCCCTGTTTCCTCACTAACTGCCTGCCTCACCTTTAATGTGCTCCTCCCTTCCCTTGTTCCCCAGTCCTTGGCCTATGGTCTGAAGTAGAAATGTTTTCCATATTTATTCTGTCTGGTACTGTTTCCTCTGAGATTGACAGATGGTTCAAATTTCATTTTGAGGTATGCCTAAAGGATAAAAACTCCACCTCTACTTCTTTCCTTTCATATTTATATCTTCTTTTTTCCTCTTTTTTTTCCCCTCTCCTTCTCTCTTCCTTGTGTCTTTTTACATTTGCTAGGTCGAATTTCCCCTTCTCTACTTATTTTATCCTGTATCTCAGTTTCCTTTTTTTTTTTTTTTTTTTTTGAGACGGAGTCTTGCTCTTTCACCCAGGCCGCACTGCAGTGGCGCTATCTTGGCTCACTGCAAGCTCCGCCTCCCGGGTTCACGCCATTCTCCTGCCTCAGCCTCCCGAGTAGCTGGGACTACAGGAGCCTGCCATCACGCCCGGCTAATTTTTTTTTGTATTTTTAGTAGAGATGGGGTTTCACCGTGTTAGCCATGATGGTCTCGATCTCCTGACCTCGTGATCCGCCCGCCTCGGCCTCCCAAAGTGCTGGAATTACAGGCGTGAGCCACCGCGCCCGGCCCTCAGTTTCCTTTTACTTCATTATCTATTCTGTGGGGAAGATGATTTACTTTGTGCAATGGTATATAACTCGATTTCTGACATCCAAGAATCCCTTTCCCTGCCTAATTTGACTTTAAAAGGGTTCAAAGAGGATGATTTCGTATAAAAAGTTGAGTCGATTTAACTATCTATCAAAAGAAAAGTCTCCCAGATACTTTGCGTCAATTACTAGTTCTTTTCTGTCTTGCGTATTTGCACCGAGAAAGAATTCTGTTGGCCCATATGCTGGGTTAGTGCCAGAATAAGATGGGCTTCTGTCCCCATCACTCCATTGAAGGGGCTATTGTCAAGGTTACCTGTGACCTCTGCATTGCCAGCTTTGATGTCTTCTGTGTCCTCCTCTTGCCGACCTCTCTCCAGGGTTGCCTCACTTGTCTTCTGCTCTCCTTTCTGTTGCTGGCCACTTATGCTTCCTGACTCACCCTTCCTCCCTTCTCTGTTTCAATTGCCTGTGCCCTAGGGTCAGACCCAGGCCTCTTCTCTTCTTTATCCAAATTCTCTCCTTGAGGATCTCATCTTTAAATATCACTTATATCTTGAAGACTTCCTCCTCTTCCTCCTCCTCTTCCTCCTCCTCCTTTTCTTCTCCTCTTCCTCCTCCTCCTCCTTCTTCTCCTTCTTGTTTTTTTGTCTTCTCCTTCCTCCTCCTCCTCTTCTTCTTCTTCCTCCTCCTCCACCTTCTCCCCCTCCTGTTCCTCCTTCTCCTCCTCCTTCTCCTCCTTCTCCTCCCCCTTCTCCTCCTCTTCCTCCTCCTCCTTCTTCCTCCTTCTCCTTCCCCTTCTCCTCCTCCTCCTTCCTCCTTCTCCTCTCCCTTCTCCTCCTCTCCCTTCTCCTCCTCTCCCTTCTCCTCCTCTTCCTCCTCCTCTCCCTTCTCCTCCTCTTCCTCCTCCTCCTTCTTCCTCCTCCTCCTCCTTCTTCCTCCTCCTCCCTCCTCCTCCTCCTCCTTCTTCCTCCTCCTCCCTCCTCCTCCTCCTCCTCCTTCTTCCTCCTCCTCCTCTTCCTCTTCTTTTGAGACAGGGTCTCTCTCTGTCACCCAGGCTAGAGTGCAGTGACGCTATCACAGCTCACTGCAGCCTCAAACTCCAGGGCTCAGGTGATCTTCCCACTTTGGCCTCCCAAAGTGCTGAGATTACAGGCCTGATTCACTGCACCTGGCCTTGAAGACTTCTAAGTATAAATCAATAGCCCTAACCTCTCCCCTAATCTCCAGATTTCTAACAAGAAGAGATCTTGTTTGTGCAGATGTCTCCTGACATCTTCTCCTGAATAGACATAGCAAACTGAGCCATGAGCAACACAAACAGAAATTATTCTCACTGCCACCCCCTCCCAACATGCCTTCCTCACAGCCTTTCTAATTCCGGTAAGTGGTATTGCATCCACTTAGTAGCTCAGTCAAAAGTCACACTCCATGCCCACCTCTAATCTGTTACCATTTATACTTCTAAAATAAATTGGAAATTCATTCCTTTATTTATTTATTTTTGAGACAGAGTTTCACTCCCATCACCCAGGCTGGAGTGCAGTGGCGAGATCTTGGCTCCCTGCAACCTCCACCTCCTGGGCTTGAGCAATCCTCCTGCCTCAGCCTCCTGAGTATCTGGGACTACAGGGGCCCACCACCATGCCTGGATAATTTTTTTGTGTTTTGTCGAGATGGGGTTTCTCTCTGTTGCCCAGGCTGGTCTTGAACTCCTGGGCTCAAGTGATCCACCTGCTTCAGCCTCCCAAAGTGCTGAGACTACAAGCTTGAGCTGCCGCACCTGGCCCCATTCCCTTTTTACAATACTACTGTTATCACCCTTGTCCATGCAACTATATTTTATTGCCTGTAAGACTACAGTCATTTCCAAAGAAGTTTCCCTGTTTCTACTGTTGTGCTTGTTATGGTACTTCCTCCACACAGCATCCAGAATAATTTTCAAAAATGTAAATCAGATTGCATCACTCCCTTTCTTAATAACCTTTTGCACTGCCCCATGTCCGCGTCCCTGAGCCCATAAAACCCTCTTCTTTGCATTCTTTAGTGCATTATTTCCGCTGTAGTACTGACCTCCTGAAAAGCTCAAGCCTCTTTTATGCTATATGGTTTCTTTCCCACAGATAAAGTAAGAATAAAAATATTTATGGATCTGAAAATTCCTTAAAGTATTTGTTACTGTGCAGGAGGTAGAAAACTTCCTAGGTAACCTCTTCTTCTTTTTTTTTTTTTTGAAACAAAGGCTGGAACTTCAGGGACCAGTGATGTTGTCAGTTTTCTACTATCTGATGAAGGATACTGAAGAGAGTGAAAAAAATAGTATAGACTTGGGGAGAAAGGAATGGATTTGTGGGAGAATAAAATGGGAAAGTAAAACAGAGTGGGGAAGGGGGAGCTAAAAAGAAAAGCACCCAGGATAAATCTTTTCCTTGCTTTATAATTCATATCATAGTAAAATTTTATAAATTTAGTTTCTGTAGAAAAAGGAATAATAAAATGATATTAATTAGGATCATATTCATAATTATACTGTTTCTCTCTGAATTTATATAATCTTTCTGCAAAGAGCTAAAAATGGCTTAAAAAGCTCTAATGATATTATATTATTTAGCAATGTGTCTGTAATAGACATTAATGATACAGTATTAAACCAATCCATAGAGCTTTCTAAAGGTACGGTAGGCTAATATAACACCAGAAACCTAATTGCTGCTCTCAGAATTTAGAATTGAAATTAGCTTAATGATATAAAATTTTTTAATAGGAAAAGCTATCCACAAATAGTTGCTATCATGTAGTTTTTCAGTGTAAAGAAAATTTAAAAAATCAATAAAAACAAAATGATTACTCAGACCTTGTTACATAGATATCGCTGTTAGACGTCCTCCTTTTCTAAGATAACCTATTGTGTGGTTTTCAGAGCCTTTTATAAGTCAGCCACTAGAGAGCAAACTTCTTCTTTTTATCAGGCCGTAGTTTTATTTTTTTTAAAAAATACACACCACGTATATATTGGGAATCTCACAATGACACATTATCTCAGACTGTAAAATCTGATAATATAGCTTCTAGATGCCTGGGGCAGTGGGTGTAGGGGATGAAGTGGGAAATTTTAAGGCCGTTTATATTAAAAACACAAGAAAGAACAAGATAAGATGTTGTAATGTTGAACTACCTTCCTGGAGTGAAAATGAAACCTTCTGCTAATGGAGCATAAAGTCTTACGTTTCATGCCATGTAATAAAATATGATAGGCATTGTTTGGTCTGACAGGTATCTTGGGCCTTTTTCCAGACTAGGGTCTCCAGGGAGCTCAAAGACATGTTACTGTTTCCAGGTGAAATGTAGATAAATTACATTGTCAGCTACCTTTGCTGCCTCCAGTTCCAGAGGCTCCAGTCACACAAAAGAAAGCTGCCAGTTCCAGAACACTCTCATCTATTGGACTAACCCCCAACTATTGACATCCTTTCCAAAGGTCAGGATGGCACCCAAAACATCAATATACAGGCAGATCAATCTGCTAAAGGGTGCCAGGGAACAGAAGGATTTACTGCACATAGAAATTCCAATTTTTCAGGCCCCAGAGTGTCTCAGCCTCCTTTTTGGCCAAGAATGGGAGATACTCAGCTAGGTAAACCACTTTCTCTTCTGGTGGCCTGTTGGCAATTGGCCCCGTTCTCATGACCCTAGAGTCTCATGGCTCACCAAAGTCGTCAGAATCAAGTTTCATCTCTGTTATTTGGGCTTTGGGCTATTTGAAGGTTTATAGTTTAAAATTTGAACTTTTTAGATATTTCAAAAAAACAGTATTGGATTGGTGCAAAAGTAATTGCAGATTTTGCCATTACTTTATACCAACCTAATATTAAGAGCTGTAGGAAGATTATAAAAGATATCCAAGAAGGGAGATTTCAAAACCTTCCAAGGGAACACTTTCCAGGGTTTATTGGCTATTCCGGTTAGATTATTTTTCTTTTCTTTTCTTTTTTTTTTTGTTGAGACAGAGTCTCGTTCTGTCACCTAGGCTGGAGTGCAGTGGCATGATCTTGGCTCACTGCACCCTCTGCCTCCCAGGTTCAAGTGATTCTCCTGCCTCAGACTCCTGAGTAGCTGGGATTACAAGTGCCCACCACCACACCTGGCTACTTTTTGTATTTTTAGTAGAGACGGGGTTTCTCCATCTTGGTCAGGCTGGTCTCAAACTCCTGATCTCAGGTGATCCTCCCACCTTGGCCTCCCAAAGTGCTGGGATTACAGGCATGAGCCACCATGCCCCGCCAGGTTATTTTTCTTATGTTGAATTGGCTCGTGTGAAATTGTCAATATTTGAACAATTTGGCTTATAAAAATGGCCATTTTACAGAGTTCAACCTAATACTTTATGCTACAGGGCCTTCTGTGAAGAGGTCTTTTACAGGCATTGTTCACCACTTCATAATCAATCAACAATCATTGCCTGCCCACTAAGCACTCAGCACAATGTCAATGCAACTCAACAAAGATATATTATTGACTCTCTGCAAGGTGCTTTGGTGAGTACTGCAGCAAACATTAGGGTCAGCTAGATGAGGTCCTGTCTTTACAGAGCTTATGTTCCAATGAGAGAAAGTAAAATTAATCACTTGGACAGTGTTATGTTTTCTACAGTTAAAATGTTGTGGGAGTATGAAAGAGGATGAGATTCAATCCTGACTGGGGGACTCCAGGAAGGTTCATTGCTGGGATGGCACTTGGATGGAAGGGCTGACACTTAACACGGAAGAGGTGCTAATTTAGTTGGGACTTGAAGGAGGCATAAGATTATTCTTACAATTTCCCATCAAATATCTGTAGCTGTGGTTGTTGTTATCAGTAGACGGTAAAATTTCTGAGGGCAGTGGTCTCTCTGTAGTCACACGGTGCCTGGCACAGAGTTAGAGGCTCCACTCTATGCTGCCAAGTCAGTGCAGTATAGTAGGTGAGAACACTTGTCCTGAATCCAGGCCGCTACTTCACTAGCTGTGTGACCTTGAGCAACTTATTCAACTTCTCCGTGTCACAGTGTCTTCATCTATAAAATGTGGGTACATAATAGCACCTATCTATGTTCTCCTGTGGAAATCAGACATGACTGGGCATTTCCACAGTTCTGTAGGGCAGCCCAACTAAATTTGTTTCACGGACACACCAAGGAGCCCCCAAGGAAAGAAGTTGAGCTAAACTTAAGGAAGACAGAGTCAGGCTGACATGTCTGGCTCTACCCTGAAGCCCCAGGGAAGAAGCAGAGGCAAGACACAGCATCTGTCACTTTGGCCCAGTTCTGTGTCCTGATTCCTGCAGTGGGGTTTGTGTGTGTGTTTGTGTGTGTGTGTCTGTGTTTGTGTGTGTGTTAGAGATATTTCACCTAAATATCTATAAGACCCCAAGGTCTCGGCAGAATTGCTTTTATAGCCCCTAGATAGATTGTAGCCCATGATGGGTGTAGGGCTGAGATTTTGGAGGATTGATAGCTCCAGAGACCGCAGGTCAATACTATCACCTCCAGGTCCCCAGGGCTTCTGCTGGGTGGCAGAGGTCCCTGGCAGACACTCCAGAGAGGATTGTTCATGAGGACATTGGAGACAGCCTCTAAGAACACCCAGAAATTTTGGGTGGGTGGGGCTTCTCTGCAGAAGAGGAGTCCTACTATAGCAGGCAGGGTGAAAATCAGCATAAGGAAGGTTACGGCCTAATGCCACCCAATTTGTATCCTTCAGGTTGCTGTAGTCTGGGGCACATCAGAATCCTGACTTCAATTTGGCAATTTCCATTGTAATTGAAGGTCTGAAAAGTTCTTAAAAAGTTCACTTCTTGCCTAAGAAAGTAACATATCTCATTGTGGGTGGTTAAAAAAATAGAAAAACATAAAAAATTAGATTAAAGTAGCCCTTAGTTTATCATACAATGAGATTTACTTTTGATGTATTTTTAAAAGGTATTTTGATGTATTTCCATCTAATTTTTTTATTTGTTTTTTGAGAAAGAGTCTTGCTCTGTTGCCTAGGATGGAGTACAATGATGAGACCTCTGCTTGCTGCAACCTCTGCCTTCCTGGTTCAAGCGATTTTCCTGCCTAAGCTTCCCGAGTAGCTAGGACTACAGGTGCATGCCACCATGTCTGGCTAATTTTGGTATTTTTAGAAGAGAGAGGATTTTGCCATGTTAGCCAGCCTGGTCTCGAACTCCCGGCCTCAAGTGATCTGCCTGTCTCAGCCTCCCAAAGTGTTGGGATTACAGGTGTAAGACACCATGCCTGGTTAGAATTTTTTTTTTTTTGAGACGGAGTCTCGCTTTGCCACTCAGGCTGGAGTGCAGTGGCATAATCTCAGCTCACTGCAACCTTTGCCTCCTGGGTTCAAGAAATCCTCATGTCTCAGCCTCCCAAGTAGCTGGGATCACAGGCATGCACCACCATGCCCTGCTAATTTTTTTTGTATTTTTAGTAGGGACAGGGTTTCGCTATCTTGGCCAGGCTAGTCTTGAATTCCTGACCTCAGATAATCTTCCCACCTTGGTCTCCCAAAGTGCTGGGATTACAAGCATGAGCCACCACGCCCTGCCACTGGTTAGATTTTAAACTAACAAGAGAGATGCATGTTTGGAATTTGCTAAATTTATCTAAATATCTATATTTGCTATAAAAATTTTACCCACTTTTATTCTCCCTGTTTCACTTAACACCCTATTTTGAATATTTTCCTATATTATTAACTATTATTGAAAATACTATTTAATATACATATTCCATATGGGTTACTCTAATTTTTAAAGTAATTTTTATTAAGGTGTACTATGCAAATATTGCATGCAAATATTCTACAAATGAAATAGTGCTAAATAGCATAAAAACAGAATGAATGATGCTTTCTCTACTCACCCTCAACTCCTTTGTCCTTGTCAAGAGGAGCTACTTTCAGTTTTCACTAGCAGCTTATTTTGAAATTTGCCTCCATATTTAAAAACATGATTAATATCCTATTATTTCTTCATTTACCAAGTTTAGTACATATAGTGAGGACTTCTGCTTATTTTTACCCTCCTTTCTTTCTCGAATCTTCCTGATGTAATTATATTTTAATTTTTACCTAAGTACATATTCAGTATGTCTATGATTATTACTTTGTGAATATTGTTCACTGTCAACCTCTAAGTGATATACTGTGATTATATTTTCTTGTGCATTTTTAATTTTTTCTTGGAGTTAATAATTGTCATTTTTGCTTGCTTAAATTTCTTGACACACAATGTCTCCCTACTTTCTAACAGCTCTGTAAAATGACTCTATGTCATTTTCTACACAGTCAAATCTGTCATTTAATTTATCAGTTCTATTTTATTGTGTAAAATTCCTTCTGAAGCCCTCTGACCTCCTGCTCCCTTATGGACTTGTTCTCCCTAGGCCAGGTGTCTCTAGATTTATATTTTACCTTATTTTAATTTTATTATTATTATTATTATTATTTTGAGACAGAGTCTTGCTCTGTCATCCAGGCTGCAGTGCAATGGCGTGATCTCGGCTCACTGCAAACCTCCACCCCCTGGGTTCAAGCGATTTTTCTACCTCAGCCTCCCGAGTAGCTGGGATTACAGGCATGCACCACCACACCCGGCTAATTTTTTGTGTTTTTGGTAGAGATAGGGTTTCGCCATGTTGGCCAGGCTGGTCTTGAACTGCTGACTTCAGGTGATCCACCCACCTCGGCCTCCCAAAGTGCTGAGATTACAGGCGTGAGCCACCGCACCTGGTTAGATTTTTAAATAATAGGCTGTTATCAATTATTTTAAAAAGCACATGCCTCCAATATTTGTATTATTAATGTTTATAAAATATATCCTTTTTCTATAATAAAGTAGAATGCACACGGTGAAACATGAACAAATTAGAAATTTTTAAAGGCTAACATAAAAATAAAATTTAAAAGGTATTAATTTCCTTCTTGTGCCTTAGTGGTTGTCTTTCACTCATTGGGGTGGGAGACCAATGCTCTAGGCTTACTCACAATGATTGTCTTGGGATTTTCCTTTGCCATCAATCTAGAAATTACTTTAGTCTATTTTTTTGTATTATTTCTTGGATTTAATGTTTCCTTCTTAGTTTTCACCCTCATTTTGATGGAGCACACCTTCTAGTAGCTTCCTAAGAAAAAGTTTAAGGGAGGCAAATTTCTGAGGTATTGCCTGTCTAAAACATCTTTATTTTTAGAAGAATAAAAAATAAAAGTAATGGACTGGGAGAAAATATTTACAAAACACATATCTGATAAAGGGCTTGTATTCAGAATATACAAAAACTCTTAAAACTCAACAATAAAAAACCCAAACAACCCAATTTAAAAATGGGCAAAATATCTGAACAGACATCTCACCAAAGAAGATATTGTATCATATGAAGCTTGACATTACATGTCCTCAGGGAATTGCAGATTAAAACAAGAATGAAGCTGGACGCAGTGACTCACACCTGTAATCCCAGCACTTTGAGAGGCTGAGGCGGGCAGATCACTTGAGCCCAGGAGTTTGAGGCCAGCCTGGGCAACATGACAAAACCCTGTCACTACAAAACAAAAAAATTCAGCCAGGCACGGTGTGCTCCTGTAGTCCCAGCTACTTGGGAGGCTGAGGTGGGAGGATCACTTGAGCCTGGGAGGCAGAGGCTGCAGTGAGCTTACATTGTGCCACTGCACTCCAGCCTGGGTGACAGAGCGAGATTCTGTCTCAAACAAAAACAAAAACAAGAAAAACAAAAAACAATAACGAGATATCACTACACACCTATTAGAACCTGAAAATTTGAAACACTGACACCACCAAATGCTGTTGATGAAATGGAGCAACAGGAACTCTGATTCATTGCTGGTTGGAATGCAAAACAGTACAGCCACTTTGGAGAACAGTTTGGTAATTTCTTACAAAAGTAAATATAGTATTACTACACAATTCAGCAATCATGCTCATTAGTATTTACTCAAATGAGTTGAAGATTTATATCCAACCAAAAAAACTGCATATGAATATTTATAGCAGCTTTATTCATAATTGCCAAAACTTGGAAGCAACCAAGATGCCCTTCAATAGCTGAATGAATAAACATACTATGGAACATCTATACCATAAAATATTATTTAGCAATAAAAAGAGGTAAGTTATCAAGCCAAGAAAAGCCATGGAGGAAATGTAGATGCATATTGCTCAGTGAAAAAAGCTAGTCTGAAAAGACAATATACGGTGTGCTTCCATCTATATGATATTCTGGAAAAGGCAAAACTGTAGAGACAGTAAAAGGATCAGTGATTGTTAGGGGTTCAAGAGGAAGGGTGAGAGGGCTGAAGACATGGAACATGGGATTTTTAGGCAGTGAAACTACTCTGTATGATACTATGATAGTGGATCCATTTGATTATACATTTGTCAAAACCCATGGAAGTGTAAAACACAGAGTGAACCCTAATATAAATTATGGACTTTAGTAAATAATAGTAATGTATCAATATTCATTCATCAATTGTAACTAATGTATCATACCCATGTGAGATGTCAATAACAGAAAAAACTGTGGCAGAAGGTGGGGGAAAAGTGTAGGGAAAGGGATGTATGAGTGCTCCTTAATTTCTGTTCAATTTTTCTATAAACCTAACAGTGCTCTAAAAATAATATCTATTAATTTTCTCTTTATGTTGTATGAATAATTTGATTGGGTAGGGAATTTGAGACTGAAATAATTTTTATGCAGAATTTTTGAGACTTTGCTCCATTGCCTTCTAAATTTCTGTGTTGCTGATAGAAATCTTGTGCCATTTTAAGTTGTGATTCATAGTATAACCTGTTCTCTCTCGCATCCATCCCCTAGACCTTTTCAAAATCTTTTCTATTTTTAGTGTTTTGAACTTTTGTAGTGACGCAGCTCTTTCTTTCATTAATTGGCTTTTTAATCTGAAGACTCATGACTAGTAGTCCTAGAAAGTATATGATTTCTTTGATAATTTCCCTTTATTGTTTTCTACCTTCTCTCCTATTAATTTAGATCTTTGAATTTATTTTCTAATTATCTTTTTTAATGCCAATCTCTTTGTGTATTTGTTTGTTTTGTTTGCTTTTTTGTTGTTGTTGAATTCTTTGTCCTTTCCTAGACCTTATTTCCCAGTCCCCCAATTGAGTCTGTCCTTTTTGCTATCATCGTTTCTTCTCTGAAGCTATGAATGGTAGTATGTTCGAAATTTTCTTCTGCCCTCAGCATTGTTTCACTTTCCTATGTACCATTCCCCTCATCCCCCCATTGTTTATTTTTTTCTCTCATGTTGGAGGCTTTCCTCAAATTTCTGGTACAAGAGAGTCTATCTAGTTATTTATAGTTAGGAATGGAGCACTAAAAAGGTGGTTGGAAGCTGTGTGTGCATGTGTGGGGTTGGTTGCTGTGGAACAAGTGATGAGCAGAGAGCTTTTGAATTGAACTCCTTATATGTTAGCATATATTGGTGTCTTCAGGTTCATTGTCTTCAGAGAAGGATACTAACCATCTCCTGCCTGGGATGTAAGATTGGCTGCTTGTGTTCTAGAACTGAGTGAAAAATCCAGGATGCAGATTTTCATTTGATCCCTCTGTTCTCAGCATAGTACTGCATCTCTACCCTCCTTTTTGCCCAGTTTCTTAATTCCGAAGACTTTCTGGTTTGATTCCTCCAGATACTATAGGGTAAAGAAGGGGTAGCTACCTGACCACACAGAATAAAAATGAGAACCTAATTTAGGAGTGGCTTAATTGCTCTTTATATATTTTTATCAACGAATCCTCATCTTCAGCTCATTGGTTCACACCTGTCCTCAAAGGTCTCTAGTTCTCCTATTTTCTGAGCTCTTCCAAGGTTCTGTGCACCAAATCACTATTCAATTAATGTTAGTTATTAATACTATGGTATTGGTGTTGTAATTTATTGCCATACACTGTGTAGATATTTTGGTTTGACCTTCTTTTCTCCCTGCATGGTCATTTATCATGCTCCTGTTTTTAATCTTCATATATAAGGGGCTGAGATCTAGTTGTGGTGGTAGTCAGAAAAATGATCCCCCAAAAGATATCTAGGTCACAATCTTAGAATATGTGAATATTATATTTTTTGGGAAAGAAGTCTTTGCAGATGTGAGTAGATTCATGATTTTGAGATTAGGAGATTACCTTGGATTATCTAGATGGGCCCTAAATGCCACCACAAGTGTCCTTATACAAGAGGCACACAGAGTAGAAGACAGATAGGAAGAGAAGGAGGCAATGTGTCTACAGAGGTAGAGATTGGAATGGTGCAACCACAAACCAAGGCAGGGCTGAAGCCACTAGATACTAGAAGAGGCAAAGAGTGGTTATCTCGTAGAGTCTACAGATGGAGGGCAGTCCTGCCAACACCTTGTTTTGGACTTCTGGCTTCCAGAGTTGTGGCAGAATACTTTTTTTTTTTCCCTGAGACGGAGTCTCGCTCTGTCGCCAGGCTGGAGTGCTGTGGCGTGATCTCGGCTCACTGCAACCTCCACCTCCTGGGTTCAGGCGATTCTCCTGCCTCAGCCTCCCAAGTAGCTGGGACTACAGACACGTGTCACCATGCCCCAGCTAATTTTTTTTTTTCTGTATTTTTAGTAGAGACAGGGTTTCACCATATTGGCCAGGATGGTCTCGAAGTCTTGACCTCATGATCTGCCCGGCTTGGCCGCCCAAAGTGCTGGGATTACAGGCGTGAGTGACCGCACCCAGCCACAATTTTTATTTATTTTTTTTGAGATGGAGTCTCGCTATGTCATCCAGGCTGGAGCGCAGTGGCGTGATCTCGGCTCACTGCAACCTCTGCCCCCTGGGTTCAAGCAATTCTCCCACTTCAGCCTCCTGAGTAGCTGGGATTACAAGCGTGAGCCACCATGCCTGGCTAATTTTTGTATTTTTAGTAGAGACAAATTTTCCCCATATTGGCCAGGCTGATCTTGAACTCCTGGCCTGAAGTGATCTGCCCACCTTGGCCTCCCAAAGTGCTGAGATTACTGGTGTGAGCCACTGCACTCAGCCCCATTTCTTTTTTAAGCCACTTAGTTTTGGTAATTTGTTACAGAACCCTAAGAAATGAATACAAATCACCATCTAGTTTTATCAAAGATGGTATTTATGTTTCAGTTTTATGTTCTTTTGGTGGTTATGAAAAGGGAGCACTTAATGTCTATCTTGAAACTAGAAGTCATATATCATACTTTTTCTCCAATTTTTGAACATTTTGGTTGCTTCTAGTCTTCACTGTGATGACTCACATGGAACATTCCGGTGATGGAGAACTTAGAAAAATACTAGCATTTGTATTTATTACTCAATAGGTCTTTTTTTTTTTTTTTTTTTTTTTTGAGATGGAGTCTCACTCTTGTTGCCCAGGCTGGAGTGCAATGGCACAATCTTGGCTCACTGCAACCTCCATCTCTGGGGTTCAAGCAATTCTCCTGTCTCAGCCTCCTGAGTAGCTGGGATTACAGGCGTGCACCACCATGCCCAGCTAATTATTGTATTTTTAGTAGAGACGGGGTTTCACCATGTTGACCAGGCTGGTCTCGAACTCCTGACCTCAAGTGATCCAACTGCCTCAGCACTCCTTATATCTTTTATTTAAGTTTCTGATTATTTCCTTTAAATGATTCATAGAAGGTACACAATAAATTTACAAATCAAAGGGTCCTAATCTTAGTTTTGATGTCTATTGATAAAAAGCTTGCCTGAAAGTTTTGTTGTTGTTGTTGTTGCTTTAATGGGAGATTCTTATTATTACTCAAATCAGTCTCCAAAAATATGGAAGCCTAGGGTTTTTCAAGGACAGTTTAGCAGGTAGGAGGCCAAGGACTGGGGAGTGCTGATTGTCTGGGCTGGAGATGAAATCATAGGGAGTCGAAGCTGTCCACTTGTGCTGCGTTGGTTCCTGGGTAGGGGCCACAGGACTGGTTGACGGGCCTGGGTGGAGCTATTCAGTCATGAGAAATACAAAAACCTGAAAAGACTATGAAAGTGATGTTATTTGCAGGAATAATTGGGGACAAATATATTTATATACCCACTAGAGGTATGTCAATGCCAGTTTAACCCAGATTCACCAACAATGAAAATTATTGAAATAACTGCTAATAATACATAAGAAGAGCATCTTATTTTAATTTGTATTTTTTAATTGTTGTGTTGAGTATTTGTACCTATGGTTATTGTTTGTATTTCTTTGTCTAAATATAGCTTGCTTGTGTCCTTTGTCCATTATTTGGCCAAGGTTTTAATATCTTCCTTGTTAATTTATAATCAAGGATATCAACATTTTGTTATATTAGTCTCAAGATATTTCATAGTTTATTTGCCTTGGAATTTTTTTGGTGACACTTTAGGACATGTAGAAATTTAATATTTTTACTTAGTCTAATCTATTAATATTTCCCTTTGTGATTTCTTCCATTGTTTTGTCCTTAGAAAGTTTTGCTTTAAACAGTATAGAATTTTGTTTTAATGATCTAAATTATTACATTTATCTCTGGAATGTATTTTGGTATATGATACAAGTTGTCAATCTAACTCTCTCCCCATTATAGTAACCAATTGCCCTAAACAATTTATGGAGTAAATCTTTCTTATTCCCAATGATTTGTGCTGTTATTATATATTGAATTATATAACATACACTGATGTCAACTTGTAAAGGAACAAAATATAATGTAGCAAATATAATTTTACTTACTATCCAACACTAAAAGCTGTAACATCTTATACAATTTATATTTAAAGATTTGAAAAAAATTACTAGTAAGGTTTAGGACATTCTGTCCCCCAGAAGCCATGAGTTATATATATTTTATGGGTATCCACTCCATGTTTTACACTTTTGCTTGTTGTGAATAGATGTATTTGTAAAAAACTGTGTTTTTCAAAACAACCTACATTACTGTTATTATAATTTTAGGAATATAACACAACTACTGACTAGCTAATCCTTTCCCCCATTAATTTTGACCACTTGTACTAAGTTCCCATATATACATAGGTCTCTTTCTGTACTTTCTATTCCGTTTCCTTAACCCATTTATCCATCTTTGTGCCAATATCCCACTGTCTTAGTTACTATAGCTTTATAATAAATTTTGTTACCTAGCAGGGAAGAGCTCTTTGCTCAGAATTATCTTGGCTTTTCTTAGACCTCTAATTTTCTGTATAAATTAAAGATTTACCTTGTCACATGAAAAATCTTGCTGGGATTTTGACTGGACTTGAATTATGTTTGTAGATTAATTTGGAGGATAATTATCTTTTCGATACTGGCTCTTTTCATCATGTATCTACCCATCTAGTTTTTTTACACATGTGGTTTTTAAATATTATTTTCTTTTTAAAAGTGAATTAAAGCTAATTAATTTTAAATTATCTATATTGTAGAACTAAAATAAAATTTACTAACACTATATCCTTGCAATTTTGTTAACAAATAAAAATAAAACTTGTTAATTAAGAACAAAACTGAAAACAGAAAAAATTTTTATAAAAAATATAGATATAGGCAATAACAGCCAAACAAAGAATTTTTTTGAATTTTTATCTTACTGAACTTGCTGAATACTTATGAAATTAATTAAAATTTGGAATCACTGGCTAGAAATATACACAATATACACAGGAGTCACTGGAGCCTTCATATCATCAATATCCATCAGGGTTCATACTTCTAATTGTCTTTTTCTTTTGGATTCGGATCCACATAAGTACACATATTATCATTAGTATTATTTTTTTTTTTTTTGAGACGGAATCTCGCTCTGTCGCCCAGGCTGGAGTGCAGTGGCGTGAACTCGGCTCACTGCAAGCTCCGCCTCCCCGGGTTCACGCCATTCTCCTGCCTCAGCTTCCCAAGTAGCTGGGACTACAGGCGCTCGCCACCACGCCCGGCTGATCTGTATTTTTAGTAGAGACTGGGTTTCACCATGTTAGCCAGGACGGTCTTGATTTCCTGACCTCATGATCCGCCCACCTCGGCCACCAAAAGTGCTGGGATTACAGACGTGAGCCACAGCGCCCGGCCTCGTACACATATTATTGGCTGAAATGTCTCTTACTTTTTTTTTTTTTTTTTTTAAATCTATAGGTTTCCCGTCCAGCTTTTCTTTTTTTTCTTTATAATTTATTTGTTAAAGAAACCAGGTTGTTGGCCGGGCGTGGTGTCTCACGCCTGTAATCCCAGCACTTTGGGAGTCCAAGGCGGGAGGATCACGAGGTCAGGAGATCGAGATCATCCTGATTAACACGGTGAAACCCCATCTCTACTGAAAATACAAAAACAAAATTAGCCGGGCGTGGTGGCGGGCGCCTCTAGTCCCAGTTACTCGGGAGGCTGAGGGGGCAGAATGGTGTGAACCCGGGAGGCAGAGGTTGCAGTGACCCAAGATTGCGCCACCGCACTCCAGCCTGGGAGACAGAGCGAGACTCCGTCTCAAAAAAAAAAAAAAAAAAAAAAAAAAAAAAAAAGAAAAAGGAAAAGAAAAAAAAAAAAAAAGAAACCAGGTTGTTTGTCCTGTATAGTTTTCAGCCTGGATTTTGCTGATTGCATCCCAAGCATGTTGTTTACCATGCGCATCTGTCCCCTGTACATCCTGTTAGTTAGTAGTTAAATCAGGAGATTTGACCCAATTCACCTTCAGGTATTTGGGCAAGGCAAGTTTGTAGGTGGCATTGTGTTAGGAGCCCTATAATATCTGCTGTGTCTCTTTGTGACATTATTATTTGTTAGTATAAAATGTCTAGCTCCATTAATTCATTAGGGATTGGAGAATGCTGATATTCTAATTCTATCATTTTTGTTTGTTAGCTAGAATATTTTGTTTGTTAGTTTGATTGATTGTTAGCTAGAATACTTTCATAAAGAGAGATTCATTGTCATCTACTTTCGGTTATCCATTGATACAACTCATATAGGAAAGGGGATACATGCTTGATTTTCTTCCCTTTATTGACCAATTCTCTAAACAAAATTTGGTTCCTTAGCATCCTCCAATAGTGGCAATTTGTTTTCTTCTTTCTTCCCCATAGTATGTTAGTAAACTCATGGATTTAAGAATTTTTAATGTTTCAATGTGTTGCCATTATTATCCTCATTGACACTCAAATTTTCCCTTCTTTGGCCAGTGGGAGCCTCTTCAGGTATATTCCTGGGTCCTTTTGACACTCCAATAGTCTTTGATAACATTATTGCTATCTGTGTTGACAAGATGTTTCAGGACCAATTTCTAACTTTCTGGTCCCAGACCTGGAATCAAACATTTATCCAAAGAGCCCTGGTTCAGTTTAGTGTAAAATTATATTTGGAGATAAAAATATGGTGTTAGGATACTCATTGCTACTGAAGTCATCATTATTTTGGGCAGTTTCAGTGGGCAGAGCTAGGAAATATAGAAAGAAAGCTGGCCATGGTGGCACATGCTTGTAGTCTCAGCTATTCAGGAGGCTGAGGCAGGCAGGTCCCTTGAGCCCAGGAGTTCTGGGCTGAAATGTGATATGCCAATTGGGGGTCCACACTAAATACAGCATTAATATGGTGACCTCCTGGGAGCAGGGGACCACCAACTTGCTTAAGGAGGGGTGAACCGGCCCGGGTTGGAAACGGAGCAGGTCAAAACTCTGGTTCTGTCAGTAGTAAGATTGCCCCTGTGAAGGGCCACTGCACTCCACCCTGGGCAACATAGCAAGAACCCATCTCTAGAAAAAAAAAAAAAAAGGAAGACAGAAAGAGATCAGATCTGAGAGAGAGAAAATTAGGAGCTCGTAATGATATTTCCAATTCAAAATGAGGAAACAGACCTGATCCAACGTCTATACTGTAGATATACATCTATAGTGAAATATCTTTCACTATATTTTTATATTAACCCCTCCTTTTCCATTCCATTGGCATCACAACAACCAGGCCCTTGACATCCTATGCTTGAATAATAAGACAGTTTTCTAACTGGTTTTCTTCTATCTTGACCTCCCTGCCTCCAAGCCATTCTACATTTCATAACTAGATAGACAATCTTAGAATACCTATGTGACCTTGTTGTTTCCCCATTCATAAAAAATCTTTAGTATTTCTTACTGTCCAAATGATAAAATCCATATTTCTCATCCTATTCAGTGACCCCTACCTACCACTTTGGTCTTATCACCATCCTTCTGACTCTTCTATGCAAACTTGTAGCTTCAATTAACCTACCCTGTAAACACAATTTTCATATTTTTCTTTCATATCTTTGCATAAGCAATTTCACTCCCTAAAATGTCCTTTTCTTTTTGCATCTAAATTATATCAATTTTCAAGACTGTTATAAAAACAGAACTGGCTGGTTCCATTACCCAATATTTGGTTCCCATCCAAAATTTGGTTTGAATGTCAACATTGATGATGCCACATACTTACCAAGAGGACAGAAAAGGTTCATTACTCACATAATGAGGCTTTGCATGGAAAGCAAGCAAGGCTCCCAAGCTAGTCCAAAAATGCATTGAGAGAGCAGGGAAAGTAGACTGGCTTGGATTTTATTGTGATTAGGGAGTGGGGTTTGGTTTAAAGTTCCCACATAGGATGGGGCTTGTGTGGTTTGAATTTACTGCCAACAGCAAAGGAGGGGTTTCTCTGGGCAAGTCAAGTTTCTTATTGGCTTGCTCAGATGTGGGGCAGGAGGCATATACCTATAATGGGGCTGAAAGCTCTCAGCAGTCAAACATTAACAATAGAGTCAGACTACTTATTATTGAGACCCAATCCAAATCCCACTGACTTTCCTGGTCCTTGGTCATCATTCTTTCTTCTGAATTCCCAGCATTCAGCATTTGCCGCCTCATCCTATTATTTACCCTTCTCTATATTCAACTATGGAAATAAATTTAATTACTTTAGTCATACCTCCAAGGGGTGAATCCAAGTTTTATAGGTCCTGACGCTTAAACATTTTGGAGTGTGGCATAAACACTCCACATTTTCATAAAGTCTCTCTTTATGACAAAGAATATAAAATAGGTACCAGGCTTTGAAAGGAGATGTGCTTGTGAGAGCCCTGAAGCTTTAGCTTCGTTAGCTTTATGGGAAATCTGCTCTGCTTTCCTGCTGTGCACTGAAAATTAATTTTTTTATAGCAGTAAAGTTGACTTTTATTGGTTACAGTTCTATGAGTTTTTGCACATGCATACATAGGTTCTTGTAACCACTATGACTGACGGTACAGAGCACGATTCAACACACCAAAGAACCCCTTGTATTTCCACTCTGTATCCAGATTCTCCCAATACCCTCTTGTATATTTTGACTCCTCCACTAGATTGTATTAGGTTGGTGCAAAAGTAATTGTGGTTTTTGCCATTACTTTTAAGTTGCAAAAACCGCAATTGCTTTTGCACCAACCTAAATAACATTGTGAAAGTAGCAGCTTTATGATACTGTATTTCTCTTGCACAGTGCCCTATAGGCAGTGGGCACCTTGTAAAAGTCGATTGTTATTGATGATAATGAGGACAAAGATGGCATTTTGTTTTACAGTAAGATAAATATTTTATAATGAATAAAGATGTTAAGTATATTCTCTGATAAATATTAGATAAGAAGCCTTCAATTAAACAAAGTCAGAATTCGCAAAATTAAAAATATTATCATGTTTTGTTTGAGACCCTCAGTGATGAAGTTTGTGAAATTCAACTGATTTTAGATGCCTCCTTTTGCTTGACATTTGGTTTAATTGTCACAGCATAATGCCTTGAACATGTAGATGTTCAATAAATACTTGGTGATTTAAATTAGTCAACTACTATAATTGGCTCAATCAGAAGTTACTAAGGCTAAACTCCAAGTAGCATTAAAAATATACCTTTTCAAATGAAGCAAGTTGAGAAAGTAGAAGTAAAGGTCTTTTGCTGAAATATCAATTGAGATATTAAATAACTCCTGGATAGCCTCAATGCCCCAGTTCCAAAATGATTTTGTAGAGTTCAGATTGGATTAATTTTCACCAAGCTCATCTGCAGTAGATGCATACCTGACTTACTGTTTTGACTACTACTAGACCTTAAATCACCACTACTAGCCCTTAAATTTTCACTTAATCTGAAATT
This sequence comes from Homo sapiens, assembly GCF_000001405.40. Classification (NCBI taxonomy): domain Eukaryota; kingdom Metazoa; phylum Chordata; class Mammalia; order Primates; family Hominidae; genus Homo; species Homo sapiens. The sequence continues at coordinate 87,848,331 of NC_000006.12, forward strand.
GAAAATGATTTTCCAAACAAGGAAAGGAGGAATCGAAATGCTCTTCTCATTTCCTTAATGCCTAATGATGAATTGTTTTCAAATATCACTGTATATCTGACCATCACAGGAAATAATTGTACTGTGGCTGGCTCATTGCAGAGCAAGGAAAGGGTCATACAACTGAGCATTCCAGATAAAAGTCCAATTAAGCTCAAAATAGTTCCTCACAGAGTTAAGAGAAAAGGTTAAGAAGGCATAGGCTTTAGCTCCCGATTGCATCTTCTTTCTCTGTGATTAATTGTATTAACCAAAAAGTGTTAATGTAGCCTGAGACCAAGGTCAGGAGTTCTGGTTCCTTCTGTCTTCCTGCCACTCACCTGGAAGCCTTACCATCAGAGTCTAGTCAACAACCAGGTGGTTTGCTTGTTTAACAGGAAAACAAACCAAAGTGCTGGTGAAACTTTCAAGAAAAACCAGTCTTAGCAGCAGCTGGCGGCCAGCCAACATAGAATTCTCTGGAGAATCAAAGACATTTTTATCCTGGTCTATAGGCCTAGGGATTTGAAACAGTGTGATCATTCCCGGAAGGGGAGCACAGGTTTACAAAATGCCGTCTTTAGTAATAGTGCCATGTAATGTCTTTTAAAGCTGGTTAATGGTTGCTTTATTCACCTTTATGTGAAAGATTTATCTGCATAGACCAGACTTTCGGCTATGGAGTATTTCCCATTGTGTCTAAAAATGATAAGACTAGTTATTTCTTACATTCAACCCTTTTGAGGAATTAGCTGGCCATTTGTTTGTCTCTTTGGTTTTACTCTCCTTAATTCCCAGGCATTTACAATCATCCAAATTGGGTTTGATTAGCATAAGCTAGATTTCCCACAAGAGTCTCCTAATACATTTCTTCTGCAATCAAGTCCCAGTAGGACACAGTAAGCTCCTCTTGTTCATCCAGTGTGTCATTCAAACAGATACCAAAGAGAGATGCATAAGATCATTGGCACTTGATCATGACAAAAGAGTGAGGTTGCAGCATGAGGCTCAGAAACCAATGCAATAACAGTAAAGATAAAGGTAAGTCAAGGCAGCAGAGCTCTGCTACTGCTGCTGTTAAGATCCATGCTCTCAGCCACTGTTTAGAAACAAAAGTTGATAACAAGGGAGTTGTGACTTTTTTTTAAGAACAAAATTTCTGTAAAATTTATCAAATAAGGGAAGACTTTATTGCATCATTAAAATGAATCTCATGGCTGTCCAAGGACAGGGACTGCAGGGTGAAGAAGATTCTTTTTCAAGCGTTACATGGGTTTTTTTTCTCTCATGGTGTCTCTCTGTGGGTTTTTCTTTTTTGTGATTTTTGCCTGAGAGCTGCTTATTCTTTCGGAACTTTATCTGTGGAATCCTTTGAGACCTAGATTGAAGTTGAGACTACCAACCCGGGCACTCTAGGAATTATATTCCGTGCTTAAGGTATTTCAGACTACACCGATAGCATTTGGATTGCAAGCCATGTGAGGACTAGCTTGTGGTTCTGAATACACACAGGAGATGGTTTAACCCTTCGTTCAGCACTGAGATCAAGAGAGACATAATTCCTTGCTGCTACCTTCTGTAGATCAGGGTCTCTTTTTCATTCACTTAAGCACTACAGGTGTAGACTTCTGGGTTTCAATGTTATGTGGGAGGTCATCATTTAGATTACCCATCTTGGGTGGGTCCCTATATCTCTGTGCAACCCCTCAAAGCAGAAGCTCAGATCCTCCAGGGATTGGCAGAAACTTTCAGGATGAAAGCTAGCTTTGATGTTCACTTACCAGCCAGGGTTCCTGATCTGATCATATTTTGGCAACTATAGAGTCCTTTACTTTATGCCAGCTCATTGATGCATTTAAATCATTTTTTAAAATATTAGCTAACATTTTAGTTGCCTCATTTGGGGAGTTTGGAAGCTTGAGAATTAATCTTCCAGTGTCTCTACTTCAATATAAACATCTCTCTGTGCTTCTTCTCTACTAGGTAAGCTGATCCTGTTTAGTCAAAGTTCCCAGCCTTCCAGAATTCCAACTTACTGTGGCTTTCCATGACTAAGGCCTCTTTGATTCTGACTCTACTTCAGTTTCTACTGTCACTGCCATTTGCCCCTGTCACTTCAACTCCAATTAAGAGAGGAATCGAATTTTCAAGTCAAGCCATTCAGGTTCATAGGTCCTTGATTACTGCTGTTGTGTCAGCGTCTACACTAGGTTCAGTCAAGTGTGGTCAGTGGGCGTATGTGTGTTTTGGGGTGGGGGAATGGTAGGGCCATGTGCTCAGAACATGGCCACCATTCCTTAACAGGGCTGTGAGCAGGTTGTTTCTCATAGAAGAGGGTATGAGAAGGAAACAGAAAACATTTCTAGTACAAAAATCTATAAGAACAATACTCCTTCTCCCCTGCCTTAAAAAACACACGAACACACCAAAAATAGTTGGATGAGATCCAAGGTAGAGAGGGTTTCTATCAAATTCTTCCCCATGGTGAGATGAATGGTTATTGTGAGGTGATAACATGATAGCCAGAGGAGAATCCTGCATTAGGACTTAGTATCAGTGGCTATGGCCCTTAAGCTCATTTCTCTGCTTATACAGCATTAAAGACCACGACATTATTGCAGCTACTACATGAAAATCGCAATAGACTCACCAAAACGAGCTTAGGAATGACACTAGCAACTTTTATTAAAAACTCAATTTTAAATGTTACCAAAATGCCCAAGAGATCATCTAAAATACACGTTTGTATCTCCCCAGTGCAATAATTGAGTAAAATTAGGTACAGCATTGACCATTCCTTTTCCTCCAGCTACGGCTGCTTTACAGCTAACCTTCTTGAAAACACTGTCCATAAGCACTGCCTCCACTTTTCTACCTCCTATTTTCTCCTTAATTTACTCTAACTTGTACCACAACCATTAACACTACACAGAAACTTCATGGGAAGAGAGAGCTTGTCTGTTTTATTCACTATAGTAGCTCTAGCATCAAAGAGAGTATCTAACACATAATAGGTTTTCAATAAATATTTGTTAAATAAATAAATGCAATGGAATGCTAACCACCTATTAAAATGATAATATTGATGGAGTTTTTAATAATATGGAGAAATATTTAGGATAAAATGCTAAACAGGAAAAAGGGTAGAAAAGTATATATATCATATGATCTCAATTATTAAAATGCATGGAAAAAAGACTAGAAGGAAATATGCTAAAATGTTAATAGTGGTTTTCTGGAGTGGGATTGGAAATGATGATCTTTTCTTTTTGTGTACTTTTTACCTTCCACCAAACTTTAATATGGGTGGCTTTTATAATTAAGCAAAAACCATAACCAAGCACCAACATAAAGGACATGGCATTATATTTCAAAGTACCTTACGTTAAAGCTCAAAGGACAAATATTGTTGTACTTACTGAAGATAATGTACCATATGAGATCACATTTGGTAAGTGTAGATTGTTCAGATGATAATAGATGTTGTTACCTATCATGTAATTGTTTCAGTCTCATCTCTCCAATCATATAACAACCACCTTGCCACAAAAGCCACAAGAGCAAACCATTTATTGGGTGGTTATTATGTGAGACACATGCATTGTTTCATTAAACCATCACACTAATCCTCTGAGGGAAGTATGATTATTACAGTATTACCAATTTTCTATGAGACATACAGTGTGCATGGAATTTGCCTAGGATGACGCTGCTAGCAAATGGACCATATCAAGGGCACTTCTTAATCGCGGATCTGGGAACCTTTGACTTTTATTGCTTAACACTTTTCAGAGTGGTTTATCCTGTGCCAGAAGCAAGATGCTAGAAACACAGTCTACAGATGTTAGCTAGGAACCTGCCATTGCAGCAATTTTCAGTGACTGCTGCACACATTGGAGTAGGTGTGTTATTTTCCCACTGTGGTTGGCAGAAGTAAAACAAGAATTCATGGCTGGTTTGCATCAGGGTGGGTACTGGGCTAAAAGGAAAAGCGCCTAGTGAAAATAATTTGGAGATGTGTTGTCATTGTTGAAAAATGTATAAAAGCAAAGTATGTTCCATCAACAAAATATGCTTTAGAAAATCTGTACTTCACATAGATAAATGGAAGCCACGTGGGCTGAACTGGGCCAGGACACCGCATATTGGCTGCTGAGAGGTCCAGGTGTGTGGTAGGACAGGTTGCATAGCAGCAGTAGCCATGGCCCTTGGCCTTAACAACAGTCTCTGGGTATGCCATTAGAAAATAAAAGAACTTTCCTTTTTTTTTTTTTTTTAATTGAGAAAGTTACATGCACATGGTAAAAAATGTACAAAAGAGAATACAGTGAAAAGTCATCTCCCACACAACCCTCAATTTCTCTCCCCAGAGACAACCATTGTTACCAGCTTCTTGAGTGTTCTTCCAGAAATATTTTAAAGATAAAAGTATATATTTAATATTTTTGTGTATGGTCTTTGAAACACACACGTGGTATCAAATTATACCCACCTCCCTTCTTCCCCTTTAATAGGTCTTAGCAGAGTTGTCATATGTAGTTGTGCACAGGCACTTGGTTGAGGGGAGAATGGAAGCTGAAATTCAGTAAACTGTGTTCTCTGGCAGGGCCTGGGCCTGCCTGTAAGAGGGCACCTTTTCTCAATTTGCACAAAGGTACCATCTTAGGCTCTGAAATATGTCCTTATCAGCATATAGAGATCTATTCCACTCTTTTTCATCATTGCAGAATATTTTGTTGTAATGGATAAGCAATATGTTAGCTAGTTTCCTATTGGTGCACATTTGGATTCTTTCTAATCTTTTCCTCTTAGAAAAAAGAAATGTCCTTGTCTAAACATTTTTGTGCACCTGTGTGAGCCCGTCTGAGGAATAAGTTTGGGGGCACCACTTTTGAGATTCTGAAACAGGTGGTTTCAAATGAGAAACAAAATACATTGATTTTTAAAAGATTTGAACTGCAGAGTCATTTTTTTAATTTTTGTAAACACTGTTTTATTTATTTGTTTGTTTATTTAGTTATCTGAGACGGAGTCTCGCACTGTGTTGCCCAGGCTGGAGTGCAGTGGCGCAATCTCAGCTCACTGCAACTTCTGACTCCTCGGTTCAAGCGATTCTCCTGCCTCAGCCTCCTGAGTAGCTGGGATTACAGGTGCTTGTCACCAAGTCCAGCTAATTTTTTTTTTTTTTAGTAGAGACGGGGTTTCTCCTTGCTGTCCAGGCTGGTCTAGAACTCCCGACCTCAGGTGATCCACCCACTTCAGCCTCCCAAAGTGTTGGGATTACAAATGTGAGCCACCGTGCCCGGCCTAAACACTATTTTATTTATTTATTTATTTTTTATTTATTTGAGACCGAGTTTTTGCTCTGTTGCCCAGGCTGGAGTGCAATGGCGCGATCTTGGCTCACTGTAATCTCCAGCTCTTGGGTTTGAGCGATTCTCCTGCCTCAGCCTCCTGAGTAGGTGGGATTACAGGCGCCCACCACCATGCCTGGCTAATTTTTGCATTTTTAGTAGAGATGGGGTTTCACCATGTTGGCCAGGCTGGTCTCGAACCTTTGACCTCAGGTGATCCACTGCCTCAGCCACCCAAAGTCCTAGGATTACAGGCATGAGCCACCGCGCTGGCAATGACTAGGGCCCAGAAGAAGAAAGCAAACACTTCCTGTAGCAGCTAGAGGTCAACTGTCAAGGCTACCAATTCATTTCTTCTCCTGGGCCCTAGTCATTCACGATGATGCCATTCCTCTTTGAGCTGTCCTCCCTACTCCCAGAATTGTCTGCATCAGCAGGGCCTAGATTTGAGCAACTCTCTCCCTTGTTCTTGGGGAGGTTCTTGTTCAATGAAATTCAGAAGACTAAGAATTTACCACTTGATTTCCAGGAGAGAGTGTAATTCATTGTCACACCTCTGAAGGCCTTGGCTTTGCTGCTATTAAATGTCAATAAATCTCTGACTCTCCAAAATACAGAGAGAGTATAATGCTGAAGCGAAGGGATTTACATGAAAGAATTTTTATTCTTAGAGGCAATATAGTATCATAAACAGGGCAGGGCCTATAGAATCAACAAAATAGGGACTAGAATGCTCGATCAGCCATGCTTGATTATGTGTGAAAAACGATTTGCACATAGCAGGCAATCAATAACTGAAATTGATAAAGATGATGATGATGATGATCATGACAGTGAGGCACTCAATGTGAATGAATAAGGAAATAGATACATTGTGGAAATCATGCTGGGTGTTCCATAGATGTTAACTGATGTTCGCCCCAAATGGATAAGTATCATATCTCCATTTTAAAGACAATGCCATAGAAGTGAAAAAACCTGTTCAAGGATTTGCAGCTACTAGAAGAAGGGCTGTTATATAATCCATGCTCCTCCACGTGCCAGTTGATGTTCCTTTCCTAGATATACATACTAATTTTTTAAAAGGGAAGTAAGCAATGTTTTAATGGGTTCTAAATAGTGAGTTATATAAGTTCATTCTTTCTGCCTTCTGAAGACCATTTTTTTCCAGCAATTTTTTTTTCTTTTTTTTTGAGACAGAGTTTTACTCTGTCACCCAGGCTGAAGTGCAGTGGCGCCATCTTGGTTCACTGCAACCTCAGCCTCCTGGGCTCAAGTGATCCTCCCACCTCAGCCTCTTGAGTAGCTGGGACTACAGGCATGTACCACCAAGCCCGGCCAATTTTTGTATTTTTTATAGAGATGAGACTTCATCATCTTACCCAGGCTAGTCTTGAACCCCTGGACTCAAGCGATCTGTCTTCCTCAGCCTCCCAAAGTGCTGGGAATACAGGTGTGAGCCACTATGCCCAGCCAACTTATATAAAACATTTGAATTTTAAGAGTAGCTTTTGCTCAGTAACAATACAAAAGATGGATTGTTAGGACAACAGATTTACTAACAAGAAGGCTCAGGTATCTGAAAAATTAGTAAAGTCCTCCTGAAGAAGCCTTTGATCCACAATTCTATAAAAATGTATTTTCACAATGAAGAGGTATTTGCTGATTTCTGTAGCCTTGAATATTTTGCTTTGTATTATGTACTTTTTTTAGTGTGTATTTCAGCTTTAAAGAAACTTTTCTATATTCTTTATCCTCCATATTCATCTTTCCAGTTATGAAATATATCAGGTTCTTAATTCCTTTCTCCATTGCTAAACCAGAATCTAGACAGCTTATTTCTCTTATGTTGTTCCAACTCTTTGGTGGTAGATTTTCCTGTTTCTCATCTTCCCCTTTTTTTTTTTTTTTTTTTTTTGAAAAATATGACTTGTATCAACAAACAACATTTGGGGATAGGAGGAAGGAAGATAAGATAGCCCTGCGGGAAATGAGGCCATGAAGCTTTGTCTGTTTGGAAAGCTACAAGTGTAGGTTGTTGCATGCCTGACAGTGGTTGCCCTCTGACCTGGACCATTGGTTCTACATATCCTTATAATGTGAGTTGAAGGAATCAGTTGATGAATACTGCTGTTCAAAGTGGGCAAATGTTCTCATTTACTCTTTTTTTTTTTTTTTTTTTGAGACAGAGTCTCTGTTGCCAGGCTGGAGTGCAGTGGCATGATCTTGGCTCACTGCAGCCTCCGCCTCCTGTGTTCAAGTGATTCTCCTGCCTCAGCCTCCCAAGTAGCTGAGATTACAGGAACATGCCACTGCACCCGGCTAATTTTTGTATTTTTTATAGAGACGGGGGTTCACCATGTTGCCCAGAATGGTCTAGAACTCCTGACATCAAGTGACCCACCGACCTTGGCCTCCCAAAGTGCTGGGATTACAGGCATGAGCCACCATGCCTGGCCCCTCATATACTCTTTGTAAACAATATCATCCTTCTTTTTTGCTGGATCTACTCATGCTAAAAGTCAGGCTAAATGAACATTTAATATTTTTGTGCTTTCTATTGTGAAAATTTAACTTTCAGTGCAACTTGATGCCATTTAAACTCTGAATGAAAGTTATTTATAGGCTGGGAGTGGTGGCTCATGCCTGTAATCCCAGCGCTTTGGGAGGCTGAGGCAGGTGGATCACCTGAGGTCAGGAGTTCGAGACCAGTCTGGCCAACGTGGTGAAACCCCATCTCTACTAAAAATACAATAATTAGCTGGGTATGGTGGCACGTGTCTGTAATCCCAGCTACTTGAGAGGCTGAGGCAGGAGAATCATTTGAACCCAGGGAGGCGGAGGTTGCATTGAGCCAATATCATGCCATTGCACTCTAGCCTGGGTGATAAGAGTGAAACTCAGTCTCGAAAAAAAAAGGAAGTTATTTACATACATCCAAGATTATCATTTCTGAGGTGCTCACAAGACATGGCATAAGGTGGGTGTGGCAGGTGAAGGAATGATCCTGGTCTATTGTGGATACGGTTGCCAGCTAAAATATAGGACAACTGATAAAATACAGGATAAAATTTGAATTTCAGATAAACAATGAATATTTTTAAAAAGTGTAAGTATGTACCATGCAATATTCAGGTTATACTTATACTAATAAGTTATTCATTATTGATCTGAAATATAAATTAAACTGGTATCTTGTATTTTAATTTGCTAATTCTGGCAACTCTAATCATGGGAGACTGACATATGAATAAATCATCACATGACAGTGGGTAAATGCTGTGATAGGGGCACATGAAAACATTCCTGCAGTTATTTCTGTGGTGTTCACAGACAAGAAACTCTGGTCGGGTTGGTATGCAACAAGATTAAAAAGACAAAACAACAACAACAACCAAACTCTGGTAGGGGATGAAGGGGCAGCCTGACCAAAGGACACATCTCCAGGCTGATGGGTCAGAGAACTAGGATCCTCATGGTTCCCTGGTCTTTGATCCATGGGGAAAATCAAGCAGGGATTTATGAAAATGCTATGTAATTCCATATGTAGATTAATTAAAATCCTTCCCACTCCAGCTCCCACTTCCAAAGATAGTCACCCTCAAGAAAACCATTGATGTTGACATTTTAGGTGCCTACTGGATCAAGTATTTATTTGGTCAGTTTAGTTTCCATGTCCTTTTATCTCTAGCTATCAAAAAAATGGCAAACATTTATTTGCCAATTTATTTATTTAACTATAAATAGATGGCAAATTAACTGTAAATAAATTTGCCATTTATTTATAGTTATTTGTTCAATAACTATAGTGCAAAAAAAACAGTATTCTTGCTCACCTAGGAAGGATAGAGGGAAATGCAAGGAACAAATGCTGCAAAGTAATCAAAGAGACTGCTGCCCTGGATCAACCTGTTGTGTGTATGTGTGTGTTTGAGTGTGTGTGTGGGGTGTCGGGGTCGGGGGTAGGTAGCAGTGGAAATACAGGCTGGGGCTAGGAGAACCAAGAACCAAATGCTCACATAAAAGTTGTTTTATTTCAAGCAATGTTAAAAAGAACTAAAGTCTAGAACAGCCAAATACCTGGAATTTACTTTCACAGGATTTGACCTTGATTTTTATGTGTTAAGAGAGTGGAGTGAAGGCTGGGCACAGTGGCTCACACCTGTAATCCCAGCACTTTGGGAAGCCAAGGAGGGCAGATTACTTGAGCCTAGGAGTTTAAGACCAGCCTGGGAATCATGGTGAAACGCCATCTCTACAAAAAATACAAAAATTAGGCAGGCTTGGTGGTGTGTGACTGTAGTCCCAGCTACTCGGGAGGCTGAGGTGGGAGGATCACTTGAGCCTGGGGAGGTCGAGGCCGCAGTGAGTCATGATTGTGCCACTGCACTCCAGCCTGGGCAACAGAGTGACACTCTGTCTCCAAGAGAGAAAGAGAAAGACACACACACACACACACACACACACACACACACACACACAGAGAGAGAGAGAGAGGAGTGGGTTTCATCTAGCAAAGTTACCTGGAGAAGGTGTGTTTGAGTTCTGTCTTGAAGGCCTAGAATTTGAGTAGGCACAGAGGAGGAAACAGGGCATTGCCCACAGGGAGAGGCACCTATTCAAAGGCATATTTTAGTGTGTCATGTGTGCACGTGTGTGCAGCAGGACTGATGGGGCTGGTCAGCATGAAGGTGAGAGGGTGAGGAGATCCAAGAGGACTTAGACTTGGCAGTGGAAAGGTTGTTAACTGATTAAATTTCAGACTCAATGAGAAAACCAAAGGAATTTATCTCACTGAATAGAAAAATGGATACATAGAAATTTCTGGGGCATGTCTGTAAAAGTAGGGCAGAGCAGTGGCTTGAGATAACATCTTGGATAACTCAAGGGCTGTCCCACTTTTGACTGAATTACTCAGGAATTCAGAAAATTGCTTCACAGTTGTGTTCTTGCAATCATATTCTGCCACGGGCTTCCAGCAGGTGGTATATTAGGAAAAATATTTACATAAAAGAAGATAAAGAGTCATTTTATTTTCATCCTAATCCATGTTCTACCTTAATTGCCTTATGGAAAAATCCTGTTTACTTGGCCCTCTTTCTTGTGCAGAAATATAGATCATGACCATTGGAAAATGGAATTGCAGTCTTCTGCCACAGCAGGAAAATACATTATTGTTGGGTTGGGTGTTTCATTAAAGGTTTCTGCAGAGGCTGAATATCTTTATCTAAAATTCACAAAAATGCCTCAGGCCAATATCCTAAAAAAATGAGAATTATTTACCTGGAATCTCCTTGGTTCTCTCTCTGTTGCTCGTTTTCTTTCTCTTTTCTTATCTTGCTGATTATTTTACTGTGGCTCTGTACAGCCATAAGATTCTCTACTAATTTACTACTTTTAACCACTCTCGATTCAGTATCAGAGTGATAAATTGTTTGATTCTTTTTTCTGTTGTGGAGATCAGGAAGTGTAGGAGATTTATACCTAAATATTCTTCTTCCCGATTTAAGAAGGAACAATAGTCTCGAATTCCTAGGAAAAGATAATTTGGAGAATCCATACCAGAACGAGTGTTCCAATGAAGATGTTTTCTTTGCATGCTGATTTCTTTCTTGTAGGTTATCTCTTTATTGCAGAACCACAGAAGTTGGAGGGGTCTCCAGAGGATGTCTAAGATGAATCACTGCCTCAGGCAGACACAGACCAAAGAGTGGTGTGAAGTTAGATTCTGGGCCCAAACAACCATTCCAGAAAGAGCTCTATAAACTTTCATTATTAATAAATAAAAACATTCTGAGATGCTCTGCTAACTAAGTTTTATGGTCAATATTTATAGCTAGTTACTAAATTACCACTAAAAGCTTATCACAGGTCCATTTCTAAAGATGCATATTATCTAACAGGGTGGTTGTTCTTAATCACATTCCATTTTCACACTTAAAATAGGTAAAAGCACATATCCATGTTCCCAAAGGTTTGCATCTCTAATAGAGTTAAAATTGCACTTATGCATTTTTCTATAACTTTGTTAGTCTTAGCGTTGAATACCAAACTTGTCTTTACACAGGCAAAACACAGCTAAAGTTGTAAGCACTGTCTGGCCATTAAAACTGTAAGCACTTCACTTGACAGACCCAAATAATCAAGGAGGAATAACTTGGGGGAACTTATATTGACTCTTTCAATTCTCTTTTTATAAGGAAATCGTTTCCTGTGTCCAATTTGATTATAGGAAGAAAATGATGAAGGTGGCCTCACACATGCCTAGCTTCCTCCTTTTGCCGGGCTCTTACAAAATACCCTTGACTATGTGGCTTAAACAACAGGCATTTATTTCTCATAGCTCTGGAGGCTGGGAAGTCCAAAATCAAGGTGCTGGCATATTTGGTTCCAATGAGTACCTCCTTCCTAGACTGCAGACAGTCGCCTTTTTGCTGTGTCCTCACATGGCAGAAAGACAGAGACCAAGCTCCCTGGTGTCTCTTATTATAAGGACACTAATCATATCATGAGAGCCCCATTCTTATGACCTCATCTAAACCCATTTATCTCCCAAAGGTCCTGGCTCCAAATACCATCACATTGGGTATTAGGGCTTCAACATATAATTTTGTGGGGACAAAATTCGGCCATATCATATAGAATACAATACTATTATAAGTATACAAATTATAAGTAGACAGCTCAATAAATTTTTGCAAAGTGGACCAGGCATGGTGGCTCACACCTGTAATCCCAGCACTTTGGGAGGCCAAGGTGGGCGGATCATGAGGTCAGGAGATCGAGACCGTCCTGGCTAACATGGTGAAACCTTGTCTCTACTAAAAGTACACAAAAAAATTAGCCGGGCATGGTGGTGGGCGCCTGTAGTTCCAGCTACATGGGAGGCTGAGGTGGGAGAATGGCATGAACCCGGGAGGTGGAGCTTTCAGTGAGCCGAGATCGCGCCACTGCACTCCAGCCTGGGCAACAGAGCGAGACTCCATCTCAAAAAAAAAAATTTTTTTTTGGCAAAGTGAGCAGACCTGTGTAACCAATGTCTGGATCAAGAAACAGAATATTACCAGCAACATTCTCTCCCTGCCCCAATAGTATCACTATTCTGACTTCTTGACACCATCGATTGGTTTTGCCTGTTTTCGAACTTTTGAATACTCTGTGAAGAATATCTATAGCAGCACTCTTTACAATAGCCTAAAGGTGGAAGTGATTTGGTGAACATGCGTACCCATTTCTGTTGGGTATAGACCTAGAGATGGGATCGTGGAGTCATCAGGTATGTGTATGCTCAGCTTTACTAGATATTGACAAACAGTTTTTCCAAACTGGTTGGGCCAATTTAAACCCCCATGAGTTTGAGAGTGCTTATTGCTCCACACCTTCACCAACACTTTGTATTGTCAGTCTTTTTCATTTTAGCCATTCTAGTGGTATGTAATTGCATCACATGTGCTTTAATTTGTGCTTCCTTGATGACTAATGAAGTTGAGCATCTTTTCCTATTTTTAAAATTACAAGTGCTTTTAATTAGGATACCATGACTGCCAAACAGCTCCACCCTACTTTGTGTCATCTGAAGGACTAAGCTGTGCATTGTAATTCAAGTCTTCACTGTAATGATACTCTATGGTGCTTGGACTGACATCAAGCCACTCGGCTCGATTATACTTCGGTCTGGCCTTTGACTAAGTGTTAAGCCATATTTTGATAAGTAATTAATGAGAATATAATGTAGACTAGACTTGAATCTCTGGAGGAAATTAGCTCTAATTCTGCCTCCCTTATCTACATAACATGTAGATCAACCCTGTAGTAGAAGAACTACCTCTCAGGCTGTTCTTCATGGATCCATGCAAGGTTATTTGAACCTAGTGCTTCTCTGAGTCATGTCAAATAGATAGTTTGATGATTTGTCCTTGTGTATCCACAGGAATTAATGTTAAAGGATGTGTTATAATTGTCAGTCTCATGTGTCTTCCTCCTTTCCCTGAAACTGTCAAGGCAGTGGGACTCTATGCTGGCAGGAGGTTGGAACGTTAGTTGCTTTAACATCACCATTTCCAAGGTTCTCTATCTCAGGCAATCCTTTCTCCTTTTAGTTGTGTCTGTTTAAAAATACCAAGCTTTTCAGATGGCCAACATCCTCTTGATGCTAGTTTTCATGCGCGTCCGTGTGAAGAGACTACCAAACAGGCTTTGTGTGAGCAATAAAGCTTTTAATCACCAGGGTGCAGGCGGGCTGAGTCCGAAAAGAGAGTCAGCGAAGGGAGATAGGGGTGGGGCCGTTTTATAAGATTTGGGTAGGTAAAGGAAAATTACAGTCAAAGGGGCTTTGTTCTCTGGTGGGCAGGAGTGGGGGTTGCAAGGTGCTCAGTGAGGGAGCTTTTTGAGCCAGGAAGAGCCAGGAAAAGGACTTTCACAAGGTAATGTCATCACTTAAGGCAAGGACCAGCCATTTTCACTTCTTTTGTGGTGGAATGTCATCAGTTAAGGCAAGGACCGGCCATTTACACTTCTTTTGTGGTGGAATGTCATCAGTTAAGGCAGGGCAGGGCATTTTCACTTCTTTTGTGATTCTTCAGTTACTTCAGGCCATCTGGGCATATACGTGCAAGTCACAGGGGATGCGATGGCTTGGTTTGGGCTCAGAGGCCTGACACTAGTCAGTTCACTGTGGTCCACCAATGGAGTTGATTATGAAATTTGAGGTAAGGATGCTGACTTTTGGAAGGTGTCCCCAGGTATCTGCTTGGTAATCTTATGGAATGATATATTATTATTTCTCCCAAAAGGGAGCCACTCTAATAATACATTGTTCAGTGAACTTTGAGTTTATTTAAAAATGATGCATTAGAACCACTGTGAACTTTAGAAACTGCATGTTCTGGAAACTATCTGTAGAGTTTCCTTAAGAAGTATGTTATTTGCTATGCTTTTTAGTTGGTATATCTTTTCTTAAGAATATTGGTCCTAATATATTTTTAAAACTTACAGATTTAGACTTGTCTTTGAGTTTTGTACTTAGATTTGCTATCACACTGTCCTTGGTTTTAACATTCAGGAGAAAACCACATTGAACAACCCAATCTCCTTCTACCAGGTAATTTTTTGGACATCTGGGATTTGAAAAGGTGCTTCACTTTGATTAGAAGTGTGTTCTGTTATTCTCTATTAACCAAGCACCAGATAATTATTAAGAATCTTCTAGGGGTGAGTGAGCCTCTCATGGGTGGCCTGATTCATTTTGGGATCCCTGCCCAGACGGTCATTAAGAAGTGTCAGCCAGTGAAGAGCTGGGCGCCTGCTCTGCTTGACATGAATCAAGACAACTTTATTTCTCTTGAGCCAAACAAACAAATGAAACACTCCCCTCAACCTTCAACAAAACAACAACAATGAAGAGAGGAGTTTGCCTGCCAAGCAATCTAGGCTTGAACCAACTGCTGCTCAATAAACATCATTCCCTGGAGGCCGTCTCTGCCCACCCTCTGATTCTCTTGACCCATCTTGTTCCATAGTGGACAGCAGGTTTACTATTGGAGCTCTGTTTGATCTTCTGTCACTAACTTATACCTGTGGTTAATTTTGATTGTCCTGCTCGTTGAGGTACTTGTGTTCAGCTGTGGCTGTCACATGCTTGTTAGAGGTATGGAAAAATACAGCATTCGGTGATATTTATCAATGTGTGTCTAGAGATCTGAGACTTCTTAGGTAAAAAAGCAACAGTCAACTTTTGTAAGATGAATACATGTGGTAATTTAGACATTTATGAGCTACTGTAAATCTTTTCTGCATGAAGCTTTGAAAAATTGTTTTCAGATTTTCTTTCTTTCCGTAACTCCTAAGTACTTGGACATAATTGATTTTCAATGATTACACATAACTGCTCCAACTTACATAGACTGTCATCTCAAATCACATTTTCCAATTTTAAAGAAATAAAATGAAATTCACATTTTGAAGTAATTTGTCATTAGCTAAGACAAATCTGGTTGGGTTTCTTTTTTGTTTTGTTTTGTTTTGTTTTTTCCTTTATAGACCATATTGGAAATTTTCACCTGGACATTCATATGTTATTTTCTCTCAGAGGACTTTGTCAGTAGGCAGAAGATAAGAAGACAAGTTAGTTTGCCTTGAGAGTATCTCTCAGTTACTACAGCGCAGGAGAGGAACGTGTTGGATAACCTATGGCCCCTTGCTAGTCATTCTCAAACTTTAGGGTACATCAGAGGTACCTGGGGATCTTGTCATAGAATATAATTCTTGGGTTCCACTTCTGGAGATCTGATTTAGTAGGACTGAGATCTGTTTTTGTTTTTGGCGATCTATATTTTTTTTTTAGCAAGCATTCCAATACCTGTGATGTGCATACCACAGAAGCACATTGTATGAAATACAGACCCAGGGCTTCTTATTATACCACAAGGAACGGTTGCTGAAGCAGGTAAGAAGACTGGTCATGGTGAACTCTGTTCATATCATAGCTAAGAGAAAAGATGTCTCTTTAGATCTAAAGTTCTAATTATATGTCCTCGGCTGGGTTCCCTAGGAGCAGAGCCTAAGACAGGCAACAAATTGTATGTGATTTATTGGAAGGGTCTTAGGAGAAAGGGAGCGAGGGAAGTGGGCAAGGGCAAGACAAGGAGCTAAGCAAGGCTATGGTCTCAGTTGGAGGCTGGCTTTAGCCTGATACCATGGGGAGCACTGGGGCATGAATTCCACCACATAGACCTTGAGGAAAGTCAATCAGACTTTTGTATCCCATGTCAGTCACTGTTTACAGGCTGCCCTGTGGTGGATGGGTGATGTAACCTCATGGAGGAGGCCATCCCTATTCTACACAGGGCAGCTCCCCTGGGAGGAAGCCTCTGGAGCCACTAGCAACCCACACTCATGGCAGCCGGGGGATAGGTGCACCAGCCAGGTAGAGGGGATCTACGAGGGGCACCATCAGTATTCATTACACTATGACAACATGGAGTCATGTGGGAGGCTTTTCACAATGTGGCTTCTGTTCTTGGTCCCTCTGACTGCTCTTGCTGTAGTCATTTACTTAGTAAGCTTGCGTTATTATGATTCTTTTTATAATTGCAAGGGAAAATATGGACAGCACATATACTTGGCTTTTTTCTGTGTCATATTTTTCTTCCTGTGCTTTAGTAAGGATTGTCATCTTGTAGCAAAGTGTAGAAAACATGGCAGGCTCCTTTGTCAATTTTGTTTCCTAGTCTCAATGAGAGGAACAATGACTTCAAATATTGAATTATGGATCCTCAGGCTGTAGTGAAATCTTAATGTGTTTTACGCAAAACTTCATTTGCAGATGATTCTGTTTCATGCTTCTTGTAATGACATTGCTTGCGGAGGAGTTCCCTTGTTTAGGACCTTCAATGAGAAATATGATGTTCTGGAAACGATTGAACTGGTTGTCATTGGTTACTTGGCTTTATTAAATAAAGCAGACTCTTTTAAATTGTGTTCTGTGGAACATTAGTGTCTTTTGCACTGTATTCTACAAAAAAAAGTTCTATGCTCGAATATTTTTGGTGGCATTCTGTGTATGATATTCCCCTCTTGGAGATTCACAAAGCACTTTGGCCCATGAAAGACTAAATATTCTGCAGGAAAGAAAACTTCTTACCTTTGTTTAACTGATTGTTTTTCAAATCTGTTTGCTCGTGGAAGAGCCTCCTGTCATGGCTGCCTCCTTCATTTGTTTTTGTTTTTTGTTTTTTTTTCTCAGAATATATGTTACCATCTCACAGAACACAGTTTCGAGAATACTGGTATAACATATCATTCCTCATCATGTGTTATCAGAGCATTGGTAAGCAACAAAGAACTAGTTCCACCCTTTTACACCTTGTAAACCCAGCCCTTGACATCTTATTTACATGCAAGGCAAGTGCAAAGCAGATTTGGGGACAGGGCAGTCTCTGGAGGACAAGGACAAGTTATTTGTTTTCTATGCTGAAGGGGCCATAAAAACAGCAACATATTTAATGAGGCCTCACTGTAGCTATTTTAGCCTCCATAAAACATCTTACTCAGCCTAACCTACAATTACTTAATGGACAGAGTTTTACAAACAGCTAGTCTCCAGCCTCAAATGTTTATTAAGTGTCTGTTCCTTTTGGAGCGACTTTACTAAGGAGAGTCATGCAAGATTAAAAAGATAGAATATTAAAAATTCAGCCAATACACACCAGGGCTACCCTGATGATAACAACTGTGGTGTAATGTTTTTGAATTCATATGGATTCCCACGTTCTCAGTAAAACATACCCTGCCATTTCCCAACATTCTTTCAGTAAAAAAATTATTTGGACCATCATGAGTATTTGGCATTTCTTTTTTGCATAAGACAGATCCTCTGTGACTTGTATTTTTCTAAGAAATGTTGAGTTGTAAAAGATAAAGGTGAATGAATATTTATTTATTTTATACAGCACTTTGAAGTTTGCAGAAAACTCCCCCTCCGACTATCATTTTTGTACTTAAAAAATCCCATGAGAATAGCAGTATTACAAGCACCACAAAAGTGACCAGTGTCCTTCATCCGGCAACGTAAAACCAGATACCTACACCAAGGTTTGCAGCAATAAAAAGAAAGGCTTTTATTGCAGGGTGCCAAGCAAGGAGATCTAGGCAGCTGAATGCTCAAATCCTGACCTCTCTGATGGCTTGCAGGCAAGGATTTTTTTTTTTTGAGACAGAGTTTCGCTCTTTTTGCCCAGGCTGGAGGGCAATGGTACGATCTCGGCCCACCACAACCTCCACCTCCCGGGTTCAAGCAATTCTCCTGCCTCAGCCTTCCGAGTAGCTGGGATTACAGGCATGCGCCACCACCCCGGCTAATTTTGTATTTTTAGTAGAGACGGGGTTTCCCCCTGTTGGTAAGGCTTTCTTGAACTTCCGGCCGCAGGTGATCCACCCGCCTCATCCTCCCAAAGTGCTGGGATTACAGGCGTGAGCCACCGCGCCCGGCCGACCGCAGGCAAGGATGTTTAAAGGCGGGAGTAAATTACAAGAAAGCAGAAGGTACAGGCAAAATTATTAATCAATACATGGAGGTTACATATTGGTTTAGACCTGAAAGGGCAGGATATACAGGTCATAGGTAGATTCAGAGACTTTCTGATTTGTGATTGGTTGGGGAAGAAAAGCTTTGTTTTAAAATTTGAGGTCAATGAAAGAATGTTAACTGGCTACAGGGAGTGACCTTTTCCAAGCCTCTCAGGAAGAAACTTAGAATAAAGGATGGTGGTTAAAGTTTAGTATTTATTTCCCGCATATCTGAGGTCGGTGTGCCAGGGGATCCTTTGGTGGGAGTCCCCGGTGGAGGTCTGAGTTTTTGAAAGACAACTCAGGGACATATGCCAAAATGTTATCTTTGGGTTCTATAGGGAAAGCAATATCTCCGGGACTCTTAATTTTTTCGCTGTTGTTTTGGACTACTATTCCCCTCTTGTTTAACAAGTTGCTTACTTACTTTTGGGACTAGCTAGGTACCCGGTATATTTTTTGAAGGAATTCAGGATTTTTCTTGATTTCCATGGTTTGGGTCCACAGGCCACTTAAAAAAGGAGTCCCTGTCCCATCTCACAAGGACTCCTGGAAGGCTGGCCAGAGCAGCCTCACAGATTTCAGAAGCTTAATTTTTATTCACCTTGATCATTATCCTGAGTGACTTTGTCCTTAAAGTGACTATCTTTTTAACACTCCCTGCCCTACCCCACCAACTCATTTCTCTCCCCACTCTTCTCTTCCCAGGTAATAGCACTAGAGTCCACCCAAATTAGAAACCGCACAGATATCTCTAGTTCCTGTGTCTCTCTTTCCACTCAGACAGCCTTTCCTGGGTTTTTCTTTTTGCATCATAAGAAAATTCTAGAAGCAAATCACAAGACTTTCCCTTCCTTGCTCTTATTTCCCTCCTGCTTACTTATGCTCTACCAGCTTAGCATCCAGACCCAACCACAGCTTTCTTTTCTGCTACGTGATCCATTGCTTAGCAATAGTTACCTCTTGAGTCATGGGAGGGTGGTAAGTCTCGTGTGTGTGCATGAGTGTGGACACACGTAAAAGTTGATGGGGAGTGAAGTAGTCAGAGGCCATATTTAGACAGAGTCCTGCATTCTCTGCCGAGGAATATGGATTTTCTCTATTAGGAAGCCTAAGTAATCTAGGACCACGGATCCTTTGGATAGTGTAGAAGATAGTCTGAAAACACAGGAAGCTGTTTCATGAACATGGCAGACAGTGAGGTCTGGAAAATGGGCATAGCTGAGGTAATAGAAAGGACAAGGCCATATATGAATGAGATTTCTGAGGTAGAATAGACTGGGCTGGGTGGAAACAGAGACACAGGAACTAGCGATATCTGTGCGGTTTCTAATTTGGATGGACTCTAGTGCTATTACCTGGGAAGAGAAGAGTGGGGAGAGAAATGAGTTGGTGGGGTAGGGCAGGGAGACTCAAAAAGATAAAGTCACTTTAAGGACATGCTAAGTTTGAAATGAGATATTTAGAAAGCAGCTTAAAATATTGGTCTTTTTCTTAACAGAGAAAGAGAACAAAACTTGAGATTTAGATCTGGCATTAAACAGTGTATAAAGACCTGGGCATGGTTGGATGCCTCCAGGAAGAGTATGGTGCCAGAATAAGTCACCCACACAACTCAGGTGTGTTGGAAATGTCACATGTCTTTATGGCTTATAAGTCAACTTCACTTCATGCTGAGCACCCCTTTTTTTAGTCTGGGGAAAACCTAACTTCACGGATTTGAGTTTATCCTCCTCTTATGTGGTGTGGAGTCTTCAGAGTGCAGATTGGTGGTCTGGTCTTTGGTCATCCATCTATGGAGATTACTGCTAAAGCTGCCACCAACCTCCTGGATTCCTTCTTCTCTGCCATAGCTATGCCATGTTAGGCTGCCTGTGGTTTTGTCTGCCTGGCATGCACTCCACCCAACTTTTCCACCTGGGGTTTTGCTGTCAACACTGTAGACTAAAAAGGAGCATGGGCTTCTCTGCAACCCTTTGGCATGTCTCTTCCCCTTCTTCCCTCCTCTCACCCAGGGACATCTCTTGTTAGTCTGGAAAAGGGAAAGAGGGAAGAAAGGATGAAGCCCCCACTGTATTACTTCTCACATTAGCTCCCACTTTCTCCCCAAACCACCAACTCTTCTTTAGGGCTAAACATTGTTTTTCAGGGAAATAAAAGCCAGATGGACTTGCTGGCTATTGTTGGTTTTGACCCTGATGGATGCTTTCCTGAGGTTATGGAGTATCAAGACTGCCACCAGCTTGAACTGGGGGAAGGAAATAAATACAGGGAGGAAAAAAGGCTAATATCTTAAAATACTATCCAGCCACAGTATTAAAGTAAGAAGAGAAGGCGAGCAAGCCTGTGGGCTACAGAGTGTGGATCCAAGAAGGAGCAGAAAGGTGGCATCCAAGGAAGAAGCCAGAAAGCTCCTAGAGGGCGACAAAATCGCCACTCTGAGGACACCAAGACACAAGGCAGTGTCCCCCATGTGATGCAACAGGATGGGAACTGAACATGGCGGAAGTGAGCAGGTGGGTTTAGAGCCTGGTGTCTTTAAAGTATGCCTATGGCCTAGTCTGTGGTTGGGAGGTCAGACTGGGTTCAGATGGAGCCACCTCTGTCTTATGGGTGATTATGTCATGACACAAAGTGTTCTCCTGATCTTATCTCTCTTATCTGTTTCTCTAATATCTCCCACCCTGGGCTACACATCCCTTGGGGGCAGAACAATGCCCTTTACATTCTTATACCCTCAGCCCCTAGCACAATGTCTGATGCATAGTGGATTCATAATTTAGATTTAATGAATGACTATAGGCCAAGGTTTTCCAAGAAGGTCAACATTTTCTCTGCCCAGATATAGGGCTGAAGTTATCCAAGATCTCAGAGGAATTTCCCTTTAGTTCTGTGCAGCAAGAGCTCTGAGGCCTTTGAACTTAGGCCTAGTAATCTGGTTTCCAGTGATAAGGGTGGGTAGCACCACTGATAGTGGGGTGAAAGATAGGGTTTGGACATTTGCTTGTTTTCTCCCTTCGTTTGTACCCTAATGCAGACATTGTGGTCATATTACTTTGGAAATATTTTAACTCGTGGATGCAATTCAGAAATAAATCAATTTAGACTGGGCACGGTGATTCAGGCCTGTAATCCCAGTACTTTGCGAGGCTGAGGTGGGCGGATCACTTGAGGTCAGGAGTTCAAGACCAGCCTGGCCAACATGGCAAAACTCTGTCTGTATTAAAAATACAAAAAATTAGCTGGGTGTGGTGGCACCCACCTGTAATCCCAATTACTCGGGAGGCTGAGGCATGAGAATCACTTGAACCTGGGAAGTGGAGGTTGCAGTGAGTGGAGATTGTGCCACTGCACTCCAGCCTGGGTGACAGAGGGAGACCCTGTCTCAAAAACAAAAACAATTTATCACAGATCTGCACACTGCACGAGGCACTATGAGAAATATTGGTGTACAAAGAGAAGTGATACAGATGCAGGGCCTTATTTTTTTAAAAAACTCCTGGTTAGGAAGTTAAGAAAGTTAGTAAATAGCTGTAATTCATAGAAAAATAAAAGCGCAAGTGTTGAAAAAAAAATAAAGGAATGGGAGAGGGAGGGTTTCTGCTTGATTAAAACTATAAATTATTTAGAATTTCCTGTTTATTAGTTATCCCAATTAAAAGTTGTTTCACTGAATCTTGCCAAGCAGAAAAGGCACTTAATTTATATATTATATTTATCTTTTGCAAAAAATCTTGAAAGCACAAAATAAGAAAATCTTGGGTGGGGTCTAGGTTATGGCAATGGCTTATTTCCCAACAAAAAAGGTTTAAGAAGGAGAGAGAAGATTTTTGAAAAAGAGCCAGATTCACTGTTTCCATTTATGGAGAAGTATATGATTTTTGCCAAGGAATTACACACGGCAGACTGAATCCTTTTTTAGCTTCTAAATCAAAGTTGGAGAGATACACAGTTTGGAATTATTTCAGCTGTGTTTGAAATTGCTGAGGGATCCTTAGGTGAAAGGTGGTGTGTAAATCTGAATAAATATTCTTGTTATTTCATTATTGTTGTGATGAGTTATGTTGTCAGGAACGCAGACTGCTGGAATCAGACTGGGAGAACAAAGTGGAATGCTTGTCACCTAAAGATTGTATTTCACAGCTGTAAACACCCAAAAGAACTTCTGGCAGAGAATCGTCAGCTGTAAATTTACAACCTGCTCAGGCATCCAAGCTTTGTTGGGAAAAAAACAATCTCCTGAAAATATATTATTCTAAATGTTTGGCTTCTAAGAGAATCTTACTTATGTATTTTTAGTAAGCATGGGGGTAGAAAGGGGTTGAAAAGGAAGGAGGGGTTCTCAAAAGCACTTTGAAGAACCTGTCGATTTTTCTTTGTTTTCCTCCTCCCCTCCAACATGACATTTTCAGCTTCCTTATAAAGCTAGCCCTTCGGATTGAAATAGCTAGTGAAGCCATATTTATTGAGTACTAGATGGGTACTTGGGCTAGGGCTGGTTCTTTGGGGACTTTAGATGTTTAAGGTTTGGTCCTTGCCATTTTGGAATGTTGAGCTAAGAGGGAAAGACCAACCTATGGAAAAGCATAAGGGACCTTCCTTAGAAGAGGAGCTGTAGATCTCTCATTAAATGATGGACATGTGGTTTGGAGTATCTGGGCTGGAGAGGTCAGGGCAGTGGCACAAATGAGGGCTCCCTGGTGTCTTAGAGGCTGAAATGACCTTTAAGGGGAAAATTCCCCTTGTCCATTGTGACAACAGAACAGCCAGAGGACAGGAAGAGGCACAGAAATGCTGCTCTGCCCTCCAGGAAGTTATAGGAGCTTCTTCTTTGGTACCCAGGCACCAAGAGCACACCTTGGCTGCTCAAGGTGAGGATGTGCCTAGTGGCCCAAGGCGGATGACATGGCCATAGGGAAAAGCAGGCACCAAAGCCCGGAACTCATTTCCCCAGGATCCTTTGTTCGTCCTAAACTGTGAAGCTCAGACCACGTTCCTGGAGCTGACAGCCATGACCTAGCCTGCTGCTCACAGCCCCTTTCTCAGACTTGATGGAACAATGTGAGGTGGGAGTTTCTGGGGGGCCTGGGCAGTTGCTCAGCATTCTGTTTTTCCTGATTGGATCTGGGAAGGCTGCCTGTGGCAAGAGAATTCCTAGGTGAGCCTCTCTTCCCAAGCCAGGTGCGTGATCCGGCACATTTGAACCCCATTCAGGGAGGTCTGCTCCTCTAGATCCCTAGCCCAAGAGAGCAATGGGGTCACACACACAGAAAGACACTGAGCTTGCCTGTGTCACCCCATCTGCTCACACAGGTTACCCATGGCTGCAAAGTGCCCTGCAGCGATTTGGGAGTCTGCAGGGTATGCCTGGCCTGTGCTTATGAGCAAATTCAGTCGGCAATAAGCGCGTCCATTTAGACTCATGCCCTGCTCTGCGCAGTCTCTGAAGGCATGTCCACTTGCAGCATTTAGTCTCCCTCTGGACAGTGCCCTAATGTGCTGGAGCCCTTGATGTGCCCAGCTGGGAAAGGGTCTGTACACAAGGAAGCAGTTCCCCACTTGAAGGCATACAATGTTAGAGGGATTCCAAGGTAGGGCTGTCTTTGGTCTGAGCACCCTACAGAGTTCTTAGTGAATTCGCTCTTGTGATTTTTGCTTGTACCTTCTCTTCCATAGGCTGTAAGGAGGAGTTCAGTGGGGAGGCTGGGATGAGAACAGTTCTAAGGGGTGCCTGTGTGTGATGAAAGCGGTGGCTCTCCTTACCTGTATTTATTTTGCCTAAATATATGCATTAAGGCTTTAAATGAAAAACTACATTATTCTGTCCCATCCCACCCAACCCCAAATCTGAACCCCAGAGGTAACCACCATGAATCTAGCTGTTTCTTCTGGCCTTTATCGTTACATTTCTTTTTTTTAAATAATTTTTAAAATTTTTTTTAAGACACAAGGTCTCACTCTGTTGCCTAGGCTGGTGTGCAGCGGCACAATCATAGCTTGAACTCCTGGGCTCGAGCAATCCTCCTGCCTGAGCCTCCTGAGTAGCTGGGACTATGGATATGCGCCAACCCGCCTGGCTAATATAGTCATATTTCTAACTAATATGTTTATACCACAAGGTTTTGGTTTGTTGGTTTGGACATCACCTGTTAATTTATTATCATAGTAAATGAAGACCTACTCTTGTATAAACATCCCCATTTCATAGTCCTCAGACTCCTCAAATAGTAACACCACAAATTTTGATTAAATTAATAATCAGTGCTAGAATATTATGACTGCGGAAGTATTGCCAACTGCTGAGTCCAGTAATACACTACAGCCATGGCTCTTACCTTGTACATTTTTGGAGCTGATACTTTTCTCTTGTTTTCCTTTGCTTCATTTTTGTGTAACTATTGCCATTTTCCCACAAATGCCTCCAATGTTTCTGTCACAACATACATATTAATATTTGCCATGTATGCAAACAAATCAACTCTGCTGTTTCCCCTTAAAAATGTTTCTCCTAGAGCTCTTTGTTGTTTCCCCCTAATCCATGTGCATTGCTCTATATTTGAACCCCACATGCAGCTCTTTGGGGATAGATCCCTTGTTTTGTGTGTGTGTGTGTGTGTGTGTGTGTGTGTGTGTGTGTGTGTGTGTGTGTGGTTCCAATGTCTTCTTTTCATGGTTTGCTAGAATAGTTTACTCTTCAGCAGTCTCCTAAAAAGTTATATAAAGAAGGTAAATTTTCTGAGATCTGAACATCTGAAAATGTCTATTGTATACTCAAACTTTACTGATATGTTGAGTATAGAATTTCATTTGGAAAATCATTTTTCCTCAGAATTATGAAGTCATTTTCTTTACTTTGCGTAATTGCTGTTGAGAAGTCTGATGCTATTCTGATTCATAATTTCTTGTGTGTGTCCTCTTTTTCCTCTCTGGAAGTTTAAAATATTTTTCTCTTTATTCTTGATATTTTCAAATTTCACAACAATGCCCTGCAGGGGAAGAAAGGTGTGATACCTGTTCGTCACCCATCCTAGGAGTTATGACCAACATTCCTATAACAAAAGATGGGTTAACAAGCAAAAAGCCTAACAAATTTATTTAATCAAAGTTTTATGTGACAGAGGAACTTTCAGAAATGAAGACCGAAAGACCCAGGGAACACTGTTTTTATGCTTAGGTTCAATGAAGAATAGACAGCTGTGTAGAAATGGGATTGGACAAAAGTGTAAGATCTAATGGTAACAGACTGAGCGGGGAAGCCCAGCAAAGCCTGTCTGCTCAGATGCTTCTTGGTTCTCTGGGTAGCATTCCTTCCTCCTGGGTATGGGGTGGAACCCCTCTGGAATGAGGGTCTTCAAGGGAGAAGAGGGAGGGAGAGTGAGCTTTCTAGGTTTTATGGCTTGCTTTGGGGGAGGGCAGGTCTAGTTTCTACAACCTGCCTTGAGGAAGAGGAATTGTGGCTTCTGTGATTTATTTCAGGGGAGAAAGGTGGCAGGAAGGCAGAAGGGCAGGAGGAGGGCAGATCGACCTTGTTTCTGAGACCTTCCCACCTCCTTCAGTTCAAAGTACTCAGTAGGCTGTGGTGCTGTACTTTGGGGTATGGAATGAGTTCCAATGGTGCCTTGGTATTGGTCTTTTAATTTTTATTATGATCAACCATTTTTAATTTACAGACTCGTGTTCTCTAGTTCTGGAAATTTTGTTATGAGAAAATTATGTCATTCATAATTTCCTCCCTACTGTTTTTTCTGTTCTGTTCTTCTAGAGCTCCTATTAGTCACATTTAGGGTCCTTGGATTGATTTTTTAAATTTTCTTAACTTTCTCTCCATTCGTCCATCTCTTTATCAGTTTGCTCTTTTTCCCCTATTGCTCAGTTTCCTATATTCTGTTTGCCTATTTTGGTCCCTCTCCTATTGGAGACCTTCCTCAAATGTCTGGTCACCTTAAGCTGGGTGTGGTGGCTCACACCTGTAATCCCAGCACTTTGGGAGGCCGAGGCGGGCGGATCACGAGGTCAGGAGATCAAGACCATCCTGGCCAACATGGTGAAACCCCGTCTATACTAAAATACAAAAAAATTAGCAGGACGTGGTGGTGTGTGCCTGTGGTCCCAGGTATTCGGGAGGCTGACGCAGGGGAATCGCTTGAACCCGGGAGGTGGAGATTGCGGTGAGCTGAGATCACGCCACTGCACTCTAGCCTGGCGACAGAGCAAGACTCTGTCTCAAAAAAAAAAAAAAGAAAAAAAAAGTCTGGTTACCCTAGGCTGTCCATTCGATTTAGAGTGACACTTTCAAATGTGGGAGGGCTCAGTGTGTACTGGTTTGTATGTGTAGGAGGACAGGGGTTGTAGACTCTCGGGCCTTCCTGTGTAGATTCTGGTGGCCAGGAAGTCAGGCTTGATGCTGGAGACCTAATTATTCCCCCCACCAATACCTGAGGAGTTTTTTGTTCTTATTTGCTTTTGCTGTTGCCATTTTTTGGGTTTGTTATGTGTTTCCAGCTATTCAATTTCTCTAGAGAAGAGAAGGATCATTGCATTTCTTGCCTGAGGAGTTAAGCCTGGAGGGTGGTTTACTGGAATCAGAATTGGGAAAAGAGACTGGGGAGTCCCACCCTTCACAAGTTAATCTCCCCATTTGTACTCATGTCTACCTTCCTCCTCCCACATAGAATGTGGTGACCACTGAGACTTGGGATCAATTTCCCCAGAAAAGAATCCTCTGGTTTGTGTGCAGAGGGTAGGTAGGGAGCAGTGTAGGGAAGGTATAGTTGGCTGGTTGCAAGGAGTGGGAGAATGATGGAAGATTCTAATCAGGTTGTGTGTGGGCTTGGGACCATGCATGGTTGTCTGCTCTGAGATGCCCTCCTGCCTCTTCTGATAACTTGTGCCACTATGTAATGGATTTGCTGTGGTTCTGTGCAGCAAGTGGTCTCATTTCTTTTTAGTATTCTCCCCCACTTTATTTATTTATTTTTTTTTAGCAACCTGGATGTGTCTCCTCCTTGCTGAATCAAAACCATACTTCCATTCCTTTGCCATTTTTCAAACGTTTGTTGAAATTTCTGCTCTGCTAATATCTCCCCAACAGGTCATTTCTCTTGTGGGCTAAAATCTTTTAAATTCCTTTCCTGTCAGTTGATGGAGTTTAGGACACAGTCATGTATGTGTCAATCTGGAGTGTTTAACCTGCTTTACTGCATGTTGAAGACCTTGCCTGACTCATGTTATGTGAGAGTCCAAGCTCCTGCTCATTTCCAAACCAGCTGTGTGACCTTGAGTAAGGCACTCAAATGCACTGGGCTTCAGTTTCTCATTTGTAAAGGCAGCAGTAAGAATCTGTATACAGTAAAGCAAGTGTCTGTCTTGCCAATCTCATGTTGCTATGTGGCTGAAATAAGATTGGACATGTGAGAATGCTCTGGAAGAAACAAAGGTGGGATGAAAATGGAAGGCATCATGAGTAAAGCTAAAAAACAGAATCTTTTTACAAATGGCAAAGAGCCCCCTTCTCCCTGATATCCTGGCTTCCTCTACGTTGGTGTGTGGAGCATATGGATGAGGGGGTTCAGCTCAAAACTTTCTACTTGTTTTGATCCAAATTCCTTTTCTTTCACATCAGTGCAGCTCATCTTAGTATGACTTTTGGGTTCATCCCCTCCATCACCCTTGGGCACTTCAAGGAAAGTATCATCTGTGTCTAGTGTTTTTTTTGGTCTCAGTTTGAGACCTCTCAAAATTTTTCTATTTAATTGCAGATTTATGTTCTAATGCTGCAAATCCCTGTCCTCCTACATTGTCTGTTGGGTTATATTACTTGTATAAATCCAGAAAAACAGCAGAGAGAAATAAAAATGAAATTTTAAGCACAGTCATAATTTTGTAGCATAAATTGTAACTTGCCGGAATCTGTGGCATTATTAGACTATACCCTCACAATAGATTATTGTAAGCATGAAATGGGTAATATGAGGAAGTGCTTTGTAAACCATAAAGTCTACATCAAATACGAGGAATTGCTGCCATCATTGTTCATCTCTCTGGGCCTCAGTTTACTCATCATGAAGTGAGTTGTTGAGAATTTCAGCTCTGCTATGGTGGCATAAGCTCTCTATGTCCCATCCCTCCCACTGATTGCAACTAAATCTTCAGGATAAAATTAAACAACAACAACAACAACAGCAGCTACTCAAGGGCTCTGAAAAGCATTATATGTAGTTGAAGGAGGCAATCAACCACATAGTATATTGAGGAGGGACCCCAAATGCAGCCTACTGACCAAAATCTCCAGACTTTCTGTCCAATGCCTGAACACCTGACTCAGAGTTTAACTTTCATGTGAGAGTGTTAAATATAAGAAAACAAAATAGAAATACTCTCTGGTATGTTAATATCCTTGAATTCCCCTATTAATATTTCATCATGTGTTAGTTCAACAGAAGGGACTTGAATCCTGTGAACCAACCCAGATACGGGCTCCACTTTATCTGTTTTGTGGAACAAACACCAAATAGGATCCTGTTTTATGCATCTAGCTGGGAAATGCAACAAGATTTAAAAGTCTTAGAAGTAATATTCTTCAATCACAAGTTAGTGATGTAGCTCCATCAAAGTGAGCCATTTCCTGCTGAAAATAAAAAAACATTTTCTGTGGGTTTTTAAAGTAAAAATACCACTTTACACTCTTGATATTCCAGCCTAGGAAGTTAGAGGTTTTCTCTATAAAAAGAGAGAATGTAAAGAATCCTAGAGCTTCCATACTGCACATAAGAATTAAAATATTCCTTATGTCTAGCAATATTATTTTATGTTTTTATAAATGCAAATGGTTTTATGCCTTCTCCACATTAAAACGATGACATCAATAAATGTTTTCAATCTTTATCTCATGTCAGAAAATGTTGAGGTGGGTTTTATTACTTATTATACTCATTGAATAGAATTTTGTTTTTCTATTGGTGTTTAAAAAGCAATTAAGGGCTGCTCCAACTTTCAAAAGTCATTGTAATTCACCCTTCAATTAGCTGAAGAAGAAAAATTAAGTAATCATATCAGTTAGCATGGAAAAAGCATTTGACAAAATTCAACACCCATTCATGATTTTTTAAAAACACTCTCAGCAAATTAGTAATAGAGGGAAATTTCTTCAATTAAAGAACATGTACAAAAAAGCTACAGCATGGGACAGTGTGGCTGGGTGGGCAGCACTGTTTTGCCAGGGGCATAATGAGCTGGCATCCTGGGGGTGAGGGGTGAGGTGAGGGGTAGAAAAACCACTGACCATTACTGGAGGAGACACTGAAAATGGAAAGCAGAACACTGAAATGGTGATTGTGTTTGGTCAAACTCACAACCGACTCACAATTTTGCCTGGAGCCAGCTGGACATAGCATTGTTGTGATATTGGTGTTGCCTTCTGGTCTAGACATAACTATACCTAGACATGGAAAATTATGTCGATAAGCCCATGAAATAGAAGGGTCAGTCTCGTAGGTCTATCCAACTGGATTTCAGGATCGATTTGACCCAAGAATTCTGCCCGTATTGTCCGTATTTATGTGTTAACTTAAAGACAGTGAAGATTACATATGCAATGTGTAAGACTGCTCCCAGCAGAGATTGATCTGACAGCGTTCAATTATGATATGTCTGATACAGTTAAGTTCTTTCTCCTCTATGGTTTCTCTTACAGACACTGTTGCATATTTTCCCTGAGTGTCTCTCTTGGTCTATCTTTCCAAAATCTCATCCTCATTGGACAAGAGATATGATTTCAACTCAGAAGTTCTACTTATTAGGAACCACATCTTACATGAGAATAAACTTCAAACCTTATTTCTCTTCTTTGATGTGGTTCATATACTGACTCCAAAATACTGCTGTGTGATGACCAAGGGATGCTTCATAAAAATCAATTATAATATGTTTTACAGCAGGGTAGACTCCTTTAATATATCTTGTTTGTAGTATTGCTTCAAATACACAAGGAATGTTGACATTACTAGATTTTTAGGAGATCTGTCAAAATAGAAGCATTAAGACCATAGGTGGGGCAAAAATTTCCTTTTCTATTATAGAAATCAATTATGTTGCAAGAGGAAAGAATAAATGAGTTTTTCTTGCCTTCTTCAAATCCAAGAAAACAGAGTCCCAACTCTATGTATTCCTTGGGAATTCTCGGCATGTCAAATTTCAAGGTTTTTGTTTTATTTGTGCTCCACCATCACTATCAAAATTTTGTCCTCAATATTCCTGAGTATGAGATCGGCTGCAATAAGTTGGAGCTGGGTTGTCTGGGTGCTCATGTTCTCAAAATGGCAAGCAATTTTGCTTTCTTCTTTGCTGTTATTTTACTTAAGGCAACCTTTAAAAATATATGTTTGTCTTACTTTAGGCATTAGGTACAGAGACCAGAAACTAAACTTACTACTAAAGGGCTTATGTAACGAGAAGGACTGTGGCTATCACTGATTTAAATCTGATACTCTCTCACAAACACACCAGATGTTTTATATACCAAATCATCCATTGGTGTTGAAATCTAGATCTTACTGACATCCAAATATTGCTATTGCAAGTGTTGAAATACTCCCAAGTTTAACATGTGTAAGGAAACCAAACCTTTTCTCCAGATAAAACTTAGCAATCTAAAACTATCCAAAGAGGTATGATTTATTTTAGGGATTGCAAATGTGTGGTAAGGCATTAAAAAAACACCGCATGACATGAGGTGTTTAGGTTATACTTAACATGTTTACTTTTAGAGGTTCAAACATCATTAATCCGTGACAGGTGTGGGGTCTATGATTTGAAACAATTATATTTCAAGCTATTCATATCACTTCTTAAGTGATGACTTCATTCTTCCCAGTTACCATATGTCCTAACCATGCAAATGAGAAGGAAAAGAACATCTGGTCGACCATTGTTGTCTCGCCTGTCATGCAGGACATGTGGTATTGCATGTGCCTCTCATCAGGCTCCTTCGGGACGTCAGCATAGTGGATGGTTTCATATTTTACACAGCTGGTGCTTTTAGGACATACCATCAATCTTAGCTCAGTAGCATCCTTACACCTTTGGGTTTTTATTGGGCTTTTGGTGATGAATTCCTTTTTTGGATTATGCAAACATCTCTCCTGGAGCTTCAAGTGAGAGTAGCATATTTTTGTAACAGCATTCTGTACAATTTGACTTCAAATTATACAGAATGTATAGTTTTTGGGTAAAAATGTGGCCTAGGAAGAGACACTTTCCTGGAAATTTTTCGTTAGGATAGCTACATCTCAGTGTTAATACTGACTTCATTTTAGCAGTGTTGGGAAGAATTCACTAAGCTTTCTACATCTTTATTTATTGTAAAATAGCCACCAAATAATCATCCTGGCTTTGTGTTAATCATTGATGGAGGCTATAATACCCAAGCATGATATTATTTATATGTAAATCACCCCCTTTTAGGCTCTGTGTTTTAGTGATAGTTTATTTTAAAATGCGTAATTTGAGAATTACAGCATAAATTTGGTAACATTTATTTACTGCGATACCTCCCATTTGGCCAATTTGGTCTTATTTTTACTTGCCCAGGGGTCTGACAGCAAATCTGGGTGT
Source organism: Homo sapiens (assembly GCF_000001405.40). NCBI lineage: Eukaryota > Metazoa > Chordata > Mammalia > Primates > Hominidae > Homo > Homo sapiens. Next base: position 87,880,379 of record NC_000006.12, read on the forward strand.
CAAGAAATGGTTATATTTTCTTGGGTTCAGTGACCCATTCTTTGCTACTGCTAAATCCATCTTGTGAAGAAGTGTTTATTCAGGTGAAGGAAGCCTTAGTCCTAATCTAAGTAAAGCACCCAGGGCACCAGGACACAATCAATATCCCTGGACTTACATATTTTTTATTCTTCTTAGCTCAGGACAATTTTATTGTGCATTTTCTTCCAAGCCTGTGTGTTTCTTAAACAGTGCTCAAGTAAAATTGTTTTTACAATGTGAGGAATAAGTACAGTGGGAAGTTTCATCTTAGATGCAGGTTCAAATACAGATATGGATGCATATAAGTAGGTGGAAACCAAAAAATTAAAAGTGAGCAACAATCCAGATTTTCAGAGCATGTAAATAATGGCTAATATACATACAGAATGCATTTTTTTCATTATTTTTTTCCCCATTTGGTATTCACACGATGGAACAAAAAGAGTTCTTTTCTTCTTTTTTTTCCCCTTGCATAATCAATTCTTTAAGAAGCTGTGAGAGCTGAATTGTATTTTCTTTAGCCTCTGAATGCCAACTGGCACACTGGGGACAGTTTAATAATAAATAATAACAAATACTGGGTTTATTGACTCTTGAACCCTGGAATCAATCAATTAATCATGATATTATGGCAAGATCAGAGGGATAAAATTCTAAAACTGACTGCAAGATGCAAATAGATAAATCTCCCAGCAGGAATAATTGCAAACCATTTTGATCAAATAAAAAATGATGATCAATTATGCTCTTTAGGGTCCAATAACTTAGGTTTATTTAAATGCTGTAAAGTACATCCCTCCAGGATCTAATGAGCTCCTAAATATCACTTGTTAGGATAAAACATCATAGTCCAATCATTCTAATGACTGAAGCCACAGATTCAGAGTGGTGAGTACCACTTTATCACAATTTCCCTTAAAATGTCCCTTTACAATGTACTATTTGGATGTTTCAATAAGTGTTACAATCAGGCCAGTTTCTCCTGTTTGCCTTGAAATTAACTCTCCTTTTCCCAGCCCCCAACTATTGGTTAGGTACTAAAGTAAGAAATCTTATGTGGACATTTTGATCAATCTACAAAGAAGCAATGTAGTTGGTACTAAGAAAAAGAGTGAGTCACCAGACACAGAAAAAATCCCCATGTTAGAGCTTGCAATATACAGTAATAACACCGGTTATAATAACGTGCACAAAGATCTCCCACATGGCCACAGGGCTCCAGAAGAATAACTGCTGGAGATTATGCTGGCTGTAACGAATTTGTTTTCTGGGTTTACTTGTTTACTTTTTGAGGAGTGTAACAGATGTGCAGTCAATACCCAGGGGAGACTTTCTCAAGTCCTGAGAGGCTGATGTTCAGAGAACTCTGCTGAATTTTGCCAGAGGATGTAGTCTTTCCAATAGGCTGCTTAGAACGCAAGCAGCAACCATAGCAAGATAGTTTCTTTAGGATGATTGAGATGCTGCCTTCAGAAAACCTATTGTCCCTATGATTCTGGAATTGCCTGATTGTAAATCAGGACATCTTCAAGGCCTCAGGAAGTTGGTATTCAGAGTTGAGATCTGGACACTGTTTTCTGAATACAAGTAAGGACTAGATTGAATTCATTCATTCATTCACAACTACTGAACAAATATTTGCTGAACACCTACTATGTGCTAGTTACTATAGACTTAAAAAGGAATAGAATCTGATCATTGCACTTAAGAATTCATAGAACTGTTACCAAAACACCAGGGGTCTGGTCTAGGTCCTGCTGCTCACTGCACAGAAAATCAATCACTGAGACAATGAGTATTGCCAGGGAAGAAGGCTTTAATCAGGTGCTGTAGCAGAGGAGATGGAAAATGAGTCTCAAATCCATCTCCCTGACTGACTAAAATTAGGGGCTTATATAGCAGGGGAGAAATGTGTGGGAAAACAGGAATTAGGGAGGGGTAAAGAAGAGAATTTGGTCAACAGGAAGCAGGTGGTCAGTTAGGCAATCATGATTGGTGAGAAATATGGTGTCTCATTGTCCAGATACAGTGATCTAGTAAGTTTCAGCTCCTTGATACTATCTGGGAGTCCTGATGGTTGGCTTTCTGAGAAAGGAACTCATAGAAGACAAATATAACTTTCTCAAATTTTAAGACTGGGAGGATCAATTTGTACGTTTATTCAAAGAAACCATAAACATCAGTTCTCTGGGACAATTGGGCTGGTTTCAGAAGCATTTCTTAGAGTTGAGTGATATTTTCACATCCATTACCTCCTTAATCAATTGACCATCCTGTGAAAGACGTATGGCATTTTAAGATAAGCACAGTATGGTTCAGAGGGATGAAGTGGTTTGCCTAAGGTCCTTTAGTTAGCATCAGAACATGGACTTAACAGAGTCCTCCTCCTTCTCCATCTGGTGTTCTTTTTTCTAAATCATAGCATATATGGCCCCTCTGAGTTTCTTCTATAAATTAAGGCAGAGAGACTACAGTATTTTGTCAAATTCTTTTCTTTCTCTCTCTAAAAAAAATCTGTTTTTTAAACATAACTGGAGTTTGGATACAAATAATTATATAGGACTTTAATTTTAGTGATTCATCAACACCTTGGGACTTTGGTAAACCAGTTGGCAAAATGCCTTCCCAATCCCGGGACCCTCAATTCTGGTGGCAATTTTATCCTTCAGGGCTTGCTGGTGTTAGTCTTCTACAACCTGCCAAAACAGCCATTAGGAGGTGGGTCTCGTCCTAAAGACCCTTTGTCTCCTCCTTTTATAGTTTGTCCTTTCCAGTGTCTGCTTTCTAAAGGCCCTTGCACAGTGGTGCATTGATAGTGCTTGCTAGGAATCTCCTAGCCCTTCTCTTCCTGAGCCATCAGTATCACAGCTCTTGTCCTCGTGGGTTCCTCATAAATTGTCCCAAGATGCTGGGAGAACAGAATCTTCTGGAATGGACACCACCTAACCCCTTGGTAGGTGAATTATATCCCCTCAAAACTTCATACGTTGAAGCCCTAACCCCCAATACCTTGGAATATGACCTTATTTGGAAATAGAGTCATTACAATTATAACTAGATATGTTAGGATGAGGTCATACCACAGTAGGATGTGCCTTTAATCCAATATGACTAGTGTCCTTATAAAAAGGAAAAATCTGGACTCACATACACACCCAGAGAGAATGCCATGTGAAGATGAAGGCAGAGCTTAGGGTGTGGCAGCAGAAGCCAATGAGACTGCCAGCAAATCCAGAAGCTAGGAGACAGGTGTGGAACCCGTCTTCCTTATAGCCTCAGAGTGAACCAACCCTATTGACATCTTGATTTTGGGCATTCAGCTTCTAGAACTGTGAGACAATACGTTTCTGTTGTTTAAGCTACCCAGTCTGTGGTACCACAAAGGCAGCGCTAGCAAATGAATACACCCCTGATACAATATGACTGGCTGGAAAGAAAGGCACCTCTTAAGCTCAGGATGACATCCCTCTTAATTCTCACTCTTAATAGAACGCACACTCATTCCTTTCTACACGGCGCTGTGAGTCTTCAAGTGACTGAAGAGTTCTACTAGTTGTCTAAAACCTTATGTAAATGACCTGGATATTGGCCATCACTTCCTCTCATAAGTGTTCCTAAGGGCCAGCACATAGTGTTCACTGGGGCCTTTCTCTTATACTCTTTGACCCCACAGGCTTTTGGCTACTTGAGTTTCTAATGGTGATTGTGTAAGTCTCAGTGCCCTTCTCATTGTAGGTGAAAAAAAGACATGCTTTGATTTGCAAACGCTGCTACTAATTGAGATGCTACTTTCCTTCCTACTGAAAAATACCAGTGAGTGTCCTTCATCTCCCTTCCAAATTGAGCCCATGCTCCTTCCCTCCATACCTGCTCATTCATTCATTCTTTCATTCATCCATCAACCATTTATCAAAGACCAACTACATGTTGTCAACATAAAGAAGTAAACTATTGACCTGTCCCTGAAGAGCTCAAAGTCCAGTGGGAGAGACACTCAAACTCTAGTGGAAGAGTAAGATATGGAGGGAACTGTTGTATAACAAGCCCATGGTAGGGTATTTACCAGATGAGGCCAAAGCCAAAAGCGTGAGTGTTCTCAAGAGAAAGCTTTTGGAAGTCTTCATGGAGGAAGTGACTTTTGAAGAATGAGAGAGGATTGCTGGCATTTGGAGAAAAGGCAGGATGAAGGCTCAGGATGGGGAAGGGATCCTAGGTGGAGGTGACAAGTGGAAGGCTCCGTGTTTTTTAAAAACCTGGCTCTGTTTGGCTAGAGTGTACATAGAATGGACATTAGCATTTGGCAAGAGATAGGCCTCAAAAGCAAGGTTGGGAATTGAGAGTGGATGCTTTTCTATACTTTGAGAGGAGTTTGGCATACTAAGAAGCCACTGAAAGTATTTATGTTTTGAAGTGATAGAGTTAGATTTGTTATTTAAAATGATTGCTCTGGTGGCAGGTGACATGATTTAGAGGGGACAGAGAGGACTAGAGGCCACAGATGAGTGGGGAGGCTGTATTTCTTGAATCAAAAATTAGAACAAGTTCAACAAGTACTAATGTGGTTACAGACACAACAGAACAGAGCATTTAGAATTGGGGTCATTTAGAAACATTTACAGAAGCTCTAGCCCAGGGCTATGCAGGAAAGAGAGAATGACAGTGTAAACCAGGGCAGTGCCAATTAGAATGGAGAGAAAGGGAGGCACTTATGAATTTAAAAGGACAGAGTAGGTGACATATATAATAGGGGAGTGAAGAAGAAACAGATATTTTATCTGTCCATAAAGATAATGGCAGGTGAAGATACTAAGATAAGGAAAAAGACAGAGTAATACATTTCCCAAGAATGCTAAAGTGTTCAGTGTTGGAAATATTGAGTTTGATGTATTCATAAGAGTTGTCTGGGGAGAGATATTTAAAGGCAGATGAAAATATTGGCTAGGAGTTCAGAAGGGATATTTAAACATAATAATTATAGCAATAACAACAAAATATCAACAATTTATTGAACTCTTATGACATGCCAAACACATGTTCATGCATTATTTCATTTAGTTCTTTCAACAATCCTGTGAAGTGTTCATTTTATAGATGGCAAAACAAGCAGTCACACAGCCAGTAGGTGATTTGGGAGTCCAGTGGAGTCTGCCCAGCCTCAAAGCCTATGTTCTCACCCCCTCCCTTCTTTGCCACCACTGCATGCATGTCTGTGAAGATGTCAGCTAGACAAGGCCATGCAGTGCCTGTACAAGGAAGAAATCTATAAATGTCTGCTAAATAACTGAATGAGGCTCTGGATACCACCTAGGTTTGCTAGCCATAAAGAAAGGGTTGGACAGTTGACTCAAAGATAGCCACAAATAACGGACACCACTAATACAGGAAAAGGATACAACTTGGAACACAGTCAGCTGCTACTACATGAAGTGGGAGACATAGCACCCTTCTCCCTACTGGAAGGACGAATTTCTCTGGCCCTCATGCCCCACAGAGGCCCCCATTGAAGATGGTTCCACCTAACTGGGGTGAGGATTCCTTAGGGCATCAAGTCCTCTGAGGTTCCCATTGCAATTCTCATGACATGGTGTGTACTCTTTTGACCGTGCCTCAACGGTCCAGAAGATGGGCCACAGCCTGCCCGCCTCCAGGAAAGCAATGGTTAATGACCCCTGCACTTTTCTGGAGAATGGGAAGATTGAAAGTTGGTTTTCCGGATCACTTTTCCTGGTGAGGGGGTAATCCTGGTGTAATCCCCCTAGAAGGCCCAAGATTTACACCTCCCTCACATCTAATACTATTAGGTATTACCCTGCCCATCTGGGCCAAAGGAATTAAACACACAATACCAAGTCCCTTGAAAAGGGCCTATTTATCAAGGATGCAATGGACAACAAAAAAGAAGAAAATACTGGCACTAATTTTTGCCATTCCTCCGATCTCCCACCTGTGACATGAAGGTGCCATGAACTCACTCCCTGAACATCTTTGATCCTCAGGGGTATAGGTGGTAATATACATGATGGGAAATTCTTCCACTGCTTGCTCCAGGGAATAGTGAAGGGTGCAAGTTAGTCTCCATGTGTTGTTATCTGAATAGGCAGACTTAAATGCATATTGTGGTAACTCTCTCTTGGGACTCAGAGTCGACGTTTTAAGGATCTTTCCTCTGACTCCCATTTTCCAGATGTGGGTCATGGAAGTTGCTCTATCAGAAAAGGATGCTTTCTTCTTACAAACTTATTTACTCTCAAGGTCCATTTGTTAGATTGGACACCCCTGCTTTATATAGTCTAGACGCCTGCTACTCAAAGTGGGCCCCCAGGCAGAAGCATCACCATTACCTAGGAACTTGTTAGAAATGCAGAATTCTGAGATCTACTTCAGACCTACTGAATCAGAAACTGCCTTTTAAAAAGATCTCAGAGGATTAGCTTGCACATTAATATTTGACAAGCTATAGGTTTAGAGGATCCAAGTTCGGTAATATGAGAAATTAGAATATCCTGGTCATCAAGAGTGACCAAAACAGCTCATTAACTTTTGTTTCTTTACTAGATTTCCTGTCGAGGAAGCACATAAATATGTTTCCCCATCCTCACCTTTCAAGACAAAATAAACACAATCAGAAGTTTCTGAAGCCCTCTGTGCAAGTAAATAAGCAGAAATTAGGTTTGCAGTTTGAGGATGTGAATTGGATATCCAGATTTATCTTTTCTGATTCAAATATATCAAATGTGTGTGTCTAAAATCCTTCTGAGGTTACCAAGCGGTTTTTAAAAAACCATGGTAGATTCTCTCGAAAAGAAAAAGAACATGTTCTTGGTTAAACAACTAAAATCAATGGAATGATTGAAAACAAATAAAGTGATCTTTTTGGCTCCAGATATACTTACAGGGTTTGAGATGTGGGTCATCAACTGCTGAGAAGCCAAGATCAACCAATTAAAATATGAGTGAATAAACAAGGAAAATAAGTAGGCACCAGGCTGAGTGCCACTACAAAGTAAAAGAGGTAGGAGGGTGAACACTACAAGACGCAAAGTGTCAAACACTGAGTGGATTGACAAGAAAAGTGGGTTCCATGTGGGTTGATTTTCCAAGTGGGTTTAAGGCTGAGATCTTGCTATACTGACAAAGAATCAAGGTGACTAAAATTCTAAAGAAACTGGAAGCAAGCATTAGCATCTTAAAGTTTGTGCTTTCCACAACTTACTCTAGATTTACATACCAGGAAGACTGGAAGAGTTTGGAGTTTCGTTCTGATACTGAGGTTCTGATACTGAATAAGTTGCCGTGTTGCCACCAGAAGAAAACCTTCCCTTTTAAAAGTCATTTTTCTCACACAGAATAATGTCAAACCTAAAGACATTCACATAAATGTCAGTGTTGTCAAGAAAATTTCTTAAAAGATGGGAATACCTTTGTGATTTTTGTGTTTTGGTGAATCTGTTGTTAAGAATGTGCCTTAAAATGGCCAGATGCGGTGGCTCACACCTGTAATCCCAGCACTTTGGGGGCTGAGGTGGGTGAATTGTTTGAGATCAGGAGGTCGAAACCAGCCTGGGCAACATAGTGAAAACCCCATCTTCACCAAAAATATAGAAATTTAGCCGGACATGATGGCATGTGCCATTAGTCCCAGCTACTCAGAAGGCTGGAGAGAATTGCTTAGGCTGGAGAGAATTGCTTGGGCTTGGGACATGGAGGTTGCAATGAGCCGAGATCGCACCACTGCACTCCAGCCTGGGTGTCAGAATGAGGCCCCGTCTCAAAAAAAAAAAACAAAAAAAAGCCTTAAAGAATATAAAAATCTTTCAAAATTCTGGATTGAGAATGATTTTTACAATCTATTCACTTTTGGGAGAAAGGAATTGAGGCCTCATAAAAATTTAGGTTTGTATAGCTAAAGTTAGCTTCGAAATAAAAGCTGATGTTTGGGAGTTTTGTGACCTATAGCTTTGATGTGCAATTACCACTTTCTCTTCTGGACCTTCTACTGATCTTTATAAGAAAGGTACTCACTGAAGCAGTAGAAACTGCAGCACTAACAGGTCACTTTGATTGAATAGGTGTTTTTATTTTAATTCAATAAGTAAATTAAGATCAGAATTTTTGCTGTGAGCAATGTTTATCTTACTACAATGTGGTGCCATAGGTTATGTGTGAGATCTCCTGCTTCTTTTAAAAAAAGGTATTTCCTTACAAAGCCCCATTAAAAATATTTTTTCTTTTCCTGACCTTTGCACTCATTCCATGGCTAAAATAGAATTCCATAACTGAATAAATATAACACATTTCAAACAACTTTGAACTATAATTATTAATATTATCTCTTAGTTCCACAGATGATTAATCTTGCTTTGAATCATGGTGACCTGGGATTTTTTTTTTTCTTCAATTAAATTAACTAAATGTTTTATAGGCTTTACAATCAGAAAAACACTAGCATACAAGTACAGATTACATATATTGCCCTAAAAGTGCACAACATTTACCTGTATGTCAAAATTTCTTTGAGGAAATAGTTACTGGAGCCTAGAAGTTTCTGGTATTTATGATTCTCAACCTTTGAGGAACAGGTATTTATAGCCATTGGAGTCATTCGTTTACTTTTGGTGAAAATAACTGGAAACTCTTCGATAATTTTGTGATCTAGGGTCATGGTCCTCAGATTTCAGTGTGTGTATCAGTCAGGGTCCAAGTTGGAGACAGAATCAACACAGTAATTAGAACATAGAAAGTTTAATATAAAGGATTATTAACTACTGATGGGCCATCACTACGAACAGTTAAAAAGAATTCAAAAGAAAACAATATAGGGAACAGCCACTCTTGCTAGGGTTGAGGTAGAGTAGAGTCCATAGGGAACAAACAATTTGAAAGATACTCCCTTCCCCACTATCACCACAGCTGAGGCCTCTTTGAGAGGACATAATTGAGGTCTGCTGGATGGTGGAGATGGTCACTGAGGTGCCACAGCTGAGGGAGTGGGCTGAGTGTTTTAGGCAAGAGCATCTGCAAAGACCTTGAGGCAGCTTAAGAACTTACATTCATATAAGCATTAGAGAACATTTAGACTGCTTCAATGACATCTAGTTTTTAAGGGGAGCTTTTATAGATGTTGCAATAATAGGAAAAATGTCTTACATTTGTGTAAAACTTTACACAGAAGGTTTCGTATGTTTTCTCATTCAAAACTGACAGGCCTAGATACTTTGATATGCTCTCTCCCATGATGTCCTAGGGATTAAGGCCAAATTTCTCAGAATGATTTACATGCTTTCAGAGCATGGATCCAACATATTTCTCTGGAATCATTTCTCATCCATTCTTACGCTCTAGTTTCTAAAAGCTATAAGAGACACTCTTCCTCGATCTCCATTTAACTCCCTTATTGGATTTAAGAGATTCCCCGTTCTTTCTGTAAAACATACTAACGGATGTCTACAGCCTGCAAAATATACTCAGCTAGCAGGACACTCTCCAGTATGTCCTAAACTTCTGCTTACACCAGTTGGAGTTATATGCTTAAAAGAATGAGGGGTGTGAGTGTGTGTGTGTTTCCAAATCCATTTATTTTTGTTAAACCTATTATAATTCCATAATTAAAGGAAATATAAAGCACTAAAATATTTGTGCAAAAAGAGACTATTATATGAGATAAAACTGAGAATTTCTGGTTCCAGCAAACTTACAAAACAATCAGAAAATTCTCCTTCTTATAGCTTTTATATATACTGGATGAAATACAATAAAAATTTTTAGAAATGTATAACTGTTTAGGAGAAAATGGAAACCTCCAGTTCCTGGGGATAAAGAGGAAACTATAAATTAAAGAAGTATGAATCTGAGCTGATGGCAAGCCTTCCCTGGAGACTGGGGCAGGAGAGCTTTAATGCTTGCAAGGGAGAAGAAAGGAGGACTGGTCCTATATACGCAGTGGGTTTGAAATAAAACCCTTGTATAATGCCTGGATTTTGAAAGACAGCACCTTCTGTGTAAAGGTGGACTAAAAAACAGTCCACACACTCACACAGGAGATGACACGAAAGCTTATGTGTTTGTGGGTGAAGAAAAAAGAACATAAAAATTTCTGAGAACCTGAAACCCAAGGTTTGAAATTACAATATCCACATAGTCTGGCACCCTTAAGCCAGGAAGTTCAATAAAAATTGTGAGCTGATGATGTCCCTAGGATACTGTACAGAAGCAAATGTAGAATCACTCTGGAGGACCATATCTTCACCCCTGCAGCAGAGGATTTCAACAGAATAAAACTTGCTAAAGATGAGCTCACAATCCACGGTTACAATACAAATGAGGAAACAACATATCACAATTGAGAGCCACCTAGCACAATAAATAGAATTAATTTCCCAAACTTTCAGATAATAGAAAGCTACAATGGAAATAATAAAATAACTATATACATTTAAAACAATAACAAGTGCTATAAAAAAGCATTAAAATGGCCAGGTGCTGTGGCTCACGCCTGTAATCCCAGCACTTTGGGAGGCCAAGGCAGGTGGATCACCTGAGGTTAGGAGTTCAAGACCAGCCTGGCCAACATGGCGAAAACCCATCTCCACTAAAAAATACAAAAATTAGCTGGTTGTGGTGGTGCACACCTGTAATCCCAGCTACTCGGGAGGCTGAGGCAGGGAGAATGGCTTGAACCTCGGAGGTGGAGGTTGCAGTGAGCTGAGATGGCACCACTGCACTCCAGCCATCTCAGACTCCAGAGTGGGCGACAGAGTGAGACTCCATCTCAAAAATAAATAAATAAATAAAATAAAATAAAATAATAAAAAGTAAGATACAATGAAAAGATCAGACATTTGCAAATGAATCAAGTAGAAATGGCCACTATAATCATTGTTAAAAAAACAAAAACAAAGCCAATGGTTGAATTCCTGGGTTATCTATAGCTGTGTCAGATATCAAACCCCTAACAGGCAACTTCTGCTTTCTTTTGCCATTTTTATGTGCTTTATATGGTATGACTGACTACAACAGCAGTGTAAAGATTATTCCAAATATATTATGCTATTGAGGTTTGAAAAGCTTAGTTCCGTAGCTGCTAGGAGTCACACATCACAGGGTGTGTGCTAGCTGTGGAAGAGAGAAATACCTTCCCTCTCATGGAGTGCAGTAGCATTGGAATAACTGAAGAGATTCATGATCACACAGGTTGTACCATGGCTAGTATCACTGTGATGCTAAGACTTTAATTGATGAAGACATAGTAGAGACCCAAGACTATTGGTTTGCCTACAATGAAATAATGACAGTGGAGAGTTTGACCTGTGCTATGTCCAAACTAGCTCTGCAATTTGAAACATGATTGAAGCTCCAAGTGCTAAATCTCATCCTGTTGTAGTATTGTTGTTTGGAGAAGTTTTTGAGAAAGAACCCCAGATGTTTTACATGGAGACTTCAGGGATTCTGGTACAATGCAATGTTCAAGCATTTCCTTAGAACATACACAGAATTTCTTTTAAAAGTTGACTGTAAGTTTATAGCACTGAATGAAGTGTCACATATTTACTTGCCATTCTCAAAGGACATTGGCCAAGAAGTTAAATGTAAATTATGTAAGTTAGCTATGGTGCTGAGGCAAGAAATTTCAAATAAAAATATAAATGAGAAATTTAGAAATATTGAAGATAAAATTAGAAGGTCTAAGATAGATCTAGTAAGAGTTCCAGAAAGAGAAAAAAGGGAGAATAATGAAGAGGCAATCCTTAAAGATATAATGGCTGAGGATTTTCCAAAATTTACATCAATTTATCCTGTTTCTTATATGAAGAATATGAGTTGGAAGCACAATGAATATAAAAAAGAATAAATAATATAGAAATAAATCCACAAGCAGACACGTTACAATGAAACTAAACAACAAAGAAAAAAGGAGATTTTATAAGCAACTAAAGAGAAAAGTCAACTTACAAAAGGAATAGACCATCAAATGAATGGCAGACTTTTCAATATAAACAACTGAAGCCTGAAGCCAGTAGAATGATATACGAAATAATGAAAGAAAATATTTGTGATCTAGAATTACAAGGCTAAATTATCATTCAAGGGTGAGGACACAGACATTTTTAGAAAAACAAGATGGGGTTAGTCTACCATTCACAGAACTTCCCCACAGGAACTTATGAAGAATTATACTTCAGCAAGAGGGAAACTCAACTCAAAGGAAGAAGCGGGAAATAAAAAAAAATTGGTGACCCAATAAATTACTAAAATATGAATAAATGTAAACAAACTTAGACAGTATAAAACAATAATGGTGTTGAAGATAAAATGTGGAGGGAGTTTAAAAACAAGATAGAATTTGAATACTGGACAAAAAAATGTAAGACTGAAGAAGGTATGAGAGTTAAACTGTTTCAAGTTAGGCCAGGTGCAGTGGCCCATGCCTGTAATCCTAGCACTTTGGGAGGCTGAGGCAGGCAAATTACTTGAGCCCAGGAGTTCGAGACCAGCCTGGGCAACCTGGCAAAACTCCATCTCTACAAAAAATACAAAAATTAGCCAAGCATAGTGGCATGCACCTGTAGTCCCTGCTACTCAGGAAGCTGAAGTGGGAGGATCACCTGAGCCTGGGAGGTCGAGGCTGTGGTGAGCCATGATTGTACCACTGCGCTCCAGCCTGGGAGAGAGAGATCCTGTCTAAAAAAAAAAAAAAAAAATAGTTGGGCGCTCTGGCTCACACCTATAATCCCAGCACTTTGGGAGGCTGAGGTGGGAGGATCACTTGAGTCTGGGACCAGCCCAGCCAACATGGTGAAACCCCATCTCTACTAAAAATACAAAAATTAGCTGGGCATGGTTGTGTATGCCTGTAGTCCCAACTATTTAGGAGGCTGAGGCAGGGGAATCTCTTGAATCCGGGAGGTGGAAGCTGTAGTGAGCTGAGATCGTGCCACTGCACTCCAGCCTGGGCAACAGAGCTAGACTCCGTCTCAAAAAAATAAAATAAAATAAATACATAAATTTAAAAAATTAAAAATAAAAAATAAATTCCAAGTTGCTTGCTATGTTTTGGAAAAGTTAAGAAATATTGATTAATTTTATAATTTGTTAAGTCCAATATATGTTAAGGAATTTAAATGTAATCATTAAAAATAGCAACAGATGGTATAGTTTCCAAACCAATACAATGAATAAAACAAGTAACTAATTTGGCAGAAATTAGGAAAGGGAAAAAAAGGAAGTTTTTTGCAAATGTCAAGGCACTACATGGTTGTTCTCCCTTAATACTGTAGTAATTTTTATATATTAAATATTCCTATGAGATAATCATATTTGATCATTGTTATATATTTTATGCTCATCTCTATTCAAAAGTGAGAATAACCTATATTTTTTTATTCACATACTCCTCTAATTTTGCTATCAAAATTTTATTAATCTCAAAAAATAGTTGGGGAGCTTACCCCCTCTTTTTATGATGTTGGGTATATACAACAAATCAAATTGAATCAAATTGAATTGAATTGGTAAAGTCTCTTAGCAAATTTTTGAATAGAATAAAACTTCTTTAATCTGATAAAAGTATTTAACAAAAATATACAGTGAATATTATACCTATCAGAGAAGAATTCTGGGTAAGAACAAGACAAAAATACTTTCTATTCTTGCTCATATTAAGCATTGTATTAGAAGTCTTAGTGCAATAAGAGAAAAAAAGATTGATTGCATGTGTCATCATTAGCAAATTATGAGTGTCTATACAGAAAATACAAGACTTGACAAACCATTAGAATTTATCAACAAGGCAAGCAATACTTCTTGCTTTGTCAACAGTATCAAAACATCCAAAGTGGTCCCTTTATCCCAGCAGGGAATAATTAGAAAATATAATTTCAAAAATATATTATTTATAATAGCAAGAAACATTCTAAGTTACCTAAGAATAAATCCAACAAAAGTTGTATGTAAAACTTTTAGGAAGAAAATAATAAATTTCATTAAAAGACAGAAAAGGGACACAAATGCATGGAGAACCATATGTTTCTCGATAAATAGATTTGGTAACATAAATTATTATCTAATTAATATTTGTATTCAATATGAATAAAGTCAAAATTTAAGCAGGATTTTTCAGGGAACTTGATAATCTGACTCAGAAACTTACACAGAGGGCAAATGGACAAAGACAGTCAAGATAATTTTGAAGAAGAATAAGTAGGGGGAGTGATCTTATCTGCTAGCAATATTTATTATAAAGCTCTAGTAATGGAAGGAGTGGTATTGATGTACTGATAGACGAATTAGACCATTAGACCTAGAAACAGAATCAAGTACATATGGGAGTTTGATCATTGACACCAGCAGCATTACAAACAAGTAAGAAAATATTAATTTTGAAACAATGATGCTGAGACAACTGAATGTCTACATGAAAAAAAATTTTATATACCACATACATGCACACACATGCATGCACACACATGCATGCACACACACGGATTAAAGACCGAAATGAGAAAAGCAAATATTAAACACATCAAGAAAAACATGTAGAAAGGGAGCTGCATAATTTTGGTGTAGAAAAGAGTTTCTTGAATAAGACACAAAAAATACAAGCCAAAAAAGAAAAGATAGTTAAAATTGGTTACATCAAAATGTTTAAAAAAAAAAAGAGAGAGAGAGAGAAGTCAACATACTGTCTAGAGAATGTATTTGCAATACACATAAAGATTAAGAACTCTTATAACTCAATAAGTAAAAGACAGAAAATAACTATGAGAAATATGGAGGAAAAATATAAACACATCATTCACAGCAAGTGAAACCTGACTGACTAATAAACACATAAGAAATGTCCAACCTTCCTAATTATCTGAGAAATTTAAGTTAAAACAACAAGAAGATACCATTCTGTTACTACAAAGATTATCAAATTTAAAAAGTTGAATAACTCCAAGTGTTAGTGAGGTTGTGGGAACATTGCTGGTGGGACCATAAAAAGCATGTCTACTTTGAAGAACTATTTGGACTTGTGCAGACCCTATGATCCAGCAATTCCACTTGTACATACTTACTTGGGTCACTGCATTGCACAAACCTTGGAACTGTGCAATGAACAGCCATTTGTATCCTAAAGAAACTCTCATCAACGTGCACAAAGAGACCATTCTAAAAAACCGGAGGACAAACTTGGGATTTGGGGTTCATATTAATTCGAGATTGTCTTTCTGGCCCCACTCTAGTTTCAAGAAGCTGAAACTGGAAATTGTAGACATATTTTGATATTTATGTAAGAAATACATTGTATGACTCCTATCAGAAGACACATGCTGAGGAAAAAAAATTTTTTGCCCTATATTGAAAAATTGAAGCGTAAATATACATTGTTATATTTATGAAATAATGTAATGTTCTGAACAAAACAAAATGCAATTTTCCCTTATTTTACAAAGTAGTTGCATTCCTGGAAAATTCAAAAATATTCCTCGGTATTAGAATTGTGCCAAAAACATAAGAAAACATAACATATTCTTTGTGGTTTATATGTAAAACCGAATTAGCCTCTAGGCTCAGATAATTATAAACAGATTTCTTACCTCCTAAATGCCTGGCATGACACTTGACATTTAAAAGTCGTGTGGAAAACAGGACAACTCTTTGTGTGGGGCACTGACCCTGGGTGAGGATGGTTAGCTGCCTTGACCTCTACCCACTAAATGCCTGTTGTGCCCCAGTCACTGAGATAACAGTGAAAGTCCCATATTTGTCAGGGTTTCCTAGAGGGATAGAACTAATAGGAGATATATATATACATATACACACACACACACATATATATATATATGGGGTTTATTACAATATATATATGGGGGTTATGTTATATATATATATATGGGGGTTTATTAAGTATTAACTTAAATGATCACAAGGTCCCACAATAGGCTGTCTGCAAGCTGGAGGAGCAAGGAGAGCCAGTCCGAGTCTCAAAACTGAAGAACTTGGGGCTCGATGTTTGACGGCAGGAAGCATCCAGCGTGGGAGAAAGATGTAGGCTGGGAGGCTAGGCCAGTCTCACCTTTTCACGTTTTTCTGCCTGCTTTATATTTGCTGGCAGCTGATTAGATGGTGCCCACCAGATTAAGGGTGGGTGGGCCTTCCCCAGCCCACTGACTCCAATGTTAATCTCCTTTGGCAACACCCTCACAGACACACCCAGGATCAATACTTTGTATCCTTCAATCCAATCAAGTTGACATTCAATATTAACCATCACAAGCCCCTTAGGGGATGAAAACCATTGTTCAATCTGCACCCAACTCAGACATGTTCTCCTTCCTGAAGAACTCTTTATTATTGGCCATTTCCTTTCGCACCCCGAAATGCACGTGACCACTGTAGCTTTTATCCCATTGTATAGCAATGAACATTTTACATATCTGTTCTCTCCTCCAAACCACGTCCTCCCAGAAGACTAGAGCCTCAGGCTATTTTTTGTACTAAGAGCCTGGAAGTGCTCAATGTTTGGTGTATGAAACATAATTTAATGTGAGCCAACCTTTTAAGTTTGAGTTTCTAGCATATTACTGGACTGCATACTGCTTGTCTTCCCCTGCCACTTCCCAGTGAAAGTTTTTATCTATAAAAAGCTGAAAAAAAAGGGGAGGCCCTTTAGCAGAAATCATCTTCAGTTTTCAAAAGCCTGTGATATACTGCTGGCAGCTCAGATAAGTCTCTATTTACTGAGTATCTTCATCTACAGAGAAATTAGGGTAAAGAGGGCTGTAACTCCTGTTAGGAAAATATGTAAATGTATCCTGCCAGCATTTAAGAAGGCCTGAATTTTGCATGCAAGACCTGAATTTTGCATACATTCTTTACTTCTCTGTAAGGCAGGGACTCTAAATTACCCTCCTTCTTTTGGCTACCTCTTTGTCAAGCAACTCTGTTTTGGCCAATTCTGGTCCAATATTCATGATAAAGATACACATTGTGGGTCTAGATGAGACTTCACATCCTAAGGTACATGGATTGATGGGGTGGCCTTATGAACTGAAATAAGATTTTTCACAATTTGTAAATCATAAGTGGCATTAATTGAACTCAAAAAAGAAATCAAGGGGATTCATGAGTAGATTTATAAATTTTCTTCTTTCTGCATTTAAATTATACTGGCATTTTAATTGCATTGTAATTGCACTTTAATTGCATGTATTTGTATAAATTAAAAAATAATTAGAGCTCTGCAGCGCTATGGAAAACTAATTTATGCATATAGACCTTTAAAGATGTACACTTGGAGACTGATTTTATAGTTCTCACTATGATAGGCAGTTTAAAATTGTCCTCATGAAAAGGTGTATAGCTATCTAGATCGCTGTGCCTTCCCACTCCTTTCTGGGACTGAGAAAGCAAGACAGACAGAGCTGGAGCTTGAATGGAGAGCATTGCTTGGTATGCATAGGACTCCTGGCTTGCATAGTCTTTTAAATATTAATTTTTTATATCTGTATATATTTTCTAGCTTAGCCCTAGGAAGTTTCTTGGCTCTGATTGCACGTGGGTGGGAAGGATAGAGGATGAGTCACTGCATTAGGGCCACCGATGAATTTTGAAGAGTATTTCTGACACAGGTTATCATGGCAAAGTGTATGTGTATGTAGGGGCCATTCATTCAACAAACATTTATTGAAGGCCTACTGGGTGTCTGGCACCTCTGAGATATGGCCCCACCCTGTTTCATAGGTCATTTGTCCAAAAGCTATTTGAATTTTCCAGCCTTCATTGTTAAATGTTTAAATTTTTTTTAGAGACAGGATCTTGCTGTGTTGCCCAGGCTGGTCTTAAATTCCTGGCCTCAAGCAATCCTCCTGCCTCAGCCTCCCATAGCACTGGGATTACAGGCATGAGTCACCACACTCGGCCCAGCCTTCATTTCTGTCTCCTCACTCAATATCTTCATAGCTTTCATTGGTAACTTGAGCATCATATAATCTTGGCAAATTGTGGATTGGGCTCACCTATATCCTGATTCTCTACTTCCTCTGAATGTGCTCTTCCCTTCATCTACCCATTATTCCAGACAGTGCTTAGTGGCAGGTTTACTGCTTAAAAATTGCATTTTTATCTTTTTGGAAGGAAAAAGTTAAGAAGCTTTGTTACTAAGAGTGCACTACTCCCTTGCCTTGAGATTATGGCACTAAATGCTTTTGCAAGCAAGAGGATCCAGTGTAAGTTTTCTGTCCTGTCCTGTCCCAGGGCCTGTGCTGGAGCTATTACCTCTGCCTGCTGTTCTGGGTACTCCTTCTACACACATGGCATTCATTGTATACTCCCCACCCCAGAAAACTTCCCGGGTGCCCCATGTGGAATTACCCCTTCCCTCTCTCTTGCTCCTATAGCACATTCTTCATCCTTCTCTTTTGTAACACTAAGAGTTATATTCTGTGCGTTCCTGATGATAGGGGACCATGTCTTATTTATTTTTGAACCACCTGAATGCCCCAAATGTGAGACTTTGTCTCTTTTTTTAGGGGGGAGGGGGACGGAGTCTCGCTCTTTTGCCCACGCTGGAGTGCAGTGGCGTGATCTCAGCTCACTGCAACCTCCACCTCCCGGGTTCAAGCAATTCTCCTGCCTCAGCCTCCCAAGTAGCTGGGATTACAGGTGCCTGCCACCATGCCTGGCTAATTTTTGTATTATTAGAAGAGACAGGGTTTCACCATGTTGGCCAGGCTTGTCTTGAACTCCTGACCTGAGGTGATTCGCCTAACTTGGCTTCCCAAAGTGCTGGGATTACAGACATGAGCCACTGTGTCTCTTATAGATATAACCCAAGTCTGGGATTCAAAGGGCAAATATTTTCATGTGTGTGTGTGCATATGGACGTGTGTTTGTATGCTGATAAATTATAATTTTCTATTAAGATCCTCAAGAGTTGTTTTTATTGCATGAAAACACAAGTCACTCAGCATTCTCAGGGGAATCTCTAGGCTCTGCTCTGGGTTGTGGCTGGATTCTCTGGACTTATTCTTTTATAAAGATGCTTTTTGCAAAAGGAAATTCATCAGGTCTTAAACCATTTTGCAATCAGGTAGTGTTCCAGGCTTTGGAAACCCTCTCTAAGAGGCATATGATGGAGAAAGAAATAGAGAGAACATATATCTCCTCTGGGCATTATCTTTAGTGTGTCCTGGAGAGATGAACATCCAAAGAAGGAATACTTTTCATTCAAGCCAAACAAAATTTATACAAGAGTCTTCTTTCCATTGCAAACGCCTAGTCAGAGTAGGGTGGCTCCGGGCTTCTGCCAATTAGACCTTGGACTGGGCCTTGTTTAGACACAGTTCCTGAGTCCCAGGAAATACAGCACTTACTTTTGGCATAGCCAAATACGTGAGTTAGAGTAGCGGCAGCTGTTGTTACAAATATTAATATATCCCACAATGTATACCACCTCAAATGCAACAGAAGTTTATTTATTGCTAAGGTAGCAGTCCAAAGCAGAGGTTCCTTGTTGTTTGGTGTCTCTTTCATGAAATGATTCTGGCTCAGGCTTCCCCCATCCTGTGGCTCTGTCAACAGCTAGGGGTTGGCATCTTCTGCATCCAACCGGTGGATGGGAAAGAGGGAGTGATGGTACAAGAATTGCTTGAAAGCCTTTGACTGGAAATGACACACATCATTTCTGTTCATATTATATTGTCTCTAGATGCAAGAGGGTTAGGAAAGTAGTCCTTGATTGGGCAGCTGCTTCCCAGCTGCCAGAGACAACTCACAACTCTGTACCATAAAAGAGAGATTCTGAATTTTGGGTTTGGTTAGCCACCAAAGTTGCTTGCCACTTTTCTTGCATCATCCGTCATGCAATGGCCTAGATGCCCATCTTGTGTCAAATGGTTTTCTGCTGCTCACTGCACACCACTCATCTCAGTGCTGTTGAACTAACTGAAGCAACCTTTGCTTCCCATTAGGTAATTGGTAGGCACCACAGCATGCTCCTGAAACAGGAGAGTTACCTAACTTCCCTAACAAGGTGTGTCTCATCTGTTCGGCTGCCATGTGCTCAAACCCTTTATGGGAGGGGGAGCACGTAGATGGGCAGGTGCAGGAGCCAGGGCGAGTGCTTTTGGGCTCTGGCCCCATGGTAGTGTCTAGGGGTGGGTGCCTGTGACTCCCAAAGCCCCAGTGGGTGTGTTACAGTACTCTTTTAGCTCTGCCATCCACAGATGGCTAAAGTGTTAACCAACTCAGTGCCCGCTCAGTACCCGAGTTTTTGTCTGGTGTCCAGGAAGAATCAGGTCACAGTGACAAATTGAAGGATGGTAAATGCGGGGGGTTTTATCGCTGGATGGAGGTGGCCCTCAGTGGGATGGATGTGAAGCTGGAAAGGGGATGGGGTGGGAAGATGATCTTCCCCTGGAGTTTGGCCACCCCATGGCCTATCTCCTCTCTGACCATCCCCAGCCAAACTCCTCTTGATGTTCAGACGCTCCTTCTCTTCTCTCCTTCTCTGCCATACCACGCTGCCACTCTCTGTTCTCCTGCTTGTAGAGCATGAGGTTTGGGGTTTATATGGGTACAAGATAGAGGGGGCATCGTGGGCCAAAAGGCAACATTGGGGCACAAAAACAGGAATGCCTGTTCCCATTTAAGGCTGTGGGTTTCCAGGCTTGAGGGTGGGGCCTTTGCTGGGTAACTGCCCTCTTCTACCCAGTATCTCCCTACCTCCTTCCATGTCACTCCCAGCTGTCTCTGCCTGTCTTAGGCAGGAGCAGGACAAGCTGACCTCTCCAACAGGTACTTAACAGCAGAGTGTGGGGAGCCCTGGCTGGGGACCTGATGGTGCAGTTCTAACTCTCACACCAGGCATAGCTCATCCCACCCCTTCCCACAGAGGGCATAGCACATGCTGTGTCTTTGGTTCTCTTTGTCTCAGATGGTGAGGTGGGACACTTTTCAGTGAATTCCAGGTAAGCTCGTGGTGCTTCATATAAAACAATTGCCTTGGCAGAAGGCCTCTGTGTCTCCTTCACTGATAGCTCTCAGCTGTAGGCCTCTTGGTCCTGGGGTTTTCTTAAGCAAACTGCCTTACCCCTGAGCATATGTGAAAATGGTCCTGGTGTAACCGCCCAACAGTTTCTCCTTGCCCACTGCCCAGACAGAGCCGTTTTCTTTAGACAGGTGAAT
Organism: Homo sapiens; assembly: GCF_000001405.40. Classification (NCBI taxonomy): domain Eukaryota; kingdom Metazoa; phylum Chordata; class Mammalia; order Primates; family Hominidae; genus Homo; species Homo sapiens. The sequence continues at coordinate 87,901,568 of NC_000006.12, forward strand.
TGCAATAGAAAGAGTTTAATTCATGCAGAACTGGCTGTATGGGAGGCTGGAGTTTTATTATTATTCAAATCAGTCTCCCCTAAAACTTGGGGGTTGAGGTTTTTAAGGATAATTTGGTGGGAAGGGGGTCTGAAAGTGGGGAGTGCTGATTGGTCAGGTGGGAAATGAAATCATAGGGAGTCGAAGCTGTCCTCCAGTGCTGAGTCAGTTGCTGGGTGGGGGCCACAAGGCCAGATGAGCCAGTTTATTGATCTGGGTGGTGGCAGCTGATCCATCAAGTACAGAGTCTGCAAAATATCTCAAGCACTGATCTTAGGTTTTACAATAGTAATGTTATCCCCAGGAGCAATTTGGGGTGGTTCATAATCTTGCAGCCTTCAGCTGCTTGACTCCTAAAGTATAATTTCTAATCTTGTGGCTAATTTGTTAGTCCTGCAAAGGCAGTCTAGTCCCCTGGCTAGAAGGGGGTTTATTTCAGAAAGGGCTGTTATCTTTGTTTCAAAGATACGGCTGGGTGCAGTGGCTCACGTCTATAATCCCAGCACTTTGGGAAGCCGAGGTGGGTGGATCACGAGGTCAGGAGTTCAAGATCAGCCTGGCCAACATGGTGAAACGCTATCTCTACTAAAAATACAAAAATTAGCTGGGCGTGGTGGTGTGTGCCTGTAATCCCAGCTACTTGGGAGGCTAGGAATAAACAAGGACAGTTTGGAGGTTAAAAGCAAGATGGAGTCGGTTAGGTTAGATCTCTTTCACTGTCATAATTGTCTCAGGTATAATTTTTGCAAAGGTGGTTTCAGTTGGGCCTCTGATCCTGATCTCTTTCTCCTTGGTCTCTTCAGGCATCATCCTCTTTTACAATTGTTGGAAATCACAGCTTATAGCCTACCTTGGAGTTAAAAATATGTTTAATTTGATTAAATTTCAAGGTTTTCTTGCAAAAGGGAAGTGTTACATGTTACAGAAAAGAAAACATTTCATAAGAATTTTATTGAGCAAGTACCATGTACTGTGTACCATGAAAGGGACTTTGAGAAACAGGAAGGGACATACATTATGGTCTCTGCTTAGCAAGAACTGCTAATCATCCAGGAAACAAAAAATAGTACAGTGAGTAACAAGGCATTAATTCTAGGATATAAACCAGAAATTAGCTGAATTGAGGGGAGATACCTTTGTTAAGTATCCTTCCTGAAACTCTTCTTTGACAGCTTTCATTTGATAAAATCCAAAACTAAGACTGCATTTTGCTTAACCTTTCCAAGTTGGGTTATTTGATTTAAAAAAAAAAAGAAAGGAGAAAATTTTAAACTGTTGTTATCACTTTATCCTTTAACTTTAAAAAGAGTGCCCATTTTTTTTCAAATCTGAGAAATTGTACCCACATTTAATTTGCACTTAAAATCTTTTTTAGGATTAGAAATATTTATGTAATTCTTGCTCATTGTAAAAATGTTAACAACATTAACACATTTACAGTGAAGGCAAGTTTTTCTTCTGTGTACCTCAGACCTCCTTGAAGGCAACCACTGTTATCAGTGACTCCTCCACTTCCAGAGGTATTCTGTGAGCCTACATGCTGGGCATTTCATTATTTTTCTTCCAACTTCTTCCTCTCCATTTGTTAGACCAGTAGTGCTCAAGTGCTATTGTACAAACACTAGGGGAATTGCTTAGAAATGCAGATTTCCTAGTCCTTTTCCCAGAAATTCTGATTTTGTGGGCCTGGGTGAGTTCAAGGAGTCTGTATGAGTAACTGACCAGGTGATTCTGAAGCACACACCCTACTTGGAGATACTGTTTTAGAAAATAATTAGGGTCTCACTGCCCTGGGGATGAATCTGGTTGAGGTGTAGGAATCTCTCATAATGCCATGTCTATTTTTCGAGTCTTTGACCTTTACCGGGGCCACCTTCCCTTTGGTTTCCATGGTGACGCACGGAGGTCTTCCACATGTAATTAGTCTAAGGATCTTGATTCGTTCCATCGCCTCTCACTGACCGTTCGAGTGCTGCGCTGCAGTGTTATTAGCAAGGCTGAGAAAACTCAATTTGTTTTCTTTCTTCCTCCACTTATGTGATTATAGTTAACATCAGTTTTCTTATATCTCTGAGGAATAAGTAACGGTCGCGAAACTGCAGACTTTTGAGAGATGACAGTAACTTAGACATTGTTTCAGCCAGTCTTTAGATGGGAAAACTGAGTCCCAGAGAAATTAAGAAACTTGTCCAAGATAACAAAATAAATTAATGGCAGAGCTGACTAGAAACTTGGTTTACTAACTCTACATCTGGTGCTTTTTTTCTCATTTTGGTGGCAGCTAAAATCTCAGAGTCTCTGAAAATTATTCAAACAGTTCCTGTTCCCCAGTCCACCTGCCCCCTTGAAATACATCCTCGGTTCCCTGTTTCCCTAGACCTTTCCTGGGCCACACCAGCCCTGGTTGGTTGTCTTGCTCAGTGCAGTGACAGGGTGAATTATTTCTGCATTCTTGAATGTAGCAAAACTTATCTACTTGAACCTCAGGTCACCAAATATAAAGCAATTTTGAACTGAAGGGGTTGTGGATACTTTAAGTCTCTGTGGGAATACAGGAGCTCACAATTCTTATTCTCAGCTTCCTCAAACAAAGGCTCAAGGAACAGTCCTCATTACTTTTCAGAGGTTGGGGGAGGGTTAAGGTCAGGAAGAGGTTGCTGAGTTTACAGTCTCATCCTGTCTCCCTCCTCCTATTGACAAGTCATCAGGATGGTTTATAGATTACTGCCTTACTTTAAGGCCTGTTTGTTGATGTTTGCAGACATTTATCCAATCTCAAGAAACTCAAGGGACCTGATTTCAACTTCAAATTATATATTATCCATATTTGGGATGGAATGGGCAATTTTAATAGAGAAACCCTATCAATCAGGCCAGGGAATAAATAGGAGGGCTTTGATTTATATACTGTGTTGAAATCATCTATATTGATTTAAAATTTTTAAAGTTCCTATGAATGTAATATTTTAACCTGAATATGATTCTTAACAATCCCCTCTCCTCAAATTGTATTCTTCTATTTTTTTTAACCTTTGGTGAAATATTAACTTACTGTACCATGCATTGATAATGTCCCCAGAGGTTAGCCAGGAGAAATATCAGCGTGTCCTTGGAGAGCTTGTCTATCCTGATGAGAACAAAAATTCTAGGACAAAAAGGCTCAATTCCTGAAATAATTACAGTAACTTCAGAAAGGAAATTAAGTATCTATTGAAAGATACACTTAGTAGAATAGTGACTTTTCCTACACATTTAAAATTTAGATACTATATTCAGGAAAAGGGAATTTACCAGGGTTTTTGGATGCAAATGATGAGAAATTAGTTAGTATCTGCAAGCCTGTAAGTACAATATAGTTTTGTACTTATGTAATTAGAGCTGTTTGTGAATCACTCTAATGTCACGTCTGATAGCTATAGTCCTTCAAAGGGGTATTTACATTAAGCCTGATGATAGGTACAGGCATGGAGACAATGAAATTCATTTTATCTATTGTAACATGCAGCCAGTAAATTAGCTTCCCTTTAACTTATGCTACGAAATGATGCTATTTAGTTTATGTGCATTATTCTTGGACTTCTGCATTCCTGGGAAAAGGTTGTCAAAGGTTGTATTAGCTGTGCAGTGAGGCAGCACAGCATGTCCAGGCACATACTCAGGTTAAAACCCTGCTGTACACATCTGCTGTCATTACCCTTTGCATCTTTGCTGATAATTTTTAAGAACCAAAACTGTATGTTGCTATTTTTAGTCCACTTACTTTCTGTTGAGGGTGATGGTCATTATTCTGACATTTCGTGACATATATGTCCACCCCCTGCTCCCCTGCATCAAAATAGATATGTTTTCATACCTACCACACAATCCAGCTGGGCTCAATTTGCATTTAGTTCTCTGGGGAGAGTTAATAATTTTATTTTCAAAAGGTCACTTGCTGACACACAACCTATAAAATAGTTAGCTACCCAAGATTCTTTTCACTCATTCCTCAAATACTTGGTTTAGTTTGGTCTTTTTAATTCACTACTGAAAATCCATTGCCTCTAGGAATTTCAATATTGCATTACAGCATAACAAACTATCCAATATCACTAATGGCCTATTTAGGAATGAAATGCTTTTTTTTTTTCTGGTTTTAAGCAATTTCTAATTTTGAAGGGGATCAGGCACCATCTACAAGGATAGAGTTAATAGCTCCCTGAAGGGACACATCACTAGCCAGGTCATAAAAATCATGCATGCTTTGCTCTTTCAGCCATAAGGCAAGAGGAAAACAAATACGCCTATTTTCCCTCTGCATTACCTTTGTGGTCTGAGGATGTTTGAAAAATTACAGCCATTATATTATTATTATTATTGTTATTTTTTACAATGTTTCTGAAATATGCATTTTTATTCATGTTTATCTATTTATATCTGGTATTTATCTATTTATGTCCTTTCCTCAAGAATTTACTCTCTAAGATGTCTTCTTTCAAAATCATATCCAAAACAGAACGCAAGTGCTGGGATGAATATAATATATACCATTTGAGAATTTGCCAGGCGTAACTATTAACTGGAAGATTCAAGCAAAGAACTAGTTAGTAAGGGAAGAAATTACTCAACATATTTGTTTTGGCTGCTCACATCAATCAGATTTGTGAGATAATAGCTTTAATTCCTTGTGATGAAACACACCAATCCTTTTCTGTATTACAAATGTACCCCAGTTTGACTAAGACAAAAATCAATCTAAATGCAGTGCATTTGCTTTGTCATTGTAAATGGTGCTTGGGTAATGAGCCCCTCAGGGATGGACGGGAGAGAACAGAGCAGTAGAGGAGGAAACAGGAGTGGGTGGGCTAAGGGCAAGGTTTATGATCCAACCTAGAAATCAGGAGGGAAGACATTGGGAAAACATTTCAGTATTCGAAGAGAGGGCCAGACAGTGAGGTGAAGAAGACCCAACAGAACTGGACTTAAGGTGGGGAGGGGGAAAGATGTCATAAAGGTGTTTAGGATGCTCCCCCTATGGGGCTGCAGGCACAGGGAGAGGTGTGTATCGTTAAGTGGCTGCAGGGAAGCACCTTGGATTCAAATCCAAGGTCTTCACCTGAAACCTAAGCAGATTTGGAAAGAACTTAATTGTTCTTAAGAGGAAAGGAGCTAGTGTTTTTTGAGCTCTTCCAAATGGGCCTGGCCTTCCACAGATGTCATCTCATTTAATTCCGCACAGCATCCCTATGAAGTAAATTACAATAATAATAGCTAACATCCTTTACACGCTTAGTATGTGCCTGGCACAGCACACTAAGTGCTCGTTTTGCATTGCCTCTTCCTAACAGCCCTTTCTAATTGAGGAAACAGATTTGAAGATGGGGGTAATTTACTCAAGGAATTTAAATCCAAATATGTTTGGATCCAGGAGCTGGAATTGACATCCAAATATGTTTGATCCAAAGCCTAGACTTTCTGGTATACCATGATGCTTCCTCAGTGAGTGTAAAAACCAATGGAGATGGATAGAGAGCCAGGTTATGTGTCAGTTTGTGACAAGTTGTAGCTGGTGGGTAAGCTGAGTACCTGCCCTTTACTTGGATAGGCCACGCCTTTTTCTAAATGCCTCACAATGAAGTCAAGGTTATGGTCAAAAGAAGTTTTTAAGGTGAGGATTTCCATGATTTATGCAGGAGCAAGAACAAGGAGTGGAAATATAGCCAGGGCCCATCCCTATGTTACCATCTAATGGTAAATAACCAAACACACAAAAACAAAAGACTCCAGACCCCCAAGTCTTTGAGCAGTAGTGAAAGGAATCTCAGGAGAATATGGGAAGGCTTGATCGGATGGTACTTTGGAAACTGTTATTTCATTCAGCATCCCACACTGCCTCTGGGCTTCACGACGGCCACTTAAAGAGGAGACAATTCTGCTTTGTAACTGTCGCCAAATGTGAGGAGAGGAGGGCTTCCTGGAGAATGTCTTTCTCTTGAACTCGAAGGTGGATCTGCTCTCCCCATAGCCTCCACAGGCTACTGCAGCAGTATTTCCTCCCCCAAGGGGAGGAAAGGTCAAAGAAGCCAAAAATGGGGGGATCAGTAGCTATAGCAACACAGTCCTCTTCCCCACACCATAGATGCCTGTGGGATTAAGAAAAACTTTCATCACTGGATTTTCTTGGCTTCTGATGATCCAGGATGTGGTTGTGGTGTGTCTGAGTGTGATTATTTTGAAATTTGAGGTTTAGAACCAGTTACCACCAAGAATGCTCAGTGGGTGGCATTGCCTGTGCTCTTTCAGACATAAATGGGAGATGTGAGCTCAGAAAGAAGCTTTTGTATCTAAAATGTATTTTTATGATTAAATTATAATTTTTATAAATGAACCTTAGTATCATTAAGCTATATTATCTCATGGCTTTCAGCTAGAATTTTGTGATGTGCTATTAAACAAAAAGCAACCCATACATGAAGTCTATAAAATGAACTTGCTAAATTCTGAACTTCAAACAACTTTCTTCTCTTCAAAATGCCCCAATCTTCATGCTATACTTTTAATTTATGATAAAGACTTTATTATCTTTTATGGTGGAAAAAAGAGGGTAGCATATGAGTTAAGACTTCTGGTTATCTGAGCTTCAAGTCAAGTTAATTCCCCAAACTTCCAGCTGTACCTGATACCCTGTCTGCTACATGAGGCACAAAACTACAAGTGCCCCCTAAGGAATTTAAATGTAAGGAGTTTCAACAACTCCTGAGGAGAGACAGCATAAGAAGAGGACGTAAAAACCATATCCCATTTCAAAGTGAATTTTCAAAACCCAAAACACTCTAAAACACATCCTGAAACCAGGTAAGAAAATAAAGTTTCAATTCAGAAATAATTAAGATTGAAAATAAACTTGTCCTGGTTAAAGCAAATGACTGGGTTGGCAGAGGAGGGGAATGAACAGCTGTCCAGCTGTTACAGGTGTTTAGGAAAATGCGACACAGTAGGACTATGCCCTTGAAGCTGGGCTAGACTCTAGGTTCTTAAGTAGAGTGTCTCCTGTGGCATAATTTTTTGATTAGGGTTCAAAAATGGAGCAAAAATTTATTTTGGAGGACAAAAGAAAAACCCGCCTCTAGAATTATCCACGTGGTAAAATGTCAGATATGATGGACAAGAACAGGAATTTTCTGTTTTGCCACTTTCAGAGTTAATTTTCTTCTTCTTTTGAAATCAGGAGGAATTACAAAAACCTTTTATATCAGATTTGCAAATACCAATAAATTGCCCACCCCTACTTCTGTCTTTATCAGCTTGCCCTTTTGACAGGCAGCACACAGTAAAATGAATAAATTCAGCACATTTTCCTGTTCACCAAGCATAAATTATTACTAACTGTGGTGAGAGGCTATTTGAAAAGCTGTTTTATTTGAGAGAGGAGCCTTCTTTTATCTACAGATGATTCTGTTTGAAATCAAAGTAGATATTGTCTTATCTTTGCGACCTCAGGAAACTGAACTATGATGACGTATTTCCATTCTAAAGAGGGCAATGAGAGGATGCAGGCATAAGCTGAATAAACTTGACTAATCTATTCCTGTTCTTGGTTCAGATTCCCAGTCTTTGAAATACTAGGAGAATTACCATAGCATTAGTATGTGATACGACACCATTGCATGTTATCTGGATTGTGTTATAACTGGCAGGCTTCAGCTCTGGGTGGAGGGATTGGACTTAGGGGTGAACTCAGAAATCCCTTCCAAGTGAAATGCATTATGTGTCTCTCATACCATGGCCCTTTAGTAATGGGCTGTTGCTCTGTAATTTTTGCTGGTCTTTCAGCTTTCATGCATTAAGTCATGATTTCCGTCAAAGAAGCTCTATGATTCTCACACCTGAAAGGATTGTAGCAATTTGATGAAGTATCAGTTTGAAGTAACACTGACAAAAATGTATATCTATCAAATGATTATAGCTTTTATTCAATGACAAACAGCATGGAAATTCATAAATAGTTTTTATGCAGTAGCACATTTATTCAGTCCTCATTTCATTTGATGCCTGTCTTCTGCCTAGTGCTTTCAACATAATAAATTGGGCGTTGAACCATGAAGCTGGCATTTAGCATTAACATGTCATATTGTACCGCTTACCATTTTGCTATTTCCTTGATTGATTTTTCTTTCTATTTATTTTTTATTTCAGAAGAGTGCAATGATTTCAGGATCAATGATTTCTGAAAATGAACATTTTTAATAAAGCAGCTCTGGACTGTGATTCCTAACTATTGGGGCATTGGCATTAAAGAAAAGAGATTGGACATTTTGAACCTTGTGTGGTAAGGCAAAAAATAACACTGAATCGAAGTGTCTTGGCTCTGAGCAGGGCTGACTCATAACCTTGGCTCTCCAATTCAGAAGGAAGCAGTGTTTTGGGGGGACTGAATCACCGGCCCAGGCGGCACGTGCGTGAGGTTGAGCAGTGAGACCAACTGCTCGACAAGCCATGTTGGTTGTTCTCTCAGTGAAGTGAAAAGCATGTGAAAATTGCTCATCCTCACACGTTAGGTCTTAAAATAGCCTGCGCTGTTGATCCATTTATGAGAAATATGCCACCAGTTTTCTTAGCTCACCTGGGTGAAAGTTCAAATGACCAAAAACCCTGTGTGGTAGAAACACATTTGAAATATAAAACTTTAGGGTCAACTTTGACTGCTCTTCCTTTCCTGCCAGGAAATAATTTCTTCAGTCACCCCCATTTTTGCCCTGAATGCCTCTTATGGAAGTGACACCATGACTCTTGTTACCTCTCACCTCATCAATGCCATGGCCATTAAAGGGCATGAAGGGGTTAGGATTCCTCAGTTGCAAGCAACAGAAACCAATTCTAGGTAATAAAATGGAATTACTGGGAGGACACAGAATCAGCAGGAGGATGGACAGTTGGGCTTGCAAATAGGTAGGAACAGGGCACCTCTGGAAGGCCAGGAAGCAGGAAGCATAGCATCTGCTTCACACAGGTTGAGTCTGGCTGGGGCCAGGACAACTGTGGCCATGGATGATGTCTAATCATTCCTTCTGACTTTGCATCATTGGTTTATAGTGTCAAAATGAAACTTTTTGTCCCTGGATATGTTGAGACGGGAAGAAGGAAAATCTGATTCTATGGTTTACTACACTCCAGGAATTATCATCCCTCTAACACCACACATGATGGAAAGAGGTAATTATCAAAAAGGAAACTGGAGGGGCATTGGGAAGTGAGAAAGGATGTTGGGTGACAATTGTCCATGAGAAGACATTTTTCCTCTTCCAACTTTTCATCTCTCCAACTCATTTCAGTTCAATTCAAAAAACATTAAGTTTCAACTTTGCACAAGGCATTGTTAGATATTGGGCATGTTGAAAAAGAGGTTGTCTACACTTTGCTGTCAGTCATGTTGCATTTAGTGGGGCCATGCACTCTTATGGCTTTTCATTGAGGAGTGGAGATGAAGGATTGCCACATCTGGCATGCATTCCATCATTGAAGCCTTCAGTAGAGCTGTGAGCCATGTGAAGCCTTTGATCTCTTCTACATTTCTCACCTGCACCTCTCTGGTATTCTTTTGCCTTCTAAGGCTCACTACTCCCTCTGCTTCCCTTTGTGTCTTAGCCTTACTCTTAGCTACCTGCCAAACAATATCATTAAGATGTTAGGTGAAAGCAGGCATAAGGGATCTTATTGGGGTGCTAGAAATGTTCTAAATATGGATTATGGTGATGGTTACACAACTCAGTAAATTTACTAAAAGGCAGTACATTTTACATTTAAAACAGGTGAATTTTATGGCATGCAAACTATACCTCAACAAAGTTGTTAAAAAGATGTCAGGTGATGATCAAGGCCAGAAAAGGCACTTGTTTGGTTGGAAAAGGCTTTTAGAAGGGAAAGAGTAAATGAGAGTGGTGGAATGATGGCAGGAGTGTTTGACAAGCCAGCCTAAGGCACCAATGGTACCAGAGTTGCAGAAAACCAAAGCTCAGGAGCAGCCCAACTAGTGACTGCTTGATTATCTGTCATCACTTTGCTTCAGAAAACTTGGGGCTCAATGGTTGCTCCCAAAGAGTACCCAAATGCTGGTCCATGAGCTGAGACTGGGCACCTCACACTACAGGTGCTTCCCCAGCAGAGAGCAATGTCCTGGAAGGGAAGATTGTTGTTCTGTGACCTCCCTTTTCCTCCCAATTTCTCCCCCTTCATCTTTGGAAGTTCACCTGATGGAAGTGGATAATATCATACAGTTTGAACTTTATTATTATTTTGTGTTTTTATTTTATTTTTTTCTTGTTGAATCTTATGCAAGTTTGGTGTCCTGATCTACAAAGGCAGGAACTCTTTCTATTTCTTTGGCATCTCGCACAGCATCTTCAGTTGCATTGGAACTTTTAAAGTATCCTTCTGTTCTCTGCTGGCCTCCCCAGATTTCACTGAGCTGTGATTTGTGGAAGGGGAATATCTTCCCAAATACAAGTGTATTGGAATCAACCTTCCTGACACTTTCTCTAATCTGCCCCCTGCTCCTCCCCTTTGGTGAATGAATGGCTAATGCAAATGGTCAAAGATTGATATTTCTTTTGGAAAATTATAAAAGGATGGGGGTATGTTCCTCAATAGAGAATGGACATATGTCTATCTCTCTAAAAACAAAATAAATAAATAAATAAATAAATAAATAAATAAATAAAGCGGGCTCTGTCTCATTTGTCAGTTAAAAGGGCCACCTCCTCCTTGCTTTGTACACCAAAGCAAGCTCTTCCTATACTGATGATACTGATGAGGGGAGACAGGGATTTTCACTTTCTGTTCTAGCTTTTCTAACTACAACTAGGGTGCTACTCAGGTGTCCCCTTTCCCATCAGTCTGTCTGTCCTCAATTTGAGGTAGGAGATATGTAGCCAAACCACATTCTCCAATTTAGCTGTTTCCAGGAAGCCTAAACCTTGGGCAGAGGTGTATTTAGATAGTTGCTTAGTCTGTTATAAGTCCAATATTTGGATTCTTGTTCAGATGTCTGTTTGGGCATGTCTGCTCTATTGGCCACAGCAATGGAGAGGAAGGAGAGTGAGTAGAAGTTTGGGAGCCCAAACACTACCTTAAACCCCTAGCATGAGATAAGTCCAACAGTTGGGTTAACCAGATGGTTGTGCAATTTTAGTTAAGATTGCCCTATATCTTAAGTAGTAATGGTTTAGGTGGGCAACAGTGCATTCTATATGTGTGTGTAATAGAGAGTTTTCATCCCCATGGCTATACAGAGCAGCAGTGGGGTGAGATTCTCAACTAGGTTACCAAAACTGTAGACCCTAAAGCCTACACTGATTTTAAGAGGACCCTGTTACTTTGTGCAAGACCTGCTAAGAAGCTTCTGAGTTTGGCCGGGCGTGGTGGCTCATGTCTGTAATCCTAGCACTTTGGGAGGGCGAGGTGGGCAGATGTCCTGAGATCAGGAGTTCGAGACCAGCATGGCGAACATAGTGAAACTCCATCTTTACTAAAAATACAAAAAATTAGCTAGGTGTGGTGGCACACACCTATAATCCCAGCTACTCAGGAGGGTGAGGCAGGAGAATCGCTTGAACCTGGGAGGCAGAGGTTGCAGTGAGCTGAGATTGTGCCACTGCATTGCAGCCTGGGTGACAAAGTGATACTCTGCCAAAAAAAAAAAAAAAAAAAGAAGAAGCTTCTGAGTTTGTATCCATCTATATTATTTAGCTCCCTCCAAATCCTCTTGGCCAATCTCAGGCATTGTTGTACTCCCACTTATCCTGTGGCAAAGCCTACATTTGCAACATGTTCCACATCCTGGTTTTCCTCCAAAACAGTTGTTAGTGACATGTTACCAGCATAGTGCTGGAAGAAAATAGACCCTAAGTTAGTTACTATCCTTTTCAGAGGTGAAGGATGCATTTCAGCATACACCCCCATGCACATAGCTATATCTCAAAACTGGCATTTTGTCCCAAAGGTCATCCCCGCAACACCTCCACACACCTAATTCTTCAAAATATGGCTGGCATCTCTCTAGCTTAGTGGTTTTGTGTCTCTCACTAATTATTTCCTCTATTGGAAACATTTCCACCTTTCTCCCTTTCTGATGGCAGGCACACTGAGAACTGGGATTGTTCAGAATCCCTGTGAGGGCCTCTTGAACTCTGTGCCTGCCCCCCAACCCAGATGGTTCCATGTGTAAAAGAGATAAAGAGTGGGGACAGAGAAGGGCCCCCACTGTGCCTTTACAGCAGGAAATACATTACTGGGTTTTCTTGGCCTCCTGGCTGAGTGACCTGTTTATTTTTATGAATAAAACTTCATATTCGTTGCAAAAGTATAACAACAACACTGAATAATAGTATACTATAAGACTGTGTTGTCTAAGGATACCAGTGCTCAGCTCAGGCTTCTGTTTTTCTGATATCGAGTAGCAAAATGCACCCTCTCCTTTTTGCCCCCTTCTCCCATGGTAGTGAATGAGCTTTGAAACCTTTTTGATTCTGAATGAGCAGCAGAATGAAAGGGCCTTCATTTAAAATGGGGAGGCTGAGCCAGCTTGCTTTCTCTCCAGCTTCCTCCCTGAGCTTAGCAGCCGACCTTTTGGCTCAGCGACGGGCCTGCTGGTTAAATGTAACCACTGAACAATCACTTTACAGGATTTCTACCTTATTAAAAATCGAGTATGGCCACCAGGGATTCCAGCGTAAAGGTAATAAAAGAGCACCTAATAAAAACTTTAAAATGTGTTAAAACACACATGTTCCGAGACTGGTAGGTAGAGCAATCTTTAACCTCCACTAACCCCTGAAGACTAGGATTCAAGAACCAGAGTTTAAAAAATGAAACTGGAGCTACAAAATTGGAATTAGAGGACATTTTCAAACTCTAAACATTATTTTTCCCCCCAAATTGTTTCCTAAATGGTGAACACTCATGCTGACTGTATTGTTTATACCTGATTTACACTTTCTCTATTTCAAAATGTGGGAACTAGTTGTATAAATCTGTACAAAAATGTAAACATTTGAACATTTGATGACCAAACCATGTTTTCTAATTTTAATTAATGAATTATGAGTTACATGGAGAAAAATGAGTGTCAACTTCTACAACCTTGGATGACATATATCTTACGGCAGGACAGAGGCACAGTTTATCTGTCACTATTCTCACCTGCTAATAAAGAAAAATATAGAAAATATATTTTCTGAGAACTTGCTGACATTGTCTTTTTGCTATTTTTCTTAGTTTTTTCTTAGGTAATTTCAGAAGGAATTTGGTTTTCAATGTAATGAAACATGTACATGTTCTCCAATGCTGACATGTAAGTGATTTTTCTTCCTGTCATTCGGCTTGTATACATGTTTGCATTTTCCTCTGGAAAAGGAATGCTGGTTTCCATCATAGGGAGAATTGTAAGACTGTGAGTACCATATTTATTAGATTCTGTTTCTGCATGTGAGTAGAATTAGAAAGAGGGCAATGCAGAGGATAACAAATTACCCTCTCATTGGCTGGTGGTGACTAGCAGCTGCAGCAGAACAGCTAGTAGTCAGATTCCAGAAGCCAAATGTTCCTTATAAGGCGGCAGGATGTGGTGGAGAGAGTCTAGAACTAGCAGGCAGCTGACCCAGCTTGTTCTGCTTCTTCTGCTAACAACTTGTTTAGCTTTAAACAAGACATGGCACACCTTTCTCCCTCAGCCTTGAGGGATATTTCATCTGCGAAATGGGTGCATATGTGTGTGTGGAGGGTGGGAGGTGGGTAGATAATCTCTAAGCTCTGAGCTTTCACACTCTGATTATTTCATTATAGAATCAGAACAATTTGAAAGGCCCTCTTAGGACTTGCTATTTCATTGCTTTGCGTTATAGCAATTCTGTACCAAAAGCACGCAGGATAAAGGCAACCTGGTCTAAATCAATGATAAAATGATAACTCATTTAGGAAGTGCTTTCTCTGTGGGCTTCTAACAAATGTAACTAGGAGAAAGATCTTCAATCTTTTCTGCCCAGAGGATGGGGAAGAGGATGCCCCTTGCTGAAAAAAATAGATTGTGCCCCTATAAATTATGCTCTAATAAAGGCAAGGGGCTATGTGGGGTTTTACTCACCATTGTACTCTGAATGCCTAGCAAGGTGCCTATAGGCAGTGAATGAATATCTGTTGAATGAATGAATAAAGGAAACATTCAGCAGGGTCTATGTGTGACTAAGGATTTTAAAGAGATATCTGATTTTTAATGGGGCAATTTCTCATGCCAGGAAAGCTCAACGGACACAATTTATAAGTGGGGGTAAGGCTTAGGGAAGGACAGATAAAGGAAAGAAATTAGACTGCTTTGAACAATAATATGGTTCTGCTTTTATTGTGAGTTAAGACTGAGTTAGGAAAATATTTCTCTTATTCACCATTGGTTTAGACCGTTACAACTTTCTGAGAATGCTGGACAACAGGGATAGGTGTGTCTTCAGCTTACCTCTTAAAGATGACTAAATCAAGAGCCTACATCCATCTAGTGTTCCACTGCAGGACTTAAGTGCCAAAACCAGAACACACCCCTTGGGACATGGCGTTGATAGGGACAAGAGGCAGAGAAATTCTGGGCAGGAAAGGGCGGGGTCCCTGGTGAGGGCCCCACCCTCAAGCCTGGAACCATGGCCCAAAGCGAGAATTTTACTCCCCATTTTCTCACTCAAATGTTGCCTTTTCCAAAACCACCCCTGGCCCTCCCTGCCCTGCTCCTGTACCCACAAAAACCCCAGGCTCCACTGGCAGAGAACAGAGAAGGGGAGAGAGTAGAAGCAGCTGAAAGTCAGAGAATGTGGTTTAATGTGGAGAAAAGCAGCTTGACTTCAGAGGAACGGCTTGACAGCATTGCTTCAGAAGATCACCTTCCTGCTCCATCCCCCTTTCAGCTCCCCTTCCTGCTGAGAGCCACTTTCACTGGCAACAAAATCCTCTGCATTTACCACCCTTCAGTTCATTTGTGCAACCTCATTTTTCCTGGATGCCAAACAAGAGCTTAAGTTCCATAGGTTCAGATGCTAAAGGCTGTCACACTGACCCTCTGCCCTCACTGGTGGAGAGCAACTGCCTTATGCAAAAAGGCAGAAGGCCCACTGAGCTGTTTAACACTTAAGCTGTCTGCAGATGGCAAAGCTAAAAGAGCACTGTAACACATGCCCTCTGGGGCTTTGGGGGTTGTAGATACTCCCCCCCAGATGCTGCTGTGGGCCCACACGGAGTTTTGCTCCTGCCAGCACCCAAAAGCACTTGCTCTGACTCCTGCACCCACTTACCTGCGTGCTCTCCCTCCTGCAAGGGATTGAGAGCTGCAGGCTAAGTAAGGCCCACGAAGGGGTCAGGGAAAATTTCCTGCCTCAGAGTGCCAGGCCATTGTGATCTATTATCCTCAAGGCCTCTGGTTCTTATTCCAGACTGAGCATCTCAGACCTAGGAATTGTGCTGCTGCAGAGGAGGTAGATACCATAAGTAGAGAGGGGTTTCTCAAAAGGTAGTCAGAGAGGAGTGCAGGTTAGAAGGAGGTTGCTCTTGAAGACATGAGGACATGGGACCAAAGTTAGGATCTGAGATTTTCTGAGATGACCTTTATGAAGGATTTAACTTCTGGGGTATTTTTCTTTTGGAATATAAAAAATTTATGTTTAGTGCAAGGCTTAAAAACCTTCTTTCCTTTCTGTTGAAACTTCCCTTAATTATTTTAACCTTTCAGGAGATTCGGATAGTCTCACTTCTCTTGCCTTTTTAGGCACCTAAAAGAACTAGAAAAGAATATAAAAGGGTGTTTTATTTTAGACAGACCTGCCATACTTACTTTTTTTTGTGTGTGTGTATCAAGGAAACAGAATCCTACAAACTAAACTTTGGTACCCAGGAAGGTCCTGGGGAAGCCAAATAAATGCAGCTGAGTCACTGTGCCCAAAGACCACCTAGGTCGGCTGTCATTACGATAATACTTTTTCAAAATGAATGCCTATAAATGGGGCTCACCAAATTTTTGAGCATTTAACATTTTCATCATGTAATCAATAGCAGAGATGTGGAAAAAGCAGCTTGGCTTTGTCAAGGACCATGTTAGCTCAAGTAGTTTGTATTACGGTAGGACCATTATTATTTGCCCAGACAACCTTGAATGCTTCTTTGCCATAATTGGTTAGTCAATTGGACAAGAATGATCAGCAACAAAGGCAGCACAGAAATATAAAGATCACACATTTGTTCTCATTTCCAGAGGAAATATTTTGGAAGACAGATTTTCTGGAGTGTCTTTTTTTTTCCTGGTCTCTAACTTCATTACCTAGTCCTGAATTCTATGATTGCTGTTGCTTACCCATAGATCATGATGATTTGGAAATGAGAAGCTGCCAGTCTAGAAAGCTCTGCTTTTGCCTGGTAAGCTAAAGACCACAGGATGCTGGACGCTTTAAAGTGCCATTCAGGCAGGAAAATAAAAGTTAAGTCAGGCCTGGACACTAACAGCTGCTTTTTCAATCTGCAAAGCTATTCTTCTATAATTACTGAAGCCAGAAGTTGCTTAAACTGGAAAAAAATGTAAACTGTTTCTTCATTTTTATTGTTGTTATTATTAAGATAGCTTTTTATTCTTTTAGAAGACAATACAGCCACATCTCAATAGCTTAATTTGAATAATTTTTTTAAAGAGATGAATTACCACATTTTGTTTATAATTATAAGGACCAATGGCTGCTTCAGGCCTCTGTAAAGCCAAGAGTCCATTTTCTGAGAAATAGAAAACAGAAAACTAAGCTGATTTGCCTGGAGAACTTCCATGGGCTAATGGTTTGAGAGAGGTTTTATCTCTCTAACGAGTGTAATATTAAAATTAGGTGGGTTCAAGAGGTTTTATTTTTGTAATATTTGAACTAAATATATGTAGACATCTGCAAATGCCAATCATATGACTTATGTGGGCACAATGAATTGTTTGTGCTCACACATATGCTGACAGCATTTGTTTTATGCACCTGCTTCTTCTCCAGTTCCAGTTTGGTTCGATCTTTTGATTATGTTTTAATGTGCAGGCGTTTGCTGAAGTGTAACCACTTACAGAGCATCTGGGCTCGTATGGGTTTTCAAACTGAATCCACATTTTAACAGTTTCTCACCTCTCTATCTGGATTAGAAAAAACCGACATCATCGTAACCAATGTTAATCATTCTTTCACATTCCAAAGTGCTGACATTTGCTTCTTGGTTATAATCCTCAATTTGGAGTTTGGCTCCTTGCTTTGTCTCAGGTTCCCATGGGCCTTACAATAATGCTTATCATTTGCATAGCACTTTTAAAGCCCCTTTCAATTGTTAATTAATTAATTCATAAGATGTCCTTTCACAATCTCCACTTAATGCATAAATAAGCAAACTGGGCCAAACAGAGGTTAAATGACTAGGGCAGAACCATATGTGGATATGGCTAGTCCTTTCATTTATTTTTTTTAAATTTCCAGAAAGGAAGACACATTTTAATTCCAGGGCTCACCAAAATTTGCAATTTCTACATCACACTACACGGTCAGTTCATGAACTGGGGCAATCTGGGGAAATACTTGCTTTGGTATAGTGTTAGGTGTTCAAGTGGAAATGAGAAGTCCTGGGTGACTTCCTAAGATCATGGAACCCTCTCTGATCTACAGGCTCAGGCCAAGCCTTAGAATAGGATGAGCTCTCCAACTTTGTTTTAAGGATAAGCTATTTTTTGATGTTTTCTGAAATGTAAGAATGATTGCCCTGGAATGTCATATTGCTCTGGGTAGTAGAAATAAAAAACATAAAATGGGAAAGGCTTTTCTTACTAAATGCCTGAGAAAAGTGTGCTTTTTCTGGTCCTTGTCACACTTGGGATCTACTGGGCACCTTTAGCATCTGGTGTACTGCAAGACTTCAGTAAAGACCTGCTTAATTGGCTGTTACCCTGAGTTCAGAACAGCATCTAAGCTGGGAAGAACAGCTTCTGCTCTAGAGAAAGAATGAAGAAAAGATGGGAAACAGCTGGTTGAGAAGGTGTCTATCTGAGGGGAATAGGCGGGGGAGAAGAGGCAAGCCACCAGAGAGTAGTGATTACTTCTGAGATGGTCACTAGGTTTCCTGTACCCAAGTGCCATAAAAGCAATTAAATGGGATATTATCTCAGTTTCCTAGGGCTACTATAACAAATTACCACAAACGGGGGTTTCAAACAGCAGAAACTTATTCTTTCACAGTTCTGGAGGCAAGAAGTCCAAATTCAGCAGGGTTGGTTCTCTTTGGAGGCTCAGAGGGAGAATTCATTCCATGCCATTCTCCAAGCATCTCATGGGTGCCGGCCACCACTGGTGTTCCTTGGCTTGCACCTGTGTAACTGTAGTCTCTGCCTCCATCTTCTCATGGCCACCTTCTCCCCGCGTCTCTGTGTCTCAAATGTCCCTCTGCTTTCTCTTTCAAAGACATCAATCATTGGGTTTAGAACTCCCACTAAATCTAGGATGATCTCATCTCTCTTAACCTTAATTATATTTGCAAAGACCTTATTTTCAAATAAAGTCTTACTCACAGGTACCAGAGATTAGGACTTGGATATATCCTTTTGGACACACAATTCAACCCACTACAGATATCATTCTTCCAACCTCAGGTCTGAGGAGAAGCTGAAATAGTGACTGGGCAGTGCAAACTTGGGTTTCCAGATGGAGATGGCCAGCAAGTGTTTCTGGAGCCAGAGCTGACAAATGCATCCTTCTACCTCTCTTCATCCAGCTCAATGCTCAACTAGAGGGAGGAGTTGCTCTGCAGCCCCAAGAGTCCCCACCGTATCTGGTGTCTGTGGGAGAAAGTCTGCTTTCTGGATGGCAGAGACGACCTTCACGCCATGCACACCAGCAGGCAGACACTTCCCCTTCCTCCTGGCCCTGATCCTAATGATGATTCCTTAGGCATCTGGAAGAGAAGGGTAGCTCTATAATTCCTGGGTTCATGAACATTGTAAATGGGAGATTTCTCTGCTCATGGTAATACATGGGAGACAAGTCTGGGTACTCTAGCACTGTTTTTGTGCTGACCTGATCCTCCCGTTCTCTCCCCAAACACCCCAAATTTTCTCTTCGGGGGTCTCCACAATCTTCTCATCACCCAAGTTAGTAACCTGATGCATCATTGTGGATTTTCCCTCTGTCTCACCTGTTACATTGAATCAGCCCCTAGATCATATTGATTCTCCAACTTTCCATTTCCTAATCCAGCCTTTCCTTTTCTTCCTGATCAGCTCTTTTCTCTTTCAGCCCACCATCACCATCTCCTGAACTACTAACCTTAGCTGCTTTTCTGGTTTGTGTTCCTCCAGTTAATTCTTCCTTCCAATCTTATCTGCTACTCTGCTGTGATATTGATGCTTCTACCAATTTTTAGGTACCCTCTTACTTTAAATCTTCCACTGGCCTCCATGGCCGATAACACCCAAACTCTCTAGCAGGCCACAAATTTCTTCATGATCTGATTCCTGACAGAGGCAACTGGGCTGCTGGATCAGCTGTCAGTGGTGCAGACATGACTTCTGCTAAAACAACCTCTGGGTGCCACAATCCTGAGGTGGGTGCTCTGGTACACAGCAGAGCTCTCCACCCAGCCCAGTGCTTAACCAAATCCACACACCAAGATGCCTCCAACCAATCAGCAATACTCAAGAGAGTTTGCTTTTTAAATACAGGGTGTGGTCTCTTGGCTTTAAAAAACCTATCTTGTTTCTTCTTCTCCTGAAACCTCTTTTCCCAGAGCCTAGACTCTGTGCTGGATTGAGTTTCCTGCTTGGCAGTAAAAATCTTTTCCCCGAGTATTCAGTCATTGGCTCTGTAATATTTGCTTTAAACAAAAAATCTCTATTTATCTCTAAAGCCTCATATTTCCCCCATTTCCCCTAAAGTTCCCTGTGTTCTAACCATTCAAAACTTCTTAGAATTCTGTGAACAGTTGGCCAGGTGTGGTGGCTCACGCCTGTAATCCCAGCACTTTGGGAGGCCAAGGTTGGTAGATCACCTGAGGTCAGGAGTTGGAGACCAGTCTGATCAATATGATGAAACCCTGTCTCTACTAAAATACAAAAATTAGCCAGGCATGGTGGCATGCGCCTGTAATTCCAGCTTCTTGGGAGGCTGAAACAGGAGAATCCCTTGAACCCGGGAAGGGGAGGTTGCAGTGAGCCAAGATCATGCCATTGCACTCCAGCCTGGGCAACAAGAGCAAAACTCCATCTAAGAAAAAAAAAAAAATTCCCTGAACAGCCATGCTTTCATTCCTCCATGCACTGTTCATGATGTTTCCTCTTCTGAGAACACCAAATACCCCATGCACACCTGACTATCCTTCCAGCTTAAGTGTTAGGTCTGCTGATTCTCTTAGGCCTGGGAGCTCTTTTTTTGGCATTCCCATAGCAATCTAGTAAATGATAATAGAACTTAGCACACATATCCAACCCCAAAATGGAGCTTTTAAAACTGTGGGTCAACATCCCATTAGTGGGTGGTGAAGTCAATTTAAAAAGTAAAATAGAACATAAAGTATCAGAGTATATTGCCTATAGTAAGGGTCTGGTATGTGAACTTTTGCTGCTGCTGGTGTTGCTGCTGGGTGGTGTGTGTGTCTGTGTGTGTTTGGGGGGGGGGTTGTTACTATGGGTGATGGGCACTAGACCGTGAGATACTTTAGTGCCAGGATCTTGCCTCAATCATCTTTGTATGCCTGGGGCTCAGCCCAGCGTTGGCACAGAGTTGACAGCAAATGTTGAGTGAATGAAAGAATCAGTGCAAATGTGAGAATACTGTAAAAGGTCCTCAACATGTTCTCAGGAGGCCAACAAGGGTGACTGGCAAAACACTGAAGATTGCAAAACCCATTTGCTAACCCTGCCCATGTTTATAAATAATCAAAGCCAGAGGTTTGGAGTAAGTCAAGCCCATGTCTTCTGCAGGTATGGACTCAGATTCAGCTAATACTTAGCATCTACTTCTTTGCCACATGCTATCTTATTTAGTCTTACAAAAAAGCTGCAGTCATGACTTTCCTTTTTCAGTTCTGAAACCAAGGCACAGGGAGGGTTAAATGTTGCTTTAAGCAAGAACTGTGCTTGAATTTACATCTTTTATCAGTTAGGTGAGTGTTCTTTTATGTAGGGAGATGCACAAGTCAGGAGTGTGCCAGCTTCTGGGAGGCTGTGGAGGAGAGATGGGGAGGACCAGGGTAGCATAGGACCCATGCTTGGTGATAGCTCAAAGGAAACAGCCACACAGAGAAGAAAAACATTAGCATATATTTGTGACAAAGACTTGTAAGGCCTATGAAGAAGTGATTTGAGTAGGCATGTCAAAGGTCCATTAACCAAAAAGCAGAAGACACAGCTCTCTAAGTGTGACAGGAAGTATTTGTCATACAGTTGTACTGTCACGGATGGGAGCCACCAGCAGCTGTTGTGTGCTGTTTGCACATTAACCACACAATCGTGGAGATTGATTTGGGAGCCTAGTCCCTGCCCCACTCCCCTGTCAGCCTTCACCTGTCTGCTCCCTCCTCTCTCCTTCCTACCCCACTGTTCACTCACCCCTGCCCCCTGGCCCACCTCCTCTTCCATCTGGATGCCTCAGAGCAGATGTGGACACAGCCATATGTTCCATCACTCTGACTAATGCTGCTGTGCTTCTAGGTTGGCTCAAGTTGGATTGTGATTAGTGTTTACTGCTATTATCACTAGATCAGATAATGGTGATGGTTATTGATTTGCCTAGCACAAACCTCTTTGTTTATTAGGAGCCTTGTACATAATGAAGGGAACACACCGAAAGACAAACAAAAAATATTTGTATTTATTTATTGAAAATGGGCAGTGCAAGACTGTGTCCTTGGCTCTGTCCTGTTGAACATTTTCATTAGGGACTTGGATCAAGACTTAAGAGACCTGCTGATCAAATTTGCAGTTGGCACAAAGCGGGGCAGGACGGCTAATAGGCTAGATAAGAAGAGCAGATTTTAAAAAGATCTTGACAATTGGAACAAAAAGCCAAACCAACAGAAAAAAATTTAATAAGAAACTTAAGGTCTTGTACTTGGGTAAATAAAAATCTGCTTCAAAAGTATATAGGATAGGAGGAGAGACTTTTCTTTGTAGCAGTTCTAGGGAAAACAACTAAGGACTTTTAGTAGATGTCGGCTCTACCATGAGTTAACGAAGAAGGTGATGCAAATTAGGCTGCATGAATAGAGGCCCTGAACAGATCCCCACATCTGCAGGACTCCGAGTGTCTATCACATTGAAGATAAAAATACAAACATGTTATTGATTGATTGATGATTGATGGATTGAAAACAATTTTAAATTCTTCCTTAAAAATTATCAGAGGCCAGGCGTGATGGCTCACACTTGCAATCCCAGCACTTTGGGAGGCTGCAGTGAGTGGATTGCTTGAGCCCAGGGGTTTGAGACCAGCCTGGGCAACATGGTGAAACCCCATCTCTACAAAAAATACCAAAAAAATTTAGCCAGGTGTGATGGCACACCTATAGTCCCATCTACTTGGGAGGCTAAGATGGGAAGATTGCTTGGCCCCAGGAGGCTGAGGTTCTGCTAAGTTGAGATTGCTCCACTGCACTCCAGTCTGGGTGACAGAGTGAGACCCTGTCTCAAAAATAAATAAATAAATAAATAAATCAGAGTAACAAGAGTTAACTGCAGGTAATGAAACATTATAGGTATATTAAAAAAAATTCTTCCTTCTAACATCCCCCAAAACAGATAACACATGTTAACAACTTGGTGTGTATCCTTCTGTGCTGTTACTCATGCTGAGACAAACATATCAAAACAAACCCACAAGTATATAAGATTTTTGTTGGGATTTTTGGTTTTTCATAAAGTGGACAAACCCATTTTCTCCATCTTTCTTCACTTAAGGATACATCATTGACACCTCTCCAAAATTAATTTTAAAATGCTTAATGTTCCAGAAATATGGATGTGGTATCATTTATTCATCCCTTAATCAATGTCACATTTAAGAGGGATATGGGCAAATAGGGCAGGGGATGATGTTCCAGGGCAGGATGGCAGAAGTGGAGCCAGAAGCCATGACATAGAAAAAAGGACTGATGCAACCAGAGATGCTTAACTGGGAGAATAAAAGGTGGGTGGAAGAAGGGGAGGGTTGGTTGGGTTCATCAGTTAATATTGGAGCTTTGCTCAGACTGGGGTTGAACAGGTTAGTAATTCTATGGTTAGTGTTTGATTCCTTGTCAAGACAGGTCTAGGGAAGTGGGGAGGGTGAAGACTCTATTTCCTTCAGTGATTGGAGGGTTGTGCAAAACAGCAGCCTTTGGGGTTACCAAGCGTGGCCCACCCTATCCCCAGAGAGCTGGCGGGCTCTGTGGAACAACCTCCACAGTAAGCACATTATAAAAACATTAGGCGAAATAATAAAAATAATGACATTAAAAAGAAAAATTGTTGTAGAAACCAAACAAACCCAGACCTACAGCCGAGGCAGGCACCAGCCGGGATGTTGTTAGCATGCTTAGGAGAAATTTGATTTCGATGAATTTCGTTGTCAGTGTAACCAGGGCATGAATCACCCTCCTCCGCCCTTTCTCATCGTTCTAATACCAAGATTTAGAGAACATGGCATTAGAGAGATAAAGAGGTTCACAAACAGTATCAGCCAGGAGCCCCCCGGGCCCAAAAGCAGCACCAGGCTCAGCCAGGAGGCAGCTTTCTGCTGTTATGGGCCTATAAATCTGAAGGCATCTGAACCCCTGCGGGATCTGAAGCCATCAACTCTGAGACCAGAACTGTCACCTTTTCTGCTCCCAACCTCTTCCTCCCACCACAGTCCACCTGACCATGGGGTGAGAAATGAGGTTTCTCACTAGAAGCAAGTTCTGGCAGAGCAGGGGCCTGGCCACACCAGTGCTGTAGCAAGCAGCTTGCACTGGCTTCCAGGGTTTGCATCCGTGGTGACAAATGTACTCTCCTGAGGTGGCTAGGAAAAGCCACCTGTCCTGCCAGACACAGGGATGCAACGCCAGTGTAGGATCTGGAGGATCCCACATGCAGCATCGGGGCAGATGGTCACAGTCTGGTGACTGGGGAATCCCCAACGGCCCTGAAACCATGCTCTCAGTTTTATTTTTAGCTAATATGTACTTGATCCTTTCCCACGTGCCAGACATAGTGCCAGGTGCTTCCTGTGGATCATCTCCATCCGTGTTCCCAGCCCTCTGCTAGCTACTGGTGCACATACTTTACACATGAGGAGACTGAGGCTCAGGGAGATGAAGTTACCTGGCCCAAGTCACTCAGCTGGCCAGGAGTGGAGCCAGGGCTTGACCTGAGGTCTGCCCAACTCCAGCATTTATACCCTTTCCATTAAGAGTTGATGATGCCTCATGGCCATGAGAAGGGACTACGGGGAAAAGTGGGCTTTCCTAAAGCCTTTGCTTTCTCTCATCTGATTACAAATCCAACCAATTTCATGCGTTCCAATTCGAAGTGCTCAACCTACCCTCATTTATCTATAGTTCGTCACAGCCCTCAAGATTGCTTAGGGGATGGGGGACCTGTCTTAGTAATACCAGTGCTTCAGGCCGTTACCACTCACACAGGTGACAAAAACAGGGACTAGAAATTAGAATTAGAGAAATCCACAAAGCGCTGAGGTTGGCTGTCTTGTGGTGGCGTTTCTCAGATACCAGGGCCCACTGATTTATTTCCCTCAAGGAGAGGCAGTGAAAAACAGTGGTTAGGAAAATAGTCATGAAACATGGATTCTGGAGTTGAGTGATCTGGGTTTAAGTCCCAGTTCTGGCTGTGACTTTGGGCAAGTTACTTAACCTTGTATAAAACAGGAATAATAATAAGATTAAATGAGCTCTTGTATACAGAGTTGTCAGCTTAGTCCCTTGCACAAAGTAGGTATTCAGTACATACTATCCATTGTGGATAGTATGTTGTCCCCAGGTACAGCGGGGACACTGCAGAAGCACTGTCATTAAGGCATGCACTTGGAGTTGTTTTTCCTGTAGGGGGAACATGTTTTAGTCAACCAATATCTGTTCACAAATCTGGCGTCTTTTGGG
Organism: Homo sapiens; assembly: GCF_000001405.40. Taxonomy (NCBI): domain Eukaryota; kingdom Metazoa; phylum Chordata; class Mammalia; order Primates; family Hominidae; genus Homo; species Homo sapiens. The sequence goes on from NC_000006.12 coordinate 87,926,741, forward strand.
GAATTGTTTGGGAACTGCCTGGCCTGGGTAAAGAGAGGCATTTCCAGAAGAATATAATTCCAGGCTCAAAGACAGCTGATTCACAGTACCGGTTCTGCCAGTCACCACTGGGTCCTTTGTGCAGTCACTCCATTCTCTGAGTTGTGACTGAAGGATTATGAGAGCCACCTTGGCTAGGTCATTGTCCACCTGAGATGAGGTCACAAATATAAAGCACCCAGAAGAGTGTTTGGCCCCCAGATGGTACATGGTGGTAATTGGTCCCCTTCTGCTGTGGCCTAACCACAACTTCCCAGACCAGATCACTGGTAAATGTCCTCCAGGCTTCTTCAAACCTGTTTCTTGTACTTGCCAAGAAGGATATGACATCCTAAGGCGCTCAGATGACCTCCCTTCCCAGAGACAACTTAGCTCAAACATAGAAAAGCCCAGTCATTAGAAGGGAATTCAATCAATAAGCAGGACTAAAACTAGGTAGAGGAAATCCTTTCATTAAGTATTTAAATGCCTTTTGCGATCTGAGTTTACATAGAAATCATAGAGGGCTACTTGTTAATCACTTCTTTTTCACAAGTATAAGGCTAGCTGGTTCCTTTTCCTGACTGCTCCTTCTGGACTTTGGGGGATGAATGGGAGGTTCGAGGCCACATGGTGGGGACCCTCTCATTGGCCTTATCCTACCATTAATAGGAATATGTGCACTCTGGCAGGTCAGGACTCCCAACCCAGGGTCTCAGAGTCCTCTGAAAATGGAAAATCTTGAAGGCCTTCTGATCACCAGGAGTCTGAACTTCATTTCTTCCTTCTGCTGAAGATTCCCCTAAGGCACTACTTATCTTAAGAACTTCCCTGAAACCCCCTACTCCCTACCCCCAGAGATTTTCCACTCCCTTCCAGGAGCCCCCATTCCACTGGAAGTACACTTCTTTGAAACCTCTGCAAAGCTTTCCTGGTCCTGTAAGTTTACCTTCATGGGCTCCTTAGAGCCTATGCAAACCTCAAAAGTGAGGATTATGTTTGTGTTTAGTCCTGAGCTCCAGCATCCAGTTTATTGGCTAGCACATAATAGGTGTTTACTTATGTTGAAGGAATTTCATGTTAAAGAGACGATAAGCAAGGTACTTTAATCCACTGTAGTTCACCTATGCTTACTCATAACATGGGGATAATAAGAGTTCTTACCTATCTCATAGGGTTTTATGAGCATTAAATGAGACAACCCATTGTTAATGTTTAGCACAGTGTCTAGCACATAGTCATCACTCAGTGCATATTAACCATCATTGTATAATATTATTAACATTCTGATTCCAAAATTTCTGGCCCCATTTTAAAAACAGATAATCCGGTTGGGTGCAGTGGCCTGTAATCCCAGCACTTTGGAAGGCTGAGGCGGGTGGCTCATCTGAGGTCAGGAGTTCGAGACCAGCCTGGTGAACATGGTGAAACCCCGTCTCTACTAAAAATACAAAAATTAGCTGGGCATGGTGGTGCAAGCCTGTAATTCCAGCTACTTGGGAGGCTGAGGCATGAGAACCCCTTGAACCCAGGAGGCGGAGGTTGCAGTGAGCTGAGATCGCACCACTGCACTCCAGCCTGGGAAATAGAGCAAGACTCTGTCCCAAAAAATAATAAAAATAATATAAAAAACAAAACAAAACAGACTCCGAGATACAGAGGAAATGGGCTTGCCCTTAGGAGAAACCAGAGGGCCAAGCACAATGCCAAGAAAAAAGTCAAAATCTTTATTTCCTGTTCAGATCCTTAAATACAGCGCTTATGAGGTCTCTGCCTGAGGGCCCATGGTTTTCAACTTTGCTCAGACCTGCATTTAAGCAGAAGCTCAGGCAAAAGGACGATGGGGAGGGATTGTCTTCCTCAGTATTCTTCTGGCCTTTGAGGAAGAAATGAAAAGAATTCTGTAATCATTCATTGACATGGCTTCCGTGTAAAAATTTTTGAGCCTCAGGCTGAAGAAAACAGAGCAGGGGAAGATATTTAGGAGGGAAACTATTTTACACAAAGGTAACGTGTGTGAGAAATAAAGACTTTTTTTTTTTTGAGACAGAGTCTCGCTCTGTCACCAGGCTGGAGTGCAGTGGCACGATCTGGGCTCACTGCAACCTCTGACTTCCTGGTTCAAGCGATTCTCCTGCCTCAGCCTCCCAAGTAGCTGGGATTATAGGCATGTGCCACCACGCCCAGCTAATTTTTGTATTTTTAGTAGAGACAGGGTTTCACCACGTTGGCCAGGATTGTCTCGATCTCCTGACCTCGTGATCCGCCCGCCTCAGCCTCCCAAAGTGCTGGGATTACAGACATGAACCACCACACCCAGCTGAAATAAAGACCTCTTAAAGCAGAAGGCAAAGGTACATGTCTCTGGAAATTCAGAAGTGTTATTTAGTGATCTAGATGAAGAATATATGGGAGGAGACATGAGAGCCTCTGTACAGAATCATTCATGTAAATGTTTGCCCAGAAACCCAACTGACTGAGGCCATAATTCACCCTTGGGAAACCACCAGAGAAGCTCATTGGATCATAGCTATGAGCGAAGAGCTGTTGCTAGCGAATCAATACTGCTATCTCTATAAGCACCCACCTTATATCTCTGTGACTGCATCTAATTTTTAATAAGCTTGTAATCAATGATTTTTATTATTTTGTATAAATTTCCAAAAGGCTAGTTCAAGTAAAAAAAAGAAATCCTGAACATTTTCAGCTGGAGAGTTTTTAGGAATAATTACATGTACATTAAGCAATATTTTTCTGGTGAAGGTGTATATTTTTCTCTCCTTCCTTCCTTCTCTTCCTGCCTCCCTCCTCTCTTTATTTTATTCCAGAGAGACTGCCATAGGTTTACCAAATACCCGAATAACCCTTTCTTGTTTTATCTGACCCATTCATCTTGTACACGTATTTATTATGATATGAGCACAGAGACTTTTGTTTTCTGTTTTAAACATTTGTTTTTGGATGTTCGGCAGATTGCATGCCTAAAGAATGCTTTGACTAAGAATTCCTAAACACAGATTATGGCTTTGGGCAGAGACCTCTTTCCCCAGTGCCTCAGGTTCCTAGTCTCCACTGCTGACGTGCAGTCAGAATGAACTAATTCACACCCCAGTCTAGGCATCTGGGTCACTTCGTGCACATGCTGTGAAAAGGCCGCTCCTTCCCTTTCTTCAGCCACTACTCGGCACTACTCAGGCACTTCGGAAGCAGTGACTCAGGAGACCAGCAGGTGGCACATGGGAACCAGACTACACACTCCTGTGGCCCAGGACAAAGAGATGGGAGAGGAAGGATTTCGTGCAAGGCCAGCTGGCTGATTTCCTCAGTGTTGGCGGATTGAATGCTGCCCATGAGGACTACAGAAATCTTCATGGACTGCAGGACCTCAATGATTAAAGACAGGGAGGCAGGGAGGAGGGCAAGATCAGGGTGACACTAAAGGATGGGGACATTACAGTCAGTCTTTCAACCTCTGCTAATCCTCTCCCTTAACCCCTTACCTCACAGGGGGGTTGTAAGCTGAAGGACATATCATAGGTAAAGCAACAAGCCTGGTTGGGGAGCTTAACACTGGTAGCTGTTAAAATAGTTATTATCTGGTTGGGTTGAACACAATCCAGTGGTGTTATTTAGGCATTTTTGACTAATCTAGAGGTTGTATGCAGGTGTTTCTGATTCATTCATCTGTTCATTTGTGTTTCCAACCAGTGACTATATATGGAGTAGGTTCTCTTCCCTTTGCATGGCTTAAGTACACGAAGGTGCACAAGGCCCAGTCTTCAGGAAAACAAACAACCCACTGTAGTGAAGTCAGTAGGAGGATGAGAGATAGGTTATATGGAAAAACCAACAATTTAACTTGATAATCAACACTCTAGGCAGAATAGTTAGGTTTTGGGATGATGGTTTTGATGGTGGGGAAGCTAAGACAGGAAGATGAAGGAAAAAAGGACCATTTGCAACCATATATAAGGAAAGGGCATTTATAAATCAGAATAATTTCTAATTGTTAAAATAATCACTATGCTCACACATTCTATTTAACCTTCCTCTTTTAGCTGGATATACTGTGGGGCTTTTATAGAAAGCAATACTTTGAGGGTAATTTAGCCACTTTGAAAAAAGAATATATATAATATATGAAGGGTTATTTTTACAGAGAACAATGCTCAGTTACTCCCTGTTTCCAGAGTAGAAGAGGAAAAGAGCTTTACCTAGAGCAAGAAAATAGAAAAGGCTTTTTAGCACTGAGAAGTGTTCATTCCTGGTGAGTTACCCCCAGAAAATGTTGGCATTGTTTTAGATCTGGACTAGTTTAGATATGGCTCTCTTAGGGAAAAGGAATACACAAGAGTGCTTTTTTTTTTTTTTTTTTTTGACAAAGTCTCACTCTGTCGCCCAGGCTGGACTGCAATGGTGCAATCTCGGCTCACTGCAACCTCCGCCTCCTGGGTTCAAGCGATTCTCCTGTCTCCACCTCCTGAGCAGTTGGGATTACAGGGGTGCACCACCACACCCAGCTAATTTTTTGCATTTTTAGTAGAGACAGGGTTTCACCATGTTGGCCAGGCTGGTCTCGAACTCCTGACTTCAGGTGATCCACCCACCTTGGCCTCCCAAAGTGCTGGGATTACAGGTGTGAGCCACTGCGCCCGGCCCACAAGAGTGATTTTTAAAGGCCCTGTACATACTTAGGATGAACAGAATCTGTATCTTTTCTAGAGAAAAGAAAGACAAAGAATGGCTTAATCACTGACTGTCAAATAAATGAAGGCCTATCAACTGGAGAGAAACTGTTAGATAAAAGAGAGAGAGAACTAAAACAAAAGATCTACCCTAGAAGGAAGCACCATTTTGATTCTAAAGATTGTGGGAGTCTCTTGGGGTAAGTAATAAGAAACTATGGAATGTTAGTTTGGGGAAAATAGGTTCTCTTCCTCTTGTGTAAATGGGCAAATTTTTGGTCACAATTTCAATATGTGCTTATTGGCTGAGTTGGGTGGGATGTTGACAAGATCACCTCTAAGATCTTCATGTTCTGGAAACTTCCCAGTGGTGGGGTAGACCTCATTTCCAAGTTGGCAAAGATGGTGAACATCTAAATGAAGCCTTTGCAATGAACTAGGTTCTTACAGTCTCATCACAGACTAAAACCCAAATTTCCACAAATCATTTAGGAATAATGCATCCAGCTACAGGTGAAGTTCTAAGTGGAAATGGACCATCCCTGCCTTTGGTCTTTGCCAGACTAAAGCTAAAGTGGTAGAAAATACCTGAGACTTTTTATAATGCAGAGTATGGATTTTACTCAGAGTGCAGAGGACAGAATTGCACAGGATCTAAGGGCCACAAAGTGATTTTTAGTAAATATTCAACCACTTTAGGAGAATTCTAATAAATAGTCAAGGTAGAGAAATTGGGGTCTAAATCCTAAGACTCATGCTCCCTTCTGAAAAAATTGTATCTGCAAAGATCAGCAGCCAAGTGAAGAATACTAACCATATTTATTAACATCTCAGCAAGCTTCCAATTACAACAATACTACCCCACTTGCCCTGTGAAAAGTGTCTCTGGTTAATTTGAAACCTAGCATGTGGCTTAGGCTGAAGGCCACAGGGGAGCCAAAGAGCTTCTTCCTAACAGGGAAGGTCCTGACTATCCTGATTCCCACACAAGAACAAGAGTTCATAGAGCAAGAAGCGGACAAGGAGACACAGGCCTGCCCTTGCAGGCTGGTCCTTCCTCAGTCAGCAACAGCGAGTAGAAGACCAGGTGCTTGCAGCTGCCTATCACTGTTCAACGCTGTGCCCTTACCCGATGAAGGTCAGGGCTGGAGAGCAGATTAGCAACTCTTCCTCTTGTGTAAATGAGCAAGCAACAGGGTGCTGTGTGTATAATCAAGGCGGAAACAAGGAGATAGGAAGAAAGTTCTTTCAACCAAATGCCCTCCTTAACATTTCTGTTACCACTTATGTAACCCAGAGCATTGTCCATCTGATTAAATCTGAACATTAATGAAGAATAGCTTCATTTTAGCAGCCTTAAATGAACATGAACTCTGGAAGGAGAATTTGTAACACTTATTCCTGATTTTGTTGTTGTTGTTGAGCTTTAAAATCCTTAAGTTGGATCTCATTTTAGATAAGGACTGAGGTTGAGAATAGGTTCAGAAGTCCTAATGGTCTCTTTGTATTTCAATATAAGACATTTCCTTCCCTAACTTGGCTCAGAAAAGTACACGTCAAAGTGAATATGGGAACTATAGAAACCCTAATGGTGAGGAGTGAGGGCAAAATACTGGGCTAAGAATTCTCCCTCAGTATCACCTGGACTGTTAGTAATTGCAAAATAAGTTTGGAAAGACAGACAAGGTTTGTATCATGTATACCACAATCAACCAAACCATCAAATATTTCTCTTGCCTGTGATCATGACATTCAATCATCAGGGGAGAGTTTAATCTAACCACAGATTGACAAGAAAATAAAAATAGAGAAAAGTAGTCCAGGGAAACTAACTGTGCCTTTATGATAATGGCAGCTTCCTCTTGTTGGGTCATGTTGCCCTTTTTCAGGTCTAGATACCAGATGCTACTATAGCAGGTGCCAGGCCAGGAGACCCCCACTGTCATCATCAGCACCCCCAACTCCCTGAACATCAGACAACGTTGTGTCAGTAACTGCCTCTACTTGGGCTGACAGTAACTGAAAAAAAATGTTAGTTCAGAAGTAAACAAAGCCACCTGGAAGAAAACCAAAGCTGGGGAATTGCTGTGACCGACTGATTTACCCTCCTGAATCTTCTGAGCCCCACAGCTTCAGCACCAGTGCCTGGGCACCCTGGCATCCAGGATGTGGAGGGCTGGCCTGCTTCGAAGGCAGTCATATACATGTCAACCTTCCTCTGTCCCCTGTGCCCTCTGTTTTGCCATATCCATGCCCCAGCTGGCCTCCTGGCTCTCCCTACCCATGCCTGGTCTCTCTACCTCTTGCAGATGAGCTGCCTGATCACATACACATTGGTTTCCACCCCAACACTTTGGCTCCAGCAGGCATTGGAGCTTTGTAACCATCATAATCAGCCTAACCTCTGCCTCTCTACTGGGCTTTGGATTTTTCTTCTAGAATAATTTCCTTAGAGCTGTATTTCTGTGGGCTTATTAAAAATGCAGAAATGCAGTTTTCCTGAACGACTCAGAATATCTGGCAGCTGGGCCTGGGAACTAGTACTTTACCAAGTCCTCCAGGTGATCTGGAAGTCCACGGAAGTGGAGAAACCTGGCCTTGGGGAATAGCTGTGGTTCTCTTACAGTTCCGTGTTCTATGATGGAGGCTGTACCACAGTGACTGCTGTCGAACACGTTTATCACATCTTCTAGAGTGGAAGGACGATTCCCCAACCATGAGCCTGTTATAACCCTTCCCCAGCTTAGAAGAAATATTTCTTGTGGCTTTTTTTTTTTTGAGACAGAGTCTCACTCTGTCGTCCAGACTGGAGTGCAGTGGTGCAATCATGACTCAATGCACACCACCACACTAAGCTAATTTTTAAATTTTTTGTAGAGACAGGGGTCTTGCTTTGTTGCCCAAGCTGGTCTCAAACTCCTGGTCCCAGGTGATCCTCTCGCTCTGGCCTCCCAAAGTGCTAGGATTACAGGCATGAGCCACCATGCCTTACCTTCTTGTGACTTTGACTATCATTTCTCTCCTCGGCATAGCTCTGAGTGTCTTTCTCATCCCAAGTATATTCCTAGTAACTATAGCTAACATTTATTGAACACTTGCTATGTGCCAGGCAATGCATTAAAGGCTTTCCATGTATCAACTTATCTATGCTTAAGCAACTCTACGAAATGGGTACTATCAATATGCCCATTTTACAGATGAAGGGATGAGCTTAGAAATGTTAAGAACTTGCCTAAGGTAACTTGCCTAAGGTAACTTCACAGTTAGCAGGCTGTGGAGTTGGGGCTTGAACCCAGGTTAGCCTAACTCCAAAGTTTTTACTTTGTTTTACTCCCTCTCCCAGGGGATCTGGATCATAAATACCAAGCAAATGGAATCATGAAATCCTGTAATTTAAAAGCGGTTTTAAACCTTTTCACTACTAAAGATTCCTTTATATTATTTCTGCCCACTGCCATTCATTAATGCATATTTTGATAGATTACTAATCTGAAAATTGATATAAAATATATAATTTTCAATGACTTTTTGAAATGTTGAAAATAACTCATGAGCTTCTACAATTTCCTTTGAGCTCCCAGGAGTTTGGAAACCTAATTATCACCCTCGTTTTACAAATGAGGAAGCAGAAATCCAGGAAGGATAGTGGCTTGCTAGTTATGGAGTCAGGAACAGATATAAGGTTTCCTCCTTCCCGTCCAGGGGCTTTGTTATTCAATATCATGCTCAATCAATCAATCCATCATTCAAGTTGTCACTGAGCACCTACTATATGCCTGGTAGGCAAGATGATGTGGGGGATACAGAAGAACTGCCACTGTGGCTTCTGTATTCAATAAATTTACAGTCTATTTGGGGAAACAAGGCTTAGACATAAAAGGCATTACATAAAATCACAAGATAGCATGTTTCTAAAGCAGTGTTTCTCATCCTTGGCTGCATATCAGAATCACCCAGGGAGCTTTCCAAAGCTCCAGAAGCTTCCAGAAAAAGGATCTTCAAAGTTGGAGGCCCAGGCATGTGTATTTAAAAAAAAAAAAAAATAGTCCAGCCAGGGTTGAGAACCACAGTTGCAAAGTAACAGGATTCACAATAGCAACTTCAAAAGTTCCACGTGTAAAGACAAGATCGGGCTACAACGGTCAGGGTACCTCTGAGAAATAATGAGACCTTGGATTGGATGGAAAAGGTTTGGCTAAGTGGAGAGTGGGGGAAGGAAACCACCTGAGGAAGTCTAGAAAGGAATCAGGGGCTTGAGGAGACAGAAAAATGGGGTTGGTGAGTGGCCAGTTTCAACTGGTGGGGGTTCCTGGAGGTAGGCGTGGAAGGGAAGGGTGCATTCAAAGTAGGTGGGGGGCCTCTCAAGTCAGTCACAGGAGCTTGTTTTTTAAAATAACTGCGTGCAGGTTCTGGAATAAAGATCTTATATAACTCACGTGCAGAATTAACCATTCAGAGAAGCATTTTCTTTCAAGCGTCCAGGATATCCGAATGATCTTGCCGAAGCCCTCACTCTCTAGAAAAAGGAAAGCACTGGATTCTCAGATGAAAGGACTGGAGTTGGGAGAATGGACTTAGGAGGAAACAGGAAGCGGGGTAATCGCTCCACCTGGCACCTGGAGCTTGCAGCGCCCCAGAGCTGTGCGTGGGGAGGAGAGAAACTGGGGGCAGTAAAAATGCTGGGTGAGGGAGAGAATAAAGGGCTGCAAAGGGCAGGTTTCTGCTTGTAAATGAGTGACCAGGGTGCACCCAGGAGGCGATTCTGAACTAGAGAGCATAGGATAGGCCTCCCGGCCTTCCTGGGGGCAGAGTTGCAACGCCTTGCAGCTCCTGCTGGGGACCTACACCAAAGTATGGCTTGCTTGGAGACAACTGCAGTGACTGCACGAGCAGGTGTGGGTTCTCTGGGAAGCATGCATATTCTCCCGGGATCCCATTGCGGTGTTGGCAACGGGGAAGCTGGAGGCTGTGGAGAAACTGAGGAGATGCTCCAGGTATTATCCCATCTTTTGAGCCTGAGGGAGAAATTTGCAGGGGCTGAGATTTATTGCTTTTTACCCTGATCATATTCCTCCGCTGGTGGTTGAGAAAAACTGTTGAAGGGAATACGTTTACAGAAGCAGTTTTGGTGGCAGTGTCTAACTTAGAATGAGGGTGGTGAGGCAAATCTGGGTGCCTCACCAGATGGATAAAGTGAAGAGGGCCTGGATGAGGCAGAAGGCAGTGAGAATGGGGAAGGAGGCCTGGAACGCCAGCTACTGTCTTTTTATATGGAAAGTGTCACAGAATAGATCACATGAGGTACACAAGTGTGCGCAGACCTAATGTAAGGATATGTGTGGCTGTCTACTAACACTCTATACGTTTGTTCAAAACTTATGAACCCCACTGATTAATAGGCCCCTGGAATATGATGGAGATGTAGGATCAAGGGTCCCTCTGGGCTGACTCAGAAGATCTCTGAACAAGGGTGTATTAGTCTGTTTTCACGCTGCTAATAAAGACATACCCAAGACAGGGAACAAAAAGAGGCTTAATTGGACTTACAGTTCCACATGGCTGGAGAGGCCTCAGAATCATGGCAGGAGGTGAAAGGCACTTCTTACATGGGCGTGGCAAGAGAAAAATGAGGAGGAAGCAAAAGCGGAAACCTCCGATAAACCCATCAGATCTCGTGAGACTTACTCACTGTCATGAGAATAGCACAGGAAAGACAGGCCTCCATGATTCAATTACCTCTCCCTGGGTCCCTCCCACAACACGTGGGAATTCTGGGAGATACAATTTAAGTTGAGATTTGGGTGGGGACACAGCCAAAACCTATCAAAGGGTGAGACAACAGGAGCACTGCGGGCACTCTCCAAGGCCATTCCAGGAGGCATGGTGCTCTCCTGCCTGTGTTGGGGAAGAGGGATGCTGGAGGCAGAAGAGGGGGAGTGCATTGTAAGTCAGAGGAAGATTTACCATGAAGCTAATAAAGCTTAAATTTTAGGGCCTCTCACTTGAATAGGTCTCCTTCAAGGCCTTGTACTTAATTTTCTCTTTGGTTTTTTTTTTCATAAAAGGTCTCCCAAACTATACAGGCCTCATGGCCTCCAAATCCTGCGTCTGCCCCCAGTCACCCATATAGCGACTCTCCCTGCTACTCTCATGCCTCAAAACAGGTTTTTATTATCCCACTACTTTCTGGCATGATGTATTGTTGTTGAAAAATCAGCTAATGGCTTAACCAGGGCGTCCATCTTATACAACCCCAGGGGGCCCCTCTAGTCTATTTAATTGGGAGCCCCTAGAGTTTGTCCTATGTCTATGCGTCATTCTTTTGTTGCTTGCATTTTAGATTTTTCTTTTTTTTTTTTTTTTATGATTTTTCAGTTTCATGATGGGTATCTAGGTGTGTTTCTTTTCTTTTTTTTTTTCTTTCTTTTTTTTTTTTTTTGAGACGGAGTCTCGCTCTGTCGCCCAGGCTGGAGTGCAGTGGCAGCATCTCTGCTCACTGCAAGCTCCGCCTCCCAGGTTCACACCATTCTCCTGCCTCAGCCTCCTGAATAGCTGGGACTACAGGTGTCTGCCACCATGCCCAGCTAATTTTTTGTATTTTTAGTAGAGACGGGGTTTCACCGTGTTAGCCAGGATGGTCTCGATCTCCTGACCTCGTGATCCGCCCGCCTCGGCCTCCCAAAGTGCTGGGATTACGGGCATGAGGTGTGTTTCTTTTCATTTATTCTACATGGGAATTATGGAGCTTTGTCATTAGCAAATCAATATCTCTTATCAATTCTGGGAAATTGTCAGTCATATCTTTAGATATTGCTTCTGCCTCTCTGTCCACTTTCTTTTAGGAACTCTGATTAAACATATGTCACACCTTCTTCTTCTATCTTTCTTGTTTCTTAATATTTGTTCCTTGTTTTGCATGTTTCTGTTTTCTGTGCTTCATTTTAGACCAGAGGTTGGCAAGCTACCGCCTTTGAGCCAAGTCTATCCCACTGCCCGCTTTTGTAAATAAGAGTTCCACTGAAACACAGCTACACTGCTTTGTTTACATCTTGTGTGGGGCTGCTTTCACATTTTAATGACAGAGTTTAGTGGATACAACAGAGACCATAGGGCCTACAAGCCTGAAATACTCACTATCTGATCCTTTACAGAAAAAGTTTGCTCCCCCTTGTAGACAATTTCTTATCTTCCAGTTCACAAATTCTCTCTTCCGTCTTTATTCCGCTGCTAACATTGTCCACTGAGTTTTTCATATTGGTTATTGCATTTTTTATTTTAAATGAACCCTTATAAATCTGGCAGGTCATTATTATTATTATTTACAATTTCCTGTCCCTGATGATATAGCATTGTAAAAAAGTATTAAACATAAATTCCAAAGCTGTGAGAGACTGAATATTTAAACAATGTGATATGTCTAATATCTTTAGTCTTTACAGGTTGGTTTCTGCAGTCTGCTTTTTTTTTTAGAGAATATGAGCACAAATCTTTCAAATGTAAACAGCACAAGAGGTATCATTGCCCATATTTCCAAATACTAAAATTTTTTATTTTAAAGGGCAAACCTAGACAGTTAAATTCAGTTCAATAAATATACAATTAGTCTGTATCATGTCCTGAGTAATAAATATTAAGTAAATATATTTTCTTTGTATTTCTTTTTGCTTTATTATTTTAATTGTGTCTAGCTCATTGTTCTTGAAAAACTATCTGTGGCAGTTCTTTGAGGCCTGGGATTAAAAGGTGTTTCTCCAAGGAGAACTTGTTAGTGATCTGCCTGGTGCCTATACCAAATTTTGGAGGTTCCCTGGAGTACTCAACCTGCAAATCATCTCAGAGGTAATTCATGGCCAGAATGTTTCAGGAGTATTTTTTCCCCTTATTTTTCCTGTTGCTAAAAAGATTAATGTTGTGTTGGAGAAATTCTGCTCTAGACTGTGCAATCATTAGTAGCAGGGACTGAGTTCTTTTCATCATTGAGTTCCTGCCACCCAGCACAGTACTTGGCCTAATACTTATTGAATGAGTGAGTGAGTAAATAAATAGGTTCTACTGATTTTGCTTCCTAAATGGTTCTCAAATATGTCTTTTCATCCTCTTTCCCATTCTCATAGTCCTGGTCTCCATCACCTTTATCTGGACTATTACGATGTAATAATCTCCCAGTTGAGTGGTCCATAGCTAAGGGAATATTTTAGAATTCCGGTGGTGGGTCAAAAATACATATGTTTTTAAAAATCTGAGATGAGTTGAGGAAATCTCTAGTTTAAAGTATTCCACAGAAGATTCTAATATGTACCTTCAGTGAGAGGCACTCCACACCAACTTGTCTTCAGTTTTGCACCTCTTAAGTTCAGCCTCCCTACTTCACTCTCCTAGAGAAACACTACAGGGGCTCTTTATCACCTATAGCATAAAATCCAAGCTGGTTAGCTTGGTTTACAAGGGCTCCATCCCCTGCTGTGTACTCCATGCTTTAGTGGCACTCAACTTTGTGCATTACTGTCTTGTCACATCCCATCTTGTCTCCCACATCTTGCTTTTGTTCAGGCTATTCTCTGTGCCCACAGTCCCCTTTTTGTCTTTATTCACGGACATTCTCCTACTTGCTTTGTAGGACCCAGCTCAGCTTCAGGAAGCCTCCCCAGGCCCAAAGACTGGGTTAGAGCTTCTCCCTCCTGGTGCAATGCTTCATTAATTACATAACCAAGTCTATTATACACAAAGTGTAACCTCCCACTAGAGTGGGAGTTCCTCAAGGGACTTAAGGTACTCATCTTCGTTAGCCTAGCACGGTGCTCAGAAAACGGTAAGAATAAAATAGGTATTTACTACTCAGGACATAGTACAGAGTTATTGTATATTTATTGAACTGAATTGAGCTGTCTAGTTTGCCCTTTAAAACCAGGTGTTTTAGTATTTGGAAATATGGACAATGATACCTTTGGTGCTCCTTAAATTCACCAGATTCGTGATCATATTCTCCAACTAAATTCAGTTGTTTTCAGTTGTGTTAGGAAGAAGATGAGATGTAACTTGGGGGTTAAAAAATAAATCCCAGGTGAAATAGAAAACGGGATGATTTTCAAATGAAGAGGGAGAAATATAACTATTAAGAATCCATAGCCGGACATGGCAGCTCACACCTGTAATCCCAGCACTTTGGGAGGCTGAGGTGGGTGGATCACCTGAGGTCAGGAGTTTGAGACTAGCCTGGCCAACATGGTGAAACCTGTCTCTACTAAAAATACAAAAAATTAGCCTGGCGTGATGGTGGGCGTAATCCCAGCTACTCTGGAGGCTGAGGCAGGAGAATTGCTTGAACCAGGGAGGCAGAGGTTGCAGTGAGCCGAGCCGAGGTCATGCAACTGCACTCTAGCCTGGGCAACAAGAGTGAAACTCTGCCTCAAAAAAAAAAAAAAAAAAAAAAAAGAAAAAGAAAAAAGAGAGAGAGAGATTCCAGCTCCTACAATCCCACAAATGAGTATTGTACAGGGGTTGATCTGCCTGCACAAGTTACATGGATGAGGGAGGCTCATTCTTCTGTGGAAGTCTGGGTCTCTTTCCCATCCTTCTGTCCTGCCTAACATCTTGCCCAAGCCTCCTGGGGAGGTGATGAATATCACATCTTTTCTCTTCAAAGAGGCAGTGCTAGAGAAACAACTAGGAATGACAGAGATCCCTGCCCATTGGGATAGAGAAGCTGTGATGTCCCCTCTAGTATGAAACTGGGCATCACTTAATTTTCTGATCTCTTCCAGTCCCTATTCTGTGTAACAACCAATGGGATTAATCTAGCTTTCCTCAAACTGATCCCAAATGAAAAAGAGGATGAAGTCTTCTGGAATTTTGCTGGGTGGCAACAGATAGATTAGAGCTAGCCATACCATATTTGGCTGCCAAGTTCCTCTCAGGGGGACCTTGCCCATAAGTTGGAGCTGTAACTTCATGCTGGTCCCAACATTCATGTTATCTTGACTTCCTCCTTGGTTTACAGCATTTACATCCTTCTAACCCAGATCAATGTCAGAGCCATAATCCTTGGGAGAGAACAGAATCCATAGTCTGTTTGGTATCATGCATCAGCGGGTATTTAATAAATGTCAATTGATAATGTTTATAATCATGAAATGGAGAAAAATATGTTTTTTTGGCACTGCCTTGAGTAGATGTAATCTCTACCCTTTGCTAGAAAACAGAAATGGAAATAATATGAAGATTCCTAGAGAGAAAACAAAGAGATGGCAGAGATAGCATCTCATTCAGGAAGTTTCAAACTGAAAGGGTCTGAGTGAGGACAGCTGCTACAGAATTCCATGACCTCTGCAAGACTTTCTGCCCTTTGAAGGAGATGATGGCCAGATATCAGCTTGAAAATCATGGCAAGCTCAGTTTGGCTGAAGAAGGAAGAAAGAATGCCCATGGCAAAACAAACAAACAAATAAACCACACAATCTGACACATTGATGAATAAGCAAAGGCTTCGATATACAGAACTGCTCTTCCACACAGATTCTCTTTTATTCCTGGAAACTACTGGACACCCAAATGAAAAAAAAATTTCTCCCTCCTAACATGACTCATCACTTTAGATCAATCTGCTAACTGGTACTCTTCCATTGCCATAAAATAGTGAAGGGAGGATTTGATGACAGAAAACCTGGGTTCAAGTAAATATGCCATTTCTGGCTGTGTGATTTTAGGCAAGACACTTAACCTCTCTGAGTTTAGCTTTCTTGTGGGTAAAATACAGAAAATGGCAACATATATCAGTTATGATAATTAATTGAGCTAATGTATGTGAAGGTGTATTTTGCCTCTAGATGGTCATGCAGTTTAGGACATTGTGTCTTCGAATGGGCTAAGGAGGAGAAGAAAGTGAAGAGAATGCTGCTAATGAATAAAGCTGCTTCTAAACCCCATCCACTCTGCAGGAACACACAAATACATCCAGATTTATGCAGACTGGTGTCAGGGGCTGCATTCATTGGCCAATTTAAATAATTTTATATCTTAAAATAATTATGGCATTTGTAGTAGTGTTTTCCAACACATATGAGGTCTAAAACAAAATGCCCCCAAAGACAACCACATGCAATCATTGCATTCATTTTACATTTTTAATGAATCTCCCTGCTCCCAGAGCTCTGTTGCTATTCCCAGCAGCCCGGGTTCTGTTTTGTGTTCCTTCGTGGGTACACAGGGCAACCTGCCTGTTTTCTTGTCTCCATATGCATTTTAACTTCATAAGAAGACAGGATATGAGAAGTAATCTCCTCTCAGGAGGTTTTTATTTCTACAAATTACCAGCTACATGTATCTTGTTAAAAAAATCCATAAATAAGATAAAACAGGAGTATGTGTTTGTTTCTTGCCTAAAGCAAGCAGTGCAGCTTTTGCCCTGCTACTTGCTTACAATGGATTTAGAGACTGAGAGTAACTTCCCTTCCCTGAGCCTACAGTTCGTGCTCTGCCCTCCATATTCAGAAAACAGTATTAGACGGAAGAGAAGGGGCCGAACATCCCTGGCTTCATCCAGATGGAGCAATCCCACTCCTCAAAGCAATCTGAGGGCTAAGAGTGATTTAATAAAGATTGCTAAGAATGATTTAATAAAGATTGCACATGAGCAGCACTAGTAAAGAATTTGGCAACATATAATACATATAACACACTTAGGAAACACATACCAAATGTACACCACCTATTTCTGCAGCACGTAATCTTTGGTTAGGCTGTAACTGCCTTAAGGACTTTCCCATCTAAAGTTGTATCAAATATGAGCCTTACCATAATGCTGTCAGGCCAGGAAGGCAAGTATTATTCCTAACGGTGGCGCACAAGGTCCCCTACCATCTTATACCACACTGCAGTGTGCCCTCTCTGCTTCCTAGGTTCTATCCACACTGACCTTTCTGTTTCTTGAACACATCACGTAGTTCCTACCCCAGGACCTTTGCATTGGTTGTTCCCTCTGTGGAACACTCTTCCCCTGGGTCTTTAAATGACTGTCTCCCCACCATACAGCTATCAACTGAAATTCCTCCTACTCAAAGAAACCTTCTCTGGCCACTTTAAAGAAACACTACCCTCATCTACCCCTTCCCCAACACATGCTTCTCTATTATTTTACCTTGTTTATTGTCTTCAAAGGCCTTACCATTCTCCGGAATCATTGCCTTTATATATTGGTCTATGGCCTCTGTTCCCCCGTAGAATGAAAGGTCAATGAAGGAAGGGACTTTGTCTAGTTCACTGCTAGGTTCCCAGCATCTAGAACACTGCCTGGCACACAGGAGACACTAAAAAACTATTTACTGAGTTCATTTCAGTTTGGTCAATGAGGAAACCAACATCACAAAGATGAAGTGAATTGCTGGGATATAATTAGGGCAAACCTGGGACATCTCTTAACTTTCAGACCAGTGCTTTTCGCTCTAGGCAAGGAAGTTTACTACTTGCCCATTGGGTAGCCCAGAATTAACATGTTGTCCTTTGGCGTGACACAAGAAGTTGAGATTTCTTGTCTTCAGAAGTAGGAATGGACAGTCATCCTGTCAAGATATGTGTGTGTAAAAACTTAACCCAGGGCTCAAAGGTGCTGTTTTTGCCGTATTTTCCTGGGATTTGGGGGTTTGGGTCCCATCTAGAGTGCACTAATTTTGAGAAGCAGCGTGAAGGGATAGAAACAAAAAAACTTGGCTTGGTCCTGAGCAGGCCATTTATTGCTGGGTGATATTGGACAAATCTATCACCTTCTCTTGAAATTAAGGATAACGTAAGCTTTTACATGGCTGCCCTGAACTGAATAACCCTGAACACATAAAATACCCAACCCAGGTCCTGGAGTACAGGACACATTCAGCGCATACTTCGATGTTTCCCTTCATCCAATTTGTTGTTGTTTTCAGAGACAGGTCTCATTCTGTCACCCAGGCTGGGATGCAGTGGCATGATTGTAGCTCACTGTAACCTTGAACCCCTGGCCTTAAGCAATCCTCCCACCTTGGCCTCCCAAAGTGCTAGGATTATAGGCGTGAACCACTGTGCCCAGTCCTTCATCCAATTTATGATTGAAGCCTCTTTCCTTTAGGATATGAGCTGAGTTTCTCTCTCTCTCAAGCTCTCAACATGCCTTGAAATCTGCTTTACTATAAACGAAAGTGGCTGATTGATATCTGGTGATTAACTAATGATGACAGAAGGAGGGAGGTGACTCTCTGGGGTGACTAAAATGTTTACACTGGGTATTTATCATGCTGCAGTTGAGCTGGAGATATGATCTTGGGGAAAAAAAAGGACTAAAAATGTGACTGCCTCAGTGCAAGTCACGGCTAGACAGAGAGCTCGGCATGCCACCAGCACTGACCTCATGCTGATGGCTCTCAGCACTGAGAAGGCCTGTCAAGACGTGCCAGAGGCTCCACCATCAGGCCAGGGCCAGAGGGTGAAGATAAAGCAGCGTATAAGAGGTAAAAGAAGAGAGATCTAGGAGTTGAGTTTAAATTCCAGGTCCTCCGGCTCAAATTTTGCAGAAAAGGTTTTTTTCTTCTGTTTTCCTCATATACCCTGGAGTTTTTAAGCATGGCATATTTGGAATACAGTTACCACAGGAGAATGCTGGAACTCCAGGGTGAAAAGAGAGGCAATATTTAAGAAAATATGATGTTCCGCCTCTATGAAAAAGCTTGACAGTGTTAACATGCAGCGAATTCAATAGGTGTAATGGGTCGTGGTAAACTACATCCACAGGCTTCCAACCAGCTCTGAGAATAATACCTGCTTTCTCATTGAGTTACAGCGAGAATCAGTATGGGAAAGTGTTAAGCTCTAAGTCACTCCATAAATACTAGGTGTTTTAATGATGACAATTTGGCGGTGAGCAGGGTCGGTGCAGGGAAGATGTCAGAACAAAGTAGGCTGATCTTCCAACGCTCACTCCTGCATTGGCGTCTGGCTCTTAGAGCTCAGTTACTTACTCAGCTGTAAATAAACTCTGAGATGCAGCAGCTCAGCTTCATTCCCTCCCTGCCCTTCTCTTTTGCCTGAAAACATCAAGGGATTGGATGGAAACAAACCATGCAGCAAAAATGTGCTGAAGAGGAAAGAGACTTGTACACTTGAAAATCGCCTCTAAATAGTACTTCTCAGAGGTAAAGCAGTTTAAAAATATCTGTGTATAAAATACACTGAATCAAACAGCACAGAATCTACTGAGCATTGGTATAGATCCCTTTCTTCATCAACACACATTCTGTGACAAAAGTATTTATTTGACTACATAGGATTCAGGGCAGAGAAATAAAACCTGCTGTTAACTGAAGGAAGGCAGCAGCCTTTGTTCTGGCTCAAACGATGTTGCTTGATGGTAGCATGTAGACATACGAAAATAAAGATGATCAAACAGAAGAGTGTGATATATAGTCGTACATTTTGTGAGAGAAAATCTGTACCATTCTGGAAGAGGTGCTTATAAAGGTTCCAGGTGCTGCCGCAGCGCCTGGGTCCACACATCATATGACTTGACATCTTCATTTACCATTTCAACCCTCTCATCATTTCCTCTGCATCTCTGGCTCTTGGGCTTAATTCTTTGGCGGACATGCTTATTCTCTTTACTAACAGGCAGTCAATATTACATCATCCAGTTCTCTGTGATTCCTTTCACACGATGAGATATATTTGAGCAAATTCTGTTGGGACTTGTTTTTCAACTCCACGATGCCTGGCAAAGTGAGGCAGTGAGAATGCCATGCAAAATACTGAAACTTGATTGGATTGCAGCCCAGACGGCGTGACTACAGCAACATGCTTACCCTTCTTTATGTGAGCTGGTGGCTGTAAGACATCCATATGCTGCTACTTGGGCTTCCACCCAAGATGAATAAAGAATGAATGAGGGGGAAAAAGATAACAAATTAATTAGGATTGTCTGTTAATTGAGAGGGTTTGACACGGCTACCTTGTGTTCAACAGATCATGCAACCAGCAACATATTAGTTCATTATCAAGAAAGCAGAACTTGGGGTGAAAAAAATACAGAACAGCACTACAGCAGGGTTTCTTAGTCTTAGCACTGTATACATTTTGGGCTGGATAATTCTTGGTTTTGGGGGGGTCTGTCTTTGGCATTGTAGGGTGTTTAGCGGCATACCTGGCCTCTACTGACTGGATGCCAATAGCACTCTCTCCGCAAGTTGTGAAAATCAAAAATGACTCCAGACATTAGTAAATGTCCCCTGGGGAGCAAATTGCCCCCAGTTGGGGACCACTGCAATACAGTAAATAATACACATCCTGTAGCCCCTCTTTATGTCTCATGTCTTTCCTTTCCCAGTGACCTACTTGACAGGAGCTTGTTGTAAAGCTACAATGAGAACATGATACTTAGACATGAGACAGAAGTGAGATGGTAGTTTACGAGAATACAGAGTGTGACACTTCTTCAAATCATCGTGACTTAACCATGTCCTGCCATACGCAAGGATGTCTTCCCTGGCTCTGAACATTCAGAAGAAAGTGAACTTGCTGAAAGCCTCGCCCCTATGGAGGGGTTTTCAGCTGTTTCTTAAGAAAAACTGACCTTTAAAAATAATTTCTCTTCCAAGATTTTTTTTTTCCTTCTTGAATTAGTTCTTGCCTTTCACTGCAGCAAAATGGCACTTAATGGATCTTTGAAATTTAATATAGGATAATATTTCAAACTCTCTGAAGTTTAATAATAGCCCTCTGAAATGGTTTAGAAATGGGAATTGAGAGGAGAAAGGGTTTTATTTTTGTTTGTTTTAAAATTTTACTCTGCTATTTTAGTGGATGAGCAATCTGATAGGTTCCCCTCACCCCTTTTTTCTTCCCCTTATTCTTAGTGAAGGACAGATGGATAATGTTACAGAACTGGGCATATACTTAGCAACTTATCAGCCATAACCAACTAATCTACAGGAACCAGGTAGCAGGAGGCAGGCTTGTTATTGGATTCACAGAAATGATTCCTAGTGTTTCTCTTTTAATTCTGTAAACAGACACATTGTACCTGGCACACCAAGGTTCTCAAAGTACCCCTCTTGAAAAAATGATCCCTTAGAGTGTTGTGATAAGTCATTACTACTGTTTCCATCAGCAGACTCACAAAAATCCATGCGTACTGGAAATGTTTACACTAGCTCCATTTCCTTCTCTGAAGCTCGGACTGGACACAGAGTAGTCACCTAAACCTATGTATTCAATGGAATTAAACACAACACAGGCAACTACTCTGACCACCACCACTCACCACCAGCCCCTGCATTAGCACAAAGGACTTTCATGTGTGTTTTCCTTACAACAACCTTGTGCTACAGAGGACAGAAAAATATGTTTCTACCTCATTTTACAAACGAAGAAGCACCATTTATGGAGGCATGATAATTTGCCTTTATTCTTAAGCAAGTAAGTGTTGATGCTGGAATTAATTAACTTAAGCATCACTGTACAATAAGAGATACCAGGTCTCTCTTCTGTTGTGGGTTTAAAATAGCTTATCGGATTTTCTGAGCCCTGAATACATTCCTTAAACCCATTTCATATTCTTTTCTCTGCTTTACTAGCCAGCAGGGAAGCTTATCGTTACTAATATAATTAGGTTGAAACTTCCAAGGGAACAGAAACCACTCCTATCTTGTTTGCTAGCACAGAACCTGGCACATAGCAAGCACTCAATAAAAATTTGTTAAATAAATTTGTTGAAAGAATTTGTGTATTTAAAGAACCTTAGAAACTTTGGGCCAGGCGCAGTGGCTCACGCTGGTAATCCCAGCACTTTGGGAGTACGAGGCAGGCAGATCACGAGGTCAGGAGATCGAGACCATCCTGGCTAAGGCGGTGAAACTCCTCTCTACTAAAAATACAAAAAATTAGCTGGGCATGGTGGCGGGCGCCTGTGGTCCCAGCTACTTGGGAGGCTGAGGCAGGAGAATGGCGTGAACCTGGGAGGCGGAGCTTGCAGTGAGCCGAGATAGCGCCACTGCACTCCAGCCTGGGCGACAGAGCGAGACTCCATCTCAAAAAAAAAAAAAAAAAGAACCTTAGAACTTTGACATGAAGAAAGGGATAGCCTAGAGAGCAGATACAAATATTTCCAGGCCCGAGAGGCATATTCTTCACTTCATGTGAATAGAAGTAAATATTCTAACTGGGCTCACGCATCTGTCTCTGGTGAGTTTAATTAGTTTAAGTTGGTCCATGTGATGTGCATTCACTTTAGGAGCACTGACAAATGTATTTTTTTCAGTCTGTAAAGGTGAGGACAGATCACAGACCTTGATACTTTTATGAGGCTTCGAGGAACTAAAGCATCATTATCATTTCTTCTCTTTTAAATTCAACATGCACACCTTAAAATGCAGATTTAAATTGCAATTATTTTTGTGGATATCCTCACCTCATTCCTACCACTTCGCCTCTGCCTTGGAGCCAAGTGGCTGGAAACCTTTGGCATTCCTGTGGGTGGAACAAAATCTCCAATGCGGGAAAAGCGTCCTGAGGTTGACACCCTCCCCTTCCACACCTCCCTGCCCTCATGGGTGGATGGTGGAAGTCAGGCCCTCCTTCCCAATGAAGACCGTCACCCACAGAGAGCAACCGTGAGAGCAATTACAGCTCTGGGTTTTGCAATCAAGCCAGGAGGAAAGGGAAGATGACCACTGACTAATCAAGGCACCTCTCCCCAAGTTTTTCCATTCCTGATTTGGGCTAGACAGTAAAGGTGCTGCCCTTCCTCTGATGATCTTGTTCCTTGCCCAGATCCTCATTTTGCAGGGTCTGGGGAGCAGCATCTTCTGTGGTGTGTAGAGTTCCATGCTGCCTGCCTTGCCCAGATGGCTGGGAGCCCACGCAGCCTATATCTATAGATATAAACGTACGTGGTTCCTCTAAAATGGTGGTTCTCGGCTCTACGCAATTTTGTCCCCAGGGGGACATTTAGCAATGTCTGGAGACATTTTTGTTTGTCACAACTGGGGCAGGGGATGTGCTACTACCATAGATGGGTAGAGCCCAAGAATGCCGGTAAATATCCTGTAGTGCACAGGACACCTCCCTATGAAATGCAAAGCAAAGGAAAACATAAAGGCAAGCCCACGAAGAGTGCAGTTTGTTTAGGTTTGCTGAAAGGAGGCTTTTTAGTGATAAGAATGTCAAACAGCTTTCATCTGAAGGCCTGTGCTTTATAGTGAGTTCGCAAGGCCTTGGGTCTGCAAGTGCAGGGCATTCCCGGTGGTTTAGCCAGTGTCTGTGGCACAGTGCCTGGTCCATGGCATACTTCATGAATATTTCCTAAAGTAAGCATTGTAATTGGGACTGCAGTGTCTATAATAGGAAATTGACTCTTAATTAACTGGTAAGCAGGGGACAAGGAAAAATAATGTCACGAAATTTGAGGGTAGGACAGAGCCGGCAGGTCAATTAGGCTGTAGGACTTCATGGGATTGGTTGTCTAGAGAGTAGCCAAATGTTTAGAGATGTAAGGATCAGATGTCACCACTTAAGGCAGCTCAACCTGAGAGGAAAATGTAGTAGAGGCCATAAAGCCCATAGACTCGGTCCTGGTGCTTTCCGCACCCCTGGACTTCCTCGAGCCTCTAGCACTGAAGGCTCATACCTTCAGCGGCTCTTGAGGTGCTTGGGGAAGGCTGGTTCATCAGTGCTCAGGAGCCAAGATCTCAAGGTCAAAGCCTGGTTCTTGGCTGGGCCTATCTTGCTATTTTGGTCTCTCCCTTTTCAAACATTTTATTTGCTATTTCCAGGTTAGTTCGCCCAAGTTAGTTCTGACATGTCAACCCCTTATTCTAAAACCTTCAACAACTTCCGATGGTTTACTAAATTAAGTTCAAACTCTTTGCTTATATGGTGTTCAAAGCTCTTTCTATTCCAGCTCCTCTCCGCCTTCCTTGCCCACATTTTCTCCCTCCTGTGTTCCTTTCATCCCTTCCATTCCCCCTGTTGCACTCCTTCTCTATACACACCCAGAGTTTCTTTCAAGCTAGACAATTTGCTTTCCATGAATGAGCCCGTGCCCTCCCATCTCAGTGCCATTGCCCTGGGGCAGGAAAACAGAGTCATCCACTGGCCACCACATCACCTTGATGGTGGCTAACCTCACTCCCATCCATTTCTCCCTTCACTGTGTTCATTTCAGGGGTTCTTCTGCTCCCATAAATATGCAAATCATTCAACACTAACGGAGTCAGAATCCAGGAATAAATACCCACTTCCCATCTACTGCTTGCATAGAGAATGTATGTGAATTAAAGAGATAATGCTATCTGTGAAGTGCTTTCATCTTCCTAGACTGAACTACATTCCTTCAAAGTATTATTCAGATTTCACATTGGCTCCCACATGTGCTTAGCATAGTAAGGAAGACCCCACCCGCTGAAAGCTGAGGCCTCAGTGCTTTGCTGAGCCACGGTCGTAGCAAAGATCCATAGTGAAGGTGCTGAAAATGCTCTTGAGTTTATCATTTACTTTAGATGTAAGTGTTGAATCTAATCAAAGGTTTTCTCTGCCAGGCTGCTGTCCTGTGTTAGACACTTTTCTCCCTTCAGGAGGTAGAGCCCTTGAGAATTCTAATGAAACCCCAATTTTATGGGGGCTTTGATTACATATGTCATCACCATTGTCCATTATGAAAATAAATTTTTTTGAATATGAAGAAAATACATCAGCAAACTTCAGTCCTCAAAGAGAAAGTGTGATGGGTGGAGAAAGTGGGAAAATTTGCAATATGATGAAGAGTTTGGGTGGCCTTGTTCAACAAGAACTACAATAAATACTCCTCAAAGATAAAGGCACAATTAAAAGGAAATTTTCATTCCCACATATAACCTTTGCTTTGTGGCCCTCCCCACCAACCTAGAAATTTTCTTTTGAAACAGTGAGAAAGAGGAAGGATTGCCACAATAGCAATAAGAACAGTATCCTTCTACCTCAAGCACCCACCACCTAAGAGAGAATTTTCAAAACTTTTCTGAAGCTCTTTTTTTCCAACTCGTCTCCTATTTCTGAGCCTTTCTGGGGATGTCTCATGTACATTTATGGATGAGGTGCTTTCAACTACTTTGTGTTTTCTGTTTCCCCCATGCCTGTGATTGGGCTACTGATGCCTCTTGAGCTAGGGATGCAGGCCCATGTGGGCACCGGGCACCAGCTCCTAGGCTGAGGCCACAGATCTCCATCTGGAGGGCTGTAACTGCTGCTACTAAGTGGCCCAGACCCTCCTAAGCTGCACTGGGTTTCGTGCTGAAGAACGGGGCAGAGTCTTTCTCCCCATTGTGGGAATTCCTCAGTTACTAGGATACAGAACAGTGCTGCTCGTGTACCTAGAAATCAAAGAGGTTTTTTGTTTTGTTTAGTTTTTGAAAACAAGCCTTTTATTTCAATCCCCTCTTCAGAAGATTCAGAATGGGCTTTGCAACAGATGCTTTACTATCGCACTAAAATGTTCAGCATCTGCTCTCTACTGAGCATTGTTTTTGAACCAGAATTTTATGCCTTAATTCTTTCTTTAGGATGAATTCTTTCCCAGGAGGCAATGAGGCTTCTTATAGAAATAGATACACAGTAGATTGGCCCCACCACACATATCTCAGTGTTTAGCTGAACAGGGCTTAGTCCTAAGATGGAACTCTTGCTACATATAGAAGATGGCAATCTGTGAGTCTTTTAGTCCCAGACGTAGTGTAGGCTAAAAACCAGTCATAAGGCTTATTAGTTTTATTCAGAACTTCTTTGATAGGAATAAGAGCTCACTTAAGCTCACAAACTAACAGGTGACTTCATAATGTAGGCACTGAGGACAACTAAGACTCATGGGAGCTATATTTGGGCAAGCTCTGGGCACAGAAGCTACTCTCTCTTTCAGGCCGTGTGGTCTTTTCTCTGCTTTTGCAACCCTTCTCCCTCTTGCTCTCTCAACCCTCTTTCCATGTTTCCCCGCATGGCTCCAAATGGCCAGCAGCCCAGATCAATGTGTCTTCCATAGGGCCAGCTAAATACAGCCCCTGTTGATTCTTTGATTCTTTTTTTTTTTTTTTTTTTTTTGAGAAAAAGTCTCACTCTGTCACCCAGTCTGGAGTGCTGTGGTGTGGTCTTGGCTCACTGCAACCTCTGCCTCCTGGGTTCAAGTGATTCTCATGCCTTAGCCTCCTGATTAGCTGGGATTACCAGCATGCACTACCACCCCCGGCTAATTTTTATATTTTTAGTAGAGACAGTGTTTCTCCATGTTGCCCAGACTGGTCTCAAACTCCTGGCCTCAAGTGATCCACCTGCCTTGGCCTCCCAAAGTGCTGGTATTACAGGCATGAGCCACTCCGCCCGGCCAGCCCCTGTCAATTTTAATTCTTGTAGAAGAGAGAATAATTAGGCACCAGTTGACCATTAGATGGGTTAGTTTTGGTTTGGATGTCCACCCTGTTTAAATCAGCAGTTCATGGGGGCATGTCACATATGTAAACATTGCTTTTTCCCCTCCAACAGGAGGTTTGAGAATTAGTCTGTGGGAAAGACAGGTATCCCCCTCCCCCAATAGTTACTGTGTTATGGAAGGAAGAGGCTTGTGCTGTAAGAGTCTTGCCCAAAGCAGATGCTCAGGAAAGGACTGTGGGAAAAATCTTGAGTAAAAGTGTCCCTGTGGTCTTGGACTCCAGGATCCAGATGGAAATTGGCCATGTTATAAACTAGGGTTGCTGTCCTAGAGGATAATGACACACCACTGAGCCAGAAGCCTGAAAACCACCCTAATTATGAACTTAAAAAAGAGTAAAATATCTCAGGGTGTATATCCCACTCCTGCCTCTACTGGGTTAATAGATTTTCAAGAGAAATCTTCTAATCCTCCTGGATATAGTTTCTTCCTCAAGAGGACTTAGGCAATGGAGGAATAAATAACACTGAGAAAGTTTGGGTTTCCTTCAAATGATGCTGCGGCTCCACTGCCTTTTAAAAGCTACTGTGATTAATAGCTCTGAATTTTTTTTTTTTTTTTGAGACAGAGTCTCACTATGTCGCCAGGCTGGAGTGCAGTGGCACAATCTCAGCTCACTGCAAGCTCTGCCTCCTGGGTTCGAGCGGTTCTCCTGCCTCAGCTTCCCGAGTAGCTGGGACTACAGGCCCATGCCACCACGCCCAGCTAATTTTTGTATTTTCAGTAGAGACAGGGTTTCACCATCTTGGCCAGAATGGTCTCCATCTGTTGACCTCATGATCTGCCAGCCTCGGCCTCCCAAAGTGCTGGGATTACAGGTGTGAGCCAGCACGCCCGGCCCTGAAATGTTTTTAATGAGTGCTTCTGTCTGGGTTTATATATCCTTGAAAGAGTTAATATTTCACCCAGGAGGTTGTGGAACTGCATTAGCATGTGTACTTATTACTGCCTGAATCTGCAGCCGCAGGTTTCCTGCGTTTTCAGCCAAGGGTTGGCGGCTTTTAGGCTTAGGGCTCTGAGATGTTTGAGCAGAGCAGAGCACTAGGATGGTAGCTCTGAGGACAGCAGTGAGTTCCATTGACCCAAATCAGGAAGAGTGACATTAGCATCTTCATAGATTTCTAATGAGGGCGTTGAGAATCCCATGGTGGGCTGATGCAGAGGCAGAAGTGGTGGGCACCCAGGTAGGGGGATATGAGATGGGTCAGGAAGGTGCTTTTACCCCTTGACAGATTAAGAGTTCATTTCCTTGATGCAAGCATTCTTTTTCATTTTAAAACAATAGTCCATGGGAAGTGGTATTTAATTAATTTATATCATAAACGCTTACATTGTGCTTGCCATGGGCCAGATACTGTTTTGAGTACTTTATAATTATTGACTCATTTAATCCTCATAACCTGTGAGGTAGGTAAAATTATGTGTATTTTATAGATGAAGACACTGAGACTCTGAGTGGCTAAGTACCATGCCCAAGGTCACACAGCTAGTCAGTGACAGCTGGGATTTGGATGCAGGTACCCTGGCTCCAGCATCTATGCTTTGAAATCCTATGCCATGCATAGTGATTCACATTAAATTACTAATATCTTTGTCAGGCTAAATTTATCATATAACTTTTCAGTGTCTGCCAGAATACAAGGGAGTGGGATGGTTGGTGGAAGCATAAATGCAGTGGGTCTTGATTAGAGGAGAAGCAAGGATGGGAGAAGAGGAAGAGTAATAATGGAAAGTTATAGGTGAGGAGAAATTCCAGAAGAATTGAGGAATGCTAAAGACAAGATTTATTCACCTCACGATTTTGCTATGAGCAAGCTCCCTGACCCCTAACATTTTCACAACAAAGTTGGACATGCATATGATATCAACAGAACCCTTTCAAAATGGAAGCTATGTCACATAGCCAGATTAGCCACCATTTGTACACTGTTCCCTCCAATGGACTCTGGTGCTTGTATAACATAATGTATTTTCAGATACAAACAGGTTTATTTCCCTTGTGCTTGTCCTTGTATTCTTTGCCCTTCAGTTGGTGGCATCCATTGCCTTAGAGAAGAGTTACTACAGAAGAAAGAGAGGGAAAAACAGAACCCATATGAGTTTCAAGGATCAAGACATTTTAAAACAGCTTTATTGACATAAAGTAAATAATATGTATTGAAAATATGTAATATTATGAGTTTGAACATATGTAAACACTCATGAAACCATCATCACAATTAGCACAATAAACATGATCAAAAGTTACTCTATGCTTTTATAATTCCTCCTTCCTCCCTCTCACCATGCCTTGTATTCCTAGACAACCCCTAATCTGCTTTCTATCACTGTATATTAGCCTGCATGCTTTCTAGAATTATATATATATATATGGAATAATACAGTATTTATTCTTTGTCTGGCTTTTTTCCCTCAGCATAATTGTTTTGAGATTCATCCAGGTTATTGTATTAATAGTTTATTTCTTTTTATTGCTGAGTAGTATTTCACTATATGACTACAACATGGTTTGTTTCTCCATTTACCTATTGATGAACATTTGGATTGTTTCCAGATTTTGGCTATAACAAATAAAGCTTCTGTGAACATTTGTGTACAAGTCTTTGTATGGACACATGTTTTAATTTCTACTGGGTAAATACCTAGCAGTGAACTGAGTCATGTAGTAGGTGCATGTTTAATTTTTGAAGCATCTGCCAAACTGTTTTCCAAAGAATTTTCACCATTTTACATTCCCACCTAAGACTGTATGAGCATTCTAATCATTCCACATCCTTGCTGACACTTGGTATGGTTCGTCTTAATTGCAGATATTATAATAGGTGTGTCGTGGTATTTAATTACGGGTTTATTTTGCACTCTCCTAATTATTAATGGTTGTGAGCATCTTTCATGTGTTTATTTGCCATCTGTATGTCTTTTTTGATGAAGTGTCTGTTCAAATCTTTTGCTCATTAAAGATTTTTAAAATTAAATATTGAGATTTTTAAAAATATCCTGGGTCCAAGTCCTTTATTATCTATGTGATTAGCAAATATTTTCTCCCTATCTGTGACTTGGTTGTTTTTTCATTCCCTTTAAAGTGTCTTTTGAAGAGCAGAAGTTCTTAATTCTAATGAAATCCCATATATCAATTCTTTCTTTTATGGATAGTGCTTTCAGTATTTCCTAACCCAAGGCCACAGAGATTTTCTCCTATGTTTTCTTCTACAAGTTTAATAATTTTAGTCTTTACATTTAGGTATATGACCTATTTTGAGTTAATTTTTGAATGTAGTGAAAGGTATAAAGTTTATTTGCCTATGGATAGCCAATTGTTCCATTACCACTTGTTGAAAAGACTACCCTTTCTCCACTGAATTGCCTTTGTCAAAAATTAGTTGTCCCTATGTGGTGAGTCTCTTCTGTTTCACAGATCTATAGTAGTCCTCCCTTTTCTGTGGGGAGTATGTTCTAAGACCCCCAGTGAATGCCTGAAACCATAGATAGTACCAAATCCTATGTATACAATGTTTTTTTGATCTGATTACCCAGATGGCTACTAAATGACTAACAAGCAGGTAGCGTCTACAGCATAGATATGCTGGACAAAGGATCATTCATATCCCATGCAGGATGAAGTGAGATGGCACAAGACTTCATCACATAACTCAGAATGGCATGTAATTTAAAACTTATGATTTTATTTCTGGAATTTTCCATTTAATATTTTCAGACCGTTGTTGACTGAAGGTAACTAAAACTATGGAAAAGTGAAACTGTGGATAAAGGGAGATGATTGTATTTGTCTATATTTATACCAATACTGCAATATCACATTGCCTTGATTATTACAGTTAATTAGGTCTTGAAATCAGGTGCTGTAAGCCCTCCAAGTTTCTTCTTTTTTAAAGGTTTTGTTGTTATTGTTGTTGTTCTGGGTCCTTTTTGTTTCCAAATGAGTTTTAGAATCAGCTTGTCAATTCCTAAAGAAAGTTTGCTGGGTTTTTTTAATTGGGATTGCATTGAATCTAAAATTTAAGAAGAGTAGACATCTTAACAATATGAGTCTTCTGACTGATAAACAAAGTGAGTGTATTTCATTTTGAAGGGATAGTTCTTTACTATTACTGAGCAATGTTTTATAGTTTTTAGTGTATAGACCATCACATATTTTGTCAGATTTATCCCACAGCATTTCATATTTCAATGCTTTTATAAATGACACTTAAAAAATTTCAATTTCTAAGGTTCATTGTTACTCTGTGGAAATATTAAATACAATTAATTGTTGTATATTGATCTTGTATCCTGCAACTTTCTTAAGCTCATTTATTAGATTTCTACATAGACAATCATGTCATTTGTGAGTGAAGACAATTTTATATTTTCTTTCCAACTGAATGATTTTTTCCTTTTTCTTGACTTATTGCACTGTCTGAAATCACTGATGCAATGTATAGGAATAAAAGTATAAATAGTGATTCACGTTAAATTACTAATATTTCTCTTAATATCTCAATATCTTTCTAATGCCTGTAGAATCTAGTGATATCACCTTTCTCATTCTTAATATTGGTAATTTGTATTTTCTTTCTTTCTGATCCATCTGGCTAGAGATTTATCAATATTATTTATATTCTCAAAGAACATGCTTGTGATTTACTTTTCTCTATTGTTTTTCTATTTTATGGGCTTCTACTGTATTTATTATATGCTTTCTTCTGTTACTTTGGGTTTAATTTGCTCTTTCTTTCTTGTGTCTTAAGGTAAAAACAGATTATTGATTTGAGATCTTTTCTAATATAGGTGATAAGTGGTATACATTTCCCCCAATAAGTACTGCTTACCTGCATCCTTTAAAGTTTAATATGTTGTGTCTTCATTTTTATTCAAAATATACTTTCTAATTTCCCTTTGGAATTCTTCTTTGACCAATGGGCTATTAAGAAATGTGTTATTTAGTTTCTGTAATATTTTGGAAGTTTCCAGATATCTTTTTATTTTTCTATTATGATCAGATAACATACTTTGTGTGGTTTGAATAATTTTAAATGTATTGATACTTGTTTTATGGTTCAGGATAGAGTCCATCTTTGTAAATGTCCCTGGTGAACTTGAATAAAAAAAAGTGTACTCTGCTGCTTTTGGGTAGAGTGTTCTGTAAATGACACTTAGGTCTAATTGGTTGGTAGTGTTGTTTAAGTCTTCTATATCATTACTGATTTTCTGTCTAATTGTTTTATCAACTAGTAAGAGGGTAGTATTGAAGTCTCCATCTATAATAGTGGATTTGTGTGTTTTTCCTGATAGTTCTATCATTCTTCTTCATGTATCTTCAAGGTCTACTATTAGTTATATAAACATTTAGGATTGTCATATTCCCTTGACAAATTTGACTGCTTTTATCCTTGGTAATATTCTTTGCCCTGAAATTTACTTTATCTGATATTAAAATAGCCACATTGGTCTTCTTTTGACTAATGTTAACATGGTATATTTTTTCCACCCTTCTAATTTTTAACCTATTTAAATATGTTTGTAAAGTGGGTATCATTAGGAAGCAAAGACTTGGACTTGCTTTTTTATCCAATATGAGAATCTCTGCTTTTTAATTGTGATATTTAGAATATGTACATTTTATATGATTATTGATACATTTGTGTTTAAATCTGTATGATCTTGCTTTTATTTTCCATTTGTCCCATCTGTTCTTTGTTCCCTTTCCCTCCTTTTCTGCCTTCTTTTTGATTGACTATATTTTATGATTCCTTTTGATCTCTTCTGTTGGTTTATTAGCTATTACTAATAGCTTTTTGTGTTGTTTTGGTGGTTGCTTTAGAGTTTGTAGTACATACAACAATTTACCTCAATCTATCTTTAGGTGATAGAATACCACTTACATACTGCATAAGAATGTTATGCCAATATACTTCCATTTCCCCCCTCACAGCCTTTGTGTTATTGTTGTCATGTATTTTACTTCTACACATTATAAACTTCACAGTAAATTATTATATTCATTTAAATTGATCAATTATCTTTTAAAGATATTTAAATAGTAAGTAAAAAGTCCTTTGTATATGCTCACAGTTTTCTATTTACTAATACTTCTACATATTCTTTTGTTTAGATTCAGATTTTTGTCTGTTATTATTTTCCTTCTGCCTGAAGGACTTTAATATTTCCATCACAAGTGTAGGTCTGCTTTTGACGGTTTTTTTTTAGCTTTTGTTCTTCTGAAAAAGTCTTTATTTCACTTTGTTTTTGAAATATATTTTAACAGGGTAAAAAATTCTTTGCTGACAATATTTGAGTTTTATTTTGTTTTACCTTTTAGTATTTAAAAATATTGCTCCACTGTTTCTGGCTTGTATGTTTCTAAAGGGAAATCTGCTGTCATCCTTATTTTTGTTTCTGTGTACATAATGTGTTATTTTCCTTTGGCTGCTTTTAAGATACTTTCTTTATTACAAGTATTAAGAAACTTAGTCATAATATACCTTGGCATAGTTTTCTTTGAGTTTCTTGAACTTGGATTTGTTGAGCTTCTCAGATATGTGGGTTTATAGTTTTCATCACAGTTGGATAATTTTTGCCAATTATTTCTCTAAAATGCTTTTTCTATCCCTGCTATTCTCTCCTTTTCTTTGAGGATTCCAACTTCAAGTATACTGGGATGCTTGAACTTTTCCCATGAGTCCCTGATATTTGTTTCTTTTCTTTTTTTTTCATTCTTTTTTGTCTCTCTGTTCCATATCTGGATAGGTTTTATTACTTAATCTTCAAGTTTACTAAGCTTTTTGTCTGCCGTGACTAATCTTTTAATTTCATCCAGTGTATTTTTAACCTCAAACAGTATAGGTTTCATCTCTAGAAGTTTATTTTATCTTTTAAAAGTATCTTCTATTTCCCTACTTAACATGTTTCATCTTTCTTCTAGCTCCTTAAACATATGGAATTCCATTATAATAATGTTTAATATCCTTATCTATTAATTCTATCATCTGTTTTATTACTGAGTTGTGCTAATTTTTCTCATTATGGGTTATATTTTTGTGTTTGTTTGCATGCCTGATAATTTTTTATTGGATACCAGACATTGCCAATATTACCCTATTAGATGTGGGATGTGTTTTTATTTCTGTAAATATTACTTAATTCTGTTCTAGGGTGTGATTGAGTTACAGAAACAGCTTTATGCTTTTGAGTGTTGCTTTTATGCTTTTTTTTTAGGTGGGACTAAAGCTGCCTAAGTAATATGGCTAATTTTTCCCCATTACAGAGGCAAATCCTTTCTGAGTACTCTGTGCGCCATGAATTATGAGGCTTTCCCCTCCAGCTGGTGGCAACAGGAATTATTCCTGCCCTATGTCACCTATGGGGATTGTTTGCCATGCATCTTTTGCTGGCTTTGTCCCTAGCCTCAGGTCAGGAGTTTGAGACCAGCCTGATCGACATGGTGAAACCTCATCTCTACCAAAAGTACAAAATAATTAGCTGGATGTGGTGGCACATGCCTATAATCTCAGCTACTCGGGAGGCTGAGGCACAAGAATTGCTTGAACTCGGGAGGTGGAGGTTGCAATGAGCAGAGATCGCACCGTTGCACTCTAGCCTTGGTGACAAGAGCAAAAATCCATCTAAAAAAAAGAATGTAAATTATAAATGTGAACTCTGAATAATGAGGATCTTCATTATGTTTACTATTCAATACTTTATCTTTTAAAGTACTTGAGGAGTTATACTCTTATTGCAAAGATGATACACCTGCTGGAAACATTTGCAGAATTCCTCTGCTGGAATTTTCTTCAGAGATGGCGGCACATTCTGTTAAATCTTCACATTAATGACTAATCTTTATTCTTTGAGCAAAGATATGAGTTTTTTTTTTTCGTTTGTTTGTTTTTTGTTTTTTTTTTTTTGGTAGCACTCTAGCACCAGAATGATTTTGAGTTAAGTCTAATGAATAAAGAGGGGAGCCACCCTGGGTAATACCATCTATGGTCAAAAACGAAATGTGACTAAAAAGAAATTAGACTGATTTTTCTTGGTAAAGATAAGGAAATAAATAGATAATTTAAAAATTATTTTAAAATATTTTAAATCTAAGAAACTCTTTCTTGAATCAACAAACCTATGGAATTTTAAGCAAATGAAACCAATAAAAGCAGAGCTGCTTTGGTTAAGGGGGTGTCTGGAGCCTGGGTCCCTGCTCCCATACCTTGAATTCCTGAGATGGCCTTGAGGCTCCACACAAGAGTACAGTTAGAAAACCATTGCTTGAGATGATAGCAAGTTAAAGATATTATTTTAAAAAATAGATTTTAAAAGATACAACATTCTCAGGCAGGTCATCCATAGCCCTCTCAAACAGTACATGGCAATTATCAAAGACTTTTCTGAATCAGAAGTAGGATATAAGGAGTGACATCAAGAAATAAATGAGTTATTCTCTATTATTACCCTAGTCAGAAGGCTTTCAAGATGACCATCCAGGAAAGTCAAACTCACCCTGCCATATTGCTCTCCTGCCACAGCAGTCTCCTAATTTTCACGAGTGATGCCCTGTACTCTTTTTCCATTCCCCTCTAACCCGTCACTTAACACTAGGCCCAATGTTAGACTCTAGGGACAGTCTGTGCTCTTTGCCCCAAGCACTTAAATTAGGGCTTAGCATTGATTCAGTTCTGCTCCTCATCTCACTAACTTGGACAACTCATTTCTCCTGTGACCAAGCCTAGGCCAGGACCAGATGAGGGTCAGATTTTCTGCTCTCCAGGCACAGTCTCCCTATGATGTAATGGTCACTGCATGGACCTCTGGTCTTGTCTGCTGGGCCTCAGTTTTTGTAGATTTTAAACTCAGTTTGGAACCTTTGGTCTGACATTGAATTGATCTTCTCCAAAGCCCCTACCCAATCCAATCAATTGTTTCACATCGGTTTTTCAGCCATAAAAAGCCTTTGATAAAATAAAAGTCTTATAGTGAAATATGTAAAACAGATGAAAATGGAGCTGTTCTGGCTGGAAAGAAGGTGAGGACCCTCATCTGCATGGCATCCTGCCTGGCATAGATTTAGTAAATGCTAACTGTTAAGTAATAAGGATAGCAACAGCAACAACCACCACCATTAGAAAGCTCAACCTGGTCAGGTGCAGTGGCTCACACCTGTAATCCCAAAGCACTTTGGGAGGCTGAGGTGAGAGGGTCTCTTAATGCCAGGGGTTTGAGACCAGCCTGGGCAACATAGTGAGACCCTCATCTCTACACAAAATTAAAAATTAAAAAAAAATTTTTAAAAGCTCAACTCAAATGCCACCACCTTCTCTGAGAATACTTCTCAAAATCTCTCAAAGTCCCTCTTCCTCTTCTAAACTTGCATAATGTTTTATTTTGTACCACTTTTGGTAAAAGATACCATATTATGGCTTATATTAAAATTATTTTTATCTTTTCTATTAGACTTTTAAGTTCCTGAGGGAATGTTGCCCAATTGTTTTATTTCTATACTTTTCCACAGAACTTCATATTATGCCTATGACAGCCAGATCTTAAGGTGACTCTGGTGATTTTTGACTTCTGGTATTCATGTCCTCATATAATCCACCCCCCCTTGAGTGGGGGTGGGACTGTGACTTGCTTCTACCAAGGAAAATGGCAAAGGTAATAGGATGTCACTCCTATGATTATGTTACATTATATACGACTCCATTTTGCCAGCATGCTCGCTCTAGAGTCTCCCTTTCCATTGCTGCCTTTGAAGATGGAGCTGCCATGAATCTTACACCCCTAAGGAAGTGACTTCTCCAAACATCTGATGAGCTTGCAGGTAAATCCTTTTCTAGTTGAGGCCCTAGCTGAGACCCCAGCCCTGGCCAACATCTTAGTTGCAGCTTGTGAGACCCTATGCAGAGGACCCAGGTAAGACATGTTCAGACTCCTGATGAAAACAAAATTTGAGATAATAAATGGGAATTGTTTAAAGCTGCTAAGTTTATGGTAATTTGTTAAGCAATACAGAAAATGAATACAGGTGTAATGTAGAACTTTTAGTCTTGGTCTAAGAAGATAGATATCAAGCCTATGATATTTAAAAATTATTTGGTAAGTAATTTTTCAAGCATTTAAGATACTTCTAAAATCCTGTTGAAAAACATCAAACATTTATGTGTGGCAAAAAACAACATAAGTTGGTTTACAGAAATAAAAAGGCAGATGAAAAGCTGGTAAAACATTTTGAAAGCCTATCTCAGCAAAAGCTTGATTTTCTTAACATGTAAAGAGCTAATAAATCAGTAAGAGAAAGATTCTACATCCATTAGAACACTAGGTAAAGGATATGAAGACAGTTCACAGAAAAGTAAATACAAATGGCTCTACAACATATGAAAAGGAGCTCAACCTCATTTAAACAAAAAGAAGTCAAAATAAAACTACAATGACATATTTTTCACTTACCACACTGGCAAAACTTTTTAAAAAATTGATAATACACTTTGAAAATACGCAATAACAGGCACTCATTGTTGTAGTAACCTCTATGAAAGGCAATTTATGATATTTATTAAAATTAAAAAACAAACATACCATTTGACCCAGCAGTTATACTTCTATATTTAGATATGCTCATTTACAGATATGCTCACCTTCTGTTAAAGGACTTATTATTGCAGTATTGTTTGTAATATCACAAGATTGGAAACAACCTAAATTTTTATCCTGAAAGGACTAATTGAATGAAATTTGGTATAGTAATACAATGGAGTGTTCTGCAGCAGTTAAAAATAATATATTGATATGGGGTGTGCTCTAAAGTATATCACTAAGTGAAAAAGGCAAGATTTGGAGCACCTTGTATAATATACTATCATTTATGTTAAAAAAAAATCCACTTTTGGCCGGGCGCAGTGGCTCAAGCCTGTAATCCCAGCACTTTGGGAGGCCGAGGCGGGCGGATCATGAGGTCAGGAGATCGAGACCATCCTGGCTAACACGGTGAAACCCCGTCTCTACTAAAAATACAAAAAATTAGCCCGGCGTGGTGGCGGGCGCCTGTAGTCCCAGCTACTCAGGAGGCTGAGGCGGGAGAATGGCGTGAACCCGGGAGATGGAGCTTGCAGTGAGCTGAGATCGTGCCACTGCACTCCAGCCTGGGTGACAGCGAGACTCCATCTCAAAAAAAAAAAAAAAATTCCACTTTTACATATATGTCTATATTTGGAAATGCTTGGAATATATCTAGAAGTTACACTAAAACATAGTGGCAGTTTTTGCCTCTGCTGCTGGGGCACAGAGATGTAATGAGACTTACTTTTTCCTATGTCTCATTTTGTGCTTTTTGAATTTTGTACCATGGACATGATTATTTATAAAAAAATGAATTAAAACTCATACCAAAGCAAAAAAGCTTATGAGCACATCTAAAACAAATAAGTTAAAACATAGATAATTTAATAAAATATATTATTTCTGAGTAATAAATAGCAAGCAAAAATGCCCCAAATCTGAGGTTTTTGAACAGCCTACGTGGGTTTAGGAGTGAAAGAGATGAATCTTACGAGCCTGTGATAGATAAAATTTTCACGGTAGTGTATTTCTTCCCAGCCAAAATCCCCTAGGGAAATCAGTTGAATACCTTATACTATAATTTTAGTTTTTCATTTCCTTGTGTAAAAACACCCTAGGAGCTTTGCTGCAAAAAGGAATTCCCTGGGATTTTAAACCAGCATGGTTTAGAAAAGTCTTAACTTCAAAGTGAGGTTCCCAATGTACTGTTCATGGGTGGCATCTTTCAAAATGAAATAATTGGAATTCAGTGGAAGTCATGGCAGCTACACCTGGGGTTTGGTTTTGAAATAAGCAGGAAATATGTTCTGACACCCAGTGGCACAAAGTTTTACAGAGAGCATTGTCAATTGAGTGTGCCCTTAATCAATCTGAAATGATTTTAACATTGACTTTAATATGTATATGCTTTGAGACTAAGTGTTAGGAATGATCTCACAAAGATCTCACCAGGGGATGGGAGACACCTTTCCCACTGTGCTGAGTGGGTTGAGGACACTGCCAGCCTACTACCTGCTAAGCTCCCCTCCAAAAAACCCATGATGTGGAGGGGAGTGATGAGTGAGCTTCTTACAACATGCCTATTCTTGCAGAGTTCTCTCTCTTCCATCCTAGCTGCTGGGGTCATGTCAACCTTGTCTACCTGGTAAAATTGAGGACCTCTACTTCAAAACATCAACTCCATTGCTTGTCAGCCCACTGTTTTAGCCTTTATTTTGGTCCTGATACCTTTTTTGATTTCACATTTTCCCCCTTCCCAGGAGGGATCACACCTTGAATTCTAATTACCTTAGTTAAGAAGAAACATTGGAAAGATTTGTTGACATTCAGTCAAGAGCAAGAATGTAGGAGGAGTTGAGGGGGGAGGCCAAAGACTCACTTTGCTGTGTCTACTGTTTTACTGAGATGGGCTATGGCTGAGCATTGGAAAATCATCTTGTACACCTGTTGACTTGACTCAGGTGCGAGAAAGGTCCTGGATGCAACACCTGCCCTGTTTCAGAAGTGTCTGGCACCCTCTGGGGCTCAGTGCAATCTTTTTTGTTTGTTTGTTTGTTTTGAGATGGAGTTTCGCTCTTGTCACCCAGGCTGGAGTGCAATAGTGCAATCTTGGCTAGCTGCAACCTCCACCTCCTGGGTTCAAGTGATTTTCCTGCCTCAGCCTCCTAAGTAGCTGGGATTACTGGCACCTGTCACCACACCTGGTTAATTTTTGTATTTTTAGTAGAGATGGGTTTCACCATGTTGGCCAGGCTGGTCTTGAACACCTGAGCTCAGGTGATCCACTCGCCTTGGCCTCCCAAAGTGCTGGGATTACTTACAGGTGTGAGCCACCGCGCCTGGCCACAGTACCTTCTTATTGATTAACTCTGTTCTTAACTAACTGACTGATATAGTTTGGCTCTGTGTCCCACCCAAATATCATCTTGAAATGTAATCCCCACATGTCAATGGAGGGACCTGGTGGGAGGGGCTTGGATATGGAGGTGGTTTCCCCCATGCTGTTCTTGTTATAGTGAGTGAGTTTTCATGAGACCCGATGGTTTAAAAGTGGCACTTCCCCATTCAGTCTTGCTCTCTCTCTCTCTCTCTCTCTCTCTGCTGCTGCCATGTAAGACATGCCTTGCTTCCCCTTTGCCTTCTGCCATGATTGTACGTTACTTGTGGTCTCCCCAGCCATGTGGAACTGTGAGCCAATTAAACCTCTTTTCTTTATAAATTACCCAGTCTCAGGTAGTTCTTTATTTATAGCAGTTCTTTATTTTATAGCAGTGTGAAAACGAACTAATACATTGA
This sequence comes from Homo sapiens, assembly GCF_000001405.40. Lineage (NCBI taxonomy): Eukaryota > Metazoa > Chordata > Mammalia > Primates > Hominidae > Homo > Homo sapiens. Next base: position 87,966,251 of record NC_000006.12, read on the forward strand.
CCCTCCTTAAAAATGACCATAATTAATTTTCAAGTTCTGGAGGGAAGTTGTAACAGAGTTTTATTTCCAGTGAGGCCCAGCACTTGAATTTTTAGAGGCTCACTTCATCTTCTACCCTTTGCTAAGGTTTTGCTCAGTTCATTAGTAAATCTTCTTAGAGGGAATGAAATAAAGAGGGGATCAGAGGAAACTTGCCTTCGTCAAAACAGTTCTGGTGAAGGATTTTGTCAGTAAGTATTTGTAACTGCTGGCTTATCAGAGGTTTGAGATTAACTCTGGATTTAATTTGTCTGAGCTATATATTTCCCAGTCCTTAGTAAATGACCAAGAATTGATTCTGGGTGGTGAGAAATCCATACACTATCACACTGGCATGTCCCTTGAGGATTAGGCAAGCCATTTTAGTACTGAGGTACACAACAGATCTTTGCCCTCCTGCTTGCTATGGTTGGCTTTGAACGCAGACATTGAGTGTGGAGAGGGTTTGGCTCTGAGTCCAAGTGGGCTGACTGCCTCACACAATCTCTTCCCATGCCCCCTGAGGTTTCTGAGCCCCATTGCACAGGCAGTCACTAGATCAACTGGAATTTACCGCATCAAATTCAAGTGTAGACAAACCTTTTGGTATTCATGCCGGTGTGTGTGAAGTGTCCACACTGATACCTGGCTTGTCAGTGGTGGCTAATACCTTGAAAACATGATGGAGACACTGAGCTGATTTGGAGGCACATATGTTAGCTATTGATCAAGGGCATCTTTTGCTCTTAGTTGGGGCCCCTTAAGCCGCTTACTTTCATAGACTAACTTTGACTTCTTTCTTCTTCACATCAGGAGCCCACTTACATCCTAGCCACTGGATTATGTTTAATGGCATTCAAACTAACTTTTTCCAGTATCAGCTTAGATCATCCTTGAAAAGCTGACCCTGCTTTCAGGTCTCCAAAGGATGCTTTTCTTCTGACACTCCACTATTTACTGAACTGATCATTGCCTTCTCCCTCTTCACCTCCTGACTTCTCTTTTTAGGCTAGTCCCATGCAGCAACTTTTGGTTTCTTAAAATACGTAGCCAGTTGAGTATTTTTTTTCTTTTAGCAATCATGGTGTAGTTCCATGATCCTTAATGGAATTTAGCCATTTCTCACTTTTGAAGCATGGCATGGTCTCAAGCTCCTTATGTCTGTGCCCAAGGCACCATCCTACCTTCATTTGTCATCTCCAAATCTAGAGGGTATCATTTTCATCATTCTCACTTCTTATAACCTCAAAGCTTTCCAGTTAGCGCTTGGGCTCTCCCTAGAACCTCATTTCCATGCCCCCTGCATAAGGGTCCTAGAAACCTACCCAGCATCAAAACTTGGCAGTCCCTATGCCTGTCCTTGCCCTGCAAAACCATATTCAGGAATGAGGAGCTGTACCTTAGAGCATTTTACCATTTCACACATGGCACCTTTCTTGAGCTCACTTTGACCCTCATCATAACGAGCCTGGAATGGAAGGCAGTGGGTTTGGGGAAGCTTCACATAGAGGAGTGCTAGCTTTTTCTACATTCAGACAGAACAGGATGAAACTGAAGTGGCTATGCAGATATTTTAGTCTCACTAGAATTCTTGTTCCATTACACAACAACTTTAGGCAGTCAAAATTTCAAATTTGAGAAGGAGGCAAGAGTCTTGTCGTGCAAGGCACTGGTCCATTTTCTGCAGCAGGTTTGGTTCAATTAATTTCTGACATATTCTTTCCTTTGTAAAGGTACAAAGATAACACAGAGAGAGACCCACAGCTTTTTCAAAGGTACAAAAATTTGGGCAATTTGAGGGAAAATACAAGGAAGAGAGGGGAGATTTACTCTACACCTCCACACCCCCAAATAGAGAAAGCCAGAGATGTGTATTATCTGTGTGTGTGTGTGTGTGTAGGTGTGCACATGCATGCATGAACATGCACACATGTGTGTGACTTGTGACTCCAAAGTAATGTAGCAGATTTTCAGACGTGGTTTTTGGAACCTTTCTTATTACATTAATATCTTGGACTGTACATACGTGAATTCCACGCCTGTAAGTGTACCTGCACCCATACACAAAAGCTCACAATATAAGATCCACAGTGCTAACATTACAGATTCTGCAGTTGATGAAAAGCGAGCATTGAGATTTGTGATGTATATGTTTACATCAAGGTTTTGAATTCAGCGACCTGCTGTTTTCACAGTCGCTGCCATTCTCTGCACAGCCTGTTTGGAAATGTTACAGTCCCTGAGAGACCGGCTCCCTCATGAATAGGCAATTAGATGTCTCCTCCCTCCAGGCTGCGAGAGATGCTCCCTCCCTCCTGGAATCTTCTCTACTTTTAGAAAACGTGTGCTTAACTTGTAAATGTAGTTTTCAGTGCTGGTAAGAATATTTTTGTTTTGAATAACAATCGCGTTCTTTTCCACAGCGCGAGGCTCTCTGCTGAGTAGCAAGGAGCCCCTCCCAGCCGGAAGGCTTTTGCGGTGCTAGCAGCGCCTGTCTCAGAGCCCTTCTTTATCAACACTGGGCTGCAGGGCCGGTTTCTGAAGTACGTAGTAAACATAATTGTTCTCACATTAAAAAGAAGAGGAAAACAAACAAGGCGCAGATATGTTCCGCAGTTTTCGCAGCACTGCATGGAGCTGTGACACGCAGGCTACCTAGGGGGCCCCCTCCTCCCCGATCTCCCTCTCACTAGGTGGGGAATCCTGGACGGCTGCTGGACTCCTCTGCGTTTCAGTTTCTCCCTCTGAGCCGTGAACCTCCTATGACTGTTGGGTGTATTAAATGAGATAATGTATAAAAATGTTTGGAATAACTACCTCGTGCATATCAGCTCTCCATACTGTTGCTGCCGCAGCTCTTGTAGAAGGTAGGTTTACCGGGAAATGGGCCCTCAACATACAAATTCGAAAATAAATTTAAGCATACATATTCCTCAGAAAATGCAGTCCTTTTCTCCAGATCTTGGCTTGACCTCCTTTTTCTAGCCAGTGCTAGTATTTTTAAAAAATCAGAATTGAGTCAATTTTAAGAAAATCCAATTTAAGTGTCAGAATCTTAGCCTTTCCTAAAACTCTTTACCAGCTCCCTATCATCTATAGGAAAAATAGAGACTCCTTAGTAAGGTATGAAGGGCTATTTGCAGTGTGGCTACCAACTACTTCTTTATCTTCTTCCCATGAGACACTGCCATATGTATTTTATGTGGCAGCAGGAATTAACTGGCCACAGTCCTGCTACGACACTGTATTATTTCATGCCCCTGGGCCTTTGCAGATGCAAATGCATGAAATTCTGTCTCCCCCTCTTTACTTTCTGGGACAACTCTGGCTCCATCTACGTGTGTTTTCTCTAACACTCATGATCCCCTTGATTAAAGTATTGCCTCCATCCTCCATGCTTTGCCCATATGTTTAGTCTTGTACATATTACCTGGTATTGCAATGCATTTGTTTATTAGTTTGTCTTTCCCATTTGACTCTGAGTTCTTTGAGGTGATGGACTAGGTCTTATTGATTTCTGTATTCCAGCACTAAACAAACAGCACAGACTCAGGGACACAAAAAATTGTTTCATGGTTTAATTGAAATAGGGAGTAAATGTTAATATTATTAAGGCAGGCACTGCAGAGATTTTTGTTGCTTTTCTTTTCCTTGCAATAATGAGGTCAGCTCTTGTATTAAAAATATTTTGGAGAACAATGCCCATTTATGTAAATGAAGAGTAGTTGAAACAACAGCAAGAAGTCTGGTGTTTCTAGGATTAATTTCGTTTGATTCAACAAGTGTTGTTCTAAGTGCTGGGGGTAATAATGAAGATGGAATAAGATACATTCTGTTTCCTCAAGGAGCTTTCAATCTGGAAGGGGATAAGGCAAACAGAGTAGAAAAAGGGCAAAATTCGTGCCATTAGAGGTGAACAAAAAAGAGTTCTGGAGGTTTGAAGGGAGAATCAGCCGAATGTAACTGGGGATTAGGAAGAGGTGTTGTGTGGAAGTGGCAATGTTTGCGATTGACCTTGATGGGCTAGGCAGAGATGGGCAAGAAGGATATTCCAGGCAGGAGGGACAGTATGTGTAAAGATCTAGGGGTGACTAAGAGGATATCCACTTGGAAACCATCAACCATCCGCCAGGCTCCATCTTATGCCTAGCATGGGCAAGTAGTTGGAGAAGAGGCTGAAAAACAAGTTTGTGGCTATTTTGCAAAAGGTACTTAGTCCCAGAATGAGGAAATTTGACTTAAGTTAGCAGGCATTGGGGAGCAATCAATACTTTTGAGCAGAAGAGTGATATAAATAGAAGAATGCTAAAGAAATTTTGGATTGCTAGCCTATAGGGATTGCCCGGGAAAAGGAGAACTTCACAGTAGGGATAGGAGAGAGGAGATTGCAAGATTGTAGATGGGAGGTACTAGCAGTGGAAGATAGTATCTGAGAGATCTTGAATTTTCTGAGGCTCACTTCATCTTCTACCCTTTGCAAAACAGAGAGGACATGTGCTCATTTTGATGTGAGGATGAGTAAGAATTAAGAGTCTCATGTGATGCTTGGGTTTAAAGCATGGATAAGGGAAGTCATGGAACCATTCAGAGAATTCAAGAAATCAAGCAGAGGAAGTCAGAGTGTTAGGAATGTTGTAAATTTGGTGTGGGTGATGTCCAGTTTAAGGATCTTCAAGTAAATTGGAAACTTAGGAGACAGGTCAGAGTTAGAGCTTCATACTGACAATAACTGACATCAGGGAATAGATGTTATACTGAGAAAAGGAAGACAGACAGAGGAGAAACCAAGTATAAAACCTTAGATAATACCTACGCTTATTAAAGAGAAAAAACAAACCGATAAGGGAGAACAATGATAGTAATAGAACCAGGATAGCTAGTGCAATCTCATGTAATTCAAGTGTGAGTTTTGAGGAGGAAATCATTCCTGGAGGGGAATTTCAGTTCATTGACTACCTGACAGGTAGTATAAAAACTTGTTTGAATTTCCATAGCTTTTTGGAGTTCATATTCCTTCATGATTATTTGTTTGTATGTCTTTCTCTCCTTCCGGACTGGGAGCTCCTCCAAAGTGGAAAACATGTCTTAGTTGTGTTTTTCCAGCCTTTAGCAGGGTACCTGGAATGTAGCTAGGGCTTAATGATCATTTGTGGAATGAGTAAACAAACAAAGTGATAGAGAAATGAAGACAAGGAAAGGCCCACTGTGCTTGAGAAAGAAGTAGAGCTCCTGAAATAAAGCAATGAGTGTTTCAGCAATTTTCTGCTCTTGAGAGAGGAAGAAACAACGTCTATGAAAAGGCAATTCAAAAGCAAGTGTTTAGAAAAATTCTAAGTCCTCCACTACGGCATGAAATTCATTGTCTAAATTTTCATAGAGTTAAGCCTCATGATTTGTGAGGTATTGCAATGAAATTATCCAGAAAGTAAAGAGTTCTATAACATTCCACCTACTTGAATTCAACTGGCCACATGATTAATGACATTGCTAGGCCCATTCAGGGCCTTTCATTTCCCAAGCACTTTATAAACATTGAGTAATCTCACAATACCCTTGTGAGATATTATCATGTTCATTTTCCATATGGTTAACTGAGCCAAGGAGGTTAAATGACTTGCTCAAAGGCCACACTGGAAGTCAATGGCATAAAACGTTCAGAAGGAAGGAATCCCCAGGTCCCATACCTCACTGTAGATTGCTGAACTGAATCTCACTCCATGTACTGCTAAGAAGTCTGACTGACAGGCCAGTGCTGTAACAGATTAGACTTTACAACCAAGATAAGTGAGGATTAGCATGCTGTCTCTGGCAGGTCAGGGCTGGCCCTGAAAAGAGAGAAAACTATGTTCTGCAGGACAACGTGATGTAAGACGTGCCTGGAAAAGGAAGAGTGGAACCTGGCATGGGTGAAATCACCTCTATGGATTTCCAAAGACAGTGAGATAGGAATCCGGGTAGTGGTGGAGAAAGACAGGCTTAGGAAATTTTGCTTGATGAGCATCTTGAATCTGAACATTGATGCCTTCTTACTTTTCTTATAAATATTTGCATTATTCTTTACCATTCAGTGTTGATTTTAATAGTCTTTTTTACACTTCTCCTATCTCCATATTTATCAATATGATGCTCCTTTGATCTAAAAAATGCCAAAATGTTGTCATACTGTCAACTCCTATGAACATGGCCTTTAAGAAAACCACTAACTTCTGATGAATTGGAAAGGTGAAATCTGACAGTCCCAGTTAGCTCACTAGGTTGGGTTGTATCTTTCTAATTTGCAATCATGTACTTATAGCCAAGTCTTAGAAAGTATTTGTGCCTTAGTTTTCTCAAAATGAAGAAAAGAGTATGGAGTGGATGCTGTTGATGCCTTGTGCACATTCCCCTGGGCTCCTTATATTGGGAGCTCAAAGACTCAGTGCCTTCTACTGTAGGCAGCTGTGACTTTTTGCCTGAGGAGTTTCTCTGACTGCTGGAGCATGCTCAGCCTGAGCTGGGGAGGTTAGAAGCCTGGGCTGCTAGTGTCTCAGGAGTAGACCTCGAGGAAACACTAATGGGAATTGGTGGCACAGGACCTCAGCTCTCTCACTGTGCCCCTTCTTCTATGTAGCCTCACTCCCAGCAGTCCTTAGTAGGATTGCACCTCAGTCATCTGCAGTAGTAGTTTGTTTGGTAACACATACGCTGTATTGACTTCTTTCCTTCCCTGTCTCGCTTTCCAGCTCTTCTAATTGTGCTGCCTGGGATTACCATCCAAAAAAACCATTCGCATCCAAATGCCTGTCTTAGGGTCTGCACTGGGGCCATCCCAACCTAAGGCCATTATAAGGGTTATAAGAGTATCATAGGATAATGGGGCTTTGAAGACCCTATAGTAATCATGAGTACATATCACTATTTACAAAGCACTTTCTTTTTTTTTTAACTTTTATTTTAAGTTGAGGGGTAGATGTACAGGTTTATTACATAGGTAAACTTGTGTCATGTGGTTTTGTTGTACAGATTATTTCATCACCCAGGTATTAAGCCTAGTACCCATTAGTTATTTTTCCTGATCCTCTCACTCTTCTTACCCTCCATCCTCTGATAGGCCCCAGTGTGGGTTTTTCCCTTCTATGTGTCCCTGTGTTCTCGTCATTTAGTTCTCACTTATAAGTGAGAACATGCGATATTTGTTTTTCTGTTCCTGCATTAGTTTGCTAAGGATAATGGCCTCCAGCTCCATCCATGTCCCTACAAAGGACATGGTCTTGTTCTTTTTTATGGCTGCATAGTATTCCATGGTATATATGTACCACATTTTCTTTATCCGGTCTATCCTTGATGGGCATTTAAGTTGATTCCATGCATATCATTGCTATTGTGAATAGTGCTGCAATTAATACATACGTGCATGTGTCTTTATGGTAGAATGATTTATGTTCCTTTGGGTATATACCCAGTAATGGGATTGCTGCATCCAATGGTATTTGTATCTTTAGGTCTTTGAGGAATCACCACACTGTCTTCCACAATGGTTGAACTAATTTACACTCCCACCAACAGTGTATAAGTGCTCCTTTTTCTCTTCAACCTCGCCAGTATCTGTTATTTTTTGGCTTTTTAATCATAGCCATTCTGACTGGTGTGAGATGGTATCTCACTGTGGTTTTGATTTGCATTTCTCCAATGATTGGTGTTGTTGAGCTTTTTCCATATGATTGTTGGCGCTGCATGTATGTCTTCTTTTGAAAAGTGTCTGTTTATGTCCTGCAAAGCACTTTCATACTCACTTTCTCATAAGATTCTTAGAACCACTGGTGAGTTAGGATGTCTATTATTATCATCTCTATTTAACATCAAAGTTATTGAAGTTCAGTGGGGCTTAATGCCTTGCCATGAGCCAAAGCTAGGAAGTGGTGCCTCTGGCTTTTAATTCCAACCTCTTTCTCCAAATCCCCACCTGATTCCACCTCCTCACTGTATTCTCAGGTGCTGCTAGCCAAGAAAGACTTGTACTTTGACTTCTAATGCTTCTGCAAAATGTAGATTCCATTAGTGTAGTTGAATAGCTGTTTAATCTCTATCTGCAGGTTAAATTTCATTGAAATATGTTAACTATGTGTCTATTGGAGAACTTTGATTAGCCACCATTGTGTTTTATAAGGTAAAGTAAACATTTAGATTTAAGTTATATTTAATTCTCTTTAGAGAAATGTTAAACATCATCAAAGTCAGTTGTCCTCTAATCATTTTTATGAATTATTTTTATAATTTATGTATGTTTTTTCAAGCCATAGATTCCTAGAGTTGGAAGAGACCTCAAGATGTGGAGATGCTGAAATCTTGTCCATAGCACCCCTGACAGATGGTCTCCCAGCCTCTGCTGTCATATTTCTTATAATGAGATCACCATCACACAAGAAGACTCACTTCATTGTTGAAAGTTCTGGTTATTTAAAATTTTTTCCTTTTATTGAGCCAAAGTGGCTTTATTGTAACTTCTCTCCTGTTAGTCTGGTTGAGACCTCTGGAAGTAAACAGAACAAGTTGAATGATTTGTCTTGGCTTGAATCTCTTTCTACATGAAAATAATTCTTTAAGTCCGTCATCTTTTCTTGTGTTGACATCTGTCTGTGTAATTTTGTTCTTATTAGGAGTGTCTGTGCTGATACCGTGAATGCATTATTAGTTCTTTATTTTTCTGCAGTGTTTCTTCTTATAGGTGATGTTTTCATTCCTCTATAGTGGTCCCAGCATTCCTGGCACCTTTTGGTACACCCCCTCATTCTTTTACAGTTACCATTTCTCCTTAGGTCTCGTTTGAGACCACGAGTATGCTAGTTTACCCTTGACTGTGAGTTTTCACTTGTTTGTTGTTGGATTTCTTCTCTTAGTTATTGTTCATTTGCTCTTCTCCTATGGTTGTAAAATTACATGTATTTATTGAACTCATATTTAATTTGAGATTTTCCTTTTGTCTTTGAGGCTCATCTTCTGGGTCCTGTTTCTCCTTCTTTTAGTTGTAAATGTGGGGGACTGATTGCTAGAAAGAGGTGTAAAGCACTCCTATTTTCCATATTTCTGCCCTGGATATCCTCCTTGGAGAGAGTTTTTAGCCTCTTCCCTTTTCCTCAGCCTTCTCCCCCTCCTCACAATCTTCTTTCCCTGGCATCTACAGAATACAAAGAACATGAATTTTAGATTTAGCAAACGTGAGTTTTAACTTGGCCTCTACCTCTGAATTAGTTTCCTTGGGCTGTGTAACAAATAACCACAAAGTGGGTGGCTTCAAACAACAGAAATTTGTTCTCTCACAGTTTTGGAGGTCAGAAGTTGGAAATTAAGGTATCGGCAGGGCTCTCCTCTCTCAGAGGCTTTGGGAGGGGATAGAGTACCTTCCTTGCCTCTTCCATCTTCTGAGGGCTGTTGGCATTCCTTGGCTGTGACTGTGTCTCTCACTGTTCTGCCTTCATGTTACCTTCTCCTCTGCATGTGTGGTGTCCAGTTTCCCTCTGCCTTTCTCTTACATACATGGACAATTGTGATTGTTCCACATTGAGGGCCCACCCTGATAAACTAGGATTATCTCCTAATCTCCAGATTCCTAACTTGACCACATCTTCTTCTTTTTTTTTTTTTTTTTTGACAGAGTCACGCTTTGTTGCCCAGGCTGGAGTGCAGTGGCACAATCTTAGCCCACTGCAACCTCTGGCTCCTGGGTTCAAGCAATTCTCCTGCCTCAGCCTCCCGAGTAGCTGGGACTACAAGTGTGTGCCACTATACCCGACTAATTTTTGTATTTTTAGTAGAGATGGGGTTTCACCACGTTAGCCAGGCTGGTCTCAAACTCCTGACCTCAGTGATCCACCTGCCTCGGCCTCTCATAGTTCTTGGATTACAGGCATGAGCCACCATGCCTGGCCTTGATCACATCTTCTGATAATCTTTTTCTAAATAAGAAAATATTCACAGGTTCTAGGATTAGAACCTGATCTCTTTGGTGGACATCATTCAGTCCATTTCAACCTCTTATTATTACTGTGAGGTTAAGGAAGTTATGTGCCTTGATTTTTTTTCATCTATAAATTGGAACCAACAATTACCACATTACAGCATTGTTTTGAGTTTTAAATGAGATAGCATCTATAAAGGACTCAGCACATATTAGGTGCTCAATACATTTTAGTGGCCTATCCTGCCTTCTAGGCAGGGTTTTTAGATGTGTTATTCAGGATCAGGCTCTTTATCTTCCCTAAGTTTAGTTTTCTGAATCTTTGTGCTTGGGTATTAAAATATTTATCCCATAATATCTTTGGGAATATCAAATGAGATCATGTATACAAAAGTGCTTTGCCAACTGTAGACTACTATAAAATTGTAAGTTGTTGCCATCTCAACATTAATATTAGTTTATGTTAAAGTGTGGTCAAGTGTAAGTCCCAGATATTCTTCCATTGAGCTGCAGCCTAGTCAACTCTCTTGCAGTCTATAGTTACTTAATTGATTTTTTTGAAACCAAATGTAGGATTTTATATCCTATGAAATTTAATCTTGTTGGTCTTGGCCCAGCATCCCGTCTGTCAAGTTCACTTTGAGTTTGTATTCGAGAGTTATTTATGTTATTCCTTCAAGCTCCGGGGCTGTTGCTGGCAGGCACACATTAGACTGTAATGCATTCAAAGAAGAGTCAGAGTTCTAAACTCCCCCCCCCATTACCACCCCCACCTCACCTCCTCCTCACCTCCTGACTTTGCTCAATTTTAGAAAGGCATAGAAACTCCCAATTTAATTTTATTTTGGATTGAGTATACACATTAGAGGACTAACTGCTCCCACTTCACCAGAATTTTCCAAGAGTTGATGGCTCTATGTAAAGGGCTTGAAAGAAAAAAAAAACGCCCACAGTATATACATATCTAGGGACAAACCAATCAGAAAATTGTCTTTCTTGTTCCTAATGGAAGACCAGAGGGTGTTTGTTAATTTTTTAAAGAATTCACACACACACAAACACACACACACACACACACACACACACACACACACTTTCTTCAAATATTTGACACATAGAGGTCTATAATGTTTTAAAGTTCCTATTTGTTATAAAATTTGATTTAAATAATGTTTGGGTCCCTTCTTTCCTTTTTAATATCATCCTTCTAATGATCACCCCCCCAACACACACACACACACACACACACACATGCAAACACACACACGCAGAACCCTTTTATTTAGTATCTTCAGCAAGGATGAATTTATAATTCCCATCACAACTCATCACATTTATATGGCAACAGAAACTGTAGTGCTTCGATCTGACCTGGCGGTCTGAAAGCATTACAGTTTATTAGGCAGAGCTTTTACAAGACCCTCATTTGCAGGGATGTTTCCATCAGAGCAATACCAAAATGTCCTCTGAACCAAGAAAATGGGAATAGCTATGAGCTTGTCAATCTTTGTTCTTTCAAACGTAGCATTTCACAATTCTGTTATCTACTGTGGAACCTTAGAGAGGCTCAAGTCTGATGAATATCTTTCAACTTCTATTAAGATCAAACTCAGCAGTCTGTACCTTGTCAACCATTATATTCATGAAGAGCGATAGATCACCTTTGAAACCTTTGAGAATAAGTAAGATGGTGGCTAGATAAAGGTTATTGTGCAGCAGTTGAATATTTAATAGATTCTGCTGGCAATTTAAAATAATACCGCATTATATGTTCAACTTTTTCCCCCTCAGAAATGTAGACTGAGGCTGAAGAGATATTTCAGTCATAATTACTGCACTTGAAATTGATGTGGATATGCATGCATATGAAAGGAAAATGAGAGGCGTTTTTCCCTCAGAAGAGAACCATTTTTGCCCATCACCACATATCAGACTAAAGAAACAAGGATAGTTTCTTTAAACTGAATGTCATACCCTATTCCAGCTAGTAACACATTCATTTGAATTAAGTTTTAAAAATAAAACTCCAATCAGCAGTCACAGCCAAGGCAGTATTTCAATCAAAAGATTTTTTGAAAAGTGTTGATTAAAAAATAAGTTCAGAAATATAAAGAAGTGGGATAGTTTAAAAAATCCCTGTGAGACTTAGAAATGATATTTTAGAACTAAAAACAAGAAAAAATGGAAATGTTCAAGTACTTCAAGGGTGCAAAATTCTTAAAGACATTAACAATTATTATGGCTTTAATATTTAATTCCCCCTTGGACCAATATTATTCTCCCCCATAAATGATCATAATAAGAGAATGATCACTTCTGCAGATCATCTTAAGGCAGAGGAGATGTGACTTTTAGGGGACAGGTAGGAGGATAAGCTAAAAGATACCAACCCCCTCCCTAAAAAACATATTCCTCACCAGTCCTTGAAATTTTAGCCTTTACGTTTATGTTTTTAAGTTGAGTTATTTTATCTCTCCAAAGCCTCATCAAAAATGGATCTACCTGGAAATGTTAACACTCATTGAGTTAGGGGTTCTCAAACTTTAATATGCAGGGGAATCACCTGGGGAGCTGGGTGGTGATAAAGATGCTTGGGTTTGGCCTCAGAGATGCTGATTTGTTATTTGTGGAGTGGGGTTTAGGGATCTGCTTTTTTTTCTTTTTTAAAAATCATCTTTATTTTTTTTTAGAGCAGTTTTCAGTCCACAACAATTGATAAGAAGGTATGGAGACTGCCTGCCCAAACACATACGTAGCCTCTTCCATTATCAACATCCCCCATTTGCACCTTTGTTACAACTGATGAACCTACATTGACATATCGTTATCATCTGAAGTCCATAGTTTACATTAGAATTCATTCTTAATGTTGTACATTCTATGGGCTTGGATAAATGTATGTGTATACACCAGCATAGTATCATACGATAGAGTTTCACTGCCCTTAAAATCCTCTGTTAACAAGTTTTCAGGTGAACTCCTGCCCTTGACCATGAGCAGGTCACAGCCACAAGCAATTTTTTTTTAAAGTAAAGAAGTGGAGAAGTAGGGAGGGTATAGCAAGAAACAAGGCATAGGAGACAATGTGAGGAGCCTGGCTAGAGCAGCGGAGAGTTAACTTAGGGCAAATCAGGAAATACTTGAGGGTCCTGGAAAATAGTGACAAATTATCCCACCAATGTCTTTTTATAAAAGCTATGCAAATCACCCACAGACATAAAACTCGAGTCCACAAATTTATTAATTAAAAAATTTCAACTGTATCCATATTACTTCCCCATTCCTCCCACTGAACCCTGCCAACACACACACAAACACACACACACACACACACACACACACACCATTCATTGCAGTTGTTTGGCATATTAGGTTCTAATTTTTCCCTGTCCCTCAAAGGGTCACCTATGGGTGAGGCTGTTATTAATGATCATGTCTACATGATATTGAATATCCAGCTGAAAATAGGGGAGAAAAAAATCAATAAATCTGGTTACTTGAAATTATGTGGACAATTCATTTTACTCCTTGTATCCCCAAAAGTTTATACATTTCAACCTTTTTTTTGACACTGATTTTTGTTTAAACTTCATTATATTAGCGTCAGGCAATAAATTACCCTAATATTGACAACCTAAGGGGATGTTTTCCCTTTTCTTGGTTGATTCCCTGAGAGTGGGAGTGATTGGGGGAAAAAAGGCATTTCTGAGCTCCTGACCTCGGTTCAACCACAGCATTTTTAGTTTTGCTTTCTTTTCTCGAAATTCTGTAACGTAAAGTGTGAAAACCCATCCAAGTCATAGGGAATGGGGAAACTGCCCATTTTTCTTTCTAAAAGATTATAATTGCCAAAGCAATAAACTCTATTATAGAAAATTCAGAAGTGAACAACAACAAAAAATATCAGACATAGTAGAGATACTCCTGTTAGCCTTCTGGCATGTTTCTTTTCATCTTTTTTGCTTGTTTCGATGCATGTATTATATATATTTTAATAATAACATAGCATTATGTCATACTGACAGTTTTAAAACTTGCTTTTCCCAGTTAACAATACTTCATGAGCATTTACCTATATTGATAAGTATTCTATGCATGATTTGCAATGGCTACATTCATTTCCCAGGCTCTGGATAGAGTACAATTTATTTAACCATTTTTTTTTCTGCTAGCTATTTAGGTGGTATTTAGCTGGTGTATTTTCTCCAGTATTGTAAATAATGCTCCAATGAACACGGGACATAAATCTTTGTGTACATCTCTGATTATTCCTTAGGGCAAATTTCTAAAAGTGGAATTTCTGGAACAAATTTTATGCATGACTTTAATGCTTTAGAAATATATTGTCAAATTTCCCTCCAGAAATAGTGTAGTAATTTACACTCACACCAGCAGTGTGTGAGTGACTGTTTCCCTGGACGCTTACAGGGAATTGTTGTTTTAAAACATCTTTGCCAATTTCCACTTTTAAATTTATGATGATTGTTATTAATGCCATGAAAAAGGTATCTTTTTAACAAATCTATTGATTTCTAACACACATTGCCATTGATAATCAAATATAAAATATTAAATATAACTGACTCCTGGTTTATCCACTGGATCAGTGGTTGACAGACTTTTTCTGGAAAAGACCAGATAAAAAATATTTTATACTTTGTGGACCATATGGTTTCTGTTTCAACTACCCAGCTCAGCTGCTGCAGTGCAAAAGCAGCCACAGGCAATACAAAAGTCAATGAGTATGGCTGTGGTCCAATAAAACTTTATTTACCAAACAGGCAGAGGGTCAGATTTTGCAGGTGGGCCATAGTTTGCTGGCCCCTGCTTTAGGCACAATGAAAACTCCTTATGTGTTAGCTACTGTCCTAGATACTAGAGCATAGAATCTAGTACAGAAAAGTATCTGGTGAGCAGAAATGATAAGACAGTGTGACAAATATTTTGATAAACAGATGCCCAGGTGCTAAGGGTATCAGAGAACAGGAAAGAGTCAGGTCTTGAAGGTCAAGTAGATGTTAGCCAAATGAAACTAGGAAGGTTTGGAATGTAGGGGCATAGAGTGGCATGCAGGACATCCAAGGAAGAGAAAATAGGAAGCATGTGCCAAGGCCCAAAAGAATAAGAACAAATTCCACAACCTATACCTAGTATCCTACACATGACTAGAAATCAGGTAGTGTTCATTAGCGTTCTCTAGAGAAACCAAAGTAATAGGAAATTTTACATATATATATATATTATATATATATATAATGTATATACATTACTGTTAGTATATCTCTATCTCTATATCTATCTAAAGATTTATTATAAGGAATTGGCTCATGCAATTATGGAGGCTAGGAAGTCCCATGATCTGTCGTCTGGAAATTGGAGATCTAGATAAGCTGGTGGTGTAGTTCCAGTCCAAGTCTGAAGGCTTACAACCAAGGGCACCAGTGGTGTAAGTACCAGTCTGAGGGCAAGAGAAGACCAGTGTCCCAGCTCAGCAGCCAGGAAGAGAGAGTAAATTCTCCCTTACTCCACCCTTTTGTTCTATTCAATCTCTCAACAGATTAAGTGATGTCCAATGCCCACTCGCAATGCAGAGGGTAATCTTTACTCAGTCTACTGATTTAATGCTAATTTCATCCAAAAATACCCTCATAAATATGGCTAGAAATAATGTTTAGCCAAATATCTGAGCATCCCTTGACCCAATCAAGTTGACTTGTAAATTAACTATCACAAATAGAAAATCATTGGAAGACAAAGCTGAAGAGGTGAGAGGATCAGACTGTGGAGGGCTCCATAGCCACACCAAGGAGTTTGCATATATCTGGAAGATGTTGGAGGCCCATGGGTGGATTATAAACTAAGAAATAACATTACCAGATTTCAGTTAAAAAATATCCTTTAGCTGGGAGACAAGTGCGGGTCTGCAAGCAGAAACTTCTGGTCCTGCTCAACCCCAGTGGCCAAGTATTAACTCCACCAAGCCTCAGTGCTCTGCTCAAGGCTCTCTGAAGCTACAAGGCAAGTGTATATCCATGAATATCTGTGGAGCATAGCCTCTGGCTCTGCTCATCCTGAGTGTTTCCATAGCAACCCCAGAGACCTTGCCCAACCTTGGAACTTATGATGCAGCCTTGTCCAACTACAGATTACAAACAGTGATGTCATCCAGCCAGGGATGACAGCCTGCAACCCAGGCTGATCAGAGGCAATTGCAGAGTCCAGTCAGCAGCCCTGCCTTATCAGAATCCAGCCATTGGTCTCACCAGACTGTAGAGCACATCCAGTAGTTCTGCTCAACTTCAGAACACAGACAGTGGTTCAGCCCAACTAGAGAACCCAACAGCAAGGTCTGCCTGCCTGGAGTTGCATCCAATCCCAGGCTAGAATAAATAGTGAAGGTCTATCACCATTGAAGACACCTGGAGGCTGGAAGAGGTGGCCATGTCCTCAAATGTGCAGATACCAATGCAAGGGCACAAGGATGTTGAAGAACCAGGGAAATATTACACCATCAAAAGAAACTCATAAAGCTCCAATAATGAATCTCGAAGAAATGGAGATCTATGAAATGACTGACAAATAATTCAGAATAATCTTCTAAATTCTTTGGGAAACCATAAGAAAATACAAATAGAAATGCAATGAAATTTTGAAAACATTCATGAGCAAAATGAGAAGTTTGATCCCCTCCCCCGAAAACAAAAACAGTAAAAACAAACAAAAAACAAATAGAAATCCTAGAGATTTGTTGAAGAGAACGAAGCTTTGCATAATACAAATTCTAGAATGAAAAGACAGAGAAAAGGCCCCAAAAGAATATTTTATAAAATAATGGCTGAAAATTCCCAAATCTAAGGACAGATGACAAAATCTGGGCACAGGAAGCTCAGAAGTCTCCAATAAATTTCAATCCAAAAAAGAGTTCACCAAGACACATCATAGTCAAACTATCAAAAATCAAACACCATAAAAAAATTCTGAAAACAGAAAGAAATAAGAAGCATATAATATTGAAGACAGTCCCATATGGCTGTCAGCAGATTTCTCAGCAGAAACCTTGTGAGCCAGGACAGAGTGGGATGACATATTCAAAGTGGTAAAGTTAAAAAAAACTACCAAGCAAGAATGCTTTACCTGGAAAAGCTATCCTTCAGAAATGATGGAGAAATAAAAACTCTCCTGATAAACAAAAGCTAAGAGAGTTAATCACCACTAGGCCTGCCTTATAGGAGTTGCTATAGATAATTCTTTAAGTTGAAATAAAAGACTGCTAATAAAATAAAACAGGTAAAAGTAAAAATACTCAATTGTATAAGTAATGTATAATCATCCAGACTATCTTAATACTGTAACGGTAGAGTATAGACCAATTTAATTTCTACTGTAAGAGTTAAAGACAGAACTATTTTAAAAAAAACTGTAGCTGAAATAAATTGTTAAGGCACAAATAACATAAAGACATAAATTTTGACATCAATATTATAAAAGATGGAGGGGAGGGAATAAAAGTGTAGGGTTCTTACATACAATGAAAGGTAAGTTGTCATCAGCTTAAAAGAGCCTGTTATAAGATGTTTTATGTAAGCCTCATGGTAATTACAAACAAAACATGCATATTAGTTGCAAAAATATCAAAAGAAAGAATTCAAAGCATACTATCTCAGAAAACAATTAAACCACAAAGGAAAACAGCAAGTGAGGAAGAAACAAAGAATCTACAAACAACCAGAAAACAAATTACAAGATAGTAGTAGCAAGTCCTTATTTAACAGTAGTTACCCTGAATGTAAATGGATTAAATTCTCCAATCAAAACACATAGCATGACTGAATAGATTAAAAAAAAAAAACTACATGCTTCCAACAAAGAGACTCACTTTACTAGTAAGAACACACATCGACTGAAAGTGAAGGGATGGGAAAGATATTTCACACAAATAGAAATCAAAAGAGAGCAGAGGAAGCTATATTTATATAAGTCAAAAGCTGTAAAAAGATACAACAAGAGTCATTATATAATGATAAAGGGGTCAATTCATCAAGAGGACATAACAATTGTAAATATGTGTGCACCCAATATCAGAGCACCAAAATATATAAAGCAATTATTATATTATCTGAAGGGAGAGACAGAATGCAATACCATAATACTAGGGAACTTAATACCCCACTTTCAATAATGGACAGATCATCTAGACAGAAAATCAATAAGAAAACACTGGACTTGAATTAGACTGTAGACTAAATGAATCTAACAGACCTGTACAGAACATTTCATCTAATAGCAACAGATTACATATTTTTCTCAAGCAAACATGGATCATTCTCCAGGACAGACCTTATGTTAGGCTATAAAATGAGTCTTACCAAATGTAAGAAGATGGAAATCATATCAAGAACTTTTTTTTATCCCAAAGGCATGAAACCAGAAATAAATAACAGGAAAAATCTTGGAAAATTCACAAATATGTGAAAATTAAACATTATCCTAAACAACTAATTCGTCACGTAATAAATCTGAAAGAAAATTGTAAAAATACCCAAAGACAAATAAAAATGGAAATACAATACAGCAAAACTTATGGGATACAGCAAAAGAAGTCCTAAGAGGGAAATTTATAGCAATAAACACCAATATCAAAAAAGAAGAAAGATCACAAATAAATAATCTAATGTTATACCTCAAGGAATTAGAAAAAGAAGAACAAACTAAGCACAAAAGTAGCTGAAGGAAATAAATAACAAAGATCAGAGCAGAAATGAATAAAATAGAGACTAGAAAAACAAGGTTTTTTTTTTTTTGTTTGTTTGTTTTAGATGGAGTTTTGCTCTTGTTGCTGGAGTGCAATGGCATGATCTTGGCTCACTGCAACCTCCGCCACCCAGGTTCAAGTGACTCTCCTGCCTTAGCCCCCCGAGTAGCTGGGATTACAAGCATGCACCACCATGCCCGACTAATTTTGTATTTTTAGTAGAGATAGGGTTTCTCCATGTTGGTCAGGCTGGTCTCAAACTCCCGACGTCAGGTGTTCAGCACGTCTTGGCCTCCCAAAGTGCTGGGATTATAGGCATGAGACACTGCACCTGGCCAAGAGTTCATGTTTTGAAAAGATAAATAAAATTGACAAACCCCTTAGCTAGACTAACTGGGAAATAAAGAGAACACTCAAACAAATAAAATCAGAAATGAAAGAAGAGGCATTATTACAGATTCCATGGAAATACAAAGGATTATAAGAAATTACTATGCCAACAAATTGCATAACCTAGAATAAATGAATACATTCCTAGACACATACAATATACCAAGACTGAATCATGAAAAAATAGAGAACCTGAACAGACCAATAATGAGTCTATTGTTTGACAGAACAATAATGAGTGAGAAGATTGAATGAATAATAAAAAATTTCCATCAAAGAAAAGCCCAGGACCAGATGGCTGAATTCTGTCAAACATTTAAAGAAGAACAAATACCAGTCCTTCTCACACTCTTTTGCAAAATTGAAGTGAATGGAATACTTCTCATTTTACAAGGCTAGTATTGCCCTGATATCAAAGCCAAATAGGGACACTACAAGAAAGAAAAACTACAGGCCAATATCCCTGATGAACATAAATGCAAAAATACTCAACAGAATATTAGCAAACTGAATTCAACAACATGTTAAAAGAATCACTCACCATGATCAAGTGGGATTTATCCTTTGGATACGAGGATGACTTAACATATGTAAATCAATCAGTGTGACGCATCACATTAACAAAATGAAGAATAAAAATCGTGATTATTTCAATAGATGCAGAAAAAGCATTTGAAAAATTTCAGCATCCTTTCATGATAAAAAAAAAACCATAATGGATTAGGTACAGAGGGAATGTACCTCAACAAAAATAAAGGCCATATGTGACAAACGTATAGCTAACATCAAACTCAACAGTGATAGGTTGAAAGCTTTTCCTCTAAGATCAGGGATAAGACAAGGATGCCCACTCTCATAATTTCTTTTCAGTGTAGTACTGGATATCCTAGCCAGAGAAACTAGGCAAGAGAAAGAAATAAAAGACATTCTAATAGAAAGAGAATAAGCAAAATTTTATCTCTGTTTGCTGATGACATGATCTTATGTATGGAAAACCCTAAAAGCTCCACTAAAAAACTGTCAGAACTGATAAAGGAATTCAGTAAAACTGCAGAATACTAAATCATTATACAAAAATCAGTAGCATTTCTATACATTAATAATAAACCACTGAAAAGGAAATTAATCCCATTTACATAGCAAAAACAGCAACAAAAATACTTAGGGGTGGAAAATTTAAGCAAGGAGGTAAAAGATCTGTATACTGGCCAGGTGCGGTGGCTCATGCCTGTAATCCCAGCACTTTGGGAGACCAAGGCGGGCAGATCACGAGGTCAGAAGATGGAGACCATCCTGGCTAACACAGTGAAACCCCATCTCTACTAAAAATACAAAAAATTAGCCGGATGTGGTGGCGGGCGCCTGTAGTTCCAGCTACTCGGGAGGCCTAGGCAGGAGAATGGCATGAACCTGGGAGGCGGAGCTTGCAGTGAGTCGAGTGCCACTGCACTCCAGCCTGGGCGACCAAGCGAGACTCTGTCTCAAAAAAAAAAAAAGATCTGTATACTGTAAACTATAAAACACTACTGAAAGAAATTGAATAAAACACAAATAAATGGAAAGACATCCTGTGTTCATAGACTGAAAGAATTAATACTGTTAAATGTCTATATTACCCAAAGCAATCTACAAGTTTAATGCCACCCCTATCAAAACTCCAATATCATTTTTTTCAAAAACAGAAAAAGACAGTCATTAAATTCTTATGGAGCTACAAAAGGCCCTAAATATCTAAAACAATCTTGAGTAAAAAGAACAAAACTGGGCACATCACACTCCCTGATTTCAAAATATATTATAAGGCTATTTTAACCAAACAGCTGGAATAATACCACGTATCAACCAATAGAACAGTATACAAAGCCTGGAAATAAGT
Source organism: Homo sapiens (assembly GCF_000001405.40). NCBI lineage: Eukaryota > Metazoa > Chordata > Mammalia > Primates > Hominidae > Homo > Homo sapiens. Next base: position 87,987,221 of record NC_000006.12, read on the forward strand.
CCACATATTTACAGTCAATTGATCTTCCACAAAGGTGCTAAGAACACATAATGGGGAAAGGACAGCTTCTTCTATAAATGGTGCTAGGACAACTGGATATCCACATCCAGAAGAATGAAATTGGATCCTTATTTCATATCATATATGAAAATCAACTCACAATGAATTAAAGAACTAAATATAAGACCTGAAGCTGTAAAGCTACTAGAAGAAAGCACAGGGGGAAAGCTCTACAACATTGATCTGAGCAATAATTTTTTATATATGATTCTGAAAGCACAGGAAATAAAAGCAAAAATAGACAAATGGGACTATATTAAACTAAAAAGCTTCTGCACAGCAAAGGAAACAACTAGCAAAATGAAGAGACAACCCACAGAGTGGGAGAAAATATTTGCAAACCATACATCTGATAAAGAGTTAATATCCAAAATATATAAGAAACTCAAACAACTCAATAGCAAGAAAACAAATAACCTAATGAAAAAGTGGGCAAATATTCCTGTACCTGAACAACAGTCAAGCCAGGATCCAAATCAGGAACATACTCCCATTCACAGTTGCCACAAAAAGAATAAAATACCTAGTAATACAGCTTACCAGGGAGGTGAAAGATCACTACAAGGAGAACTACAAAACACTTCTCAAAGAAATCAGAGATGACACAAACAAAAGGAAAAACATTCCATGCTCATGGATAGGAAGAATCAATATCATTAAAATGGCCATGTTGCCCAAAGCAATTTACAGATTCAGTGCTATTCCTATTAAACAACCATTAAGATTCTTCACAGAACTAGAAAAAAACTATTTTAAAATTCACATAGAATTGAAAAAATGCCTGAATAGCCAAGGCAATCCTAAGCAAAAAGAACAAAGCTGGAGACATCATACTACCCAACTTCAAACTATACTACAGGGCTACAGTAACAAAAACAGCATGGTTTTGGTACAAAAACAGACACATAGACTAGTGGAACAGAACAGAGAACCCAGAAATAAGGCTGCACACTTACAACTATCTGATTTTCGACAACCATGACAAAAACAAGCAATGAGGAAAGGGTTCCCTATTTAATAAATGGTGCTGGGATAACTGGCTAGCCATATGCAGAAGATTGAAACTGGGCCCCTTTCTTAAACTATATACAAAAATTAACTCAAGATTGATTAAAGGCTTAAATATAAAACCTAAAGCTATAAAAACCCTGGAAGACAACCTAGGCAATACCATTTAGGACATAGGCACGGACAAATATTTCATGATGAAGACTCCAAATCAATTGCAACAAAAGCAAAAATTGACAAATGGATCTAATTAGACAAGAGCTTCTGCACAGCAAAATAAACTGTCAACAGAGTAAACAGACAACTTACAGAAGGGGAGAAAATTTCTGCAAACTATGCATCTGACAAAGGTCTAATATCCAGCACCTCTAAGGTGCTTAAGCAAATTTACATGAAAAAACAAAACCCATAAAAAAGTCGGCCATGGACATGAACAGACACTTCTTAAAAGAAGACATACATGTGGGGCCAACAATCATATAAAGAAAAGCTCAACATCACTGATCATTAGAGAAACGCAAATCAAAACCACAGTGAGATACCATCTCACACCAGTCAGAATGGCTATGATTAAAAAGTCAAAAAATAACAGATGCTGGCAAGGTTGTGGAGAAAAAGGAACGCTTATATACTGTTGGTGGGAGTGTAAATTAGTTCAATTATTGTGGAAGACAATGTGACGATTCCTCAAAGACCTAAAGATAGAAATACCATTTGACCCAAGAATCCCATTACTGGGTATATACCCAAAGTAACATAAATCATTCTTTTATAAAGACACGTGCATGTGTATGTTCACTGCAGCACTATTCGCAATAGCAAAGAATGGAATCAACCTAAATGCCCATCAATGGCAGACTGGATAAAGAAAATGTGGTACATATATACCATGGAATACTAGGCATCCATATGAAAAAATGAGATCATGTCCTTTGCAGGGACGTGGATGAAGCTGGAGACCACTATCCTTAGCAAATTAATTCAGGAACAGAAAACCAAATACCGCATGTTCTCATTTGTAAGTAGGAGCTAAATGATGAGAACACATGGACACATAGAGGGGAACAACACACACTGGGGCCTATCAGAGGGTGGAGGCTTGGAGGGACGAGGATCATGAAAAATAACTAATGGGTCCTAGGCTTAATACCTGGGTGATAAAATAATCTGTATAACAAACCCTCATGACACAAGTTTACCAATGTAACAAACCTGCACATGTACACCTGAACTTAAAAGTTAATTTTTTTTCAAAGGGAAAAAAAAGTGGGTAAAGGACCTGAACAGACATTTCTCAAAAGAAGACATACAAATAGGTACATGAAAAAATGCTCAGTATCACTAATCTCAGGGAAATGCACATTAAAATCACAATGAGATATCGCCTTACACATGTTAGAATGGCTGTTATCAAAAAGATGAAAGATAACAAGTATTGGTGGGTCTGCAGAGCAAAGGGAACCCTTATACATTGTTGTTGGGTATGTAATAGTACAGCTATTATGGAAAACAGTATGGAGGTTCCTTACAAAAACCAAAAATAGAACTATATGATCCAGCAATCTCATATTTGAGTGTATATCCAAAGGAAATGAAATCAATATGTTGAAGGGATATCTGCACTCCCATGTTAATTGCGGCATTATTTACAATAGCCAAGATGTGGAATCAACCTAAGTACCCATGAATGGATCCACAGATGAAGAAAATGTGGTATGAATACACAATGAGACATTATTCAGCCTTTCGTAAAGGAAATTCTCTTGTGACAATATGGATGAACTTGGAGGACATTATGCGAAGTGAAATAAGCCAGGCACAGAAAGACAAATGATCTTACTTATATGTGGAAACTTAAAAAAGTCTAACTCCTGGACATAGCGTAGAACGAAGGTCACCAAAGGCTGCAGGGATGGGGGAGAAAATGGGAAGTTGTTAGTCAAAGGGTACAAAGTTTCAGTTAGTAGGAATAAGTTTTGAGATCTATTGCACAGCAGGGAGACTAGAATCAATAATAATGTATTGTATATTTCAAAGTAACTAAGAGTAAATTAAAAAATGACTCACCACAAAAAATGATAAGTGAGGTGATAGATATGTTAATTAGCTGGATTTAGTTATTCCAGTTGGTATACATATATGAAAACATCACATTGTGCCTCACAAATGTATAAAATTATGAATTTTCAATGAAAAATATTCATTTTTAAAAATCAGTGATTGTATTATAGTCATATAAGAGATTATAAACATTTCCTATTAACATTAGGAAAAGCTTGATGAATGGTTTATGGGAACTCTGTACTGATTCTGCAACTTCTCTGTAAGTCTAAAATTATTTCAAAATTGAAAGTTAAAAATATCCTTTTGGCAGCAGTGTGGAGGATGAAGTAGAGAAGTAGGCTGGAGGGGGGTATTGTGGTAATCTGGGGTGAGGAAGGTCTGAAATCAGACCACAGCAGAAGGCCTGGAGGAGAGAAGAGGGTGGATGAGAGAAATTTAGGAGTGAGAGGAGTCAGGATTCAGTGACTGGATGAGGCTGGAGATGGAGCCATTACAGGGACAAGGCTTGCACGAAGTGATAATATTCTTCCTTTAGCAGGAGAAAGAAATTTAACTTTGAACCAGATGTGAGATGAGACCACATGTTAGAGGGTGTTTGAAGAAATTGAATGACTGCCTTCTAGCTGAGTAAGATTTTCAAGTGAAGTGTAACTGTGTCCAATCCTCTACCAAAAGAGAATACACAGCAGGACGGCTGCTTTCAAGACCAGAGGAGGGCCAGGGCTTTTTATGTGAGCACCATGAATTTGTGTATGAAGTAGGAAGAATGTGAGAGGAGTCACTAGACCCTACAGGAACTCACAAATTCTCAGGCGTGTGATGTTTCATGGAACCCTGAATGCTTCTTTGAAAATGATGGAAATCATATAGTAGCCTTAAGAAAGATTCATGAAGCGAGTGTTGTGTTAAACTCTAGTCTCAGAGTGTTAGTTCTAAATTATTCCCAGCCTTGGGTAAAATCCCTTAATGGTTTTTTTTCTTTATCATTTGATCAACTGCAGTGACCTAGAGCTATCAGCTAGATTGAATTAGAGGGTTACCCTTCCTCAAGGAAGGCAGGTGGAAATACACCGTACAAAGCCATTTCTCAGGGATAATTTATTTTCTCCTTTAATTCACAGCTGGCTATTTGATGGTAAGCTAATTGGCTGAATGTGAAATATTTAGATGTTTTGTTTCATATGATATCCCAAATTGGTTTATTTTACAGGCTGAATTTACTGAATTAATCAATTATGTGACTGTCATCCAATTATTTTCCTGTCAACCATTCCAAAAGTGTGAACATTTCCAATAATGCTAAGAATTACTTCGAAAAGTTTGATGTAGTTTGTCTTTTAAAGGGTGTTTCAGAGGAGATAAGTATCCAAATATATATTAAAAATGTAAATCTTGTATTTCACGTTGTATTATTGGGTGCATTTTTCTAATGATTTAAGAGATTAGATGAAAACTACTTCGGAAGCTATTGTTTCCCAAATCTTAGGCTTGGTAATAAGAGAAGAGGGAAACACAGCCAATTAAGAATGGTTTCTAGCCAGGCACTGTGTGTCATGCCTGAAATCCCGGCACTTTGGGAGGCCGAGGCGGGTGGATCACCAGGTCAGGAGTTCAAGACCAGCCTGACCAAGATGGTGAAACCCTGTCTCCACTAAAAATACAAAAATTAGCTGGGTGCGGTGGCAGGTGCCTATAATCTCAGGTACTTGGGAGGCTGAAGCAGGAGAATTGCTTCAACCCAGGGGGCAGAGGTTGCAGTGAGCTGAGATCACACCACTGTACTCCAGCCTGGTGGACAGAATGAGACTCTGTCTCACAAAAAAAAAAAAAAAAAAGAATGCTTTCTGTGTGCATAAGACTGTAGATGTCATGAAGAGAGTAAGATAAAAGAGAAGAAAGAAAAAAATCAAAATGAAAAAAAGCATTGTCCTGGCCTTCCAGGAATTATAATAAAATGAAAGCATAGTTGGCTATCTTATCTGTCTATAGAAAAAGAAAAATAGAACCGTGATTTCAGGATCAAAAGAAGTACAAATTGAACATTTTGAAAGTATGCATTTAAATGCTAAATAGGGGCTGGGCGCGGTGGCTCACACCTGTAATCCCAGCACTTTGTGAGGCCGAGGTGGGCAGATCACTTGAGGACAGGAATTCGAGACCATCCTGGCCAATATAGTGGAACCCTGTCTCTACTAAAAATAATAATAATAAAATAAAAAATAAAAATTAGACAGGAGTGGTGGCAGGCACTTGTAATCCCAGCTACTCAGGAGGCTGTGGCAGGAGAATCGCATGAACCCGGGAGGTGAAGGTTGCAGTGAGTCAAGATCGCGCCACTGCACTCCAGCCTGGGCGACAGAGGGAGGCTCCATCTTAAAAAAAAAAAGTGCTAATGAGGAACATATTTATAAACACCCACAATAATAATGCCTTTTTGTTTTCTAAGGTGCAAAGAAGATGATAAAATATAATCACGAAAAGTCAGATGAAAACACAAGCCTCCAGGAAAGTTGCAGCCAACCAATTTCACAATCTTGTTCCAGGAGTGCCTGACCCAGGTAATAACTTTGATTCACAACTCAGACATTAGAAAAAGCAGCTATGGAAATTAATCTAATGGACAACATAGTTGTTTGAATTTTTACATCGGAAATGTCTGAATCTCCATCTTCCTAAGGGAGACACTTCGGAGGCAGTCATACTGACAGTTGTAGTACTGAAACCTGTGTTGTCCTGTCACTAAACTGTAAAATGCAAGATGTTTGGAAGACTAACACATAAACTGGCCCAAACTGGTCAGGATGATTGTTTTCCTATCTTTTCTCACCATGTTGTAGTCTATCAAAAAGAGCTGTAGTCTGCTTCTGGATAGAAAAAAAGAAGTTTTTTTGACAGGCCATCACAAAACAGCTATTTTAAAATGAGCAGTAGATTTTAATCTTAGTAGACTAAGGGTGGCTTTTGTCACACACTTTTGACTACCTAAATTGAAGGCTTTCAAAAGGAAAACATTCAAAAGAACCCCCAGTGAGTCAGCAAAGACTTTGAAAAGATTGTGTATATTTTCTAAAGCATATTTTTAAAAAAATCATGTACAGGGGGAAAGTGTAGAACATGTACCCACAAGAGCTAAATTTAAAAAGTGTGCGTACAGTGAACACATGCGTAGCATATGGATGCGGCTGACGGAAGAGGGCCTGGCCTCCATTCAAGACACCACTCACAGCAGATGCACCGTCATAAATTTGAGCTACACAGCCACATCCTTGCTGGTCAGGTTCCAGTCAGTTGTCTTTGAATCCAGTATGGTTAATGTACCCTCAAACTCCAGTTTTCATTTTGGTAGGAGGGAAGAGAAATTCCTATGTGCAAAAGCCAAATTGCACACATCCCAGACTGATAAATAGTCATTCATTCTTTACCTCTTGCGAGACATTGGCAAGTAAAATCCCTGGCAACTTTTCATTTCAGCTTTTTAGCCTAACAGATTTTGCCCATTGTCTGTCATCTGATTCCAACATGCATCAAGGATGGACAGTCAGACTTGATAGGATTACCACGTTTTCTAGTATTAAATAATATTTCTCAAACAAATTAAAAGGCTCTGAATGTAACAAGTAGTAAGAAAACCCTTACTACTTTTCCTTTTGTGTTCTCTCGACGCCCCAAAAAAGTACTACATTCATTTATTTGCTGGTGAGGTTCTTGGTTGTTCACTTAAAATGGTGACACAGGTGCTAAAACATTTTTAACATATTTGTGAACTATGTAAGTATCTTACAATTCAAATCAAATCTTTGAATTATCTCTATATGGACCTAAAGATGAAGTAGTTTATTACTGTTCTCTGCAGATTCATGCAATAACTGAGGACTTTGATGATGAAAGGTGCAGTGTTCAGCCAGACCAGCAACGGGTGAAACGTACCGTCTCCACAAATCAAATAGATGGTCGTCTTTGGTCCTCACTGGATGGGTAGAGCAGATGTTGGTAGGGAGGGGCCTGCTTTGCACAATCCTTTGGACAAATAATTTGATAACTTTGGCAGAATTGAATCTACTAATTTGATTCTTAGAATTCTAGGTGGTGGAACAGTACCAGATGCCTCACAAAATATTAGCATCCATGTTTAACTGCTCCTCATCACATCCTCTTCACTCCTCTTTGGGGAGCTTCATTTTAAATTAGATGCAGCTGCGGAGTGAAAGATTTCTTTCATGTTCCTATTTAGTATGAAAACAATAGCAAAAATAAACATTCAATTTCCTAACTTTTCGGAATTCTTCCTTTGGCTTTGACATTTTTTTTTTTTTAATGGGAGAGGGACGGTTTGATCAGGGTGCTGTTTTAGAGACCATCTAACAGAAATTCCATGGAGAACTATTTGTTTTTCACATTCTTCCAGCAAAATTCACTAAATGTGCCTGAGGTGCTCATTTCAAAAATTGCATATAAGCAGGTTATTTTCTCTAATTCTGACAAGTTTCAATCACATATTTATTTCATTTGATTCATTTTAGTGAAGTGGACATTAATCCTACTTTGTTTAATTTCATTGCTCAAGGAATTAATGTGTCATTTGTTGGTTACTAGGTTTCAAAAGAGAAGGGAAAAGAAACACTTGGGAAAAATGGAAGTTTCATCTCTGGCCTGCATTACAGCTTCTGGCATATTTTTAGATGCCAATAAGTAATGTCAAAGAAACAGCTGTTAAAATGATCCTGCTTAACAGCCATAAAGGAATGAAGATTTCCACAGAGAGCTTTGTGAGTATACCTGGCATGTGTATCATTGTTTGACTTATTTCCACTTGATAATCAGGGAAGTTTAATTCTCCTTTCTCTCTTTCTCATTCTCCTCTTGCCATGAGTTTTCTTTTCTTTTGTCATAGCCTTGCAAGTTGCAAAGAATTGCTGTTTTTCAGCTCCCTACAGTGAAATAATGGGAAACAGGAAGTCTACTCTCTTTGTGTCATTTGGGATAACTCATTCTGGAGTTTGTTTCTTGAGTTACATTTGCCTATAGATACAAAGTGATCTAAAGGGCAAACCAGAAAGGGAAAGCCTAGAATAGCCTCTTTGTCTGGGGCCTTTCAAATCTCTGCAGTCATTAATACTTTATCGACTACCTGTGGAATAAGAAATGTCTGGGTTGGCTGCTTCTAGCAAAAAAAGTTTATTTTCCCTTCAGATCAGTCTCCGTGGAGCTGCCATTTCCTGCTGACTGCGAGACAAGATGGAGTGCCAGATTGTCATTTAGTTTAACTCCATGGAAATGAGGCAAGGGAATCTGACCATGATTAAACCTTTGCATCCAGCAAAAGAACACAGGGCAATCAAGGAAACCTTCTGCTGGCCCTCGGGGGACAGACTGTTGGTAAGTTTGCAAGACGTGTTAGGCTGGCAGACGGGGAGTCCCCAGGAACACAGAGGTGACAAAAACTCTTGGCATTCATTTATTCAGACCTTTCATTATGCCAGAATCGAAGCACTTCCTTTAAGGAGGCTGCCCTAAAGATATGGCTAGCTTTTATGACCAAGAAAAGGTAAACAGAAAAACAGACCCATCAGAGGAATGACCAACCACAATGCTCAGGAGAGGTCTAGCACAACTCAACCATTCCAGCTGTTTTCCTGACTTCTGTGTGTGTACATACATGTACACACACACACACACACACACACACACCCCTTTGTCAACCTCAGTTTTGCAAGTCTCTTGTTCAATTGCTTGTATAGGACTTAGAGGAAAGAGAAATGAGCATCAAAATAAACTTCTTTCTTTCTCTTTCTCTCCAGTTCTTAATTCTTAAATTCCCTAGTTTAAATGAAACAATTTTAAAAGACAAATTTACTTAGAGCAATAATAGCCACTTTAAAAAATTTGTAAAGTATCTTTTAAAATTCATTATAAAAGCATATTTTGTGTGTCAATTTTGCAGATAGATTTAAAAAATTTCTGGGTTCCCCAAAACATTTTTGTTTGTCTTCTCACATTTGCTTGTAATATGTGTAACAGCAATGTGGACCTAGCCATTACGTGCATCTAGACCTAAAAGTGTATAATGTGGTTCAGGTTTTGTGGGTTGAAATTTAAATTTCCATAAATTATCTTGCTCACAGTCCAATTTCTGTTAAGCACCAATTTAATTTCTTGCAGGTCTCAGGCTTGTGGCTTCATGCTAATTTGTCAGGCTGCTGGTGTTGTATTGATTAAGTAGTTATATTCTTAAGGACTTTTCAACTAGTAGCAAATTTATATTTATTAGTTAGCTGGACAGAATAGGAATACTCAGCATGTTGCCCAAGTTTCAGTTTAGCACTTAATTTTGCAAACTGTTTTACACTGCTATTTTTGCAAATTATTTCCCACAACAGTCCTGTGAGATAGGCTAACGATGTTGTCCAGAAGCTGTCTAGGTTTTAGAAACGGTACATGATGTGTCCTGAGACAGCAGCAGAGCCAAGATTAGAATTCACAGTTCCTGGGGCTCAGGCAGCCACGCCTTGCCACCCATTCAATATGTCCACCCCCTTCTTTTAATTATATTAAGTTTCAGTGCCACTGCAGAGTAACAGATTAAGATAAAATAACACCGTTCAAATGGAAATGGAGTCCATATCCGCAAAGGCAGAGCCTGGCATTCAGTGTCCTGAGTGGTGCCTCTTGAGGGGCTGAATGCTCCCTTTCCTCTGCAGTCCCCTAGAGAAATGGCTCCCTGACAAGCTCTTTCTAGCCCTCTTCTGAGTCAGGATGTTTGAACTGAAAAATTATTTAGTTCAACTCCTTGTTTTGCAGATACGGAAAGCCAGGTCCGGAGAGATTGAGTTTTGCCCAAAGCCTCAATGCAAAATTGGGTCAGTGTCATGGGAAGAACCCAAATCTCCAGATGCTGCCTTCAGCACTCTGTTCCCTGAACTACCCTGTTTCTCAAGACTGGCTCCTGAACCACTTTCCATGGAGTTAGAAAGTGAATGGAGGTATCAGTCATTGTCCATACAGCATGAATTTGGAGGGTTTTCTAATTTAAAGGAAGCCTAGGGCTTCACATAGCTTGTAGACAGAAGATGAGATTAAAGTAAAAGAACTGATAAGTAATATTTTCTATTTCGTCAAGTAATGTTACCAGCTGTGTAATGAGAGCTATGTCTACAAAATCCAGAACGAATTGGAGACTTCAAATTGTTACTGCAGATAGCTAAATCAAACTAATTATCCGGGCCTCAAATAGAACTTTGTGGTCTGAATGAGATGGAGAATAATTTGTACTGTAAGTAAATTCCGTTTCTTCATTGTGAAAAACACACATTCACCTGTCCAAACCCAAAGAATGGACTCAGAGACACGAAGAACAGTGAAAGCAAGTCTTTTAATGGTGGTCTTGCAAGATAGGGTGTTTGGTAGGTAGGTTCATCCGGGGCAGTTACAGAAGGTAATTTATCTCCTAGCATGCAAGTCCCTCCCTTAGGTCCTCATTGGTTGAGTACTGTGGGGTTACAATCTTCCCGGATGTCGCCTAAGTTTCATGATCCCCCTTATAAGGTTATACCCCACCCCCCTCCCTGCTTAAGTTTCGATTTCCCGATAATGAAACTTTCTTCCCTTTTATGGGCTGACCCCTCCTCTACATTCTGTTCACTTATCGTGACCTTCTAGGTGCATGAGATGTGCGGTTTGTTACATCCACAGGCTGGCCGCCAGTACTTAGATTTATCATGCCTTGAAAATGGACCATTTAAAATGTTTTTTCACATTCGTGATAATTGTTAATATGTAAAAATGTTGGGTGAGAAGGCCCAAGTTAGAAAAAAATAACCCAGTGCAATACATGCTTTTGAAAATGTATCCTGGGACCAGAGCTTCCCATACGTCAGTCATTCACATACAACTGCCACCATTTTTACTATATCTGCATGTTTCCATTAAATTCACTTTTTAATATAAGTAAATGTATGAAAAAAGAAAGCTTTGTAAAACTATAACATGGAAAACCAGTATAATTTGCCAAAATCAATTAAAGTAAATTTGCAATTATAAAAACCTTAAAAAGTTTATGTGTGCTTTTATTAGAACCATCTTATGCATGACCAGCAGTGTGTGTACTGTGCCTTGGGAGACGTTGGTCTAGGCTAGCAGTAACCAATATTTTTTAGAGGTAGGGGGAGGAAACTCAGAACCATTCTATTTGGCCTCACACAGATAGATACTTGGAAAAGAAGTATATTTTCATCATCTTAGAAAACTGTAGATATTCTTCTTTGGTTCTGCAACAAAGCTCAATAATATAGATTATGAAACGAAATCAACGAACTTTTACTTTAAAGTCTATTGGTCTACCTTGCACTTTGAATGAATTTCTTTACCCATGCCTCATTTTGTAAAAGGATGCATTGATTATTTGGAAAACATTGTTTCGCTGGGCTATGCAGAGCTTCCAAATTTTGGCAAAAAATCATATTTTTTTAATATCACCACCAGCCATGTAAGGAAAGTATTTAAACTTTGGAAATCTGTTAATCTCATGGTGGCAGATACAAGTTTCCAAAATTCTAATTTTTACCTGAAAGCTCCCACTTTATTATTTAGGACAAATACTGAAAAACACAGGTTCTTTTTTTCCCTTCAGTTGAGAGGTCCACTTAGTTCATTTTCAAGAAAATGTCATTACATACCAAAGTCTCAATAATCATAGTTTGTCTGCAAGTTAAACTTCCTCAAATCAAAGTTTGTAAGTCTGAAAGTCTTAACAGAAAACTGGCTGGTGCTTTGTGACAAAGGTGGCTAGGTCAGCTGCAACTCAGCCACACAGGTGGTTTTCCTTGAGACAACCGTTGTACTTTGCTATGAAGCAGTACTTCATGTGTGCACTACATTTCATCACACAAAATATTTAAAACACGTGTATTCAAGGGTTGAAATTTAATAAAATCAATAACTGCTTCATCAAAGACACTCTTAGTTAAATTGTTGCTTTTTTTCCTTTTTTTTTTTTTTTTGCTACGAGTGTATGATATTGAAGAATACAATGACTATAAGCAAAGTTTGGTGCCACTGCCTTGATGCGTATTAAGGGGCCAGTGGTTTTATTCACCATTGCTTTAGCACTGTCAGTACAAAAGTCAACCCTGACAGGCAAATAACATCTTGATATTAGTGTGAAAATAGTTCTGATCTCACAAATCCCCTGAAAGGATCTTGTTGACCTTCAATGATCTGTGGCCACACTTTGAAACCTGCTGATTTAGGCCAATTTGTAAAATTAAGGGAAAAGGAAAGGAATCTAATTTATTATACACCTTATAAACATTATGTTATGAACTGAATTGTGTCCTCCCAAAATTCATATGTTGCAGTCCCACCCCCCAGAATTTAACCATATTTAGAGACAAGTCCTTGCAAGAATTTAAAGGGAGGCCATTAGGGTGGGGCCCCAATCCAATATGACCGGTGTCCTTATAAGAAGAGGAAGAGACACCAGGGACACAAGTATACAAGGGACAACCATATGAAAAAGCAGCAAGAGGATGGCCATCTGCAAGCCGAGTGGCCTTAGAGGAATCCACTCCTGCTAGGACCTTGATCTTGGACTTCCAGCCTCCAAAACTGTCAGAAAATACATTTCTGTTGTTTAAGCCACCCATTCTGGGGCATCTTATTGTGGCAGCCCTAGCAAACTAATACATATTGGCATCATATGATGACATGATGATACATAAATGATGACATTTATGATGCTAATAGTCATCCTAAAAACTTTGAAGTACATATTGACATCCTCATTTTATGGAGGTGGTGGTGGAAGCTTGGGGAAGATAGGTAATTTGCCAAGCTCATTCTGCTAAGAGAGGAAAAAGCCAAAATTCAGATGTGACCGCAAAGCCAGAAGTCCCAGAGCCAGTGCATGAGTGAGCTCAGATAGAAATTCAGATCCCAGTGCTCCGTCTGTGACATCAAGTTGCCCTGTAGAAGTGAGAATGTTGTTTCCTACTAATGATCCTAATAAATAGAAAACCTAAGTTGTAAATAAACAATTTCTACTAACAGTACAATGTAAATACTACTCTAATGAATGATTTTACAAAATTTTATTTCTGCTGTATGGACACTGCATTAAAAAAAAATTATAAATAGGCAGAGACCAGTGTGACTCAAACACAGAATTTTATCACAAATACAAACTACAAAAACCAATCCTACCCTTCTTTCTCTAATAGACACGTCTGGAGGAGCTAAACCAACAACTTAAAGAAATAAATAAATGACCTAACACCTCCTGCTGGAACCTGTGACCTCTCTTTGCCGTTCTTGTAATGTGCCATTGATTGGCCAGTCGGAAGGGACACTGTTTCAGCAGCCTGCTGTCCATGAGAGAATGACTTCTTTCTCCGCTTGGTGTGTCAGTTGACCCCTCAGGAGGTATGGCTGAGAGTTCAGCATCAAATGGCTTTTAACACCTGGGTTTCATTCTGAATCTCCCTCAAGTCCCAGCAGTAATGAAGCAATTGTATGTCCTGCCATAATAAATCTGAATCAAAGTGAAGCCAGTACCCCCTTCCTTCCAGGGAGCAGAGTATATCAGTTAAGACAGACTAGGAGCATTTTGTGCAGTGCTCTGATCAGAAGGATGGAAGCTCCATCCTTTGGCAGAGAGCAGTTCTGAGTGCTTTTCCTGTGCAGGTTGCCATTTGTATTAGAAATTTGACTGCAAAAGAGTTTAAGCATTATTGGTGAATTTCTAATCCTTTATTTCAAAGTTCTTGCTTCAGCGATGTCTTATTTATTTATTTATTTATTTATTTATTTATTTTTGCATTTAGAATTAATTCAACTGCAAAAAAAGTGCACATCTACCAAATATCAAGCATTGCATTAGATACCAGGGGTCTTAAGAAGGATAAGTAGGACATGGATTTTTTTCTCAAAGAAATTTTATTGTCTGTTTGTGTTATCTGAATTCAGAATGCCATTGCCTCATTAGCCTGTTTCATTGTATTTGTAGTATTTGTCAATGTCAGACAGTCTTTTATTTATTTATTAATGTACTTGTCCATTTCCCCAACCAGAATGAAGCTCCGCAAAGGCATGTATTGTGTCTGTTTTGCTTATTACTGTGTTATCAGATCTGGAATAGTGCCTTGACACAGTGTAGACATCCATTAAGAATGAATAATCTGGCCAGGCGCAGTGGCTCATGCCTGTAATCCCAGCACTTTGCGAGGCCGAGGCAGGCGGATCACCTGAGGTCGGGAGTTGGAGACCAGCCTGGCCAACATGGTGAAACCCTGTCTCTACTAAAAATACAGAATTAGCCGGGCATGGTGGCACGTGCCTGTAGTTCCAGCTACTTGGGACGCTGAGGCAGGAGAATCGCTTGAACCCAGGAGGTGGAGGTTGCAGTGAGCCAAGATCACGCCACCACTGCGCTCTAGCCTGGGCGACAAGAGCAAAACTCCATCTCAAAAAAAAAAAAAAAAAAGAATGAATAATTTACAGCTAACTAACATTGGTACAGTGTACTGACTAGGTCTGAGTAGTTTGAGAACGTTAAGTCTTTTTTTTCTTTAAAGACAGAAGTATAATGACTAAGTTTAGAGGATGGACACCATCTTACCCTATACACTTGTATTTTGTTAGAAGAGATTTTGTTTCAAGACTGGCCTGGGCAACATAGTGAGACCCTGCATCCATTAATATTAAAAACAAACAAAAAAAACAAGGGCCTGGTGCAGTGGCTCATGCCTGTAATCCCAGCACTTTGGGAGGTCAGAGGCAGGCGGATCACGAGGTTGGGAGATCGAGACCATCCTGGCCAACATGATGAAACCCCATCTCTACTAAATATACAAAAATTAGCTGGGTGTAATGGCACGTGCCTGTAATCTCAGCTACTCGGGAGGCTGAGACAGGAGAATTGCTTGAGCCTGGGAGGCAGAGGTTGCAGTGAGCTGAGATGGCGCCACTGCACTCCAGCCTGGCGACAGAGCAAGACTCCGTCTCAAACAAAACAAAACAAAAAAACAAAATGAAGAGATTTCGGAATATCTGTTAAAACCCATCTGAAGCCGCAGTGCTCTAATAGCTAAAGTGGTTTCCACAAATTATCAATGGAGCAAAGAAATTCTTTTCCAAGAATTCTTTCCTGAGAATCTCTTTAACCTACTTCCTTGGTTGAAAAAGTAGAAAATGTTTTCATAGGGATGAGCTGTGCAAACCTAATGCCCAAAACATCTGACACTCTTATCTTGAATGACACAGTAGAATTTAAAGAACTTGTCATCAAGTGGTCTTTGACAAAAACCTCTGTGGACAGCACCTGCCATTTTGAGAATTTTTACAACCAGAACTGGCTCCGACCTTGCACATCACTTCTTCAGCAAAAATTCTATCTCCCAAGTCACCTTCTCTGCACCTACTGAGGGATATACATCTCCTTATGGTTTTTGGCATTGGAGTAAGAAAATAAACTGGTGATGTGTAATGTGATTATGTACCCTTGGACCTTTCATCTATAGTCTTGATTCTGCACATAGAGCGTGCACATGCATGTATGTGTGTGGGTGTGGGTAGAGGCATGTGGGTTGGTCCTTTGAAGAATGAGATTCTGCAGTTTTCTGCAGTGGACATTTCCTACCTGTGGCTGGCCCAGATGGTAAGAATACTATGCATCCTTTCTGGCTTTGACTGCTGAGAATGTTACAGTGAGTTTCCTTATTTATGCCCTTTTTTTTGGAGTATTAAACATGTCAAATTTGGTGTAGTTAAGAGGCACTCGTAGAAAGTTTTTTTTAAAGGTCTCTGCATATAAGATGCTTCCATAGCAAGTCATAGAAAAAATTCCCAAGTTTCAGTGTTGACAGATGGTGTTACTCTGCAATATAAGCAGCAATGTCCTCACGAGACTATTGATTTTGTTTGTGAAATATAAATCCCTATACAATGACGGATGGGCTGGTGAGAAGTGCTTCTTTAATAATTCAATAATTTCATTAAACGATCTGGTCCTAAGTAAAACAGAGATGGCAAGATACCTGACCATGGACTGCATTTAAGTCTCATATAAAAATAAGACCATGGTCTACTTTTGTTCATGTTTGTCTATTTTGTTTGCTTCAAGATAAAAGGAAGTCTTTCAGTGTGTGAAATCTAAGAAATAGGGCAAACGACATCAGATTCTTCCAAGTGTCTCATAGCAGCCATTTTAAGTTCAGTCTGCCCACATTCATGGCAACGGCTTGGTTCACTTGCTTACTAGGTAGGCTTGAACATTGATTTATTTTGCCTGCTGCTATTTAGCTTTCTGTTTTCTTAGCAGCTTCCCATCTCAATGGAGCATGGACAGTTTGTAGGAAGTAGAAGCCGATTTGATTCCAACACAGCACTTTATTACAGCTAAGAAGGACATATTACCCAAAGTCATCTTCTGATGTGCCAGAAGCAACAACCAAGAAGAATTCTAAGGGGCAAATAAACAACCTGAAACTAAATCACAGAAACTCCTGGAAACCCAACTTGAATTAGCCCAAGTGTGTCTGTGCATTTGTGTATTTGTTGTTTATGCACGACAAAGTCCTACAAAATCAAATTGATTTACTTTACCTTGATTTACTTTAGAAAAAAAATTAAAATATCAGCAAATTCATATTTAGGTTTGCCTTCACAAAGGAGTTATAAACTTAATGTTTTGTATATTTAATCTGTTATCTTAATTAGGGACTCGTAGATCATCAAAGAGATGTTAAAATAATACAATCAAGAGTCATAGAGTAACATGTACAATTTATTTTTTGGCAAGACTCAGAAAAAACAATTTGATATGTTAATGGATCCTAATGGGCAATAGCTATTAATTAAATAAATAACCCATTAGACTGAGAAGTGAAGTGTCAGTACAAGGACAATGTACTAAAATTGCTGAAGAATAGCAATTAACTTATAGTATTTAGTGGTGGCACAGATATTTATATTTGGTTTTGTAGATATTTGTGTCAGCTATATCAAATTAATTAAATTAAACCAGCAACTATTTAATAAATCTCTACAATGTGTGTGCAGTGCTATGCTAGGCATTTGGAATAAAGCAAAAAAGTAGACAACCTGATCTAGACTCTTGGGGAAAATATAGTATAGTAGGGAGAGGCAAGATGTAAGTAATTTTAATATATAATGATTGTGCATGTTGACATATTAAAAATGTTTTAAGGTATTACACCATCAATTCTTTACCACTTTTATCACTGTCCATCATGACGTACTAACAATTGTTGAGGAAAAATAATGCTGGGGTAGGGCCTGGGGATAACCAAGAAGGTGTAAATCCTGGCCTCTGCTCAGGAAGCCAGTGATCTAATTTGGAAGGTTGATTGCTAAATGAAATCTTTGCTGACGCAGAAAGTCCCATGAATAGGAAAGGGAGAAAGAGCTAAGGGCTAGGATATTCTGGCAAGTTTGTGGAGGCGAACTGGAGCTTGAAGTACAGGTGGAATGTGACTAAACAGAGAGGGGAGGTGGTGGCTCAGGTGGGGACGATGGCCAGAGCCAGCTTCATTGTGAGGCATTAGGGGTGAGGCTGCAGAAGAGATTTATGTAATGCAGCCACAATGTTGTGCAATCTGGTGATTGAAGAATTTGGACTCGGCTTTCCTGAGGAGAGTGACAGAATCAAAGTGGTTGTAGAAAGATGTTGATCAGATTGAAGGGTGCTGGGGAGATCTGTGGTAGGAGGGAGTAGGAGCTAGAAGGCAGCAAGACTGGCTGGAGGCCCTTGTGAGGGGATAAGAGATGAACATGATTTCCTAAAACAGATCACAGCCTTTTTAAGGGAAAGGGAAATGCCTTGCTTTTCCTTGTTTCCTTGTTTTTCCTGTACATTCAGTCCAGAATGTATAATGCTGTGGAATAACCCCTTGTAGAGCCACTGACTTATGAGACTATCTAAAGACAGGTGCTGACCTTTGCCGCTGATCACTGTATTTGGCCTCCTGGAACAAGAGTGCCTCATGAATAAAACAAGTTAGAGCAACCTAAGGAGATTCAAGCAGAGGTCACTCTATAGTGAGGTGATAAATTTTGTGACCGATATGGAGGCCTAGCTTAGTCGCAGGCAATCATTACTGAATTACCTGGTGATAACAGGAGGTGAAGAAAATGTGCATTCTAAGCACAATGCAAATGCGAATCACTAGCTTCCTGGAGATCTGATCAAATAAAACTTAAGTTTTAATTAAACTGTGACCAAATTAATTAAAAGTTACTATACTGTGTGATAGATAATTATCAACTAGAATGTTGCTTATTTTGCTGCAGCATCCTGATTTCTTTATCTTCCTGTTCTGAAAATGTAAAAATCCTTTTAGTCTTTTAGATGAGTCACAAGCGAAAAAAAAAAAATTAAGTTAGCAGGATGTATTAAACATTAATTTAAGCACAATCATGAAAACCTGAAATTTTCTTTTTTCTCTAGCTATGTTTTAAGTTCTTGACATAATTTTTACAATGGCACATCTATTTTTTATGAGTTTTTAATAAAATGTAATAATAGCAACTAATAATGTTAACGATAATAATGATAACTGTCATTTCTCTCTCCTCAGGATCATTTTGTGCTGAGCGTTCATAACTGAGTCATAGCTGTCTGTGTTAAAGGATTGTTCCCAGGTTTTATTTATCTTGTTCAGCCTTTTAATTCAATTGGTTTCTTGGCTGATTTGTCTCCCAGTGTGATTAATCAATGAGAACTAGGGGCCCAATTCACGTTTTCACTTAAGTCGATTGAAATGTTGAGTGTGGTTGTGGTTGTTTAGGAGATAAAACAGGGTCACTGACTTACAACATCATTTCTTCTTGGTTTTATGCCTTAACTGTATTTTCCCCAGCAGAATCTGGTAACTGTTTCTCTCAGTTATGGAAGCCTACAGGGAGAGGAAAGGTAGGTAGAGATTTCTCTTCAGTGACGATTTCCATTAATTTTGTTATTTGTCATCAACAATTGGTGTATACCCAAAGGCGATCAAAGTGTAAGTAAATGACCAGCAATTTGTTTCACTTCAAATCTAATACTTTCCAAAAAGCACTTTGTAGCCAGTATCTAACAGAAGTTTAATAGAAGTCTAAGGCTGGAAGAAAAAGTGGGGGCTATGCCATTTCCTCCCAAGCTCTTCTCCCCCCATCTAGCATTAGACAGACACTACCCCTTCTCTTCTCAAGGGGCCCAGACAGGACGATTCTGCAATAGCCTTTAGGAAATTCATTTCAACGTTAATATCCCTCATGGCCAAGAGATAAGTAATTTGGCTCATATATAATCTGGTTCCTCCTCGTCTGCGTTGAAAGCCCTTAATGACCTCATGTCTTCCCTCAGCAGGGCTGCGGGTATTCTGTCAAAACGCCATGATGGATTATGTGCTTGGTGACCTTCTGTGACTTTTTGCAAGGCAGGGAGAGTAGAATGAAAAGGTGGTGAAGAGGCAGCAGAATACCTCTATTTGCCACGCCTGCCATCCCGGCAGCAGGAGGAAGGTTCCCGGAGGAGAAGCTGAATGAGACCCTTCCGCTGCTTCCCCTCCTCTCCCGCCAGGCTCCTCCTCCCTCCAGGGGCGAAGGAGCCAATGCTTGGGAAATGGGGGATAGCACTGGTAGCGATTACGTTCTCCACTTTGAAAGCCTAACAGAAGGAAAAACTATTTAGGAAATGAAGAGAAAACCCTCTCCTCTGTGCTCAAGAGTTGCCATTTACAGGACTCTTGCAAGTTTAACGAAAGGGAAAACTTGGCGTCTTGCTCATCTCCTGTGATACCTCCTTTGGCATATGATACAAATGAGAATACATTCAATGTTAAATATTCGTGTGCATTTTTTTCTTATTTGATTTGATTTGAGAGTTCCCCCACCAAACAGCTTTTTTTTTTTTTAAAAAAAAAAAAAAAAAAAAAAAAAGATCATTGGCCGGGCATGGTGGCTCACGCCTGTAATCCCAGCACTCTGGGAGGCCGAGGCAGGCGGATCACGAGGTCAGGAAATCGAGATCATCCTGGCTAACACAGGTGAAATCCCATCTCTACTAAAAATATAACAAATTAGCCGGGCGTGGTGGTGGGCGCTTGTAGTCCCAGCTACTCGGGAGGCTGAGGCAGGAGAATGGCGGGAACCCGGGAGGTGGAGCTTGCAGTGAGCCGAGATCGCGCCACTGCAGTCCAGCCTGGGTGACAGAGTGAGACTCTGTAAAAAAAAAAAAAAAAGGTCCTTATATTTAGAGGGGCTTAGTAAGAGGCTTTGACAATTGAGTCAAAGGTTTGCTCACCTGGAAACTGCTCAAGTAAAGAGAACATCTCTTTACTGTAAAGGAGCATCCCTCAGATCCCTTTAAGCCACCCCAGACAACAAAGACTACTTACAGTTTGTCCAGAAGTAACCTCAGAATTATAGACAGGGGGAGGGTTGCAGCACTGGCCAGAGCCCACAGTGTTGCATTTGTAACCCGTTTATTTGCGAGAAACACCATCAACAAATCATGCAACAGCATATTCTAGATAATAAAGTTTTAAAACTTCTATGTTTGTGCTATCCTAGATTGGTGTTCCTATCTGTGAGGTACCCTAACTACAATGTACTGTGTGTCCTGTCTCTTCATCTAGGTTGACAGCCAGATCACATCGTTCCTCTAAATCCCCAGCACCTGGCACAGAGGCTGGAAATGAGTAGGTACTGCTAAAACAATGTGGAATGAATGAGTGAACATAGAAACTGCCTTTTTCTAATACGTTTATCTGAAAAGACTGCTTGATTCTTCTTTATATGAGTTTTGCTCTAGTGGTTTCTTGGAGAAAAATATGAAAGTGTAGGTTTTACTCAAGACTATTCTTAATGAGGCTATAACAATGTATGGACTGAGAAAGGTGAGGAGGGTTGTGGGATAAAAAATGGGAAAAATCTTGCTGGGGTTTTCTGGGCTTTTATACAGGTTGGTTTCTGCTGGGCACTGCCTGAGATAGATTTTGTGTGGATTGCTGAGTGAGGGTCTAGAAATAAGTTCATTTCATTGTTTAATGTGTAGAAGGCTGGAAGTGTGAAGTACAAAGTCAAATCAAGGGGAAAATGCAAATGAAAGTCATGTTTCATTGAATACATTCTGTAGCTCTTCATTTCTCCTAATACCTTAGACCTGGGGCAGTTTTCTCTCTGGACCAGTATGTCACTTATTTTGGTTCTACTAAGTCACATACCACTGGAATGCGATTGGTATTTTTACCAACCAAGAACCAACTGCTCTTTTCTAGACAACAGCTATTCTGTTCCGGCTTTCTCCAGCTCCTGCTTCTTTCAGTTTTCTCATATATTTTCAGTCGTGTGCATTCTTTTCTTGGTGAATAAGAGAGAGTAAGTGCCTGAGGGATTATCTCTTTGGATACATTTTCCTCCCCACAGGCACTGGATTTTTAAATGCTTGTTCCCTTTCCGAGTTTTGATCTTCTATATGTGAGACGAAATGTTTTTCTGTAACACTGGCAAAGGGAAATGTAGTCTTCCGGAAAAGCTCTATATTCCTTACATAAATCATGAGTCACTGTTTAACTGGTGACCAATTAATGTCATAATGTTTCCTCTACTCAAAAATCAGGTAGGAAAGATAAATCATTTCCAGAGAAAGTGAGAGGTAACTGATGAAGAAAACAAATCAATTTGGGTGTAAATTTAGTCCTGCTCTGCTCCCAGTGTGGTTGATGACAGGATCCTCAGAAATGTTCAAGGCATGTTCAGTTAGAACTTCAGAACAGCAAACTCATCCCCTGGCTAGTATTGTTTCCCAGAATGTGTGGCTTTCACACCATGATCAAATTTCATTTCTCATCTATTTATCCACGGGGTTTTTAAAGGAAACTTTGCCAGACTTAAAGTAAGGGGATGCGGTTTCAAATCCAATTCCATGCAAGTTATAAACCTCTCTGAATCTGAGCTTCCTCATCTGTAAAATGGAATTAATGACACCTACACTACAAAGGTGCTAGGAAGATTAACTGGAACAGCATATGGAAAATCTTGGAATCAGCTGCTGTTCAATAAATGTTGGCTGAATTTTAATTTGTAATTACTAAAATGAAGTCCAGAAATGAGATAATGAATCTGGATAATTCATCCTTGCGTCAATTATTTAGACTCTGCATAAAGAGAAAGGCTTGGGGATTCAATTATCTGTATAATTACTCAATTCTGTGCTGCATCTTCTAAATAAGCTTAGAATTTAACACACAATCATATTCTTTCTTTAGGTAATTAGTTCCGGGGATGAAAGAGTTAAGGAATTGCCATCCCATTTTGTTCAAAGATTTTTTTTTAAAGGCACTATTAGAAGAGATGAAATCTAATGTAAATGTCAGTCCCATCTCAAAATAAACTTGCTATTAGAATCCAAAATCCTCTAGGCTTATTAAGATGTTATGAATTTAGTAGGATTTCCATCACTCCTCCCTCTATTTGTAGTGACCAAAGCATGAAACCATTGTTAAAACCACCTATTAATCAATTTGTTCTTCTGCTTTTCAGTAATTGAGTTTCCCAGATGAAACAGTATATCAACTTTAACCCTTTTCTAGTAAATTAAAGCTTTTCTTTTGCCAGCCAGAATCATTAATGCCATTTTGTTATCAAGAAATGTTCATACTTACGCTGTTAAATCATTAAGATAATTGAAATTATTTTACCTAGGCATCCTTTAGTTTTCAGACTCTTTTAAGTCTTTATGCCCTAGTAATTCTTGGAGTCATCTAAGGCTTTATGTATTCCTTTGATTGGGCATTTTCATTTTGGTGCATAGATTTGCGATTAACTTACTAATGACAAAAAGGTGAATTATAAAAATACCCCACCCTCTAGCATTCATTATCCATAATACATCATCAGTCTTCCCAGCCTTCAAACTGGTTTCCCTTTGGCTTAATTTTATTACTTTATCAATTTTAGGTATCATGATCCATTGAAATTAAATTCATTTGGTTGAAACCAATAAAATACCATATAGTTGCTGTCAAGTTTTCTTTTAAAATGATATCTTTTATATTTAAAAAATTAAGTGATATATTTTATCATTGCTTTTCCCCATATTTATTATAAAATATCTGTTGAGGTCCAATATCGTGTTCTTTAAGTGTCTCAATAGGAAAAAAAAAATAGCATATCAAATGAAGTAATTGGAAGTGTGTGTTTGTTTGAGACAGGGTCTCTCTCTGTCATCCAGGAAGGAGTGTAGTGGCATGAACACAGCTCACTGCAGCCTGAACCTCCCCGGCTCAAGCTCCTGGGCTCAAGTGATCCTCCCACCTCAGCCTCCCAAGTAGCTGAGACTACAGGTTTACACTGCCACACCCCACTAATTTTTTTTTTTTTTTGTATTTTTTGTAGGGACAGTGTTTTGCCATGTTGCCCAGGCTGATCTCGAACTCAGGGGCTCAAGTGATCTGCCTGCCTCAGCCTCCCAAAGTGCTGGCATTACAGGCGTAAGCCACTGTGCCTGGCCTGAAAGAGTTTTAATAAATGAACTATGTAAAAAAGATGCAGTCAGAATGGAGGGAAACAAAAAGGTACAGGAATACATTCCAGAGGCAGCCACAATGGGGAGGCATCACCTGTCTTAGGCACGAAGGAGCAAGGAGTGGGAGCAACTGTTGTAACCTGAAGAGAGTGACTGTACCTGTAAGAGAGGTCTGACTGACAGGAGCTGTGTCTTTGTTGGAGGAAATAGCCAATCCAAGGTGACCTTGCAGCAAGGGAGCTGGGGCCCTGAACTCATCCTCCTTCTGCCCTTCCAATTTCTACTGGGAGTTCCCACTGACCACATTCAACTAGAAGCTAGAGGCAAGAGTGCCTTTTGATACAGTTCACACAGGTCAGCCTTCTGTGGCACAAAGCAGGGCGGAGAATGGTGAACGTGCCTCTAAAGGGTCAAAGGGCAAATATTACGTACTAAGCAAATGGTTGTCGAACACTTTCAGTTAGCGATCCTATTCATTTTAACTGAATAAACACTGGTGGAACATCTATTAGATGAGAGCCACTTTAGTGGGCTCTGAAGATGTGAAGACAAGTAAGCAGGACTAGACTAGGGTCAGGCAAGCAAAGTGTGTAGGGCACATTTGCATGTGCTTGAGGGTACCTCCTTAAATTTTGCGCTGAGGTTCTTTAGTTGCTTCACCCTAGTCTCAGCCTTATGAATAAGACTCCATCCCCACCTTCAAGGGTTTTTCAATCTAGCCAGACAAACATGAATAAAAAAGAACTGGCCAGGCGCAGTGGCTCACGCCTGTAATCCCAGCACTTTGAGAGGCCGAGGTGGGCAGATCATGAGGTCAAGAGATCGAGACCATCCCGGCCAACATGGTGAAACCCTGTCTCAACTAAAAATACAAAAAAATTAGCTGGGCATGGTGGCGCGCGCCTGTAGTCCCAGCTACTCGGGAGTCTGAGGCAGGAGAATCACTTGAGCCTGGGAGGCAGAGGTTGCAGTCAGCTGAGACTGTGCCACTGCACTCCTGCCTGGCGACAGAGTAAGACTCTGTCTCAAAAAAAGGAACCATAACACAAGTCCAATTACAAGTGCCATGCCAAAAGTTCAAGCATTATGAAAGCTCAAATGCCTGACTAATAAATCTCAATGACAGCATCTGGTATGGCTCCTCTGAAGACAGGTCATCTAAGCTGGGTATTCAGAAACAAGTAAGATTTTGAGAAATCTATTTGTTCAACAAATACCTACTGAGCTTCTACTATATGCCAAGTCTTGTTTTAGATGGTAGGGGAAGAGCAGAGACCAACACACAGAAGGTCCCTGATCCCATAAAGCTATGTTCTGTTGGGAGCAAAAGACAAATAAAAAAGTAAACAAGTGAGGGAATATCAAGTGGAGACGATTGGATGCTCAAAGACAATTCAACTTGGGTGCCTTGCATTTCTGCATGTTTCATGAGAAGGGGCTCTAACTGTCCCTTTGTTTGGAACTGTCTTTTCAAGGATGTTTGTATAGCAAACAGCCTTGGAAGATAATAGTGTCCCCCTCGGGAGCAGGTGGTAGGTAGGTTTGCTTACTGTCTAGTATGAAAGATTTGGGACACCTGAGCTCATGGTTCCTCTGCCAGTGTGTGTGCAGCATTCATGCAGGCCCTCCCCAGATCACTCCTGAATTTGAGGGGCAAAAGGAAGCAGCATAAATATGAAGCTCATGCCATCTGCTGTGTTGTGACTAATAAGGTGCTTTATCTTTGAACCAGGAGTCTAGTGTTTTCTGCCCTCATCCATGAAACCATGGCTGGCTACTTTGTTAGTTTGCAAGCAGGTAAAACCTCAGACCCTTTGTAGTTCTCAGCAGTTTTTGGTGAGAATATAAGATGCTGACACAGACATTGCTTTCTGAAAAAGAAAGGATAAGTACCCTATGGGCCAGGTTCAGGAATATGAAAGGATTTTCTAGAATCCAGTGATAACACTCTTATCCAATTGGTGAACGAGGATTGTAGGGGGATTAGTAAGGGTCTCCATGGTCCTGCCTGTTAATATATGTTTTAAGGCCAAGTAAAGGGCATAGGAATAAAACAAGCAATTAGAACAGTGTTTTTGACATTGCTTGCTTGCCTCAGGTGGGAAGAAGAAGAAATGTTATAGTGACAATGAGGCAGCGAGTCCTGTGGCCAGAGCCAAAAGACAATATGGCTATAGCTACCGAGGCAGTGATGCTGAAATAAACGATATCAGCAATGAAGATGCAGAGATTTAGACAGGCTAAAGTCATTAGAAGTTCATTTGGTTGCACTGCACTGTGACTGCTTAAAACTGAAAGTAAATACAAAGCCTTGATTTCCGGTGCAGAATCACTCTCTTCCTCTGCACCTCTGTGATCTCTCCCTCTCTCTTGACCTTGAACTCAGCTGCTTCAAAGAGAAGGAGGATTGGGGCTGGGCCAAGGTCTCCCTGTCCCCAAGAGCAACTGGAGGCCTTATACACTTATCTGAATATGCTGGGAAAGCTTGGGGAGGGAAGGACCTCAAACTTTTAAGTTCTATTGGACATAGACAACCTACCCCAAAGTCCCAAGTGACAGGGGGTGGGTTGGATATACAGTAGGGAAGGGAAGTTAACACGACCTTGTGGATAGGATGAATCTCTAGTAT
Organism: Homo sapiens; assembly: GCF_000001405.40. Lineage (NCBI taxonomy): Eukaryota > Metazoa > Chordata > Mammalia > Primates > Hominidae > Homo > Homo sapiens. The sequence continues at coordinate 88,013,503 of NC_000006.12, forward strand.
GAATTGATGTTTTATATTCCCATACTTCCCTGTCCCAGAAGTTGCCAGAGGGGATTCCCCTGATCAAAGAGAGGCTAATGTATAGAAGTGTTAGTGGGATAAACCATCCTGATATTTGCGCCCAGCGGGTGATTTGGGATTTAGCATGAATGTGTCCATTCTCAGATGCCCAAAGTTTTCACTATTCAGATGATATCCTCCTGGTTAGCAAGTCAGAAGCCTGAGAAGATCCTGACTGTGGTATTATCCCATGTCTGCCAGCAGGGGTGGCTGAAAATCCTAACACAATTCAGAGGCCTGCTCAGTGAGTGAAGGTTTTTGGGACCATGTATGGATTCACAATGTTCAATCCCTCCATCAGTCAAGAAAAAACTACTGCCTGTAGCCAACCACCACCAAAAAGAAGACCCAGCACCTTACTGTACTTTTTTTGGTTATTAGAGACAGTATGTGCCTCACTTGGGCATTTTTCTTGGTCCTGTACATGGGGTAACTTGAAAATCAGCACCCTGTAAGTGGGACTCAAAAAAAAAAGCAACAACAATGATCACCACCACCACCACCAAGAAGTCTATTTTTACCCCTGTGAGCTACAAACCTCCATGACTGATGATTTTGCTGATGGGAACTTCTGGTAAAGAGAGGCAGCCTTTATCTAGAGGTGCTCCTTGGGATTTTGGTCTTGTTACCTTACTGACATAGCTACCAGGTACATTTCTTTTGAAAAGCAGCTATTAACAACTTGCTATCTGGCTCTTGTCAACATCGAATGCCTAATTCATGGAGACTTTTGGACTTCCAGTCTGAAGTTCTCATTGTGGGGTAGGTCAACTTGGACTCAACTGGTAACAAGCTGTGAAGAGCCCAGTAAACCTTGTTTTCAAATAGAAATGGTATATTCAAGAATGCAGGCACCCTGGCCCCAGTTGCATCTCAGCTTCACATGAAAAACTGGCAGGTTTCTCTGGGAGAAACTATCTCCTCTATTCTACCATTTGAAACAAAGTCACTGGCTCAATAGGGCCTTTTGTTCACAGAATTCTGCCCTCAATCAAACTATGGCCTGCAGGCTGGCCACTCATTTTTTTTTAAATAAATAAAACAAAACTATGTTTTTCATGATAAAAATAAACAGTGCAAAGAAGCATATGAGGGAACATGCATTTAAAAATATTGTTTTTAAAAAAATTTTAAGTTTTATTTTACTTTCAGGGATACATGTGCAGGTTTGTTATATAGGTAAACTCATGACTTGGAGGTTTTATGTACAGATATTTTGTCACCTGGGTACCAAGCATAGAACCTGATAGTTTTTTTTCTTTCCCTGAATCTCTCCCTCCTCCCATACCCCACCATCTGATAGGCCCCAGTGTGTGTTGTTCCCCTGTATGTATCCATGTATCCATTATTTAGTTTCAGTTATATTGAATACATGCAATATTTGGTTTTCTGTCCCCACATTAGTCTGCTAAGGATAATGGCCTCCAGTTCCATCCATGTTTCTGCAAAGGACATCATCTGGTACTTTTTAATGGCTGCATAGTATTCCATAGTGTATATGTATTCTTTATCCAGTCCACCATCGATGGGCATTTCGGTTGATTCCACCTCTTTGTTATTGTGAATAGTGCTGCAGTGAACATATGTGTGCATGTATCTTTATGGTAGAGCCATTTATATTCCTTTGGGTATATACCCAGTAGTGGGATTGCTGGGTCAAATGGTAGTTCTGTTTTTAGTTATTTGAGGAATCACCACACTTGCTTTACACAATGGCTAAATGGATTTACACTTCCACCAACAGTGTATAAGCATTCCCTTTGTCTCTGCAACCTTGCCAGCATCTGTTATTTTTTGACTTCTTAATAATTGCCATTCTGACTGGTGTAAGATGATATCTCATTGTGGTTTTGATTTGCATTTCTCTAATGATTAGTGATACTGAGCATTTATTCATATGCATGTTGGCCACATGTATGTCTTCTTTTGAAGTGTCTGTTCATGTCCTTTGCCCACTTGTGCCTACTTTTCAATTGGATTAATTGTTTTTTGTTTGTATGTTTGTTTAAATTCCTTGTAGATTCTGGATATTAGACCTTTGTCAGATGTATAGCTTGCAAATATTTTCTTCTATTCTGTAGATCACCTATTTACTCTTGATAGTTTCTTTTGCTGTACAGAAGCTCTTTAGTTTAATTAGGTCCTAGTTGTCAATTTTTGCTTTTGTTGCAATTGCTTTTGGCATTTTTGTCATGAAATCTTTGCCAGTTTTTAATGCCCAAAATGATATTCCTTAGGTTATCTTCCAGGGTTTTTATAGTTTTAGGGTTTATATTTAGGTCTTTAATTCATCTTGGGTTAATTTTTGTATGTGGTGTAAGGAAGGGGTCCAATTTCAATCTTCTGCATGTATTATGTAATAGCTAGCCAGTTATCCCAGCACCATTTATTGAATAGGGAGTCCTTTCCTTATTGCTTGTTTTTGTCAGCTTTGTCAAAGATCAGATGGTTGTAAGTGTGTGGCTTTATTTCTGGGCTCTCTATTCTGTTCCATTGGTCTATGTGTCTGTTTTTGTATCAGTACCATGTTGTTTTGGTTACTATAGCCTCATAGTACAGTTTGAAGTCAGGCGGTGTGATTTCTCCAGCTTTGTTCGTTTTGTTTAGGATTGCCTTAGCTATTTGGGCACTTTTTTGGTTCCATATGAATTTTAGAATAGCTTTTTCTAATTCTGTGAAGAATGTAATTGGTAGTTTGATAGGAGGAGCATTGAATCTGTAAGTTGCTTTGGGCAGTATGGCCATTTTAACGATATTGATTCTTCCTATCCATGAGCATGGAATGCTCTTCCATTTGTTTGTGTCATCTCTGATTTCTTTGAGCAGTGTTTTGTAACTCTCATTGTAGAGATCTTTCACCTCCCTGATTAGCTGTACTACTAGGTATTTTTTTGTGTGTGTGGCAATTGTGCATGGGACTGCATTCCTGATTTGGCTATCAGCTTGGGTGCTGTTAGTGTATAGGAATGCTACTGCTTTTTGTACATTAATTTTGTATCCCCAAATAAAGTTTCATTAAAACACAATTACACCCATTCATTCCTGTATTGTCTATTTTTATTTTTTTCTTTACGTGGATAGAACATAATGTATTGTCTACTTTTGTGTTACTGTGGGAGAGTTGAGTAGTTGCAAAAGAGATCACACATCCCATAAGCCTAAAATATTTACTCTCTAGGCCTTTAAGAAAAAGTTTGTTGATTCCTGCTACAGATGCCTGGGCCTGAGTCACTGATGGTTCGGCAAAGCTGAAATCCAGTACTGTCCAGTGAGCTGCTATAGCTATTCAGCTATGCAGAGGCAAAATGGATGCATTTGATCCTATCGGTGGGACAGAACTCAAGGTCTTCCCACAGCTCTGCCTAATATTCCCCTTGACAGACTCTGTTATATTTTTACTGACTCTTGGGGTGTTGCCAATGGCCTAGCTACTTGGTCTGCCACCTGGAAAACCAAAGACTGGCAGATTTAGAGATATCCCTCTTTGGGATCATGAACTGTGTTAACTAAACAGTCAGGCTCACTCAAGTAAATATTCATCATAAGAACCTATTCTTTGATGAAATCAACTGAAATCAAACTGCTGATCAAGCCTGCACAGCTTGGATTGCTACCATTGCTGCTGGAATCCATCCTCATACCATACATGGCAATACATCCACCATCATAGACTGGGAACAAAGTAAAGGATTCAGTGTTTCTGAGGCTGCCACTGCATGCCAGACCTGTGAATCCTGCCATAAGCTGATCCATTTGTCTCATGCTGTAGGCTGCCACACTGCCTTCCATGCACTGGTGATTGATATGCATTCAACTTTGGATCTTTGATTCCTCTGTTGGGGTTATCAGTGGTGCTTCTCTGCTGTAGATACTCTTTCAGGTTACAGTGTTACTGTTGCAGTCTGGTCAACAGACTCCAGCCACACTGTTGTGGCCCTTGAAACTAATATGCATAATGTGTTTGGCTTTCCATACTATTTGCAGTCTGATAGTGATACATTTATTATCACAAAAGCCACTCAAGAATGAGCTAATAATAGTTAAGTTATCCAGTGGTCCTTCCACATGCTGTACCATTCACAGGCATGTGGTATTGTTGAGTATTGGAATGGCCTCCAATACTGCAGCAGGAATATCTCTTGAACCTGGGAGGCAGAGGTTGCAGTGAGCCAAGATCGCGCCACTGCACTGCAGCCTGGGAGCCTGAGAAACAGTGTGAGGCTCCATCTCAACCAAAAACAAAACAAAACAAAAACAAAAAAAAACCCTATGTTTTTTAAATGAGTTTTGGCAAATTTATACACCCATAAATATTATCAAAATAAAGATACAGAACTTTTCCAACATCTCCAAAAATTCCACTGGCCTCCTTTGCAGTCAATTTGCCCACGACCACTCCTGGCCTAGACAACCACTGCTCTGCTTTTTGTCACTGTAGATTAGCTTTAACTATTCTAGAATTGTATAAATGGGATTATCAGTATGTATTTAGGTGCCTGACTTCTTTCACAAAGTGTAATGTTTTCAAGATTCATCTATGTCATTGAATGCAGTTGTCTTCTTTTTTCTTGCTGGGAGAATTTCATTATGGGAATATACCACGATACATTGATTTTAAAAGAACATTAGTGCTGTTGGATTGTAATTGTGAGATAAATTTCATTATTCATTCACCGGTTGATGGACATTTGGATTGTTTCCCAATGTTTTGAAATGTTGAATAAAACTGCTGTGTATGTTCATGTGTTTTTTTGGACATGTATTTTCATTTCTTTTGGGTAAATACATAAGAGTAGAATTGCTGGGTTGCATGTTAACCTCATAAGAAGCTGCCAAATTGTTCCCCAAAGTGGCTGTATTATTTTTACATTCCCATCAGCATGAAGAGTTCCATGTTTCTCTACCTCCTTGACAACACTTGGTATTGTCAGCTTTTTTACTAATAGCCATTCTAGTGAGGATGTAGTGGTATCTAATTGTGGTTTTAATTTGCATTTCTCTGGTAACTAATGATATTGAGTATATTTTAATGTAACTATTGGCCATTTGTGCATCTCTTTTTTAGTCTATTAAAATCTTTTGCCTATTTTAAAATTAGGTTGTTTGCCTTTAATTACTGAGTTCTAAGAGTTCTTTAGATAATCTAGGTACAAATTTTTTTCAGGTGTGTGTTTTGGAATATTTTTTTCCCAGTCTAACAATATTAACTTTCTAAATAGTTTTCATTTCAAAAGAGCTCACCTCTAATAAATTATGTTTTGCTTAGTTGAAGGCCATTGCTGTTCTTTCAAGGTTTGTATCATATGCTTCTGGATAGCTTAAAAGGGTAGTGTGTTTTACACACATTTATTTCTATTGCTTATTTAGTGTACTGGTGTTTACCAATGTCCATCCTCCAAAATGCCTTGGCCAATTACATACCTGTGGCTCTGAATGCTCCTTAAATTTTCTGTGTTTTCAGATCCCTGACTTGGCTGAAAAATATTCCAATAACCACAGTAAGGTGAAAGTCACATTAGCTCCATACAGCAAGAACTGCCATAGCCTACCCCAACATCATTATCCCTTTTCTACTGATTTTATCAGAGGAGGCAATGTGCTTAGCTGAAATATACTTCCCACCCTCCTCACAGCTGGGTGTGGCCATGTGGTTAATCCTGGACAACAAGTTGTCAACTTCTTGTGGGACATACATGAAGAAAAAGAAAAAAGATAGTACTTTTTTTTTTTGTAGTCAGAGTTTTTAGGCTTAAGACAGATGCCACATGTTACTTTATACTTAAAGATTTATTAAATGCCGGCTGGGCGTGGTGGCTCAAGCCTGAAATCCCAGCACTTTGGGAGGCTGAGGGGGTTGGATCACGAGGTCAGGAGTTCAAGACCAGCCTGGTCAAGATGGTGAAACCCCGTCTCTACTAAAAATGCAAAAATTAGCCGGGCGCGGTGGTGGGTGCCTGTAATCCCAGCTACTCAGGAGGCTAAGGCAGAGAATTGCTTGAACCCGGGAGGCGGAGATTGCAGTGAGCCGAAATCACGCCACTGCACTCCAGCCTGGATGACAGAGCGAGACTCCATCTCAAAAAAAAAAAAAGATTTATTAAATGTTATGTTATTGTTCTTCCCCTTTTCCCTTGGCTTTTCTTTCTCTCCCCTCCTTTCTTTTCCCATTTGTATTAGGTATCTCCAGAAACAGAACAAGTAGGATATTTATAGATATACAGAAATTTATTATGAGGGATCGGCTTACAGGGTTATGAAGGCTGAGGAGTCCTACAATCTGCCATCAGCCAACTGAAGGCCCAGGAAGGTCAATAATGTTATGCTGGTCTAAGCTGGAAGGCCTGAGACCCAGGAGACCCAGTCCAAGTCCGGAGGCCGAGAACTGGAAGCACCAATGTCTGAAGGTAGGAGAAGTTAGATGCCCAGCTTAAGCAAAGAGATAATTCCCACTTCCCCCATTTTTTTCTTCTATTCAGGGTCCCCAGTGTATTAAATAATGCTCACCCACATTGAGAAAGGCCATCTGCTTTACTCAGTTTACCAGTTCAAATGCCGATCTCTTCTGGAAACACCCCTACAGACGTACCCAGAAATGTTCTTTCAGCTATCTGGACATCCCCATAGCCCAGTTAAGTTGACATATAAAATTTACCATCACACTCTCCTACCATTCCTCTTTTTGCCTTTCTTCTATCTCCCCTACTTCCTTATCTCTCTTCTCTTTCTCCAGAATAATAGCTTTATATTTTATGTGTTAGTTTATAATAGGAGTTATACTACAGGAGGTTACCTAGTCTTAAATGACTTGAAATTGAAGGGTGGTGTAGCAGAGTAGTTTTGTTTTGAGGGAGGATCTTCCTTAAAATCCCATTCTGGGTTCCTTTATACATCTTCTCTGGCACTTGACTTCATTTGCTTTAAATAATCTACTGTTCCGTGGTTCCGACTTTCCATTGCCTCCTACACATCTGTTTGGATTGATATTCTGCTGTTCGTCATGCAAGCATGATTTCACTTTGAAAATGATTTCCTTTTGATGGATGCTCTGGTTGTTCAGGCGAGCATGGTCTTGTGTTTTTAACATTCTCTTCAGCTGGTCTCAGCACTCCAACAGCCATCCCTCAGGGTCTCAGTCATTCACTCATGCTAGCTCCGGACTTCTTTGTAATTAAATGCCAAAAATGCTGTATTCCTTGGATTAATCTATATCAGGGCTCAGCAAACTACAGCCGGTGGGCCAAATCTGGCCCTAGCTTGTTTTTGTGTGGCCTGTGAGCTAAGACTGGTTTTTAGGCTTTTTAAGTGTTATAAAAGCAAATGAAAAAAACTACGAAGAATATGTGATAGAGACTGTATATAGCCCACAAAGCCTAAAAGATTCACTATCTGGATCTTTATTGAAAAGTTTGCCTAACCATGATTTCTATTAAAAAATTGTTTTCATGTGACACCACATCATGCAAAACAGCAAGCTTCATGTCTTCCCAATTTAGAAATTCTTTTGGTATGGTTTGACTTTAAGTATAAACCATGTAGACTATATGAAATATTCTTTAGGTAGAGCCCAGAGAAGATCTCAAAAGACAATTAGTGAAGCAGCTGAAACCGAGATTCAGTGAGAGACTTTATGATTGAGTGAGACGTGCTAGACAATGGTTGCAAATGGCTCCAAATTGGAAGTAACAAGGACCAATGCACGAAATTATGTGAAAACTGAACTACTTCTCATTTGGCCTTCTTTGTAGGAAGCTCTAGGGAAGTAGCACCAAGGATTTATTTATCTGATTGTGGGGAATTATTTGGCCAAGAGAACTCAGGGGAGGTTAGCTAGTATTAAGCAACCCTTTCACTCATTCATACCATTCATTATTCATATTGCTCATTATCAAGTGGAAAGGGATAAACCTAGTTATTAGCTTTACACATTGTGACATTTGCATTCAGCTTGAGCACAATACCAGCTATTTTCACAATAAAAAAGTTGATCATCTTATTCCTCTAATCTGCCCCCCTTATCCAGCCTTTTTTCTCACTCTACTCCTTCACAAATTTCTTACCTTAGGCCACATATTCCCTCATATGCTTTTGCACAGGTAGGTGTCCACCTGAAACACCTTTCCCCTAATTCTGTCTATTGAAATTCTGTTTATCCTTCCACGTCCACATTTCCTAGAAACCTCCCAGATGCCCTCAGTTGCAGTTTGTTTCTCTGGGTTCTAGGGTTCCAGTGATCCCGGGCCACTTTTTGGGCTTGTTTCTTGGCCTGGAGGTTCCCTACCACGCAAATGATGTAAATTCAAGTTATACACCCAAATATGTCACAGAACTGGCATTTTGATTTCTGGTGACTATTTTCTAACCCAAGGCCCCAGAAGGGCAGCATCTTTCTTCAAGGCTTTCCTGGACTTGTGGAGAGTTTTCCTGGCTCCTTTTCCCTGGAGAAGGCAGTGCTTCACAGCTCTGACCTTCATGCCCAAGGCCCAGGTAGGCTCCCAGCCTCATATAGAGCCTAGGCTGAACTTCTTGTCCTTCAATCAGCAGTCCCAAGGGCCTCCATTCCATTCAATCCCTATGGGCTGTGGCTGCATCACCCTGCTACTGCGTGCTGCTCTGACTTTGGTGTCTGCCTTTGTTTTTGCTTCCTGCATTTTTACCATTCTTTTGTGCTTGGCTTGTAGTAAAATTGTATTGTGGTGTTGTCCTATTTTATCCAGCATTTCTATGTTTTGGGAGCTGGGTGTAAGATGGTGATGCAGGGAGGTAACCTGCTTATGTCAGCTCATTCTGCTATGTTTCCTGATGGTCCCAGAACAGTATACTCGTGTTCAATGATGGAAGTTGTCACAGCTATTCATTCCATTTAATCTGTGTAAATAGAAAGATCCCAAGTACACCTCTTATGTAATAACACTACTTCTCTGTAACATCTGGATATCTAGGGTTCCCACATAAGATTGTTTCTGGAGTTTTTGCAACTAAAGAAATAGATCCCAATGAGGAAAGGTTAAATTCCCAGAGATGTGTGGGAGACAATGAGCAGGCCAAGGGAAATTTCACAGTACTAAATTATAGTCAATTTTCACTTACCTGGGCAGATGAGCATTTTGCCACAATGCAGATAACCAGGAATTCACTGAGTGGCAGTCAACCCTATGCCAAATAATGTTTAAATTTAAATTATAATTTGGCATTCTAAGAGTACACTTCAAGCACTTCTCATATAGCTAAAATGACTGTTACAAATAGTTAAACAAAGGATTGTTTATATTGAGAATAGCTTGCATTTTAGAGGGCAAATCTGACTTTACAGGTCAATGGATTAACTTTATGCAATTTCACTCATGGTTACAATGGAGGAATAATATAGGACAGGTAGTTAGAAGCCATTTATATCAGGGCATTATTTTATTTCTAAATATGGTTGTATAAAAAATTAAGACAGCTTGACCAATTACTTGGTAATGCTCATCTTTCAGTTACCTAACCTATATATTTTTTTCTAAACTCATATGTGTATATATAAATTATATATTCTTTTTTTTTTTTTTTGAGACAGAGTCTCACTCTGTTACCCAGGCTGGAGTGCAGTGGCGCGATCTCAGCTCACTGCAAGCTCCGCCTCCCGGGTTCACGCCATTCTCCTGCCTCAGCCTCCCAAGTAGCTGGGACTACAGGTGCCTGCCACCACACCCGGCTAAGTTTTTGTATTTTTTAGTAGAGACAGGGTTTCACCGTGTTAGCCAGGATGGTCTCAATCTCCTGACCTCGTGATCCACCCGCCTCGGCCTCCCATAAATTATATATTCTTAATTTGAAATAACAAGTGTCCTCATTCTTCCAGACCGAATCCTTGAATTCATTCCTATAATATGCATGACTGGGAAAACACTGAGTTAATTTTTTTTTTTTTTTTTTTGAGACGGAGTCTCTCTCTCTCTTGCCCAGGCTGGAGTGCAGTGGCACAATCTCAGTTCACTGCCACCTCTGCTTCCTGGGTTCAAGCAATTTCTGGCTAATTTTTGTATTTTTAGTAGAGACGGGGTTTCACCTTGTTGTCCAGGCTGGTCTTGAACTCCCGACCTCAAGTGATCCACCTGCCTTGGCCTCCCAAATTGTTAGGGTTACAGGCGTGAGCCACCACCAATCTTTTCGACAGATGGTGTGTGTTTGCCGCCAAACTTCCATAAGAACAGATACTGAGTACTTTGCTATATCAGCAAGGGATATGAAAGTGGAGCAAAAGACCAAAGAAGGATGAAGGGACCCCTTATTTGACTCTGTTTCATGGTGCTACAGGTTTTATAGTCAGATGGAGACTCAGATTGGGAAGTACAGTTCTGCCTTTTTTAAACATGGAAAACCAGGCTCAAGCAAGGTGAAATGACTTGCTCAGGGTCACATGGCTGGAAGCAGGGCTGCAGCTGGAGCGCAGGCATCTTCTTACCCAGCTCCTCAGAAGGACATTCATTATTGGGATAACTTGAGGAGATTTATGTAACAGCACTTGAAGTTAACGGGGTCTTTGGAATGCATGTCTACCTTGTGGCATAAAAAGCACTGCCTGTGTATGTGTAGCTTTGTTACAGAAGGAAGCAGACACATACTTGGCATATATATTTATTTCCTTCTAACTGTTGATTCTAAACCATCTGAATGTTTCTAAACATTCTGTAATATAAGGAATTGCAACTCATTTCCCATATTTTGTGCAGTGTGTGGTACTGAGATATTATTTATGTGGGCAAGTTGGGAATTGTGATGGGAAGCTAAACATGAATAGGACAATAAAAAGAGAAACATATTTAATTTTCTTAGGGAAACTTTGAAATATAATATGGAAAAAAAATCAAAGTGTGCATTTTAAGGGACAGCTGGGATCCTGACCCTCTGGTGCAGTAAACACTGCATTTTTTTTTCCATATTGACAGATACACAGCCTCTGCATTTGACATTGCTGGTTATTGTTTAATGCTTAGCATAATCCTCTGCTTGGGAGCATTCACAGGACACTTGTTGGTTGACTGACTAATTCTTCACATCACAGAACTGACCAGTTGTGAGAGTTGCTCAAATCTTTAGTTTACAGTTGAGCAAATAAACAAGAGTGGGGACATAGCTTTAGACTCACAAATGGCATGGAATATCTCAGACACTTTCTGCAGTTCTAATATTGATCTAGGAGTGTTCTTAAAACATTACTATGGCAACAATCCCTATTCAGTGGGGGAAAGCAATGCATTATCTATGCAAAGAAAGAAGTGAGAAAAGAGTATTTCAGATGCCGCCTTTTTATGCCCTGCAGATTGATGTGCCCTGACCTCTCAGTATTATTTTTGCTGAGGACAGTGTCTGGAAAATAAGATGTGTTGAGAGCTACTGACTGACTCTGGAAGATGTCATCAATTCAAATACTATGTCACAGAAAATCGCATCTTGATGATTTAAGATTTTCCACAAAAATGAATACTTTCATCATATTTGAAGTTAATCAGGTTTATCACTTGAGAACACCATGAAAAAAATAATATTTTCAGCCAGTAGCTGAAGATAGTAGCATAGGGTACGGTACAAAGATATGGCTGTAGGTGTTCATAAATTTGTTCATGTGGCATTTACTGAACAAATATTTTTCGAGCATAGTCTGTGAGTAAGAAGGGTGCTAGATGTCAATTCCATCAGCAAGAGTTACTAGAGCTTATTGATGCTTTTTGAACATTTATGACCAGGTTTTGCTTCTATCATTAAACAAGTCATGCCTCTGCCAAGCATGATCAAACTCAACACTTCATTTCTTTCTTTTTTTCCTTCACAGAATCTAGAAATAGCAGGTAACTTACCAACTGTTTTATCATCTTTGTTTCAAAGATGAGAAAACTAAGGAAACTAGTCAGTCTGTATAGTATAAATTACAGTGTAAACTGGCCATTTGCCATAATTTGCTTCATGTTGATGGTCAAACCTGATGGAATACTTTGTGTGTGTGTATATATATATATATAGTATATATACGTATAGATGTATCTATAGTCTGTATGTATAGATACGTATATTTGTATATGTACATATATAAAGTATGTATGTATAAATGTATACATAAAGTGTGTATATGTGTGTATATATGTGATATATATGCATACTTTTAAGTATATGACTCATATATATGCATACATATGCACACACATATAAGTATATGAATTACCTGGATTCACTAGATAAGTAGATTACTCAAATGCTATATTATTTATTACATAAATATGGTCCAGGGCTAGCAGCATCAGCATCATCTGGGAGCTTGATAGAAATGAAGAATCTCAGGCCCCACCCCAAATCTACCAAATCAAAGTCTGCCTTTTAACAAGATCCCCAGGTGATTCACGCACAATTAAAGCTTGAGAAGCATTTCTGTAACAGATTTTAACCAGCCAAGTGAGTTGAGAGTTGAGACAATTATCTAAAGGAAGAAATCTGTTTCAATTCTCTATATAGTTTTTAAAAAGTGATTATCTGGGAGGTAGAAGGGAGAATGGTCAGGATGTTGAACTATATGGATAAGTACTTCCATTCTCAGATTTGTTGCCCGTGTGGTCATGCCATGATGCCTGCTCAAGAATAAGCTTTCAAGTCTCTTAAATCCCCAGTGAATTAGGATAGGCAAAGTATTGCTCATTATTTAAAGATAAATTATTTATTATGCAAACAATAGAAATTTAAAAATTAAAAAGAAAATCCTAACTCTCATCATGTGGCCTTTCAATTTCAATGAGCTGCCAGTCTCTGCATATTCACACATGATGTTTACATACTTGTATTTGTACAATCATTCATTTACTCCAAGCAATAGGGTGAACATGGACAAAGCTATGGAGGTTAGATGGAAAGAATGTAATGTTTGAAGATTTTGTATTCATTCTCTTTTGTATAGTGCTATGTTGAGCTAATTGTAATGATAATTAGTAACAATAATTCTGGCTATAATCAAATGTCCTAATCATGATTTGTAATGACTGTAACACATCTTACTGAATTGCTGCAAAAACATTATTTAATCATTCTGCTATTAGATACATATTCAGATAATTTCTATGTTTTGTCATTATAAATAATGCAGTAATAAACATCTTTGTGCAGTCTGTATAGTTTGAGCCATCAAATTCATTTCATAGCATAAATTACCAATAATCAAATTATTGAATATAAATATATATAATATTTTACAAAGCACACCTATAATATATACACACTTATGGATAAAGTTGTTCTAGAAAAAGCCTATAACAATTTATTTTGAATCCTGCATTGTTAGAGCATTCCAGTTTCAACGCATCTTGCTAGCAATAGAAATAATTATTTCCAAATTTATTAATCAGCATACAGCATTATTTTTCCACAATGAAAAATAATTGAAACTATAACTAAAATTAACTTTCTCTATCTTGTTTTCTTAGAGCAAAATTTCCCAGTGTATCTTCTGTGATCCAAACCATAAATGGGCAACAAGTGTATTGGGATATTGTGCTCCATGATCTTCTGAGCAACACTGGAGATAATTGAAGCCTCTGTCTGGATGGTCACTCCCCACCATGAACAGTGTGGGAAAAGTTTGGGCAGACTTAGAATCACTGTTTCCTCTACTTCAGTTCTTTCTTTTTTTTTTCTACAGAAACAGTTTTTAAAATTAACATTTGTAGGGCAGAGAAAATACTCTGTATGATACTTGCATTAGGCTGTTCTTGCATTGCTATAAAGAAATACCTGAAACTGTATACTTTATTAAAAGAGAGGTTTAATTGGCTCACAGTTCTGCAGGCTGTACAGGAAGCATAGCACCAGAATATGCTTCTCAGAGGCCTCAGAAAGGTTTTACTCATGGTGAAAGGCAAAGCAGGGAGCTTGCATGCCACATGACAAAAGCAGAAGCAACACGGACAGGGGGTGGGGTGGTATACACTTAAACAACCAGATCTCGAGTGAGCTGACTCACTATCACAAGGACAACATCAAGGCATGAGGGATCTACCCCCATGACACAAACACCTCCCACCAGACCCCACCTCCAACATTGGGAATTACAATTCAACATGAGATTTGGTGGGGACATATATTCAAATTATGTCATTCCACCCCTAGCCCCCACATCTCATGTCCTCACATTGCAAAATACAATATTGCCTTCCCAATAGTCCCCCAGATGTAACTCATTCTAGCATCAACTCAAAAGTCCCAAGTCCCAAGTCCAAGTCCAAAGTCTCATCAGACAATGAGTTCCTTCTACCTACGATACTGTAAAATCAAAACAAGCCATTTACTTCCAAGACCCAGTGGGGGTATAGGCATTGGGTAAACACTTCCTTTCCAAAAGGGAAAAATTGGCCCAAAAAAAGGAAGCCAGAGGCTCCATGCAAGATCAAAACCCAGCAGGGCAGCCCTTAAATCTTATAGCTCCAAAATAATCTCCTTTGACTCCATGTCCCACATCCAGAGCATGCTGGTGTAAGGGGTGGGCTCCCAAGGCCTTGGGCAGCTCTACCTCTTTGGCTTTGCAGGGTTCAGCCCCCATGGCTGCTTTCACAGGTTGTTGTGTGCCTGGGGCTTTTCCAGGTGCAGGGAGCAAGCTACCAGTGGACGTAGCATTCTGGAGTCTGGAGGATGGTGGCCCCCTTCTCACAGCTCCACTAGGCAGTGCCTCACTGGGGACTGTGTGGGGATTCCAACCCCACATTTCCCCTTGGCACTCTCCTAGCAGAGGCTCTCTGTGAGGGCTCTGCCTCTGTGGCAGGCTTCTGCTTGGGCACCCAGGCTTTCCCATACATCCTCTGAAATCTAGGCAAAGGCTACTAAGACTCCTTTACTCTTGCACTGTGTGGGCCTGCAGGCTTAACACCACATGAATGCCTCCAAAGCTCATGGCTTTTGTCGTCTGGAGTGGCAGCCAGAGATGTACTGGAGTCCCTTTGATCCACAGCTGACGATGGAGCAGAGGAGATGTAGGAAGCAGTGTCCTGAGACTGCACAGGGCAGCAGGACCCTAGGCCTGGTTCATGAAACCATTCAGTCCTTCTGGGCCTCTGAGCCTATGATAGGAGGGGCTGCTGTGAAGGTCTTAGAAATACCTTTGAGACCTTTTTCCCATTGTCTTGGCTATCAGCACTTGTCTCCTTTTAAGTTATGCAAATCTCTCTAGCAAGTGGTTGCTCTGCAACCTGCTTGAATTTCTCTCCCCAAAAAGCTTTTTCTTTCTCTGCTGCATATCTAGGCTACAAATTTTCCAAACTTTCATGTTCTGCTTCCCTTTTAAATATAATTTCCAATTTAAAAAAATTTATTTGCTCCTACCTCTGAGTGTATCCTGTTAGAAGCAGCCAGGCCACACCTTGAACACTTGGCTGCTTAGAAATTTCTTCTGCCAGGCACCCTAGCTCATCACTTCAAGTTGAAATTTCCAAAGATCCCTAGGGCATGGGTACAATGCAGCCAAATTTTTTGCTAGGACACAACAAAGGTGACCTTTGCTCCAGTTTTTAGTAAGTTCCTCATTTGCCTCTGAGACCTCAGCAGCCTGGACTTCACTGTCCATATCACTGTCAGCATTTTGGTCACAATCATTTAACTACTCTAAGAAGTTCCAAACTTTCCTTCCTCTTCCTGTCTTCTTCTGAGCCCTCTAGACTCTCCCAATATCTGCCCGTTACCCAATTCCAAAGTTGCTTTCACATTTTCAGGTATCCTTATAGCAATGTCCCACTCCTGGTACCAATTTTCTGTGTTAGGCCATTCTTGCATTGCTATAAAGAAATACCTGAGACTGGGTAATTTATAAGAAAGAGATTTAATTAGTTCATGGTTCTGCAGGCTTTACAGGAAGTATAGCATCAGCGTCTGCTCTTGGGAGGGCTCAGGAAGCTTTTACTTATGTTAGAGGGTGAAGCAGGAAGCTTGCATGTTACATGGAGAAATCAGGAGCAAGAAGGAGTGGGAGGGGGGTGTCACACACTTAACCAAATCTTGCGAGAACTCACTTACTATTGTGAGGACACTACCAAGCAGAAGGGATCTTCCCCCATGACCAAAACACCTCCCACCAGGCTCCCCCTGCAACATTCCCCAATGTTGATTAAATTAAATGGGATTAATATTCAACATGAGATTTGGTGGGAACATATATTGAAACTATATCATACTATAAGGCTGAATACAGTACGTGGCATTATACATCTGTCCAAACCATAGAATGTATACCACCAAAGGTGAGCCCTAATGTAAACTATGAACTTTAGGTTATGATGAGGAGCCAGTGTGGGTTCATTGATTGTAACAAATATACCACTATGGTGCTTGATGTTGATAGTTGGGGAGGTTACACATGTGTTGGGGTAGACAATAAATGGGGAATCTCTGTATCTTTCACTCAATTTTGCTGTGAACCTAAAACTGCTCTAAACAATATAAAGTCTTTAAAAAATAATATACTTTATTTTTTGATAAGTTTTGGGTTTACAAGACAATTGAACAGAAGGCACAGAGAGTTCCTAAATACTCACTCAACCCAAACACACCTCCTGGTTTCCCTTATTATTAACATCATGCATTAGTGTGGTACACTTGTTACAAATGATGAGCCAATCTTGATACATTAATATTAAAGTCCATAGTTTAAGGTTCACTCTTAGTATTATACACTTCTATGAGTTTTGACAAAAACCCTATCACATGCATCTACCACTACAGTATCATATAGAATAGTTTCACTGTTCTGAAAATCACCTGTGCTCCACTTATTCATCCTTTCTTCACCTCTTTCCTCGGAACCCCTAGCAATCACTGATCTTTTTATTGTCTCCACAGGTTTGCCTCTTCCAGACTGTCATATAGTTGTAATCTTATAGTATATAGCCTTTTCAGATTGGCTTTTCTTACTTAGCAAGTTTCCTCCATGTCTCCTCACAGTGTGATAGTTCATTTCTTTTTATTACTGAATAAGATTTCATTGTATGGATGTACCACCGTTTGTTTACCTATTTACCTATATTGGTTGCTTTCAAGTTTTAGCAATTATGAATAAACTGCTATAAACAAAAGACATCAAATCAACCTAGATGCCATGAACAGCAGACTGGATGAAGAAAATGTGGTACATATACACCATGGAATACTGCACAGCTACTAAAAAAAAAATGAGATCCTGGCCTTTGCAGCAACATGGATGGAGCTGAAGGCATTATCCTAAGCAAAGTAATGCAGAAACAGAAAACCAAATACTGCATGTTCTGACCTATAAGTGGGAGCTAAACATTGAGTATACATGAACACAAAAAAAGGATCAATAGACATTGGGGCCTATTTGAGGGTGGTGGGTGAGAGGAGGGTTAAGATTGAAAAACTACCTATCAGGTATTATCCTGATTACCTGGGTGACAAAAGTATCTGTATACCAAACCCTTGGGACATGCAATTTACCCATGTAATGAATTTGCACCTGCACCCCTGGAACCTAAAAAAAAGCTGGAAAGAAAAAAAAAAGATAAAACTTATAATTAAAAAAAAACTGAGGTAGGAAATTAAAGAAAAAAATAAAAAATAGAATTAAAAAGAGAAAAACAAACTTTCTATATTAGGCTGACTCATCCCAAAGGCAGTAACAGGCAAAGCCTGGACCCAGGCGAAGTCTCAATAACATTATCAAAGAAGCCAGGGCTCAGAGGAATGTGCTCTAGAGACTCTCCCAGCACTCTCTCAAAATAAGGAGAAGAAAACAAATTTCCCTTTCCCCTATGATATGAGTAAACTTATGAGTTTATAGATTCCTGTTTTCTGTAACTAGTAACTTCAAGTATTCTGTTTTATCTAAGCAGCACAGTGAAAGTTATAAGACATGCCTGAGCAGGCCTGGGCTGCAGCCATCTAGGTGCCATAGCAAAGGTTATGAGATAAACCCGTGCAAGGCACTAGAGCAAGCCTGGATAAC
The DNA here is from genome assembly GCF_000001405.40 of Homo sapiens. Lineage (NCBI taxonomy): Eukaryota > Metazoa > Chordata > Mammalia > Primates > Hominidae > Homo > Homo sapiens. Next base: position 88,031,525 of record NC_000006.12, read on the forward strand.
AGCCATCTAGACCTCATAGCAAGAGTTGCATGTAATCCTGAGTTATGAACCTGTCACAATTTGATTAACTGCCTTTGTTCTGCCTCTGTCTCCTTGCTTTCACACCACTACACACTACTATAAGCTTATTCCAAGCTAGCCCACCCCCTTTTAGAAGTGTGTATAAAAGTCAAGTGCTGTCTTTGTTCTAGGCCCAGTTTTTGGATGTTAATCTGCTAAGTCTAAGTGCACTCAATAAACATCCTACTATTTCACCCCGTAGTCTCTCTAGTCCTCCTCATTCCCACAACAAAACAAAACAAAATGAAACTGCCATAAACATTTGTATGTGGGGCTTTGTATAAACATGTTTTCAATTCATTGGGGTAAATACCAAGGAGCAAAACTGCTGTATCATATGGTCAGAGTATGTTTAGTTTTGTGAATATTGCCAATCTGTCTCCCAAAGTTGCCATATCATTTTGCATTTCCATCAGCAATACATGAGAGTTCCTCTTGCTCCACAAACTCACCAGCATTTGGTGTTTTAGTGTTTTTGAGTTTTAGTTGTGTGGTGGTTTATCATTGTTGTTTTAATTTGCAATATCTTAATGACATGTTGTGTTGAGGATCTTTCTCTATGCTTATTTGCCATTTGTATATCTTCTTTGATGAGATGTCCATTCAGAACTTTTGGCTATTTTTCAATTGGGTTGTTTGTTTTCTTATTGTTAAGTTATAAGAGTTCTTTGTTGAATTCTTTGGCTATCAGTCCTTATGTGTTTTGCAAATATTTTCTTCCAGTCTGTGGCTTGTCTTTTCATGTTCTTAATAGCATCTTTCACAGAGAAGTTTTTAAAATTTTAATAAAGTCTATTGATGAAAAGAGTCAAACTCTGTAAAATACTTGAAGAGATTTATTCTGAGCCAAATGGGAATGTTAAAGCCTGTGACACAGCCCCAGGAGATCCTGAAAACATATACCCAAGGTGGTTGGGCTACAGCTTGTTTTTTTTTGCATTTTAGGGAGACATAAGACATCAATCAGTGCATGTAGGATATACATTGGTTTGGTCCAGAAAGGCAAGACAAGTTGAAGTATGAAGTGGCGGGTGTGGGTGTGGGGGTGCTTCCAGGTCATAGGTGGTTGCAAAGATTTTCTGATTAGAAATTGGTTGAGTTCTCTAAAGACCTGGAATCAATGGACTTCATAAGAAGTCTAGTTTATTTTAATTGTCTAACTTGCCATTTAAAAGATAAATTATTTTTTAGGAAACTAAAATAAAAGAGTTTATTCTTTTATTAAAAATTCATTACTTAGTAGATTTTCACCAGGTATTGACAGAAAGAAGGAATTTTTAAGTACTGATTTATATCATTTGCATGATCTATCATATCAATAGAAGTGTGATCATAGAATCACCACCCTTTCTCTGTTGGATTGTCTTCTCTCCTTTGTAAAAGATCAGTTGACTATATTTGTTTGGGTCCATTTCTGGGTTTTCTTTACTGTTCTGTTGAAATATTTGTCTTTTTTTTTTCCCACCAATACAACACTGTCTTGGTTACTGTAGCTTGAGAGTAAGTCTTGAAGTCAGGTAGTGTCAGTGCTCTGACTGTTCTGCTCCTTTAAATACTGTCTTGGTTGTTCTGGGTCTTTTGTCTTTCTGTGTAGACTTTGGAATGTTTGTCAATGTCCACAAAGTAACTTGCTGGGACTTTGATTGGGTTGCATTGAATCTACAGATCAAGTTGGGAAGAATTGACATGTTAAAACATTTAGGGTGATAGGTGTCGACTAGTAGGGTCTGGAGTAGCCTGTGGTCTGGCCTTTTAATAGCAATTCAAAAAGGCTGTTATAGGAAAAGTTTACTCCAGCTCTTTGGCATTCTGGGATTTGGGGGCAACCACAGTGGGGTGCAGTCAGTGAGTAGATAGCACCCTGAACCAGACCCTGCATTGGGGCTCACAATCTGGAATGATAAATGACACAGGTAAATCAATATATTGGGTAATTTCAGAGTAATTCAAGTGTTTATTGAGCAGCTTCTGTGTGCAAAACTCTTTTCTAAGCACTTAGGAGACACCAGAAAAGATAACAAAAATTCCTCCCCTGGAGTAGCTCACATTCTAAAGGCCTGAAGGAGGTGGCCGGGTAGGGGACAAGCAAGGAATGATGTTGATAATTAAGTGATTCATGCTGTAGAAAAAAATAGATTAGCAAGGGATAGAGCACAGGGGAGCAGGAGTTAGAGGACCTTTTATTAAGAAGTTGACACTTGAGCAAACACTGAAGTTCACAGAGGTTGTCTCAGAACAGTGCTCAGGCTAAAGAACAGCCAATGTGCAGGCCTTGCTGGGGATGCCTGGCACTTAGGAGGAGCAACAGAAGCTGTTGTGGCTTCAGGGAGTGAGTGAAGACGAAAATTTAAGGACAGGAAGGCAGAGATAATGTGGTTCCTTGTGAGGAGCTGTCTTCAAGTTCAAGGTTTTGAGCCATTTGTGCTACTGGCTAGAAAGCTGATAGAATAGTCTGGTAGAAAGTAACAGGGAAGGAGACTGGGAGGGAATGATCAGGGAAAATCTCTGTGAGAAGGAGAGAGACATTTGAATGAAAAGAAGAAAGCAGGCAAATGGAGGTAAGGGGAAGAGCTTTCCATGCAGGGGAGAATAGCCAGTACAAAGATCCAGTGGTGGGAAAAAGCTTAGAGTCCAAGGGAGAGATGCCAATGTCTCCCTGCAGGGTGAAATGTGTAATGCCTGGAGATGTTTGTAAAAATAAAAATAAAAATAAAAATAAAAAAATTAAGTCTTCCTATCCATGTATATGAACTGTCTCACCATGTGTTATCTTCCTTGATTTCTTTCATCACAGTCTTACAATTTTCCTCATATAAATTTTGTGCTTATTTTTACAGATTTCTTTTTTCTTTTTAGTGTGAATGTAAATGACATTATGTTTTCATTTCAAATTTCAATTTTTCACTGCTGGTATATAAGAAAGCAATTTATATATTAACCTTGTATCCTGCAATCTTGTTAAAATTGCTTATTAGCTTCAGGGTTTTCTGATGTTGATTCTTTGGGATTTTCTACATTGATGGTCATGTCATCTATGAACAAATACATTTTTATTTCTTCCTTTCCAATCTGTATACATTTTATGTTATTTTCCTATCTTATTGTATCAGCTAGGACTTCCCAGTAGGATGTTAAATAGGAGTGGTAAGAACAGACATTCTTGCCTTGTTCCTACCTGATCTTAGGGGTAGATCTTGCTTCTCACCATTAAGTATAACAGTAGCTGTATGGTTTTTGTAGATGTTTTATATCAAGTTGAGGAAGTCCCTCTCTATTCCTAGTTTGCTGAGGGTTTTTTTTTTTTTTTAATCATTAATGGGTTTTGGGTTTTCTCAAATGTTTTTTCTGCATCTATTGATAAAATCATGTTTTTTCTTATTTAGCCTGTTGATGTAATGAATTAAATTAACTGATTTTTGAAACCACACATGGAATAAATCCCACTGGTTCATGATGTATAATTCTTTTTATACACCATTGGGTGTTATTTGCTAATAATTTGTTGTGGATTTTTACATCTGTATTCATGAGAGATGGTTAGAGATATTGGTCTGCAGTTTTCCTTTCTTTCAGTGTCTTTGGTTTCACTACTGGTGGAATGCTGGTCTCATAGAATGTTAGAGAGTATTCTTTCTGCTTCTATTTTCTCTAAAAGATTATAGATAATTAGTATAATTTCTTTCTTAAATTTTTGGTGGAATTTATCAATGAACCCATCTGGGCCTGGTGCTTTCTGTTTTGACAGGCTACTAATTATTGATTTAATTTCTTTAATAGATATAGGCCTATTCCAACTGTGTATTTCTCCTTGTGTGGATTTTGGTAGATTGTATCTTTCAAGGAGTTGGTTCATTTATCTGGGTTATATACGTGGACATAGAGTTGTTCAGAAGATTCCTTTATTAACCTTTTAATGCCCATGGAATCAGCAGTGATGACCCATCTTTTATTTCTTATATTAATGTATTCTCTTTTTTTCTTAGTTAGCCTGGCTAGAGGTTTATTGATTTGATTGATCATTTCAAAGAACCAGGTGTTAGTCTTGTTGATTTTCTTTATTGATTTCCTCTTGCCAAGTTCATTGATTTCTGCTCTAATTTTTATTCTTTCTTTTTTTTTTTTTTGAGACAGAGTCTTGCTCTGTCGCCCAGGTTGGAGTGCAGTGGTGCGATCTCCGCTCACTGCAAGCTCCGCCTCCCGGGTTCACACCATTCTCCTGCCTCAGCCTCCCAAGTAGCTGGGACTACAGGCACCCACCACCACACCCGGCTAATTTTTTTATTTTTAGTAGAGATGGGGTTTCACCATGTTAGCCAGGATGGTCTCAATCCTCGGCCTCCCAAAGTGCTGGGATTATAGGTGTGAGCCACTGCACCCAGCCTATTTCTTCTCTTCTGCCTACTTTGGGCTTAATTTGTTCTTCTTTTTCTAGTTTCTGAAGTTGGAAGCTTAGGATATTGATGCTATATCTTTCTTTTCTTTCATATATACATTCAATACTTTAAATTTTCCTCTAAGCACTGTTTTTTCTGTATCTCACAAATTTTGATAAACTGTATTTTCAAAATATTTCTAAATTTTCCTTGAGACTTCTTATTTGACCCACGTGTTATTTGGAGGTATGTTGTTTAACATTCAAATATTTGAGTAAGTTTCCATCTATCATTCTTTTATTGATTTTAAGTTGAATTCTATTGTGGTCTGAGAATATGCTTTGCATGATTTCCATTTTTTTAATATCTATGATGGGGTGTCTTATGGCTCAGAATGTATTCTATCTTGATAAATGTTCCAGGTTAGCTTGAGAACAACGTGTATTCTGTTGTGTATAAATGTCAATTAGGTCCAGTTGACTGATAATGCTGTTCAAGCCAATTCTATCTTTACTTATTTTCTGCTTGTTTCATCTCTCAATTACTTGACAAGAGGGATGTTGAAGTGTCCAACTATAATAGTGGATTTATTTATCCATTGAGTTATATCAATTTCTTCCTCATATTTCAAAACCCTGTTGTTAGGTGCATATATGTTTAGGATTGTTAGATCTTCTTGGACATAAATATTTTCTACTTGTCAAGAGCAATTGTTTAAGATTAATCTAAGACTTTAGAGACCAAATAAAATATAAGCTTTTATGTACAAACTGAAGACAGTATTTAGTATTTACAATTCCATCAACTATATTTTATGGCTAAAAAAGAAAAAGAGGAATTGTTGCACAATTTGAGTCAACTGGTCTCAAGTTTGGTATGAACAATATCTTAGAAACCCTTGACGAAAATGGATAATGTCCCTATCATGTTATACCGCACTCATACAAGTTTCACAGAGGGGTAGGGACTAATGCCATTGTGACACTCTCCTTACAGAGGCATCTTTATTAAATTGAATACTAATGTAAAGTTCAGGTTATAAGTATACATGATTCATTTATTTTAAAGGTACTTAGAATTAAGTATCACTCAGTACCTACATAAAGGCCTGTCCCCAGATCTACTAGGGAAAAAGCCACCAGAAGGTTGGAAAAGTCATCTAATGCCTAGAAATGATGTATAATAATGATAGCTAGTAATGATATCTTCTGGCCACTTCCTAAATCCTTGGGTAAGGAAACTACTCTCCCTACTAGTACTAGTCTGTTAATGATAAACATTCAGAGAAAAATTCTAGTCACTAATCAATTCTAGTCACTAATCAAAAGTGATATTTGATATGTAGGAAATGATGGGGCTCAGAGAAGCTGGAAAATGTGGCCCCCAAAAGAAAATTTCAGAGCCTTATTTGAGAGATCTAACTTCATAATTGAACTGTAATATAAAGTTGGACTAACTCCTTTTTCATGATATTCAACTGGAGCTTTCTGAATATCTGAATTTCCTAGATTTTTATTCATGAAATAGGGGGACAGGGAAGGAAGCCACCACATCCAAGACCATTAGAACATACATTGAGATTTTGGCTAATGCCAAAGATGGAATAAGAATAATTGGTTTTACCCTGCTATGTCTAGCAACTCACTCTTTTGTCTGCCCTACCCGCAAGCAGAAAAAACTATGAAACAACAGTTTGCAAGACACTGGCCATCAGGCAATGAAGTACAGTGATCCCTTAGAGATGGCAAACAATGAGGTAGGCTTACAGTTGCCCCAGAATATTGCCTTAAGAGAGTTTGCAGGCTGTGGTGCAGGGAGGGTGAAGCCAGGAAGAACCTGGCACACTCTCTGAGTTGAAGGCATGGAGCTGACATTACCTGATGATAAATAAGTTAATCTACCAAGAAGATATAGCAATCTTAAATGTGCATGCACCAAACAACTAAGTTGCAAAATATGTGAAGCAAAAACTGTTATAACTGAAAGGAGAAATAGCAAATCTAAAATTATACCTGGAAACTTCAACACCGATCTCTAAGCAATAGATAGAACAACCAGACCAAAAAATGAGCAAGGACATAGAAGAACTGAATAGCACCATCAACCAGCAGCATCTAATTGACAGAGAACATGCCACTCAACAACAGAAGAATACAGACTCTTCCCAAGAGTCAATGGAACATATACTAAGATAGAACATATCTTGGCCATAAAACAAACCTCAACACATTTAAAATAATTGAAATCATACAGAATGTGTTTTCTGACCACAATGGAATCAAACTAGAACTCAATAACAGAGAGATAACAGGAAAATCTCCAAACATATGAAAACTAAATAACATTCTGATAAATAATCCATGGGTCAAAAATGAAGTCTCAAAGGAATTAAAAAATACTTTGAACTAAATAAAAATGAAAATATATCAGAATTTGAGAAACACACCTTACATAGTGCTGAGAGGGATATTTATAGCACTAAATGCTTATATTAGAAAAGAAAACAGTCTCAAATGAATAACCTAAGCTCCCACCTTAAGGAACTGGAAAAAGAAGAGAACAATAAGCTCAAAGCAAGCAGAAGGAAAGAAACAATAAAGATAAGGGTAAAACTCAAAACAGAAAATAAAGAAAATTAACAAAACGAAAACCTCACTCTTTGAAAAGATAAACTGACAAATCTCTAGCAAGAATGACAAAGAAAAAAAGAAAACACAAATTATCAATATTAACAGTGAAACAGAGGCTATCACTACAGATGCTGTAGACATCAAAAAGATAACAAGGGAACACTACAAAGAACTCTACACCTATAAAATTGGCAACTTAGACAAAATGGACTAATCTCTCAAAAAGGACAAACTACTATAACTCACCAAGATGGTATAGATAATTTGAATAACCCTACAGCCATTTAGGAAATTGATTTTGTAAAAATCAAATTAAAAATTCCCCCAAAAGACATATCCAGGCCCAGATGGTTTCACTGGAAAATTCTACTGGGGGAATACAGTTGGTCCTCCCTATCTGCAGGTTATGCATTTGCAGGTTAAACCAATCACAAATCAAAAATATTTGAAACAAATTAAAAAAAGAAACAATAAAAAATAATACAGAGAGACAGAGAGAGAGAGAGAGAGAGAGAGAGAGAGAGAGAGAAAATGTGTCCTGGAACCAATGCCTCCTGAAACTAAAGGAAAACTGTACTTCTCAACTCATTCTATGAAGCTAGCTTTATTCTAAAAAAAGACACAGACAGTACAAAACAAACCAAAAAAATGAAAACAAAACAAAACTACAGACCAATTATCTCTCATGAGTATAGATTTTATAATCCTTGAGAATATATTAGCAAATTCAGCAATATGTAAAAAAAAGAATTATACTATATAATCAAGTGGAGTTTAACAGGGATGCAAAACTGGTTCAATATTCAAAAATCAATCAATGTAATTCATCATATTAAGTCTAAAGGTAAAAAATTATATGATCGTTTCAATTGATGTAGAAACAGCATTTGACAAAATTCAATACCCATTAATGATTAATTTTTTAAAACTCCCAGAAAAATAGGAATGGGGGAACTGCCTCATCTTGAGCATCTACAAAAAACCCACAGCTAATATTATACGTCATAGTGAAAGACTAAATGCTTTTCTCCCAAGGTCAGGAACAAAACGCTCTTATTCAGCCTAGTACTGAAAGTTCTAGCCAGTGCTGTCAGGCAAGAAAAGGAAATAAAATGCATACAGATTGAAAAGGAAGAATTAAAACTGTTCCTATTTGCATATGACATGATTGTGTAGAAAATCCCAAGGAATCTGCATAAAAACACCTAGACCTAATAAGTGAATGTAGCAAGTTCAAAGGATACAAGATAAACATACAAAAATAAAAGTACAAAAGTAAACATACAAAGTAAAAGATGATAAATTGGACTTCATCAAAATTAATTTTTTTTTGCCTGTGAAAGACTCTATTAAGAGGATGGAAAACTAGCAATGGACAGGGAGAAAATATTTGCAAACCACATGTCTGACAAAGGACTAGTACAACATTTGGAATATATATCATATACTTATCAATACAGCTAAAATTTAAAAAATAGTTGTTAAAGATGTGGAGAAACTGGATCACTCATACATTGCTTGCAGGAATGTAAAACGGTTCAGCTACTTTGCAAAACAATGTAGCAGTTTCTCTAAAAGGTAAACATATACTTTTCATACAACCTAGTAACTGTGCTCCTAGCATTTATCACAGAGAAGTGAAAATTTATATTCATACAAAATCTGTATATGAATGTTTATAGCAACTTTGTAATAGCCAAAAACCAGAAACAATCCAGATGTCCACTAATAGGTGAATGGTTAAACAAATTGTGCTACATTCATATCATAGAATACTACTTGGCAATAAAAAGGAACGAACTATTGCTACACACATTAGCCTGAGAATTACATGGAATAAAAAAACAGTAATCTCAAAAGCCTGTATACTCTATGATTCCATTTATATAGCATTCTTGAATTGACAAAATTATAGAAATGGACAATAGATTGGTAGTTGCCAGTGGCTAAAGAGGGTGTTAGAGCAGCAGAGGAGCGAGTGTGGCTATAAAAGGGCAACATGAAGAGCCTTGAGGTGAACCAAATGTTTTATGTCTTGACTATATCAATGTTAATATCCTGGATGATATTTTACTGTAGTTTTACAAGATGTTACTATTAGGGAAACTAGATAAAGCACACAAAGGACTTCTCTGTATTACTTCATATAACTGTGTGTAAATCTACAATTGTCTCAAAATAAAAAGTTTAATTTAATACATAGTAGCTATATGTTGCCTACCAAAAATACAACTTAAATATAAAGCCACAATAGGTTAAAAATAAATGGGGGCTGGGCACTGTGGCTCACACCTGTAATCCCAGCACTTTGAGGGGCTGAGGTGGGCAGATTGCCTGAGGTCAGGAGTTCGAGACCAGCCTGGCCAACATGGTGAAACCCTGTCTCTACTAAAAATATAAAAATTAGCTGGGTGTGGTGGTGGGCACCTGTAATCCCAGTTACTCGGGAGGCTGAGGCAGGAGAATCACTTGACCCCAGGAGACAGAGGTTGCAGTGAGCTGAGATCATGCCACTGTACTCCAGCCTGGGCAACAGAGCAAGACTCCATCTCAAAAAAAAAAAAAAAGTAAATGGAAAGAAAATATATACTATACTAACATTAGTTTAAAAAAAACAAAGCTGGATTGCTTATTTTAATATAAAAACACATATTTCAAAGAAAAGAATATCACCATGGATAAAAAAGATTATTTCATAAGATAAAGAGATCATTAATCATGAGGACATAAGATCTTAAATATGTATGCCCCTAATAATAGAGCTTCAAAATGTATGAGGCAAAAATGGATAGAGCTGCAAAAAACAATAGAAAAATTCACATAGTTAGAGATTTTAATACCTCTCTTTTAACAATTGATAGAACTAGTGACATAAAATCAGCAACGGTATAGTTGACTTGACAACACTATCAATTAACTTGACCTAACTGGCATTTATAGAACACTCCACCCAACAAGAGCAGAATACACATTCTTTTCAAGTGCACATGGAACATCTACCAATATAGATTATATTCTAGGCCATAATACTAATCTCAACAAATTTAAAAGGATTCAAGTCTTACAAAGTATATTCTATGACCATAACACAGTTAAAGCAGACATTTAATTATCTGGAAAATTAAAAAATATTTGGAAACTAAATGCCACTTTTCTAAATAACCTATGGGTCAAAAAAATCAAAATGAAAATTAAAAAATATTTCCAATTGAATGAAAATGAAATCACAGCATATCAGAAACTGTGGGCTAATGTTAAAATAGGACTCAGGAAGAAATGTATAACACTTAATGCCTATGTTTAAAAAATAAGAAAAATCTCAAATCAACAACCTCATCTTCCATTGTAAGGAATTAGAGAAAGAAGAGCAAATTAAAACTAAAGTAGGCAGAGAAAAGGGAATAAAAATTAAAGCAGAAATCAATAAGCTAGAAAACATAAAAACAATAAAGTAATTGAAACCAAAAGTCAGTTCTTTGAGAGTACATCAATAAACTTCCTAAACCTTTAGCCAGGCTAAGAGAGAAAGCATAGGTTACCAACATCAAACATGAGGGAGATAACATCACTATAGTTTCTACAGATATTAAGTGGATAATAAGAAAATATTATGAACACTGTTATCACTATACATTTTGTAATTTAGATGAAATGGACAAATTCCGTGGAAGGCACAAACTACCAAAGCTCACTCTAGAAGAAACAGATAACCCGAACAGCCTTAGGTATATTAAAGAAATAGAATTTGTAGGTAAAAATCTTCCCATAAAGAAAAATCCGTGACAATAATTCTTAGGTGAATTATACCAAACATTTAAAAAAGCATAAGGCCAATTCCACACAAACTTGTCCAAAAAATTGCAGAGGAGAGACTATTCCATGACTCATTCTATGAGGCCGGCATTGCAGTGATACCAAAACTAGACAAAGATATTACAAGATAATTATCAACCAATATTCTTAGTTTGTAGAAACCAATCAATATTCTTGGTTAGATGTCAACAGTCTAAACATTGCAAGCCCCATATTGGAAACATCTCCCAAAAGTACAGCAAAAGGTGAATGGAAAAACAAATTGTGATATTATCCACACAAGGAAACACTACACAGCAATATAAAGGGATGAACTGTTAACACACATGACAACATACATGAATCTCAGTGTTGCTGACTGAAGGAAGCCAGACACAAAAGAATACACACTGTATGATTCCATTTACATAAAACTCTAATGTAGCTGCCTAGAAAGGCCCTACCTCTCTGCGGGTCTTCTTAAGGCAGTAAAAATTTACAAGTATTAATGGAAGAGTAGTGTTCTCTCCATAAAATGTTCTCTTGCAGATCAGCAGTTGCCTAGGGACAAGGATGGAGGGATAAGGAGGAGAAGGGGATGAGGAAACTTATTGGTGTGACAGGTATTTTCACTATCTTGATTGTGGTGATGGTTTTATACTTTGTTATTTTTTACGTTTTCTTTTTTTAAGAAAATTTATTTCAATAGCTCTAGGAGCACAAGTGTGTTTTGTCTACATGGATGAATTGTATAGTGGTGAAGTCTGGGCTTTAACTCTACCCATAACCCAAATAGTGTACATTGTACCCAATAGGTAATTTTAAAAAATTCCTCCCCCTTTCTGAGTCTTCAATGTCCATCATACCACTCCATATGCATTTGTCTACCCATAACTTAGCTCCTACTTATAAGTGAGAACATGGCAGTATTTGTTTTTCCATTCCTGAGTCACTTCATTTAGAATTATGGCCTCCAGTTCCATCCAAGTTGCTGCAAAAGACATTATTTTGTTCTTTGTTTTGGCTATTCGATGGTATATTTCATGGTATGTGTGAATATATTTATCACCTTTTCTTTATTCACTCATTGGTTGATGGACACTTAGGTTAATTCTACATCTTTGTAATTGTGAATTGTGCTGCAATAAACATGCATGTGCCTATTGTCTTCTTTATGTAATGACTTCTTTTCCTTTGAGTAGATACCCAGTACTGGGATTGTGGAAACAAATGACAGATCTACTATTGAAAAATTTCCCTACCATTTTCCATAAAGGTTGTACTAATTTACATTCCCACCAACAGTGTGTAAGGGTTCCCTTTACACTGCATCCATGCCAATATCTACTGTTTTTTGATTTTTAAATAATGGTCATTCTGGCTGAGGTAAAGTAGTATCTCATTGTGATTTTAAGTTGCACTTCTTTACTTTAGATGTGTGCAGCTTATTGTATGGCCTATGTCTCAATAATGCTATTTTAAAAAATCTTATTTTGGAAGAAAATCTTTACTCACACCTCAAAGTAACTAGAGAATTTTTAAGGTGAGTACCTATGAGTTTTGGGAAGTACAACTTGTATTTTTACCTGCTTCCAAAGCACTCTTCCCCAGAATGCCTGTCCTGTGTTATTAGACGGTTGAAAGTAAAATTAAAATCCTAAGATAATTTAGGTGCATCTGATGTTTAGTGGTTCCATGCAAGAATTCCTAAAGACTCTAAAGATATCCAGTTCTGAGATTCTCCTTAATCTACATGTGTGAAAAGTGTAAAAGCTCTGGTATAATTGTGCTGTATATGTCAAAAGGTAGTAGACTTTTATATAGCTTGTTAATAAATATCCTGAAACCATGGGAGTTGTAACACACTGTACAGTTTGTGCTGTGGTGGTGGTACAGAGTAGAGTTAGATGGAGAAACTGTAAATTTGAGACTCTGGGGGAAACTTTGAGTTCAGAAATTAGGACAATTCAGGCTTGTCACCAGGGAATCCATGTTTAGAAAGCAGGGTAAGGGACACATCTATTTTAGGAGTATTAGGGAGACAAAATAGGAAAGCAGTTGAGTTTGGAGTGGGAGTCGGTAGAGAAGTAGTGAAATGGGACAGTGGGATAGATCTTGTTCCTCAGTAACCAAGGGAAATGAGAGAACTTGTTCTTACCATGGACTCAAAAGTAAAAAAAAAAAAAACAAAAGATATGATCACAAAAGCTGTGGGGCAAACTCAATGATATAGGTACATTCTAAAATTCTGTTTCATGTATTAATCTGGGCACATGTAGCTGAGTGAGGCTGTGCATCTATAACCTGAATAACTACAGATAGGAGACCTTATTCAATCTTAGAAAATGTGGTTTACACAGCCCTGCAAATAGAGGAATATGAAAGTACCATATGCTTTCTATCAAGACTTATTCACAATGTGATACTTATTCCTGTCACAAATGCCAACCACATTGCTCTAGAATATTATTTAATTTTCAATGGCTTTTAAAATTCTTCTTATTAAAATAGAACATCTTATGGGTACCACTCTTCCCTTAACACATGGAAATTCTTATTGGCTTAAGAAGACCTTCAGTGAGGTAGGGCCTTTGTAGGCAGTTACATTTTATTGAGAGGATACAGTCCAACCATTTGAAGCTGCTATTCCTATATTCAAAAATCCAGGGGGGTTCCTACAGCTTTTTAATTTTTTATGCCTATATTTTTCCTGCAGTAGGTTTCCTACAGTTTCTACCACAAAATTCCCACATTGTGTAGCAATACAGTTTTAAGTGATGGACACAGAATAAGGACACAACAGAGGTAAGGGTGTGAGACAAAAGAGCCAGGGGAGAAATCCTGCCTCTGGGATCTTGCTCCAAAAGAGAAACCTCTTCTCCCCTAAAGGTTAGAAATATCACCCAGAGAGAACCTTCTCTCTGGGGGATTACTATGGAGAAGGCTTTTTACCAAATCAAGCATATTAAAGCCAAAATCGATTTTATCTCACAGATAATGATTTTCACAAATATCACTGTAAAGTTTCTAATGTTATAGCAGTACTTAGAACATTGTATTAACTGAATGTGTGTGTGTGTGTGTGTATTTTTTCATGCTCGTGGCGTGTATCAGTGATTTTCATCTTCTTTTTTGGTATGTGGTCATCTCAAGCTGCCCAACGAATGTTTTCACTTGACTTCTGTTGATACCTCCAACTTAACCTTTAAACAAAATGTCTACTGACTTTCCTAATTCCCTTTATTTGCTCCCTCCCTCACTCCCTTATCCTGCTTAGGCAGCCAGTCATTCCATTTTGTTAATCCTTCCTTTGTTATTTCTCTCACATTCATTTCTCTTTTCATTTTTATGGTAATCCTTTATTTAGGCCTTGATTATCTTGTGCTTATATCACACATACACAAATTGGTCTTCCTTTTCAGAATACAAATTGGTCTTCAAGGGTAGGTAGTGCAGAGACTGGATAGAGGAATGATTTTCCCACATACCAAATGAGGCCAAGCAAGGTAAGGTCAGACCAAGATAGGTGAGCTATGTTTGGGCAGAGTGGGGCAGAGGAGTTTGGGCTCTAATCCCCACCTCTTGGAAATTGGAGATGGGGGTGGAGATGCTTAGTTCCAGGCAGGATGAGGTGGGTCAGAGGAGCATATCAGGGATCCAGGGTGGAATTCCTGCTCCTTAGTATCTGCAGGTTAGAGTAGGGTCAGTCCCTCTAGATTCTGTGCCCTGCCCTTCTGGCTAAACACTTATCTTTCATTTATTTGTGGCTAGAGAGAGTACTAGAGAGACAGTAAAAGTTTGTTGAGGACAGATATTATACTTTTTCTTATAACTTACATGCGTGACATGGTATTTTATAGGTGATTTATAATGCTGCTATTAGAGATATTAATAGTCTTTATTTCAGAGTTAAATCTTTCAGGTCCTCTTTGAGACCCATCTGGCTCCCTTTGGAGATGATTATTTGTTAGATTATTAATGTTTCCTTGAGTCAAATTACATATTTTAGAGTTTATGGGACTTCCTCTGCTAAAAAAGGATACTATCTTCAGGAAGCAATGGATCCTAAAATTGACTTTGAAACACTCAACAATTTGCCAGCAACAATACTATATATCATCTTTTTAAAGTTTGTGTTTGACGGCATAATTTTTGACTTATTTCTCTCAGGATTCAAAAAAGAAAAATTTTGACTCATTTAGCCATGAAACAAAGGCCTTTACTTCTCAAGATCAAATCTAAGTTTTCCATGTTAACGTCCCTCATAATCTTGTCAAGCGCTATATTTTAAGGTATTTTAATTGACATAAATGTTCCCGAGACTTCTCACCAATACCAATTTGAACTTTAACACTGAAGGTGTTTAGCAGTCCTTGTATTTTCAAAATTAGAAGCCTTTGCAGGAGAAAATATTCAAATACAAAATTTCAACTTCTGCTTCAAACAACCTATTTTGTTACAAATAAGTGTTTCTGAAGAACCTCTTAATACTTTTCTGTTACCCCCCTTATCTGTTAGTCTGCTGAGACTAGATATTCAAATATTCCAAAAGCCAGAGTGTATGCAAGTTCACTTTCATCTCACTTGTCATAGGAATTTAAACATTAAGCCTCAAAGTATGGCACCCTATATGTCTTTTCAAAAACAACAACAAACAACCACATTGTGACTACTAGATGAGGTAAAATTTGTAATAACAGAATCAAAAAAGTCAACCCTAACTTTTCAGCGCTTGAACTCCCAATCACCCCCACTAAAGGCTTCTTCGTTAACCTTGAATCATAAGAATCACTGATCATCGAGTAAGTAAGTGTTCGGGAGATATGACTGTGAGATCCAGCTTTGTAAATAATTTCTGGATTTTTGGGGCGAGTCATTTCATCTCTCTGATTCTTAATCTCTTCACTTAAAAATGAGGGACTTGGAGTATCAGATGATTTCTAAATTTCTTCTTACTCAAAGTCTATTATTCTGATCCCAAAGAAGAAATCGAATCCTTCTCAATACATCCCAAATTGGATATTCTGGATAAGAAATTTTGAAACCAAGTCACACGAAGAGTATGTGAGGGATAAGAAGTCTAGTTTGGGGAAGGGTAAACATTATGTACGAAAAAGAAATGTCTTAAAAGAAAGCAGGCAGGGTGAGCGAGGAGGCTGAAGAGTCGCTCCATAAACTGAGGCAGAAGGAGCAGCCGACAGCAACGCCTACCGCACCCGGAAGGCTCAAGGAGGCGCCCTGGGCAGGGAACTTCCGGTTGCGGGGAAGGGCGGCGTCCTCTCCTAGGGACTTGTCGCACGCGGCTTCTCGTCGCGTTCCGTCTTGCACGCCTCGCAGCCTAGCTCCGCGCGAGTTCCAGGCGCTCAGCACCGGAGCAGCGCCCCGGCAACCATTGAGGCGTCACGGTTCGTCACGGGATTCGGAGCCGGGCGGCTACGGGCGGGGTGTCGCAGCTCTCTTCGACGTACCTGTCCTCAGGAGCCGCGGCGGCGACTGCGCCTCGGACGGCCGTCGGGGCCGAGAACCATGAGCCCCAGGGGCACGGGCTGCTCCGCCGGGCTGCTGATGACTGTCGGCTGGCTGCTTCTGGCGGGCCTCCAGTCCGCGCGCGGGACCAACGTCACCGCTGCCGTCCAGGATGCCGGCCTGGCCCACGAAGGCGAGGGCGAGGAGGAGACCGAAAACAACGACAGCGAGACCGCGGAGAACTACGCTCCGCCTGAAACCGAGGATGGTGAGGGCGGGAGCTCCCTTGCGGGGCACGCGGAGGCCCCTGTTGACGGAGCAAAGGCCTGCTCTTTGCCTGAGAACCATAATTATGTGTGTTAACGTCAGGAGAGCTCTCTCTCATACTTCAGCCCCGAGTTTGTCCCTTTCTTGCATCCTGTGGCCTTGAAGAAGAATGTGCTCATTCTCCCAGGCCACAGCAAGATACACAGATAAGCACGTATATAGAAATTGCTATAGAAACACTTCTAAATATTGCTTTGGACAAGGAAAAAGATTTTTTTTCAGGGTGGGAGGTAGCCTTCCAACAAGAGGAATCATTTTGACTCCTCTTGCAGTCACTTTCCCTTCTCATAGTAGATTTTTTTTTTCAAGTTCCAAGTTGCTTGATTTCCACATTTGCACTTGGGGTTGCAATGGAATTCAGAATCCCCCTTTACGACGATACACCCAGATAGACCAGTATGCCGACAAAACTGCCCAGAAGCCCCATGGCAGCTTCCTGCAGCTCCTAGCCTTGAGCACCTCTGCATTGTGGTGTTTGATTGGTATGTGCGGCCTCGGACAAAGGAATGGAGCAGTAGAAAACACCTGTCAAGGGATCCAGCTAGTGGCTTTGTTAGATGCTACATATTAACCAAGGAACAATGAGCCCCCCGCTTGGTACATACATTTGCTTTTTTTTCTGCTGGCTCATTAAGCAATAAAACTTGACAGGCTGTTGTACATGTCATATTGATTAGTAACTCACATTCTAGCAGGTAGAAGGTCAGCAGCAGGTTTGCTGCCTTCTCAAGAAAGATTATTCCTTTCCCTTCTAAATGACCCAGCTGCAATTCTTTTAATATTGTTTGCATTCTCATATCTCTTCAGTCTATACATATCGAGTGACTGCTGTGTCTACCAGCCTTTCTTTCATTTCCTGATAGTGATCCTCAGCACCAACAGAAAGAAATGAACTGTCTGAGGTTAACAGTGGGATCGAGGTTTGCACGGCCTTGTAACATTATACTACAGAGAGCTTAAAAAGATCCTTGACTTCGGAAATGTGAAAAAGAAAGATGACTAGGAAAGAAGAGAACACGTCCTAAAGCATAGTAGCTATTGCTTCATTCTCTTCTTTAAAGTAATTGAATTAACAATTTTAGTATTAAACTGGCCAAGAAATACTTCTAGCTATAAAATGCTAAATATTATTTAGGCTAAACTCAGGCAATAAAGTTATAATGTCTTACCTTCAAATTAAAATGTAGGTTAGTTACTTATTCTCTGAGTCACAGTTTCCTCATCTACGGACTTCAAGGAATCCATGTACTTTGTGGGATTTTAATACATACTATTTCATGCATAAGTGCTTTTTCTTGGGGAGCGAGAGAATCCAAAACTTTAAACAATCTGAGGTGTTATAGGTCTGAAAATTTCCAGAACCATTATTGAAATTTGCACTGTCCCCTTAACCCTCAGTGGATCAGTAGAAACAGTTATCCCCATTTACTATCCAGTGGACCTTTAATTTTTTTTTAGTCATTTAAAAATAATTTACAAATAAGAATAAAGGGATAGTGAAAACAACTGTGTTAGAAATTTCAAGAAGAATTTAAACATGGAAAAATTCAAATTTTTATTCCATATATCCTAGTTTTGAAGGTGTATGTACTCTAACTGGGCAAAGTACTTTGAATGCAACTAAGTGCTCAACTGTTAAGCATGAACCTGGAATGCATTCATCATGTTAATACTGATTCCAGATTTTGAGTGCATCGTTAATAAATTCTAGCTTATCATTAATCTTGGTTCTTTTTGCACTTGTATTGTCAAAAAAACCAACACTTTTGAAAACTACAAAGGCATATATTTTGTTGAAGAGAAAGCCATCTTCTTTTCTTCATAATTGGAAAATATTTTCATCTTTAGATTTATAAACACCAATTAGAATGATTGGTCCAATGAATTTTACTCATTTCTACATAATCTTTTCTTTCAGTCACCTTTATATACATATCTTTCATCACAATATGTTCATTTACAAACCTTGGCAAATAAATGTTGGTGCATAAACGTTATAAAAAGGGAAAGAATACCGTCCTCATCCTTTTAGCGAAACAGTATGGCACAAGTTATTGTCACAGTATATTTCAGGATTAAATCTTTCCTGTTGTCAGGCTAACTACATGATAATACCATATATTCTTTTCATCCCCAGAAATATAATGTTTACTCATCAATTCTTAAGTTAGAGAAAATTCATCTAGTATATTCATCCAAGATAATCATCATCTCTCATTGAGATTTTGCTTATACAATCAATTTCATCATCATCATTAGCATCCAAAGTGCTGTTATCTGTCTCTTTTCATCTTCTGATTCGTTCAATAATTGTGAAATGTTTTTCTCTGTCAGTTTTCTTCTCTTTGCCATTATGGGCAAAAAATGAAAAATTGTGAAATCTCAACTGTGTTCAATAAAAGCCAAAAATAGACTACAAGGAGGATACCTCTAGACTTCTTTTGTATCTTCTTGAAAGATGATGCAATATCTTGGGCAAAGCAATATGAAAACATGGGATGTTGTAAAATAGCTTGTGTTAGTGTAATTCTTTCACCATTACATTATTTTTCTAGGCAATTCCAATCATTCTTTCATTTTTAAATTTTAGTCATTTAAAAATGTAGTTGAAAATAATGAGCAATACCATCATTATGGATGATGAAATATCACAATGTTTCAAGATAAAGAAAAATCATTAAGATATTAGATTTATGGCCAGGGGCGGTGGCTCACGCCTGTAATCCCAGTGCTTCGGAAGGCCGAGGTGGGCAGATCACAAGGTGGAGATCGAGAGCATCCTGGCTAACACGGTGAAACCCCATCTCTACTAAAAATACAAAAAATTAGCCGGGCGTGGTTGCGTGTGCCTGTAGTTCCAGCTACTCAGGAGGCTGAGGCAGGAGAATGGCGTGAACCCAGGAGGTGGAGCTTGCAGTGAGCCGAGATTACGCCACTGCACTCCAGCCTGGGCAACAGAGCGAGACTCTGTCTTAAAAAAAAAAAAAGATAATAGATTTATATCCTTATACTTTTGTTATACCTTGTATACCATGTAATATACCTTTTAAATATATCTTTTATACAAGTATACCCTTAGATTTATAAAAAGGGGCCAATAGACCTACATAGTAATTGCAAAATAGAAAGTTGTAGTCTATACAATGGGTTTTATCCTATACAAATATAACTATATGTTATTTTTGTCTTGGAATACTTCTAAGGAAGAACAGAAGTCATAAAATATCAGCCTTTCAAATCAACTGTCAGAAACTGAAAAACTCAAATTGCACTCTGATGATATATACCAAAAGTTACCATGTGCTGTCCTGAACTGAAGAGAACATTTCAGGATCTGGCCACAACTAAAAGAGCAAGATCATTTTCCTTATCACTGTGGATGCCAGGCTTTTGTTAGTGTAGTCTAAGACCCAGTAGATTTTTAGGGAAGCCTCTGCACATCTTTGATTCCTATTGAATTCACTATTGAACTCTCCATTCGTTTTTAACTGTCCTATCAAATTAAGACCACCCATAAAATAGTTTTGGACAGTTGGCTTTTTAGCTGTATGTGAAGGACTTTTTATTCCTACAAGGTTTCATTTTGTTAGATTTGCCCATTATTTCACCCTGTCATCTTTTAGATCCAGATGTATCATCAAATATATTTGCTATCCTTTCTAGCTTTGCAGAATTCTGGATTCAGTCAGCATGATAACAGCATCTTTTTCCAGGTCATTAATAAAAATGTTGAACAGGACAGAGCCCTGTGACACATCACTCCTACCATGTTGACACCAACTGGTTAATTAACAACTGTGGTCTTAGAGTTTAAACAGTTTCACATAAAACTACTGACATTCAGACCATATATTTTTTTTACCACTCATAGGTTTATAACAAGAAATTTTGACAAATGCCAAACTGAAGTCCAGTTACATACAATTCCACTGACCCACCATTGTAGGATTCCCATTTTTAAAAAAAGTTACTGAGTAAACTAATGGACACTCAATACATCATAGAATATTAAAGCTGAAAGGGACTTTAGAAACTTTCTTATTTAGTCTCATTTTTTTTTTCTTTAAGGAAACAAGTTGGAAGAAATTGAACAACTCTCCCAAAGTAGAATGCCTAGTGATTGACTAATGGTTTTTGAAAAAGGCTTATATTTAAAAGTAGTGCAGCACTCATTCTCTTAGCCGTGTTTTCTATGTTCAGGATTTGGCTTTTAATTTGTGTCTCATAATGTGTCTGTAGAAGGTATCTAAGCATTCCACAATTCAAAATGGATCATCATGATAGTCTAAATCATTTATTTTCGTTAAAGAAATGACTTAAAGTCAATATTGATTTACTTATGTGCATTGGGTGCTTACTGAGTATGCAAGATACTATACTGGGGCTGGGCACGGTGGCTTATTCCTGTAATCCCAGCACTTTGGGAGACTGAGGCTGGTGGATCACTTGAGGTCAGGAGTTTGAGACCAGCCTGGCCAACATGGTGAAACCCCGTCTCTACTGAAAATACAAAAATTAGGTGGGCATGGTGGCGTCTGCCTGTAGTCCCAGCTACTCAGGAGGCTGAAGCAGAAGAATCACTTGTGCCTGGGAGGCGGAGGTTGCAGTGAGCCGGGATCATGCCACTACACTCCAGCCTGGGCAACAGAGCAAGACTCTCTCGGAAAAACAAAAACAAAAAACTATATTTGGTGCTCTTAAGTACAGAATAGTAGTGTTTATGAAGCTATTTTGAGATTTTACAGTTATCAAAATAGGGGAAAAAAACATTAAATTAATAAGTACAAAATGAGTTTAAATTGGGTAATTATATCTTAAGTATGTTTGTAGTACTAAACAATTTATAGAATGCTTTCACACACATTATCCTTATTTAATTCTTACAGCAATCAAATGAGGATTTTCCTTTCCAAATTTTGCAGAAGGGTTAACTAAGCCTGACAGCATTTAATTAAATTTGCTTAAATGCAAACAGCTAATTAGTGATAGAAGCAGCTCTTTGGACTCCAGTTCGATGTGTTTTCCATGCGATTTGTTGTCCTAGGGTACAATGCCTTTTGAAAGTCATCTTCTAACAACTCACTTTATATTTTTTCTATTGAGACTTTCGTCCTAATTTGAGCTGAAGAATTGCTTATATACTATAGCTAGTGGAATTCTATGCCAAACTTCAAATGATTAGAAAAAGAGAAACATATGATTTAGAACCAACAACACTTAATTTCTTAAATAGTGATATATTCCTATACTAACCTTGTAAAGTGTTGAAATAAATTCTTAGAAATATTTAAATTTACCATCTTAACCTGGGAAATGAGTAGAACTAATCTATAACTTTTATCATTTTAATGAACACTGGTTAAGGGCTTCTTTTTGAATGGAAATTATACACTCAATTTTGGAAAATAGAGAATAGAAAACATTGGTTTTTACAACAGATAGGGCTTTGTGTGTTTTTCTGAGACCCTCTATCAAGTTTTGACTCACTATATATCAACTGATGAAAAACATTTTTAAGGTATATACAAAGTTTAAATATAAACCTTCCTATTAGGTTATTTCCTAATTTAATGGACTTCTTTAGAGGTTTGAGACTCTTTTGAGTTAGACAATAACAGTACTCAGAATGGCATTGTTTTCTGATTTAAATGGAAAACTTAAAAAATGTCTGCTGCCCATATCATACACATGTCTTTCATCTCCAAGTAAGAGGTGTTTCACTTAGAAAAGTTTTCATATAATTAAATAATGTATCTTTACCCTTTATGTTTAGTTTCAAATAGGAATGTCGTCAAAGAAGTAGAATTCGGAATGTGCACCGTTACATGTGGTAAGTAGCTTGGAGCAGATGAATAAACCATGTTGTAATTTGCGGGGGAGGAAAGGTAAAAGCAGATAGTGTGCAACTTTGTAACTTGTGTACTTTCATGCATCTCTCATGGATTTTTATTTCTAATAACTATAATGTATACACAAAACTCAGGGTGATTGCTTTAAACTGTAAGATATTTTCAGTTTATAATCTCTAAATCTTATTTTAAGCCAGCTCCCTATTTTTTTTTTTTTTGCACATAAACTGCCTTCACCAAAGTAAAATTTTCTCTATCTCACAGATGTTCAGAAGACGAAAGATTTTCCAATGCATCTCACAGATGTCTTCCCACATATTGTGTTGGCAAATTTATCAAGAATTTGCTTATTTGTAATAGTCCATTCTAAATTCTACATTTCTCCAATTTGCGTGTCATGTTTTGGAGAAAAGATGTATTGGCTTTGTGGGGAGGATAATATTCAAAGAATATGACTTAGTCTGATCATTCCATGGGTAGAAATTGGACATAAAATTTCTCTAACAAGTTTACAATGAAGTTGATGCTGCTAGTTAGAGGACTATCCTTTGAGAAACAATGCTGTAGACCAGGGTACTGAGAAGACCATAGATAATTCACAATCAAATTAAATTTCTTCTAAATAGAATCTGCCTTGGAAAGAAAATAGTGATGAGAGGGAAAACGGGACAATTATCAGAGGATAAGAAGACAAAATCCATTCAGATCTAGATCAGAATGAATTTTGCAGGGGTGGCGGTGTCAAAAATTACACCTGAATTGTTTTTATTTGGAGAAGCTTTTTAAAATTGTGGTACAGTATACCCAACATAAAACTTACCATTTTAGCCGTTTTTAAACATACAAGTCCGTTGACTTAAGCATATTCACATTCTTGTGCAACCATCACAACCGCCCATCTCGAGAACTTTTTTATTATGTCAAACTAAAATGCCCATTAAACACTAACTTCCTGTTCCCCCCTCCTCCCAGCTCCTGGCAACCACTCTTCTTTCTATCTCTTAAAATTGTTTTAACCTGTTTTTTTTTTTAACCTTAATTTCTTAGTAAGTCAAGAGTCATAAAATGAGAGAAATCCATGTAGTAAGCCTGCAATTACTTATTTGTGGTTTACATCTTTGTTTAGCTACTAACTTCGGAAATTTTCACAGGTAGAGAATTATTTTTATGACAGTTCGAGTAATTGCCATTGTTTTCTATTATTTAAAGACAAGTTTAGAAATTGTACTCACTCAAATGATTATTTTTTTAAAATTATTTGCCTACTATGTGCCAGGCATCGTTATAGATGCTAGGGATATGAGCAGACAAAGCAGACAAAACTCTCTGCCCCCAAGCAATGTATAGTTTAGTAAGAGCAGACACATAATATGTAAAACATGTAATGTATCAGATGGTAATAAGTTATAAGGAAAAAAATAAACTAGGAAAAGCAATATTTCATGCCGAAAATGTTAAAAACCTTCCAATTTAGAACTAGAAGAGAAAAATGCCTTGATGAAAATTCTGTTAAACTCCTGAAACAATATTTTAGCAGTCAAAAAGTTTTCTTTTATATCCAGGCAGATTTTTAGATGTTACTTGGTATTACAGAAAATCCCACACCTACATGCATCTCAGTGAACTGTATTTAGCTAAATAAATAAATACATAAAATAACTGCTTTAAGCCGGGCGCGGTGGCTCACGCCTGTAATCCCAGCACTTTGGGAGGCCGAGGCGGGTGGATCACGAGGTCCAGATATCGAGGCCATCCTGGCCAACATGGTGAAACCCCATCTCTACTAAAAATACAGAAAAATTAGCTGGGTGCGGTGGCACATACCTGTAGTCCCAGCTACTTGGGAGGCTAAGGCAGGAGAATTGCTTGAAGCCGGGAGGTGGAGGTTGCGTGAACTGAGATGGCACCACTGCACTCCAGCCTGGCGACAAAGCGAGACTCCATCTCAAAAACAAAACAAAACAAACAACAACAAAAAACCTGTTTTAAAAATATTAACAATAGCATGTTAATTACTTCGGAATTAAGGCTGTGCTTCTAAAGACGCTTTCAGGTTGGCCGTGGTGGCTCATGCCTGTAATCCCAGCACTTTGGGAGGCTGAGGCTGGCGGATCACCAGGTCAGGAGTTCGAGACCAGCCTGACCACCATGGTGAAACCCTGTCTCTACCAAAAATACAAAAATTAGCTGGGCGTAGTGGCACGCGCCTGTAATCCCAGCTATTCAGGAGGCTGAGGCAGGAGAATTGCTTGAACCCGGGAGGCGGAGGTTGCAGTGAGCTGAGATCGCGCCACTGCACTCTAGCCTCTGCAACAGAGCAAGACTCCGTCTCAAAAAAAAACTTTGATAAACTCAAGTGGAGCCGTACTTCAGCCATTCTCAGCCATCATCTCTCTTAACCAAAGACCTTCTTCCTTCCATCCTTCCATTTTCTTGTTTCGTATGTAGCCTTCTCCCTTACTATTCAACGTGCGGTCCACAGACTGCATCAGTATCACCTGGGAGCTTGTTAGAAATGCAGAATCTCAAACCCATTCAAGAACAGCTGAATCAAAATTTGCATTTTAGTAAATCTCCAGGTGACTTGCATGCACTGTCAAGTTGGAGAAGCAGTTATAAGACACCTCTAGTCATCAACTTCCCTTTGCCCTCTAAGATAACATCGTAGAGGGGCTGGAAGAGGAAATCTGGTAATTAAGGAAATAAAAATGGACTCTTTCTTAGCCTGTCTTAACATGGGACACGGTTCAACATGTAGCTAATCCCATGTTTTGTTATTTCTCTCAATTGTGGTGATGTGAGGCCAACTCTGGAATTCTGAGATCAGTTAGGAGAGTTAAGTTCTTGTTACAAAAAGTGTGACAATCTAAAGAGAGCATCTTGTTGGAAATGGAGATTTGGTCAGTAATAGGTTCTCCTCTCTATATTTAATACAGACATTTTATGAATCTAAATATTTAAAGGCATCATTTATGCTAAAATGTGATTTTTTATTTTCCTCCAGAAACTTTCCCCATGCTTCCCCAAAAAGTTCCATGGTCAAATAAGTTTGGGAAATATTGTATACCAC
This sequence comes from Homo sapiens, assembly GCF_000001405.40. Taxonomy (NCBI): domain Eukaryota; kingdom Metazoa; phylum Chordata; class Mammalia; order Primates; family Hominidae; genus Homo; species Homo sapiens. Next base: position 88,057,092 of record NC_000006.12, read on the forward strand.
TATATTCCATCAAATCCACGAATTTATGGACTGTAAGAAGTACATTTTATGTACTCTAAAAAGGAAAAATACTGCCAATTAATTTATGACATGTTATCAATTGTAAATGTATTCTGATTTTAAAGATGTTAAAATGTTTTTACATCTTAGATCAATGCGAATGTACACAATAGCATGTTATTTTACTAGTGTATTAAAAGTTCCCTCAAAATTCCGTAGTAAAGCGGTCCCTTTAATTTCATTTGATGTAACATTTTCAAATGTGTATGATCATGGAATCCTTTTTCTTATGGTAACCAGAGGAACTAGTGTTTCACGTAACTCACTCCAGAAAATGCTGTTTTAGGAAATAATTCAAAATGAAGAGCCAAAAAAATTTTAAGTGTTATCGTTCTGAATTTAGAAACTTAATTTCTGAAATTAGAAGAAAAGTCTTAAGAAAAGACCTAGGTGGGAAAGTGAAGACACTCTGGAATCAGTTTTTTTCTTAACATTTGCCTTTTTAAATTTTAAACCAAAGGTATTGGTGTTAGAGAAGTTATATTAACAAATGGATGCCCTGGTGGTGAATCCAAGTGTGTTGTACGGGTAGAAGAATGCCGTGGACCAACAGATTGTGGCTGTGAGTTGAATTATGTATTGGAGGGAGACTGTGGGCAAGAGTTTACTCTGGGGAAATATTTTTCACCTCAGGTTGCCACTGAGTAGAAGGAGGCAACCAGTTGACATACTCAAAGGAAATCATAAAATTTTAAATTCCACTTCTTCAAACAGTTATAGTTCTGAGCAACTTTCTGATTTTGCTTCACATTTTTTCAGAGACATCTAAAATTGAACATATATTCTCTATAATACACTGGAGGCTTACTGTATATAGGGTCTATAGTTGAGGCTGTCCTGTGGCGAAATGCTTTTGATGCTTTGGTCATGTCATTTTGTCAGTAGATTGGTAGACTTTAAAATGGGAACTTTGACAGCTGTTCCATATCACATTATGCTGTTCTGAAATTTCAGTATCTCTAATGGGAGTCCCTAACCAGTACATTGGAAGCCACTAATAGATCTCATAGTTTAGTCTAACAGATCAGTAGGTCAATTACAACTTATTCTGCATAAGGAGCAGAGAGCCATGGTGTCTCCTCACCTGCTTCTTTTGGTGACTTTATCTTTGCACCTATCAGTCTTCTGTTCCTCTACACTCAAACTCCTAATTATGTTTGATAACTTCCAGCATATAGTTGATTTTTAAAACTGGAGGTTGCTTTTTAAAGTAGTATTGTGACACCTGTAATCTTAGCACTTTGGGAGGCCGAGGCAGGAGGATCACTTGAGCTCAGGAGTTTGAGACCAGGCTGGGCAACATGGTGAAACCTCCATCTCTACAAAATTTTGTTTTAATTAGCCAGGCACAGTGGCATGTGCATGTAGTCCCAGCCACTTGAGAGGCTGAGGTGGGAGGATGGCTTGAGCCCAGGAGGCAGAGATTGCAGTGAGCCAAGATCATGCCACTCTACTCCAGCCTGGGTGACAGAACCAGATCCTGTCTCAGGAAAAAAAAAAGTAATTTCGTGTATAAAGCAATTTATAATGCCCAATGGTATTTATGTGCTTAATTTTTTTTCAGGGGGTAAACCAATTTCAGAAAGTCTTGAAAGTGTTAGATTGGCATGTATTCACACATCTCCCTTAAATCGTTTCAAATATATGTGGAAACTTCTAAGACAAGACCAAGTGAGTAATGAATGGATATAACCTGGTGCTTTCTAGTGAGTGATAAAATTTGTTTCTCAGTTCTGATGGCTTTCAGAAAACTTTCTTTTTAAAAGCAGTTTGCCAAAACGAAGTTAAGAATTATACAACTTTATTATTTTGGAATTTTAAAATTTTCATTATTTACTAGGACTAAACTTTACATAAGTCTAAGGGCCAGCTATAATCAGAACTTTAAAACGTCTATTTTACACAAAGTATTCCATTTCGGAAGGAAGGTTTTCATTGGCTTATATAGGAGTTGTATAATGATAGCAGTGGCTAACATTAATTAAGGGTTTATTAAGTGCCAGACATGACACTGAGTGCTAGAGCCTTTTTTCATCCATATAACAATTCTCTGAGGTAATCACTATCATTAAACCCATTTTTACAAGTAAGTAACTAACTTGTCCACAGTCACACAGGCAGGAAGTGGTAGGGTTGGGATTTGAAGTCTGGATTGTGTGACTGAAAATCCATGTAGATCATTAATTACTCAACTAGGCTAAGAGAGACAGTAACCCTCCTTTCCTTAAGGGAAATAAATTGTTTCCTGGTAAGTGTACATGAAAAATGTTGATACTTTGTTATTTTTTTCTTTTTAAATAGCAATCCATTATACTTGTAAATGATTCAGCAATCCTAGAAGTACGCAAGGAAAGTCACCCCTTGGCTTTCGAGTGTGACACACTGGATAATAATGAAATAGTAGCAACTATTAAATTCACAGTCTATACGAGCAGTGGTAAGTGTCCAGCAATGTCTTGGTTTGCTTATATGCCAATCTTTAAAGAGCATTAAAATCACTTAGAGGCTTGTTAAAACACCAGTCTCTAGCCCTCCCCCCAGAGTTTCTGATTCAGTAGATTTGGGATGGGACTGGAACAAGAATTTCCATTTCTAACAAGTTGCCCTGTTGCTGCTGGTCCAGAGACCACACTTTGAGAACCACTGGTTTACATCATTTAGACTTTTCTAAAAGATACTACTTAATTTCTTTTTCACAAAGTAGTCACAATTTCCTCACTTTGGGAAACTGGTGTATTTCTTAAGTGTTTTCAGAGAACAGTCCTCTAACTTGAATTATATTCTTGCTTTTACTTTCATTATAAAAGTGAAAATGGATAAATGGAATTCTCATGGATGCTTATGAAAATTTTCATTCAGTAAAGTAAATAAAATTAAGAAATACGATGTCAAAGTATGACTCTTTAAAAATTATATATTTGAAACAAATGTTTTTTGATGAAGCACTAATACAGTTCTCAAAAATGTATATATCACAAAATGCAAATGTTGTCCTGAATGTCATTTTATGTATTAGAAACCATATTTTCCTTGTGAGATAGATCCATTTGCCTATATTCAGTTTAATCTATGATGGCTTACATATCCAGGTAATTATTTCCTTTTGTTCAGCTGCTCTTAACTGTTCTAATTGTTGTTATCAAATTTGTTGTTAGGGATGTGGGGACTTGGTCACAAGTTCTTTTCAGAATCCTATCAAGGCTCAGGATCCTTTTTCCAGAAAAATGTCCACATACACAAATATGCCAAAAGTTGCATGTAACTTTAAAGGAGTTTTTGGACTTCTTGAAGCTATTTCTGAACACAAAGAGCTTCTGCTGTAGTTTAAAGATACCGCACAACGTAACCATTTTATTGAAATGAAAACAGGTTAAAATATTTTAGGGTGATTTTAAAAAATAAACTACTATTTAAACTTCCTTTGATATGCTGTTTAATGAGTTTAGAAACATCTTCATGGTGAAAGCTAATAATCTTATTCCTCTATTGGGATATCAGGTGTCGTTAAAAGGATCATTTTCAATAAAGCTCTAAAAAAGGCAAGAGAATAAAAACATCATTAAACTAAAAAATATCTCAACTAGCCCTCGTTCATGATATTAAAGGTGTGTGGAGCCATTCTCAGTCTTTGTCCTACTATCTCGTCCCTGTTAGGACAATTCAGTGTGGTTAACTCCTCTCATAATTAGAAGGGAGCATGCATTTGGTAATGTATATGTTAAAGGCTGGAGCACAGACCCTAAAATGTCAGGCCTTTATTGAGACAAAGTTAACTTCTCTCTCTCATAGCAGCAGTCCAGGAATGGTGGGATAGCTCTGCCATCTCAGTACGTGCACTGATTGAATGACAAAATATTTTAAAAACACTCCAGTATCTACTAATTTCTTTAAACATGACAATTGGGTACACCACTGCAACAGACCCCTTTGGCTGATTAGAAATCAAACAAATGTTTTGGCTAGAAATGTCTACACAATATGGTACTAGCATGAAACAAATATGTAATTGAGATATTTTTAGGGTAAATATGGTTTCCCTAGTGAAAAATTCTCATCCATTCACTTAAATATCAGATTTTTCACTCCCACAATAGTTGTCTTTCATAATTAGGCATTGTTAAAAAAGATACTTTGAAGTACTCAGAATGTGACTCTATTTGGAAATAGGACTTTTTACAGATGTAATTAGTTAAGATGAGGTTGTACTAGAGCAGAGTGGGCCTTTAATCCAATATAACTGGTGCCCTCATAAGAAGAGGAATATTTGGGCATGCTTGTGCGCACACACACACACACACACACACACACAAACACAGATGGAAAGTGGGGCGCGGAATGCCAGGTGAAGACACAGAGAAACAGACATAGGGAGAAGACAGCCATGTGAAAATGGAGACAAAAATTGGAGTTATGCTACCAGAATCCAAGGAATTTCTGAGCCTACCAGAAGCTGAGAAGCTGTAAGAGACAAGGAAGGATCCTCCCCAAGAACCTTCAGTGAGAGCATGGCTCGGCCAACACATTGTTTTCAGACTTCTAGCCTCCAAAACTGCGAGACAATACATTTCTGTTGTTTTCGTCACCCAGTTTGTGGTACTTTGTTATGGTGGTCCTAGGAAACTAATAAGTACATAAGCTTAGTTTATCTAAAAGGTGAGAGCATCAAATTTAGCCTATTTTTCATTAAATACTTCAATAGGAAATTGAGCCTATTTTTTTCATTACCTGTAAAAATAGTCTAGGTGACCCTTGCAAGACTACTGTTGTAATAAATAAAATCTTCATGCCCCTCACTCTCCACCCTCTCTCAGCTAACATTGCAGAGTAATGGATAAATGAAATTTGCATTTCTCCTTGTCAGGTGTCAGTTCTGAAAGGTGTTTTTTATTTAAGTTTCCAAAATGCCACCACTTGTGTAAATCTAAAGTTATTTTGAAATAAAAAGATTTTTAAAAATCCAACAATGTTGGAACGTAAATATAGATGTATTTTCTCTAGCATACTTGGAACTATTTAGCGAGATCCCTAACTTGAGTTTATAGCTCTAGAATTACTAGGCAAAATGGAAACTTATACTCCATGATGTCTAACAGATAGGGAAACAAATCCAGAAAAATAAGCAGTTGAGATTGCTCATATAGAAGACTAGTTCTGACAGAGTAGTACTTATCAAAATCAAAGTATTTAAATAGTCAAAATATACCTTGTACAAATTAAACCTCCCTGGGCCTTGGTTTACTTATCTGTATAATGCAATAGTTGGATCAGATGATCTCTGTAGTTCTTTCTTCCATGAATCTTTTATGATTCCAGAATTTGGGGTCATAAAAGAGATACAATAAAGCTATGTAATTCACAAAGTAAGTAATATTCTATGTTAATTGGCTTTTTACTAGTTTACAATGTAGCAATACTGTAATACATACGGTAGATTGGCTTTGTCTCTTTGATAACCTTATTTGCTGAAAGAGCAGAGAGACATGGGAGAGAATGCTTGAGGTAAGAGTGGTGCATGAGGTGGGTACAGTGGTGTGTGCCTATAATACTAGCTACTAGGGAGGCTGAGGTGGGAAGATCACTTGAGCCCAGGAGTTCAAGGCCAGCCTGGGCAATATAGCAAGACCCCATTTCCTAAAGAGAGAGGGGTCGGGGTATGTGGATATGTGTATAGAAAACAATGAGCTTCAATTCCTTTCTTACAGCAAATATAAAAATTAGAGAGGTATCATAGTCTTAAGTGTAAAAGCTAAACCCATAAAGTTTTAGGAAAGAAATATAGGAGACTATTTGCATGATTCAGGAGTAGGCAAACGTTTCTTAGACATAATTCAGAAAACAATCACCATAAAAGGAAACATTGAATAAATCAGACTGCATCAAAATTAAAAACTTCAGCTCATTAACAAAAATCATTAGGATAATGAATAGGCAAGCCAAAATCTGGTAGAAAACATTTATAAAACCTGTACAGTCAGTACAATCAGTTTGAGAAAGTTCTCATGGTTTCTTAGACAGCTAAACACACATCTGTCTACCCTACGACCCAGCAATTCTATTATTAGACATTTAGCCAAAAATTAAGATATATATTCACAAAATGACTTGTATAAGAATGTTCATGGCAGCTTTATTTATAGTATCTCACAACTGGAACAGCCTAGATATCCATCAGTAGGAGGATGAGTAAACAAATTGTGGAGTATACCTAGTAATAATAAAAAAATGATAGTTGCATATAACAGTATGGGTGAATTTCTAAAACATTATTCTAAGTAAACAAATCTTTACACAAGAGATTACCTAGTGTGTGTTTCAATTTATATGTAGTTCTAGAATAGTCAGAGCTAATCTATGGTGGAAAAGAAAATCAGGATGCTTGTTGCCTCTGGAGGATGAGGAAGGAGTTAATTAGGAAGAGGCTCAAGGGAACTTTCTGGGGTATAGTAATATTCTATATCTTGACTAACATTTAGTTACATATATGAGTTTGCCTTTGTCAAAACTAAGCAAATGTACATTTAAGATCTTTGTGCAATTCTTTGTGTGAAAATTTTATTTCAAAGAAAAAACTAATATTAAACTCCAGTTAACGATATGCTTGCTGAAAAATTTTTGAGGAAGTGTACTGACATTTGCAAATTATATTGAAATGCATAAAAATAAGATGGATTAATGAATTGATAGAGGAATGGATAGATGAATTTTAAAATATTAATGGTAGTATTTAGATGGTGGTAATACAGGCTGTTCGTTGTCAAATTCTTTTAACTTTTTTCATGTTTGAAAAGGACATTTCAAACATGCAGAGCAAGATCATTAATAATTTTCTCTGCACTAAGCATTTCTTTATGTTTCTAGAGTTGTTTTTCAAATATAAACTTTTAAGTTAGATATTCATTTCCTTTTCCTCAGTAGTAATACTCCTTAGGTTTGTGTGTTTTCTCTAGAATTGCAGATGAGAAGATCAAGCCTACCAGCCACTGATGCAGCCCTAATTTTTGTGCTGACCATAGGAGTCATTATCTGTGTATTTATAATTTTCTTATTGATCTTCATAATCATAAATTGGTAGGTGAATAGTGGAATGCATCATCACCCTTGATTGACATCCTCTTCTTCCCCCTCCTCATCCAGTGAATTGCAAAGCCCTGTCCGTGATGTCTCCTACATGTTGCCTTGAAACTGTCCATCGCCTTTCATTACTCCTGTGACTGCCCTAGTTCAGGCTGCCCCGTCTCTTTATGTAGATGCTTTTTAAAACAATCTCATGACTTGCTTCTCCAACTATGAGAGAGCTTTTAAATGCAACTTTTACAATTTTACACGGTAATTGCTTTAAAAAGTTTTATTTAATGAATATTTGTGTTGTCCAGTTGTGGTTCTCTCAACTCTAAAACTTGGTTATTGTAACCTACTAATTCATTTGTATGACAATATTTATAATACCTACATGAGTAGTACACCCTGGTAAGTCTGAGGGCTCATATACTATCGATTTGTAGCTGATGCATCGCAAACTAAAAATGAATAATGAATACAAAGGCACTTCTTAGAGAAGAGGTAATATATATGTTTTATATATATGTACATATATATGTACATATATTGTATATACAATATACATATATCTTCTATGTACATATAATGTATATACAATATACATATATCATATATAGGTCATATGTGTGTACCAAATATGTATGTAGTATATATTATTTATATATAATATATAATATACATGAGTATATAATATATGGGTTATATAATATATATGTAGATATATGTATGTATAACATATATATTACCTCATATCTAAGAAGTGTCTTTTTATTATTTTGTTTGTGATGCATATATATTACATATGATTGTGTATACATCACATATATATGTAGTATGTATGTATATGAGCCCTCAGGCTTACCAGGGTGTAATGCTCATGTAACTATTATAAATATCATCATATATATTACATATGTATATTTCTACCATGTATACACACATATATTTGAACCGTATATGTATACAAACGTGTATTATGTATATACATACATATACATATATGTATGTATGTGTATACATATATAGACACATGTATGTAATATATATGTATCACAGACTAAAAATAATGAATGAAAAACACTTATTAGAGAAGAGGTAATATATATTATATTTACATGGATGTATATATAATACATACATAATATTATATACAGTATATATTATATATACATATAGTACATATGACCTGTATACAGTATATATACTATATTTACATATATAATATATATACCATATATACTATATGTACACATATAATATATATACTATATTTGCATATATATTATATATTACCTCTTCTTTAAGAAGTGCCTTTTTATTCATTATTCATTTTTAGTTTATGATGCATCAGCTAGATGCATCATCACAATGAATTGTCTGGAAAATGATTTTGTTATGTATTGTAGGAAATCCACTGAGGACTTTAAGTAAAAACAATTGTTTTCATAAAGTTTTCCAAAAGAATTATTTTTTTGAGTATGTCCCAGACCCCCCACCCCTGTAAAAGTATTTTTAAAAATCAGCCTTCCGATTTTTTTTCCTGAGTAGGTATAGTCATGTAACCTTAGTGTAGATGCTGAACATTTTTGAATAGTAATTTTTATCATTATAATTTTTTAAAATTTTATTTATTGAGAAAAAATTTGAATACAAAATGTATGATTTTTACCATTTTAAAGTATACAGTTCAGTAGTCATAAATACGTTTATATTCTCTTTCCTTTATAATATACCTGTAATATAGCTGTAATGTAATGTACCTGTAATATATATACAGGTACAAATATGTATACAGGTTATATGTATTTGTATATGTACAGGTTATATATATTTGTACCATATATAATATATACATACAGGTAATACACACACACACATATATATATATTTCTATACATAGAAAATATAGAAATCTATTCAGTTTTAGTTTTCACTTCATATGGTGGTTTTGGTTTTTGTTTTTTCTTCCAGGGCAGCAGTCAAGGCTTTCTGGGGGGCAAAAGCCTCTACACCTGAGGTACAATCCGAGCAGAGTTCTGTGAGATACAAAGATTCAACTTCTCTTGACCAATTACCAACAGAAATGCCTGGTGAAGATGATGCTTTAAGTGAATGGAATGAATGATGTTTGAATGATATATAACAAACCAAAGGATATTACAGAATATTAGATTCATTATTACAAAAATAAAATACACATTGAAATACTTTAATAATGTTGCGATGGATTGCCACAGTGTGAAGGAAATGCAGTGTGGGGATAGGACTATTTTATCAGTGCATTTTTCCAGTACAGTTATCAAATATTACTTTTAATTTGTTCTCAACACTTATTTCAGGTAATAGCTTGGGGATATTTATCTAAAGGTACCCCCAACAAATCTTCTAAGTGCATTTTTGATCACTTTGATAACTTCTTAGGTGATTTGCCTGTTTTGTCTTAAATAAGAACAATGTAATATAGAAATGCTTTACATATTAGACTTTCTCTCCCCTGGAAGCACTGGGTTGAACTTGCTAAAGTAAATCATACTTTAGAATCTCTTCAGGGAATGTGACATACAAAGTTTGTAAGACATGAAGTAATAACGATAATGATAACAATAAATGCTTACTTAGTGACTACTATGTGCCAAGCATTGCTCAACCTATTTTCCATATATTAGGTGACTTAAATATGATTGTATATAGGAAATATGTAAGGAAGAACTGGAGAGGAACTTGGAGGTGCCTGAGGAAATGACATGAATTTAACACGTCCTGTATTTCTCAGAGAAGCAGTGAGTTAAGGACTTTTGAATGACCACTGATAAGTACCTTCATTGTTCTTGGTATACAGGTAACATCTCAGAACCAAGGTACTTATTTTTGAACATTATCACTGCCTTTTTGTTCTGTGTAATTGTGTGATACTGTTATGGCCAACTATCAAACAAGGTACCAAGACATTAATTTGATTCAGTAGACTTCATCAGAAATGAATTTTCAGAGGTTATCATGGTAGCACAAAATACATACTTTTTAATGTTTATATGAATTCTATGCCAACTTTTTTTCTATTATTATGGGATTTATCTGACACCATTAACTCTTTGCACACCTGTGCAGAAGACATTGTAAATGGGCATTTATGGTACACCTCCCTCTAGTACCCAAGAAATAAGCTGTGTTGTAGAATTATTCATGTTTTCTGTTACATAGCATTTGTATTTGAGAAAAGCAGTGAGGAATTGGCTGGAAAATGATTTTGTTATCTATTGTTGGAAATCCACTGAGGACTTTAAGTGAAAAAAATTGTTTTCATAAAATTTTCCAAAAGAATTATTTTTTTGTTGCCCCCAGAGGTTCTGTCTGGGGAGTTGCTCAGTTGGTGCTGGCTCAGTAGCTCTGGCGGGGGCGGCGGTGGCAGGGGTGATGGGGGATGGTGGGGATGGCAGGGGTGGCGGGGGTGGGGGTGTAGGGGGCGATGGCTTGAGGCCCAGGCCTGGAGGACCTGTCCAGTGAGGAGATATGGGAACAGTCACCCACATAACAATCTGGCCACTTTTCTGTAGGGCTGCTGTGGTTTGCTTGGGGCCCACTCCAGTCCCTCGTCACCTCAGATTTTCCAGAACTGGTGTCCCCAGTGAAGGCTATGAAACAGCAAAAATGGCAGCCTGCCCCTCTCTCTGAGAGCTTTGTCCCAAGGAGTCATGGACTTGTTGCCCACCCAAAGGCATCTGTAGGAAATGATTAGAGACCCCAGTTGGGAAGTCCCGCCCGCCCCGTGAGAAGGAACGGGATCAGGAAAAAAGCAGTCTGGCCACGTTTTGGTAGGGCAGCTGTGCTGCGCTGGGGGTCCACTTCTGCTTCCAGTCACCTCAGACACTCCGAAACCCAAAGGCTGGAGCAGCTAAGTCACCCTAACAGCAAAGATGGCAGCCTGCCCCTCCCCATGGGAGCTCTGTCCCAGAGGAAATTCACATCTCTGTCGGTTGGAGAACATGGGCACGGGTTGCTGGAGCCCCTGGTTGGGGGGTCCTGCCCGGTGAGGAGGAACAGAATCAGGTACCCACTTAAAGCAGCAGTCTGGCCACATTTTGGTAGGGCAGCTATGCTGTGCTGGAGGATCCCTTCTGCCCTGGGTTGGCTTCCACTCTCCAAAGCTCAAAGGCTGGAACAGCTAAGTCACCGTAACAGCAAAGATGGCAGCCTGCCCCCTCCTTCTGGGAGAGCCATCCCAGGGGGAATTCAGATCTCTGTGGGCTGGAGAGCTTGGACAGAGGTGGCTGGAGGTCTCAGTTGGGAGGTTCTGCCCAGTGAGGAGGAATGGGGTCAGGCATCCGCTTAAAGCAGCAGTTGGCCACATTTTGGTAGAGCAGCTGTGCTGTGCTGGGAGATCCCTTCCACCACGGGTCAATTCAGACTCTCCAAAGCCTGAAGGCTGGAATGGCTACGGCACCCAAACAGCAAAGATATGGCCTGCCCTTCCCCCTGGGAGCTCCTTCTTAGGGAGGTGCAATGTTGTTCATGGTAGCTGGCTGGAATTCCAAGCCAGTGGGTCTTATCTTGGGCTTTTCTGCCCCTGAGCCTTTCTTTGATGGGAGACTTTTTATTATGGCTTTGATCTTGCTACTCATTATTGGTTTGTTGAAGTTTTCTATTTCTTCGTGGTGTTTAATCTTGGTAGATTGCGTGTATCAAGGAATTTATTTCTTCTAAATTTTCCAATTTGTTGGTTTATTATTGTTCATGATAGTCTCTAATGACACTTTATATTTCTGAGATCTCAGTTGTTGTGTCTTCTTTTTGATTTCTGATGTTATTTATTTGATTCTCTCTTCTTTTTATTAGTCTAGCTAAAGGTTTGTCAATTTTGTTTACCTTTTCAAGAAACCAACTTTTTGTTTTGTTGATCTTCTGTAATTTTTTAAATCTCAATTTCATTTATTTCTGTTCTGATATTTATTATGTCTTTCCTTCTACAAATGGGTTTAGTTTGTTCTTGCCTTTTTAGTTCTTTGAGGTGCTTCATTAGGTTATTTGAAGTCTTTCTCCTTTTTTGATATAGACATTTATTGCTATAAACTTCCCTCTTAGTACTGCTTTTGCTTTATCCCATAAATTATGGTATGTTCTATTTCCATTTTCATTTGTTTCAAGAAATTTTTAAATTTTCTTGTTAATTTCTTCATTGACCATTGGTTGTTCAGGAGGATGTTGTTTCATTTGCATGTGTTTGTGTATTATCTGAGTTGCCTCTTGTTATTGATTTCTAGTTTTATTCCATTGTGGTGAGAAAAGATAATTGATATGATTCCTGGATTTTTTAATTTTGTTTAGACGAGTTTTGTGGCATAAGATATGGTCTCTTCTGGAGAATGTTCATATGCTAAAGCATGTGTATTCTGCTGCAGTTGGGTAAAATGTTCTCTAAATGTCAGCTAGGCCTGTTATATCTAGTATGTAGTTTAACTCCCCTGTTTTTCTGTTGATTTGCTGTCTGGATGAACTGTCCACTGTTGAGAGCAGGTTGTTAAAGTCCCCTACTATTATTGTATTTCAGTAGATATCTCTCTTTATATCTATTAATGTTTGCATTAAATATTTGGGAGCTCCAGTGTTGGGCGCATAGATATTTACAATTGTTATATCCTTTTGCTTAATAGACTCCTTTATCCTTATATAGTGTCCTTTGTCTCTTTTTATAATCTTAAATTTGTAGTCTATTTTATGTGATATAAGTATAGCTACTCCTGCTCTATTTTGGTTCCCAGTTGCCTGGAATATTTTTTCCACCCCTCACTTTCAGTCTGTCTTTATAGGTGAAGTGGGTTTCTTGAAGGCAGCATATAGTTGAGTCTTGTTTCTTTATCCATTCAGCCACTGTATGCCTTTTACTTGGAGAATTGAGACCATTTACATTCTGTTTTATTATTGATAATTAAGAACTTACTAATGCCAATTTGTTATCTGTTTTCTGGTTGTTATGAGACCTCTCTCTTCATTTTCTCCTTTCTTACTATCTTCATTTGTGTTTAAGTGATTTTCTCTGATAGTATGTTTTGATTAGTTGTTTTTATTTTTAGTGAATCTATTATAGATTTTTGCAGTGTGGTTACCATGAGGATTACAAAAAACATTTTATAGATGTAACAAGTTACTTTGAAAGAGATGATGACTTATCACAAATTAAAGACTAGAAACAAAGGCAAAAAAGGAACACACAAAATATTTACATTTTAACTCCACTCCCCTGACATTTGGACTTCTAGTTGTCTCAATTTACATATTTTTATATTACTTATCTCTTAACAGGTTGTTGTAGCTATCATTGTTTTTGATAGATTTGTATTTTGGGCTTCATACTAAAGTTTTGAATTGGTTGTACACCACAATTAAAGCAATAGAGTATTCTGGGTTTGTCTATGTATTTAATTTTACCAGCAGGTTTTATAGCTTGAAAAGTTTTCCTTTTGCGCATTAGTGGTTTTTTTCTTTCAGATTAGATAACTCTCTTTAGTACTTCATGAAAAATGGTTCTTGTGGTGCTGAATTCTCTCAGCTTTTGTTTGAGAAAGACTTTCTCTCTCCTTCATATTTGAAGGATAATTTTTCTGGATGTAGTATTCTGGATGGTATTTTTTTTTCCTTAAGTACTTTGAAAATGTCATTCCACTTCCTCCTGGCCTATTTTGTTTCCATTGAGAAGTTGGTTGCCAGATGAATTGGAGCTCTCTTGCATCTTATTTGCTTTATCTTACTGCTTTTGGAATTTTCTCTTTGTCCCTGACCTTTGAGAGTTTGATTACTATATACCTTGGGGTAGTCTTATTTGGGTTGAATCTATTTGGTGTTCTCAAACTTTCCTGTACCTGGATACTTATATCTTTCTCATGTTTTGGAAAGTTTTCAGTTATTCCTTTGAATAACCTTTCTACCTCTTGCTCTTCCTTAGCTCCCCCTTGGACACCAATAATTCTTAGATTTGGTCCTTTAAGGAAATTTTCTGTATCTCATAGGTTTTTCTGTTCTTTTTTTTTTTTTCTTTTTCTTTTCTTATCCTCTAACTGTGTGTTTTCAAATACTTGGTCTTTGAGCTCACTGATTCTTTCCTCTGCTTGGTCCATCCTGCTGTTGAGAGCCTTTAATTAGTTCTTCAATTCAGTAAATGTATTTCTCCAATTCCAAGATTTCTGTTTAATTTTTTTAATCACTTCAATCTCTTTGTTAAATTTCTCTGATAAATTTCTGAATTGCTCTTCTATGTTATCTTGGAGATCACTGAGTTTCTTTAAAATTGCTGTTTTGAATTCTTGGTTGGAGAGCTCACAAATCATCATCTTGTTAGGCTCAGTCACTGGATTTTTGCTTTGTCCTTCTGAGGAGATCATAGTTCCCTATTTGCTCCTGTTTCTAGTAGGTATATACCTATGTCTTTGCATTAAAGGATTAGTTATTTCCATTTTCTCTTCCTGGCTTTAAATATATATATATATATTTGCTTAGCAAATCCTTACCACTAAGTTGCTGCCTCCTTTTTGGCTCCAGATGCCATTTTAAGCCCAGGTTTGCCTTGCTCTAGTAAATGATGGGAGTGCTGTCTGTCCCAAATGGGAGGGGTCCCAAAGACATTATCCTGGAGGTGTGGGAAGACTGGCTAGGAGTTTGTGCCCAGGGGACCTGTGGAACATACTTCCTATAGCATAGTGCTGCTGAGTAGCCACTCTGATTTGACATCTCCTTTGACCAACTTACAGGCAGTTTCCAGGGCTGGGGATGGTGATTCCACCTACCTCCCTTGTCTCTGTCTTTCCTCAGGGATATTTCCTTCTTCAGGCAGTCACAATAGTTCCTTTGGGTTAAGGCAAGAAAGTTTCCTTCCAGGGAACCCAAGATAGTAGGAAAGTTAGTTTACCACCTCAATTTCATTTTTTCCAGTGTAGATACCATGAGTTTCTACATGGGGAAGATTTTCCATGTACTTGTTGTCAGAATGAATGGGGAGGGAGAGGCATCACAGATGTGGAAGTCTGCTTCTCTTACCATCTGCTCAGAGTTTTTACACTTCCCTGTGGCCTTGGGAACTATTTCATCCTCATATTTGAGTTACGGGTTGTTGCTGGTGAAAATCTCAGTGCTGTATATTTGTTTTGGGGGAGGGAGGGAGTGGGAGGGAGTGAAGCCAGTTTGCTTCTATGCTGTCATTTTAAAACTGGAAGTCCCCAATCCTTGTTTTTAAAACCATGAACAGCAGTGGGTCCCAGCTATACTTTAATGAACATTAGTGTTTAGCCACTTTAACTGGGTTAGTTGTCATTAGTGCTATCCACTGAATATTTCTGGCTGTCTACATTTTAGACACATGGTAGGATGGTACTTTCTCAGCCCCTCATGTTTGAGTGAGCCCATGTGACTACTTCTGACCAATGAGTTCTGAGCCAAAATTCCACAATTATGAATCACTTTCAGGCTGCAATATTTACCTGTTAAACACCCAGAGCTCACCTTCTCTCTTCCAGAGCAACAAGAAATGCTCAGATGATGGTGGCTCTGACACTTTGGATCTCAGAGTAAAGACTGTGGTGTAAGATTTCCAGTCAACCAACAATGGATATATAGCATGAGCGATAAATAAACCTTGCTATTTTAAGCCACTGAAGCTTAGAAGTTTTTTAATACATCAGCTTTGCTGAGACTATCTTTATTGACAAATAAGTTTTTTTATGAATAAGAAGTATTAGTGGTCAAACGAGGTGAATAACCTTTAGTGCAGGACTTCTCAAAGTCATCAATGTGCCATATACATTGTGACTGTCCAAGAAGGGATATGTAGATGCGTTATTTCCCAAATTTATTGGTGGTCTATGAAACAAAAATGAAATCATAAATGAATATGAATACTGTACCAACTCAGAAATACACTTTTGAGGACTGTCCCTGATGGGTTTGTCCATGAGGAGCTAGGGTTCAGTGAGCTTATATTTCTTAATGTATAACACACAGCA
This sequence comes from Homo sapiens, assembly GCF_000001405.40. NCBI lineage: Eukaryota > Metazoa > Chordata > Mammalia > Primates > Hominidae > Homo > Homo sapiens. Next base: position 88,073,198 of record NC_000006.12, read on the forward strand.
AATCAGCAATACACCTTGACAATAGTAACATTTCATCTCTGGGTGTCACTTCGACCTTCTACTGTTGCAGACCCACCGCGATGGCTTTTCTGAAACCAATTGCTTCCAAAACTAAGGGCTCCTATCTTAAGTACTATGACCACACCAAATTAATCAACCAGCCTTATTTGTAAAGTAGATTATAATATAATGTGCTCCAGGTCTTCATGAAATCACTCCAGTCTCATTAAAGCCTGCTGTCATTTGCCATTTGATTAGAGTCTGTGGGGTGGGGCAGGGGGGATCCCTCCTTGCCACACACAGTCTTTGAGTCTCCATTGCATACCACTGAATGTCAGTGGGGCCAGTCTCTTCCCTCTCCAGGAAGATAAGATGAGAGGAATCTTCTAGCGCCTATTTTCTCCTAAGTTCCAGGCTAGAACTTTTCCTGTTCAATTTTCTTGGTCACCAAAATGTTCTTAGGGAAAATTTTGAAGTTTTCATCTGGATCCAGGTAAATAAAGCCAAGCCATAATGTATCAAAAAGAGGCCTTCTTTTTGGGCACCAAGTCATTTGTCTCTGCATGTGCAACAGCAAGATGTTATGAAATGTTCAGAGTAACACACTATTCACCAACAGAATCCTTCATTCGTTGTTCATTCAACAAACACTGACAGAGCTATTCCTGAGCTTATTCACTAAGCACTGGAAATACAGTTTGTGGAGGAAAAAAAAAAGGAAAGGTAGACGCTCTCTTGTCTTGGAGTTTATCATTTACTTAAGGCAGACATTACAATTAACCAGAACTAGGGTGAAGACATTGAAGAAAACCTACAAGTTTCTGTGAAGCAGTGGTAGGGAAAATGACATTTAAAGGGGACTTAAAGCCTAAATAGGAACTACCTTGGCTAAAGGGGAGAAAGGCCTAGGCAGAGGGAAGAACAGGTATAAAGGCTGTCCAGAAGAAGCATGATGCATCCTGAGAGAATGGCAGCAGAGCTGAAGAATAGAGAAAAGAGGGCCGGGCGCGGTGGCTCACGCCTGTAATCCCAGCACTTTGGGAGGCCGAGGCGGGTGGATCATGAGGTCAGGAGATTGAGACCATCCTGGCTAACAAGGTGAAACCCCGTCTCTACTAAAAATACAAAAAATTAGCCGGGCGCGGTGGCGGGCGCCTGTAGTCCCAGCTACTCGGGAGGCTGAGGCAGGAGAATGGCGTGAACCCGGGAAGCGGAGCTTGCAGTGAGCCGAGATTGCGCCACTGCAGTCCGCAGTCCGGCCTGGGCGACAGAGCGAGACTCTGTCTCAAAAAAAAAAAAAAAAAAAAGAATAGAGAAAAGAGAAAAGAATAGAGAAAGTAGAAAAGAATGTTGAGAGATGAGTCAAGGAATGTGAACAGAGGTAAGTGATATTATAGATATTTAATTATACATGCTATATATTTTATCATATATATTATTAGTTAATATAAATATACAAAATAATATGCCTAAATGGCCCAAGAATACATATCCAGGAGTCAGGGCTGAGGTTAGCACTCTTGATTATTTTTCTCCACCGTATTTGCTTATGCCTTCCTAGGGTTCATTTATTGTTGGCCAAAATTGACAAACTATGACTATCAATCCTTACCTAGATAGGGTTGTCTGTGATTTAATCTAACCTGGGTCCCTTTGAGTGGTGCTGAGAATACAAGATCTTATTAATGAGAATTTAATTATCTTCCATAATGGCTCCTAATTCACTCTCATGTTATGCAGCTAAGAACTAGATAAGGAGATTAAGAGTTCCCGACAGTGACCATGGTTGCTGGGCATACCTCTAGGCCAGCAGCAAGTGATAAGCAGGTTGATAGACATAGTAGGCTGCAATTTCTACAATCTTGGACATGACATGGAATGAAGCAGATAACATTACTCATCTTGTTGAAATACATTCCAATTTCCTTCTGTTAACATAAGCATAATGTTTCAATTTAAAAGGATTTTCTTTGTAGAGTGGTTCTAATATAATCTATATGTTCTCTGTTTCTGTCTTCTTGATCTTTTAAAAATTGATGTGATTCTTCTATTTTGGTTTTACTTTAACTATATTTTAAATCTGATTCCTCAGTCATTTTTTGTTATATTCTGAAAGACAATCTTTTTGGAATTCATAACCCATCACTGTTGTGATTCACCATCTGTCTCAAAAATCATAGAACCCATTTACATGGTTATTTAGGCTTTGAGGTTTGTGCAATTTTATTATCTGTGATCAAGTCATTTGTCTGATGGAAAACAGTTTGTCTTTGACAGTTTTCTGATTCTTATTGAAAATGAAACCTCTGTGCTGAATTTCAAGGGCTTTTTTCATCACGTAAAATAAATGCAAAAAACCAAACCTTTCTTTATTATTCAGTTTCTACATTTTGTGAAAATATCAAGTGCATTTAAATTAATGATAAGTATTCAAGTTTTTTTCTTGTTGAGAAGAAAACCTAGCATCAAGCAACAATTATTTAAATCATGCTCCTAGAAGACATATATACAAGTTTATTCTCCATACTTGCCTATGTGCTTATAAATATACATCTTAGTTCTTTAGGTTTCATAGTGAGTATTTTCACTAAAATGTAGTACATTAGTATATATGCTAAGTGAAACTGGCATGAGCAAAGGTTCAGAGGTGGCAAGGCAAATCATTGCTTTCTGTGATAACAGTAAGATATGTCCTTGAGGAATGTTCCATAGCTAGAAAGGAGTTTTTGCTGAGCTACCTATAATGCTCATTGAATTTCTGATTCACTCAAATATGTTTTTTTTTTCCCATGAGCGTTATTTGTTGAGGACAATAGAAACATCATACCTTTCTTTCTGTACATTAATTTTCTCCCTTTTCTTGACAGATATGCTTTTTTACCAGGCACTACTGAGAAAAAAACTCTAGGTACCTTTGGACAAACTGGTTGGGTTTAGGCCCTCTCATCAGAGAGGCATTGTGAGATTTGTATTATTTATGTAGTACTCCAAGGTAACGCCAATAAGTACTTTACAAAAAACAGAAATTATCTGACAGTAATGAAATCATGTTCTTCCAGAACAAACAATACAAGGCCCTAGAGGTAATAGGGACAGGAAAGAGTACAGTCCGAGCAATACTCTTTTGTATACTCTGGGTGAATGCAGCACACAGCATATCGTTGTTAGCGCTAGCAAGCTTCATACAGGAAGTGGATACACTGGGTTTCTTTGCAGCAGGAATAGGATCCGCTGAGGAGGATAATGTAGGGTGTTGGCCTGAAGTTATGAGTGCCTGAATTTGGTGGTTAAAGGTGCCAGAAGAGATGAAAGGGCCAGAGGAAGGAGTGGAGGTGGGGTGTGGGATGGGGCTGTAGGAAGGATGAGGAAAAGTTGTAAGCAGGTGCAGAGTCACGGGGAGGCTGGAAGGTGAAGAGAAGCCAAAGCAGAGTGGGAGAAGCATAGTCTGAACAGCAGGAAAGGAAAATGGACTTGGCAATAACATTTGGCAAAGACTGGAGTAGGAAATTGATGAGAAAGAGGCCAGTGAGAAGGAGTTTGTGTAAATCAAGGCAGGATGTGATGAGTGTCTTGGCAGCACAGAGAAATCAAAAAGATCAGATTTTAGGGAAAAATATTTTAAGTAAAGCTAGAAATGAGGACATACAGATAAAGAGAACATGAACTTAGGAACCAAGTTTAATCTCTTTTTATAGTTACCTTTACTCTCATCTACTCCCATGTTGAGTGAACCCTATTTTGTCAAAGCTCTTCCCTTGACCTTCAATAGCACTGTTTTCCTGTTTTCCATTTACCTCTCTGTTATCCTTTTCCCCAGGGTTTCAACTTTTCTTTCAGATGCTTCATATATACATACATACATACATACATATATATATGCACACACATATATATATATCTCAAAGCTGAAGCTCCCCAGAGCTTTAATTTTGCATTTCTGCTGGATGGATATTTCCTAATAGATGCACTGCTATCACCTCATATATAGAACTGGTTTTCTTTGTATGTAGTTTTATAGTACCTCCTCTGTGGTATCACTGTTCTCTAGTTATCCACACTCAAAACCTTACCCCATCCAAATAGTTACCATAGGTAAGCAGGCAGTTGGGGATGGGTAGCCCACTCTTATCTATGAGATTATTCCGAGATCTTCTAGTAGAGCTACTTATTTACATGTTGGCAGCTTCAGTAAGGGCAAAGGCACAGGTCCACATTTCAGCCTGCAGTAAGGCAAAAGAGAAAATTGAGAACAAAGCAGCTTCCTTTGAAGGGTATAACGGAAGTTGCACACATCACTTACCCCTCGCATCTCATGGGGCAGTACTTAGTCATATGACCACACCTAGCTGCAAAGGAGGGTGGAAAATGTAGTCTGTATCTGGGAGTCTGAGCCTAGCTACAATTCAGAGTTTTATTACTAAAAGGAAGGAGGAGAAATGCTCTGTGTGGAAGGCAGGGAGAGTGCTAAGGAGAGGGGAGAGGGAATTAGCTAGCACCCTGTGCCACAATTACAAAACCCCACAAGGATCTCTATTTCCTCTAATTTTCTGTACTTACCTGCTTCCATTAAATTTACATTCCTTTGCTTTATTCTTTTACATTTTTATTACCTCTCTACCTAAAATATAAGCTCCTTGAGGACTCCAACTGTATGATAAAATCTTTGAGCACCTAGCACAGCACCTGGTACATAGTGGGTGTGTAAAAATTATCCCAACAGCACTCTGGGAGGCCGAGGTGGGTGGATCACAAGGTCAGGAGATGGAGACCAGCCTGGCTAACACGGTGAAACCCCATCTCTACTAAAAATACAAAAACAAAATTAGCCGGGCGTGGTGGCGGGCACCTGTAGTCCCAGCTACTCAGGAGGCTGAGGCAGGAGAATGGCGTGAACCTGGGAGGCGGAGCTTGCAGTGAGCCGAGATTGTGCCACAGCACTCCAGCCTGGGCAACAGAACAAGACTTCATTTCAAAAAAAAAAAAATTATCATTTTACAAACTATAATGATGATGATGCATTTTGGAATCAAACATAATTGGAATTTGTGACACAAGCTGGGAGAGAAGAACCTACTCTGAACAGTACACTAAGACATGTTAGTTGAAACAGTTACCAACTACAGGGCTCAAGAGTGCATAGGTTGGGCGTGGTGGCTCACGCCTGTAATTCTAGCACTTTGGCAGGCCAAGGTGGGCAGATCACTTGAGGGCAGGAGTTCAAGACTAGCCTGGCCACCATGGTGAAACCCCATCTTTACTAAAACTACAAAAATTAGTCAGGTGTGGTGGTGCATGCCTGTAATCCCAGCTACTCGGGAGGCTGAGGCACGAGAATCACTTGAACCCAGGAAGCAGATAGCGCCACTGCACTCCAGCCGGGCTGACAGCGAGACTCTGTCTCAAAAAAAAAAATGCATATGCTGTTGCTGTGGTACACATATTATACCTTTTACTTAAAAGTGCTTTGATGGCATTCAGCTAACCTTCCTAATGCCATGTGAGATGATCCTGAGTATAATTATAATCAACAGAGCTGAGAAGTTTTTGCTTGGCTCATGATCTCCTTGAATCTTTATATCTGTATGAGGTCAATGTTAGCCTCCTTTTAAATATGAGGAAACTGAGGCTTAGAAGAAGTTGAAGAACTCACCATCACAGTATTGTGTGAGTGCTGAGTGATAGTTAACACCCGCTTTTCTGACCTAAAAGTCCAGTGCCCTTCCCACATACTACCAATTTATGAGCATGATATGCATAAGATGGCAATAAAGTAACCAGAAATTCTGAACATAGATAGATATAAAAAGGGAAGGCAGAATTTAATAGGCAAACCTATGGATCTTAATGAAATCATACAGCCAACTGTACTCCTAGGTTGAAAATTGGGGGAGACCTAACAGAAGCCATGCTGTAGCATCTTAATGCAAATGGAGTAATATCTCTTGGTTACTCCAGAAGTCTGAAGGTCATAACTCTAGATGCTATATTGCTATAGATAAATTTCAGACCAATATGATGACTCTGTCAACTATCAGAAAAGCTATAATGAGCAGTGCGAAGTAGCCAGGGGAGTGGGGTAAAGGTGGGACAATATCGGAAGAAAAAGAAAGAACAGAATCCATGGGAATAGTCAGGGGGCTGTGACCTTGTGTAAAAGACTGAATCAGGGTGCAAAACCCTACAGAGAAAGGCTAGGGAGTTTGTGAAAGAAGTCATGTAAATACAAGGAAATGACCTTCTCAACAAGGGAAATGGAAACAAGGAACATGAGAAAATAACTTACTACAGATGGCCAAGAAGTCACTTACATCACTATTAAACACAGCCACACTGAATGAAATTGGCAGAACCCAGCTCGAAGCTCATTACATAAAGAAGCTCATTTCGTGAAGAAACATGAGTTACAGAGATAATTGCTTAATAACTTACAGGCTTCTGGCAAAATGGAGGTGTCAGATGGGGCTGGGTTACAAAAGTTTTTTAGGTGGAAATTTTAAAGGACCATGGCTTTAGGTGGTTCTCATGTCACTGAGGAAACACCAGTGGGTCCCCACTGTGTCAATGGGAGTATACAAAGCCTCTCACTGCATGACTAAAGATAGGTTAAAGTGTGTCAGTGTTTTCACTAGGAAAAAAAAGTAGGTGCCTTTATGCTATTAAATTGCATATTACCTTATTAATTAATTCCATAATAATGTTAGAAATTTGATATTATTCTGGTCCAAGGGAGCTCCATGGAAATTTTCTTTCCAGAAAGGAGGATATTGAAAGAAATACAGCCACAATTATTTTGTTAAATATGAGAGACAGGAACAACTGGTTTTTGTTTTGTCAATAGAGATGATAACACATGTGATAATGTCAACAATATATTATCTATGTCTCATTCAATAGGGTGCTTTGCCCAAGATTAGACCTCCTATATTTTTTGATAGAATTGGGGTAAGGGTCTGAAACTTCTATTAGAGGTAGAGATATGATATGAATTCTACTTTAAGATAAAATTGTCTTTTTTTGTATATTGGGAAAACATCTATTTTAGCTCTCTGGTTAAGCAAAGATGAAGCAAAAATAATTTTTTTAAGTGGTAGGGGTGATGGGCTCTACAGTTCAGTCACAAGTTTGTCTCCTTGTGAGAGGAATCATATCCCAGCAGAAGCTGCTCTGAGCCTGGGAGTGAGAGGAAGCCTTTGAGGAGTTGAGGGCTTGGGCTGGGGAGTGGAGACAAGGCCAGGCTGGCAATGGCCCCTGGGAAGAAGGCCATGACCTAAGGAGGGAGACAGTAACATGGGACTCTGCTAGGCATGGGGACCTTGAGCACATTTAAGCTTTCTACCAATTTTATAAGTTTTCTATGCTTTAATTCCCTTTTGCAATTCTTAAGCCAAGAGTAAGATTTGGTTTAATACAGTTGTCTGGTCTTAGCTGTGTTTTGGAGAATTGGGAGACAGATCTGTGCCCACACTTGGGGAAAAGGGTGAGAGGAAGGGAGCAACAGTGTGAGGAGGCACAGGGGTCATCAAAGGGCCAGAAGGTGACAGAGTACAGCCAGACAGGAGTGTGGAACTTGCAAGCAGTCCTCCTAGGTTCATTGAAACACAGAGGGGTAAGCGACAACTGTGTTAATAACTTGACAAAAAAAAAATCCCAAAACTTTTGCCCCTCTGTACACATTTTTACACATCAATATCAGGTCCAGTGGTCAAGTAAATAAATATTAATAATTATTTGCTCCTGCTGAGTAGTTCACACAAAGTCTTGAGATAGCTCCTCTCCCATCCCTTTTCCTTATTCTGCTCTGTACAAACCAAGGGACTCATCAGGCATTGGCCGGAGTCAGACTGCCATCTGTAGCCTGGAGCATCTTCACCTCTGGTTGAACAGACACTTGGAAGGTTGAGACCTCTGAAGCAAGGTTACCTCTTTACCCCAACCCCTAATCAAATATGTCGCCTCTGCCATTTCTTCAACATTCTAGAGGGTAATCAGAGATTTATAGCTCAGAGAAGGAAGCATGGGAAAGTGTTATAACTTTAAAGACTCAACACCTCTTTTAGTAGTCATGGCCCTTTTTGGGAACCTGTGGTAAACTTTGTAAAAGATAAAGCCTTCTTGGTGAGCTGATTCTTGGGAAGTTTTATTGGCTAGGTGGCATCTTTCATGCAATATTCTAGTTCAAGGGCAACTCCAGAATGGAAAATGTAAAATAATTGTTAGCCAAAAATGTCACTATATTTCACTGGCCTCCCCAGCTCATCAGTCCATGTACCAGAAGGGACCTTAAGAGGGGGACTTTCTGATGCTATCCAGGTCAGGACTTTGTTCTCTAAGATAATCTGTGGTTTATATAATCATAGATAGGTTCCTTACTGTGCTATGGAGAAATTTGTTACCTAAGTTTTACCCACCAGTAATAAGTTTCTCCAAAGCACAGAAAGGAATCCATTCTAAGCCACTCTTCTTTAGAAAGCAGCAAGCAGAAGCTTATTTTTAACCAGTTAGTTGGGATCAGCTGAAGGAACAAGAGTATGACAGGAAGAATATTATGCAAGTATCAGATAATCCACTACATTTAAGGTTAAAAAAAAAACCCTTACATTGGGTAAGGAGGCAATCTCAAAAGTTTTTTAATAAAAATTTACTTTCTATTTTATTGTTGCTACTGCTGCTGCTTTTTAGCATTTCCTATTTTATTTTGATAATAGAAAATAAGAGGTTTCTGAAACTTATTAACAATTATCAATAGAAATGATGTGGGATTTGAGGTTAGAGAGATGTAAAAATGTACTGTGTCTCTGCCACCTATTTTGTGTGTGACTGTGAGGAAATTATGTACAGTCTAGGGCTTCTCTTTCATTTTCTGTAATCATATCTACCTCATTGGGTTTCGGGAGAGGTAATAAAGAATCCAAATATACAGCACCTGAAATGCTGTCTGGTACATATTAGACACGATAAATGGCCATTTTTATTATTATGACTATTGAAATAGTTTTTTAACTGTTGCAGCACAAGCCCTTCACACTCAAAAAATTAGAACAGCAGAAACATAACATAATGAAGGCTTGGAACTAAATTTGCCCATTATAGCAACTTTTAAGTATCAATTTAGTTTGCAAAGTTTAAGATTTCCTGAAGAATACCAAAATTCCCAAGACATACAAATATAGTTTGGCTGTGTCCCCACCCAAATCTCATCTTGAATTGTAGTTCCCATAATTCCCATGTGTTGTGGGAGGGACCCGGTGGGAGATAAATGAATCATGGGGGCAGTTTCCTCCATACTGTTCTTGTGGTAGTGAATAAGTCTCACAAGATCTGATGGTTTTACACAGGGTTTCCCCTTTCAGTTGGCTCTCATTCTGTCTTGTCTGCTGCCATGCAAGATGTGCCTTTCACCTTCCACCATCATTGTGAGGCCTCCCTAGCCACGTGGAACTGTGAGTCCATTAAACCTCTTTTTTTAATAAATTGCCCAGTCTCAGGTGTGTCTTTATCAGCAGCATGAAAACAGACTAATACAGTAACTTTCTACTACAGAAAATTGAGTAAGAGGATGGCAGTCCCTGATGGCCAGGAGCAGACCTGGCATTTGCAGCTAGACCGTGGTGTCCTCCTGTTGAACATAAATAATTTAATAGAAAACCATTTTCAGGTACAAAAACAACCTTGTCCATACCACAAAAAATGATCAAACATCTCCACATTATGTATAATATGTGTAATTGCTGATTCTCTACAAATCGCAACTTTAGTTATGCTTCATTCTTCTCACCTTTTAGACAGGAATTACTAGGGTACCCAGTCACAAAACTATTGCTACTTCCTAATAGCATTCAATCCAAAGAAAAGTCCCACTTCCTTAAAACCTCCCCAAATTCTTGAATATACTCTTTTTCCTTTAGAAATATGTAGACACTGATCCACTATTTATGGCATTGTTACGGAAGAGAAGTCTCTGAGGTAGACCTGATTATTTCTGCTTTTTAGGAAACTTATTTTTCTATGTGTGGGTGGACTTAAGATTCACTTTTTTCTTTGTTCTTGAAGATTTATAATTTTTTTCAGGACATAGCTTGGTGTTGATTATTCTGTATCATTTTTTTTCTGGGTTAAAGTTGAGTTCTTTCAACTTGTAAGTTCAAGTCTGTTGATTATTCCAGAAGAGTTTTCTTTTATTATATTGTTGAATACTTTTCTTTTTTTCATGTTTTCTGTTCCATTCTTCAGAAATTCTATTCAGAGATCCTATTGGATCTGGTCTTACATCTATCAACCTCTGTCAAATCACATTACCTGCTTTTCCTATAGCCACCCCTGCTGCCTGCCATACAGCCAACTATTGCTCTTCTAATCGCAACATCCTTGCATGTGCCTTTTTGGACAGGGACATTTATTTTAGCTCATCTATATTTTGTCTGAGGTCTGACAAAGCACATGTTATCTTTCAATGCCCTTTTTTATGTTGACCCAAATTTCATAATGTTTGACAGATATTTTCTATATTGTGATTTAGGATTCTTACTCCCTTCTTCATTATAACCTTTTTGTTATTTTGGGCAGGTTTCAAAAGAAAGAAGTTTCATCTCTAGCTAAAAGTATCAGAGTTGTTTTTAAAAGTGTACTGTACAATCCTGGTACAGTGATGGTGTGTTTGGGAATGGTTGTTGTCTCCTTGACTCCCACTTCATGCCCCCACTTTGTGTAGAAGTCATCTGATTGGAGGAATAATATCGGTTTCTGGGCCTGGCATATCCCTAAGTATGAGCTTGGTTCAGGAGTGAGCATGTGAGGTACAAGATAAATTTTGCAAAACTTCTGAGAAATATTTTCTCCATCTTACAAGAGAGCACAGGAAAGAATAGCTTTTTTTTTCCTCTGTTAATGTCTTATATAGATGTGAGGTCTAGAAGAATTGTGGCCATCTTGACTTCATCTTAAGGATGAGACTAACATACGGTGTAACCAGAGATAAGGAACCAGAAGGCAAAGAATTGTGTTCACAAAGTGATGCTAACCTTCAAGCTGCCCTTCCTCTGGACTTCCAGCAGATCTAGCCAATGCCAAAACATTTCCTTATTGTTTAAACATGTTGAGTTAAAGCCCTCCTAGCTAAAAAAAAATACAGCAATATGGTTCTTGTTCTGCTTTCACTGAGCATGCGTTGTGTTACTGGTGCTCCACCTCAGTAGTAAGTTCACTTAGAAATACGTCAAAGCAGTTCATGTGACCATAGTGGTAACAAGTGCCAAGCTTATCTTGAATGTCTTGGACTAGGTTATGTGCACTGAAATGTCCCAGTGAAATTTTTATGTTTTTTTCTTGTGACAATTATAAGCAAAATAATCATAGATCAAAGCCCTCATTGGCTCTACTTCTGTGATTTTTAGTGATAGCTGTGATTATTCTGCCTAAGAAAAATAATATGTCCAGACTCAGGGCCTTCATGATAAAGTACAAAACAACGTACTGAATCGTACTGAATGTAGTGCTTGTCTTCCTTCTGAAAATGTTCAGTGGAAGTGAAGGTGTGTGATAGAGATATTTGGGAATTGTTAAATGGTTGAAGAGTGATAGGATGGACCACATGTGGCTAAAATAGAATCTTTACAGCTTGGTCTTTCCAATTCATTCCCTTCCATTGCAGCTAACATTTATTGAGAGTTAATTTTGCTTTAAATAAAATAATTTAATTTAAAATAGTTTATTTTTTCCATAATAAAAAGAAGATAACTTTCTTGCAGTTTCACCCCTGAATTTTTTAATCACCTAGCTGTATTGTTAAATTTAATTATAAATTCTTTTGTTCAATAGCTATCTATTGAGCACTATTTGCCTGCCACTTTGCCAGATACTAGGGGGCTGAGGGGAAGAAAGGACAAGAGGACATGGGGATGAATAAGGAGATTCCCAGACCCTGAGGCACTCCTAGCCTCTGCAGACACAGACACACAAAAATACCACCATTTAGATGGTAACAAAGACAACAGCATAGTTAGGAACCCAAAAGGAACCCAAAGGTGAAAATGGTAACTGTTGTATTGCCTGCAAATTTAAGCTATCGTGTTGATGCTTTACTGTGTTCACTCTCTCAAGGATATCTTTATTTGTAAGAACTTCTTGGATACCATGTTTTAATTCTCAGTGATGATGGAGAGTAAAGAAAAAAATTTGAAGAAAACAACCCTCAAGTAATATGATGCAGAGAGCCATTTCCCTGTCCAAGTAAAACTAGACTAAGACATTTGCATTTGTTTTTAGCAAATGGAAATAACAGTGGTTTGAGTTACTGCTTATATTGACAGATGTTATCAACTTAACATTCCTATTGCAGAACTTTACTCTTACATAAATTTGGAGGATATATTCATTTCTTAGGGTCACTCCAGTTCTAGTCATTAAATTAAGGCTGCAATGTTGTATTCAAACATCAGGGATCTAAAAGTGTTATTTCTGCTTCAAAAGGTGACTGACAAATTTAGGAAAAAGCTCATAATATTTAGTTCATATTTATCCATGTGGTTTGGAATTCTCTTTGGCAGGTTAGAATAGGTCTTCAAACTCTATTGTCATGAACACAAGTGACTGTTAGAATGGAATTTACAGGGCAAAGATTATTATATATCTAGCTTGTGGATTATTTTTATCTTAGAAACTTGCACAGCTTTTCCTCCCACGATTAGCAATGGACATAAAGCAATAGTGTTCTGGAGAGGAATTAGCATATCTCTTGGTAACATCTTGTAATGGTGACTGGCATTTGGGGCATCGATTCATCAATAAGTGATTTGCAGGAATTTCACCCTGGAGAAGTAGTTAGAGCCATCACTCACAAGTCACAATGCCAAGCCGTTTTAGATGATGATTATATGCTGTTACAGAATTTTCAGTCCTAGCCCCAGATTTTTCTACTGAAAATGAAAACTCACAAAAGGAATGTAGAATTAGAGCTCAGGATAGCCCAAGAATGCTTTCATTGGAGTGCTGAATTTGCCTTCTTCGTGGCTGAGCCCAAAATCTTGCATCATTTCTCACTCCTGTGAAATTAGGGACAAGAGGAGAGGCAGCTTTGCTTCTGGGAATTAATGCCTCACTCTGCTGTCATATTTTCCAGTCTCTTCTACTAAGATGTGATTTTCAAATGCTTAATAATTCTGGGCATATGCAGAACCAACTCCAATAACAAAACCACACAGGAGTTGCCATTAAGTGTAGGCCCTTTCCTACCATGAGGTGTTCTGACACAGAGCTGTTTCCATCCTGTTAGTAGGTCTCAAGAGGTCATTGATGAAGGTAGTCTCCTAATTAGGATCCACACAGAACACACTTGCCTGACTTTCAAATCAGGGGCTCCCGAACTTCCTAGTTGCAGCTCAAGAGGCTCATTGCCCTGGGACAATTTATTTCACCTTCAGCACCTTCAGGCTGTCTCTGGGAATCTCTGTTATGCTGAGTGACTAAATTTTGACTACCTGTGGCCCCGGGGAACCTAATTTCACTAACAGATGTCCTCTTCCCCATTTCTCATCAACCGTTTGATGTAGAGACCAATAAGAAAACTTTAAGTTTGTCTGAAAGCCTATGGAATACAAACCAAAGAGCACCTCTATCCTGCCAGCTAGACTGACTGCACACAGAAAGATGCTCACATCTTCCGCTATGTGTGTGAAGCACCATGGATCTGACTTTAGATTTGAGCAAAGGCTTAGGAATAGTAAAAGAATAATCTATGGAGCTGTAAAAGCCACAGATGCCACAGTTCATAGTTCATGCAAACTTGGAGCGTGTTTACCAAAGGCAGGGAACCCTAGATGTCTACCCTGGTCCTATACTACCCTATCTTCTTGTGCTCCTTATGTCCTTGCCCAACACTGTCAGACTTTTGATGCTTCCTTGAACACAAGATTGACATTCAGAACTTTATGCTTTTACTTCAGGGAGATCCCTATTTTTTGTTTCTACCTGGGCAAACTACACTCCAGCTAATGTTGAATTCACGGCATCCGGCCTTTCATATTCTGTAAAGCTTTGGCTAAGGACATTATCCATTGAACCATTCCCTGCCTCCTAGACAATGACTGTGAACAAAATCTCCCTGAATTAGATAGGAGAATAAACCTTATCTCTCATGAAGAATTTGTATGCTTCCTTCTTCCAAATATTATATTGCCTTCCTAGTTTTCGCTGCCAAGAAATTTAAGACTAGGCTTTATGTTCTTTCTCAGTAATGGTAGAGGCTTTGACAGCTGTTTTGCTCCTCATAACCTATGGTTCTCTACTTTTGTTTTCATGTTGTTAATATTTTGCAGTAATCATCTTTGTGAATGAACTCAATTAATTTCTAGAAATAGGTAGGGCATAAACAAAGACAAGACCAAAGTGTTACATTAGAATGATACTTAGAGAAGATATTTATGTAAATGAGTATAGGAATTAGGTCCAAGTGGATGGCCTCCCCAGGACCTAACTTAATTTAGCCTGTTAATAGAGCAAATGATATCTCTCACATTATTTTCCTTACAAAATCATTCTCTCGATCAGTTTTTGGGCAAAAGCTAAATATTGGATTATTTAAATGAAGGTGGTGGGAGCTTAAGCAAGTTGAGTGGAACAAAATTTGGATCCAGTTCTGTGACTTGAGGCCAAAGGAAGAAGAGACCTAATTTGGGAAACTGTGTGGGAGCAAGTGATTTGATAGAGTGGCTTTACACAGAAGCATCCCTGGATGAACCCATAGCCTGTGGGGAATGAGACTTAGGCTGCAAAATTCTTCTTGTCTTACATTCAGCAGCAGGTGCTGAATCGGATGGGAATTGTAGGAGAAGGGCAAAAAGGGGAGATGAAGAGCTCAGTGGGCTCTACTCTGGAAAGTTGGGACAAATAAAGGGAAGGGAAGCAAGACTGGGTCTGGCTAGACCTAGAGAGTCCATGCTAGGGTGTTCCTAGCCCAGTTCTCTAATGAATAGTACCTACTTGCAGTCCAGCCTAATAACACTCAGTCTGTCCCTGCATCACTGTTTTCTCTCAGGAACTCAACTCTGAGTCTTAAGAAAACCAAAAGCAGTTGGACCTCAGGGTCCAAGTGTTTCCCACTGTCCTTATAAGGCCCCAGATAAACTGCCCACAGCCCTCTCACCACCCTGATTTGGCTACTACCACCTCATCACTGCCAGCCGAATCTTTGCCAGGAGAACCTGCAGAAGGGAGGAAATGTGGCTTAGATCTACAGGACATCTTTTTTCTTTCAGGTATGCAGTGTCACATGCAGCCTTATGGAAAAATAGAGGCAGGGAAGGAAAGGGCAAGCCTCATTTCTAGTAATGATACAAGATTGGGCACAAATGCTTCTAATCACAATAACCTTCTGAAAATGCCAAATACTTTTCTGAAAAATGGAGAAAACTGTTTTATTTTTCTTAATTATTTTCCTGGCCAAGACAATGTCAAAAGAAGTAGCCTTAAAGCTAGGGACTGCCCCACCAGGAATGTCACTTTCCTTTCAGGGAACTTTCATTCCTCATCATCACCAATGACAGGAACTCTCAGCCTCCTCATCCCTCTATTTTCCTTTTCCAGTTCTTGTCTCCAGAGGATGCTCTCAAACGCCTAGTCTGCCTGTTTCTGATTCTGGGGGGTGCCTCCTTCAGAGCTGCTGCCGGAAAAGGTGATTGTTTCCACTGCAGCTTCTGATGGAAGCGATAAGGATGGTTCCCTGAAAGATGCCGTTTCCATCTTTCCTCTGCCTGTGTGTCAGAGTCTCTCCCTACCACCACCCGAATCCCCCCTGTGTTCTGGAAGATCCCCTTTCCCAGACAGCTGCTGGGTTTTTCATCAAAGGACAAGCAAGCCGTCTTCATTTACACCAGATGGAACCTAGAAATCTCTTTTTTTTCTCTCTCTGTCTTTCCTTTCCTCAATATCTGTTAATATTTAAGTGAGTGGTTTTCAAAATCACCCCAAGTAGGAAACCCCTATAAGGCATTTATTATTTCAATAATGATGCATGGCTTATTTTTATTCCAGTTTCCTGTGACATCTGTAACATCTGAAATTTGAAAAAATTCCAAACTAAAAATGTATGCAAATGTGTATTTCCTTAAATTGGCTTTTATATTTACGTTAAATAAAAGAAAACAGGAGTATCTTGAAAATGTGACATCTATTTAATTGAATACCCAGAAGACAACACTCTGTCCTCTTCCCATATCAAACTCAGCCAAAGCAAGGAACTTGAGGTGAAACAGGAGGAGTAACAAGTCCTAGTGACATAAAAGGCAGATTGAAGGTCACCTTCAGATTGGATATTGCCAACCTTTTGCTCTACTCTGGTGTTTTTTATGGATTGCATCTTGATGACTTTTGCCCAATGTGAATGCAAATAGCAGCAAAAAGGCATCCATGTAGTAATGCTCAAAAATGTCACCGTGACTTGGTCTGAAAAACAACATATAGATACTAGAGGAAAAAACAAAAACCAAAATGCATATTTGCTCTTTAAATCATGGCAATGGTGAGGAGCTACTGAGAAATACAAATAAAATTCTAAGTCCCCTAACTGACTGAATGAACCCTCTCTTGGCCAAGTAGACCCCAGAGTAAACTCGAAAACTGAGTCTTGGCCAGGACTGGATGGGAGGTCAGACACACTTTGAATACCCCCTCCCCCACTAACCGCTAGGAGGGTTTTGTCTTTCAGAGCTAAACAGATAGCAGCCCTCCCAAAAGACTCCACCACAGATACCAACCAATGGCCTGACACTGCCCTTTCTTTTGTGCCTCATAGAAGACCACTGACCACAGAGTGGTTCTGGCCAGACTAAGGAGAATGTGCAGGGAGGGTTTTCATGACCTCTGCTTTACCTTTTGATGCCAGAGTGCAGAAAACTCCACACTTGGATCATGCTAACACCACCAATTTTTGTACAAGAGACCCATGAAGGAACATGAAGCTCAGTTGTGCATGCACATGCTTCTCCTTTCATAAATAGTCATGACTTCTCCTATAGCTTAGTGAATATGTGTATTTGGCCACCCTGTGCAGCATAAATTTCTGTTCCCTTTGACCCTCCCTTGAAATGTCTGTTTCCAGCTTCTGGCTGGTAGCTATGCTTCCCAGCCTGTCAGAACAGCCACCCTGCAGGCTGCAGTCTTTTATGGGAAATAAAACACCTTTCCAAATTTATGAACTTCCTCTTTCTTCAGTTGACACTACTGTGGTTTAACATACTGATTTCAATGGAGATCACCTTGGATATTAAAACTGAAGTGTAAAAAGAACCGAGAAGAAGGGAAAGAAATAAATATCTAATTTTTAAGTATATAGTTGCACGGTATGATTCTGGCAGTAAGACAGATGATTAGACAAGCCTGATTTCTTTTCCGATACTAAACAACATTTCCCCCAGCCATTCTTATGATTTTCTTCTCTCTCATATAAAGTTTTCCACAGTGATAGCATGTAAAACTATAATTAAACACACAGAAAAACAGTTTGATGGGCTGAAAATCTGCTGTCCTTAAGTTGTTGTGTTGTGCATGACAGTTTTGCAAATACTCTGGCTTTATAAACATGAGATTCATCTGCATATTCAGTTTTGAATAAGATCCTTCTAGTTCTGAAGCAATACTATTAGCCCACACTAGTGTCACTGGCAGGATATATTCATGGCATACTGTAGTAGACAGAAGAATATCGGGAATATCGGAAATGTAGGCTCTAGATCTGTTTTTACTTATTATTTAGGGTAGATTTCAAATATTTTGATTTGTTAAGTAACTTCTCAGTTTGTCCATGTTTTCATCATGTGAAGTTGGTGACTGGACTGGCAAGCATCTAGAGTTGTTCAGCTCCATAGGAAAATTAGGCAAAACCTGGTTATGTCATTTTGTGACTTTGGGTATGGAAGGGAAGATAGAGCTGGACAGGTAGGAAGGGAGAAGAGAAGTTGCCTAACATAATGGGAATGTACATATTCCTTACTACTACTAGTCCTATGTACTATTTCTACTTAGGTCTTTTTAGTAAAGAACATAGGTGTAAAGTTGTTGACCTGATACAAGGATAAAGTCTACATATTCTGCATTGGATACAAATAAACAGTCAAAAAATGCCATCTTTCTTTAATTCTAAGATATTCCATTTAATTCATTTTCTTAGAAAATGTTAAGAATATTACATTAAATGAATAAATGAAGCATAAGGTATATTCTTATTTCAGAAATGTTAAAATGTAAAAAAAATATGTTTTTTAGAATCCAAAACCTATATTATTAATTCAGTGCCCTGCATTGCGTCAAATGATATGAGAATATAAGAAACATAAAATATACTTAAGTAGCTAAGACACAAACAATGAATCAAGTAGAAAAACACAAAGACTCATCTGGCTGCAATACCAAAAATCTGGCTCAACAATGTCAGACCTCAGAGAGTGGATTTTCTATAGGTTATATATCATTGAAACTCTGTGATTAATGAAGAAAGTGAAAAGAATTTGAGGAGGGACTGGAGAAACAAGAACTAAGAGAAGATATTTACATTAGAAAAGGTAAATTAAGAAAAACCAACCTACTGAAGTATCTTTTAACTTTCCTGTTTACATATTCTTTGACTTTAAAATTCAGTCTTTTTGACATATAACTTTAGAGAAAACAGTCCCTCAACTTCCCACTTATATTAGGAGAAAGATTTAGTGCCTCAAAGTCACATGGTGAGTCTACTAAGACAATCTGTAAAATATTTTGGTCTCCAGACCATCATTAAGGCATAGAAAATAAGATTTTAAGGAAGTATATTGAATAATAAAAACCCATTAGATACACACTGATATACACACAAACACATGCACAGTCTCTCTCTCTCTCTCTCTCTCTCTGTCGCTCTGTCTCTTTTTGTGAAGACTGATTAATTTTCAGGGCTTTCTGATGTTTTATAAGTATATGTCTACATATGGTTCCTTGGGGGATTAGGACATCTAGGAATCTCACATATGTTCTTGAGATACTGTGTCTCAACTGTAGTCTAAAGTGTTTCTATTCCTCTATAACTTACATCTTAAAGTTATAATTGCTGAACTATTCAGCATATTGCTTAATGGTTTTGAAAATACACTTGGCAAGGCAACCAGGTGGCTGGATGAGGTTGGGAACAATCAAGCTCCATTTAAACTTTAAAAAAGAAAAACCAAAGGCAATGAAATTTCAATGTTTATATTAGAAGTCACCTTTGAATTTTTCTGGTTTAGTCCAATAGAATCAAACTATTGGAGCCTCTGGAGGTGGGGTCTAGGTTTTGGTGTTTGTAAGGAGCTGCCTAGATGACTCTAAATTACAGTAAGGATGGAGAAGAGCTGATCTAGCTCAATCTTCTCCCTTGTGTGTGAATTTCTTCTATAACATCCCTGATAAATGATCTTTTATTCTTTTGTGGTTGATATTGTATTGGCTTTTTAAAAAACGTCAATATGTTACATTATCCAAACTAAAAAAACTGCATCAAGAATAAAAACAAAACCCAAATAATATGTATGTGATAATTTTGCTTAGAAATATTTTAGCAAAAATATGGCATCTAATGGATTTTAAGCTATTTCACTGAGTAAAGGGGCCTGAAATAAACTCTGGCTCTCATGGGAGGACGACATAATATGCAACGGGTGTTTAAAGTTACTTTATTGATGTGTAATCTTTATATAATAAACGTTGCTAATTTTAAGTATACTATTTGATGAGTTTTGACAAACAAATGCAGTCATATGCCCACCATAAAAATTGTGACAGAGGATGTTTTTATAATTCCCCCAATTCTCTCTGCTCCTTTTGATACAGACGATACAGACAGGAGACAGGGAAATATTGGGTAGAAGAGGGCAGTTCCCTGGCAAAGGTTCCCCCCAAGCCTGGAAATCCACAGCCCTAAATGAAAATGGGCCCTAAGTGAAAATGTCTCTAAATGAAAAAAGGCAAAAGTTGCCTTTTGGCCCACCACGCCCCCTGTCCTGTACCCATATAAACCCCAAACCCCAGGCTCCACGAGGAGACAAAAACAGAAGAGCAGAACAGCAGAATGGCGTGGCAGAGAGACAAGAAGGAGAGTCCGTATGCCGAGAGGAGTTCAGCTGGGGAAAGTCAGAGAGGAGATTAGCTGCTGGATGGCCAAACTCCAGGGGAAGATCGTCTTCCCGCTACTTCCTTCTTCCAGCTTCCCATCCATCCCACTGAGAACCACCTCCACCGGTCAATAAAACACCGGCATTCATCCTTCAAGTCTGTGTGTGACCTGATTCTTCCTGGATGCTGGACAAGGACCTGGGTACCAAGAGGGCACTGGGCTGTTTAACACTTAAGCCATCTATGGACAGCAAGGCTAAAAGAGTGCACTGTAACATGTGCCCTCTTGGGCTTCAGAAGTCGCAGGATCCCACCTCTGGATGTTGCCATGGGGCCGGAGCCCAGGGGCACTCACCATGGCTCCTGCACCTGTCTGTCTGTGTGCTCCCCATCCCATAAGGGATTTGAGCATGTATGGTAGCCATATAAATGAGCCACACTCCTGTCACACATCCTGCGAGGCAGGGTCAGGAAATTCTCCTGTTTCACTTTGTATTATAGTTTGTTCCCTAGAATCTCTCTCCGCTCCTAGCAACCACTGATACAGTTTCCATAGAATGGACCTATGAAGCCCCCTGAGCCAGAAGTTTTCTTTGTAGGAAGGCGTTAAATTAAGTTTGGCCTAAAGCTGCCTCTGAACATATTTTTAGTTTCGCCTAAAGGTTTCTCTATACATGTTGCACTATAAACTAATAATGAGTAAACAAATTGTAACCTACTATCTTTTTTTTTTTTTTTGAGATGGAGTTTTGCTCTTGTTGCCCAGGCTGGAGTGCAATGACATGATCTCTGCTCACTGCAACCTCTGCCTCCCGGGTTCAAGTGATTCTCCTGCCTCAGCCTCCTGAGTAGCTGGGATTACAGGCACACACCACCACACCCAGCTAATTTTTTGCATTTTTAGTAGAAACGGGGTTTCACCACGTTGGCCAGGCTGGTCTCAAACTCCTGACCTGAGGTAATCCACCCACCTCGGCCTCCCAAAGTGCTGGGATTGCAGGTGTGAGCCACTGCACTCAGCTATAACCTACTCTTGTAACAAGAGTAATGGAATCATAACTAACCATATGCAGCCAACTGTCCAAAGCAGGTTCAAATAAGGCAGACATCCAGATGTAACCAACCCAGCTGTTTCTGTATCTCACTTTTGTTTCCTATACATCACTTGCCTTTTTTAGTCCATAAATATTATCAATATTATCAGACCATGTGGCAGCCCTGGAGTCTCTCTGAACCTATTCGGGTTCTGAGGGCTGCCTGATTCACAAATTGTTTTTTGCTCAATTAAGCTTTGTTAAATTTAATTTGTCTAGAGGTTTTAAACTGTGAATTCAGTTATTTAATAGATATAGAGCTATTGAGGTTATCTGTTTTCTCTTAAATTAGCTTGGCTAGTTTGTGTCTTTCAAATAATTTGTTCATTTCACATAAGATATTGAATTTACAAGGATAAGGTTGTTCATAACATTTTCTTATTATTTTTTAATGTCTGTATAAACTTTAGTGATGGTCCCTCTTTTATTCCTGACCTTGGAATTCATGCCTTTTCTCTCTTTCTTATGTGTGTATGTGTTAATAATTCTGATTAGAAGTTAGCAATTTTATTGATCTTTCCAAAGATCCATCTTTTGATTCCAGGGGTGGAAATGGCGTACCCACATTTTAAGGGTACAAGGTGTGTTCTAGGGAATAAAGCAAGTCTCAATAAATTTAAAAGTATTGAAATGATAGTAGATTAGTGTTCTGTGTGGGAGATGTGCAAGGGGAGAAGAAAAGACACACACAATACCTTCAAGTGTAAACAACCTTTACCCCACATAAATGCCAATGCAGATATAATAAGCAAATTATATAATATGCAAATTAATATAAGCAAATTATATAATAAGCAAATTGATATAATAAGCAAATTGCAATGGGAAGGGGAGAAGGGAAAAGATATATATATATATTTACACTCACCAGACTATGGAGGATTCATCACCAGACTGGGAAGCAACAGCCTGGGCTCCAGAGTCGGCCACTTGTCAGTGCACAGGAGAGAGCTCATGAAGCTTCAGCACCGTCTGGGACCCTAGCCCTTTTTGTAATGAGTTGTTTGGCACGAGACTCAGTCATGAGGGCACCTTGTGACTGGGCTCAAGGAACACAAAAAGGTCAACTTGTTTTTGCAATTGTCTGTTGTTTTTTAATAGCTAACGTATAGGAATAGATTGAAACAGAGATTTTTCCAAAACAGTGCTGAATGAATGCCTCAAGGGGCTCATGCAATCTGTTCCGGGACTTGGGGCTCATGCAACCTGTTCCGGCACTTGGGGTTCATGCAACCTGTTCCGGTACCTGGTGACCATCATTTGTGTCCACATTCAATTTAGTTCATATTTAATATTTAACTTTTCCTCCACAAAGGCAGTATGTATTCCACCATAAAGGAATTAAACTAGAAAACAGTAACAGAAAATACCTTAAAAACACCCCAAATCTTTGGAAATGAAACAACAAACTTCTAAATAATTCTTAGGTCAAAAAAGAAATGCCAAGGAAAATTAAGAAATACTTTTTAACTGAATGAACATAAAAACACAACATAACAAAATGTATTGCATGTAGCTAAAGTAGTGCTTAGAAAAAAATTTATAGCTTTAAATGCTTATATTAGAAAATAAGAAACACTAAACTGATTATATAAATTTCAACTTAAACTAGAATAAGAAAAACAAATTAAACCCGCGTAAATAGAAGTGATAGACAGGAGGCAAGAAAATACTGGGTCTATTGGAGCTTTTATGGGTACAGAATGGGGGCGTACTATTGGAGTTTTTATGGGTACAGGGTAGGGGACATAATGTGTATCATTCTGTTACACAACAGAACACTGGTGTGTTCCATATCCTGTTGGAAAGAATGTGTATCATTCCGTTGTTGGGTACAGTAGAAATCGTTAAGAAAATACTAGCAAATCAAATCCAACAATATGTAAGTAGGATACTACATCTCAAGAAAGTAGGGTTTATTCCAGGAATGTAAGGTAGGTTTAACATTCAAAAGCCAATCACTAGGTCAGGTTGGTTGATGTTGCTAAAGTCTTCTACATTTTAAATAATTTTCTGTCTGGCTATTCTATCAATTACTGAGACAGAAGTATTGAAATATCCAACTTTATTTGTAGATTTTTCTGTTTTTCCTTTCCGTTCTACAAGTTTTTTGGTTCATGTACTTTGAAATCTTGTTATTAGGTGTATACAGTTAGGATTTTTATGTTCTCTTGATGAATTGACACCTTTATCATTGTGAGTTTTAAAAAATCACTCATATTTCTTTTTTGAAATCTAATTTATATGTCGATATAGTCACTTCTTTCTTTTGGTTAGTGTTTTCACAATATATCTTTTTCTATTTTCTTACATTAATTTTATCTATTTATAAGTTAAGCTGATAGCTTATAGTAGAGTCTTAATTTTTTATCTAACATTACAATCTCTGGTTTTTAATCAGAATATTTAGACCATTTACATCTAAGGTAATTATTTTATGATTGAGTTTGAATCAATCATCTTAGTATTTGTTTTTTATTTGCCCCATAGGTTTTTAAATTTCCTGTCTTTTCTTGGATTAAGTGAACTATCTTATGATTTATGTTTTCTCCTTTATTGCCTATTATCCATAACTCTTGTTTCAAGTTTTTCATTGTCACCTTAGGCTTTACAATATACATATTTAACTTAATGTAATTTTTATTCAAATAATATAGTATTATTTAGCATACAGTGAAAGAGTCTTACAACTGGCCGGACATAGTGGCTCACGCCTGTAATCCCAGCACTTTGGGAGGCCAAGGTGGGCGGATCACAAGGTCAGGAGTTCAAGACCAGCCTGGCCAATATAGTGAAACCCTATCTCTACTAAAAATACAAATATTAGCTGGGTGTGGTGGGACACACCTGTAGTCCCAGCTACTTGAGAGGCTGAGGCAGGAGAATCGCTTGAACCCAGGAGGTGGAGGCTGCAGTGAGCCGAGACCATGCCATTGCACTCCAGCCTGGGTGACAGAGTGAGACTCTGTCTTAAAAAAAAACAAACAATAAAGTGCCTTACAACCATATACTTTCAGTTCTCCTCCCATCCTTTGTGCGTTTTTTTTTTGGTCATATTTTACTTATATATATGTTATAAACTTTACAACACATTGTTAACTTTTGTATTTTAAACAATCAACAGTTGCTTTTTTTTTTTTTTTAAGTTGGAGTTTCACTCTTGTTGCCCAGGCTGGAATGCAATGGCACGATGTCAGCTCACTGCAACCTCTGCCTCCAGGGTTCAAGTGATTCTCCTGCCTCAGCCCCCCAAGTAGCTGGGACTACAGGTGCCCACCACCACACCTGGCTAATTTTTGTATTTTTAGTAGAGGCGGGGTTTCGCCGTGTTGGCCACGCTGGTCTCGAACTCCTGACTTCAGGTGATCTGCCCACCTCAGCCTCCCAAAGTGCTGGGATTACAGGCGTGAGCCACCACTCCCGGCCTCTGTGAGCTGCATGTATTTTTTTAAAGTCTCATATTTACCCATTTATTTACCATTCCTTTGTATAGATTCAAATTTCTACCTTGTGTCATTTTCCTTCTGACTTACTAAGTTCCTTTATCATTTTTTATAATACATATTTAGTTCCAATGAATTCTGTCAGATTTTGTCTGAAAAAGTCTTTATTTTACTCTCATTTTTGAAAGATATATTCATTGGATATAAAATTGTCAGTTGACAGGGTTTTTGTTTTAATACTTTAAAGATGTTGCTACATTTTCTTCTAATTTAAGTAGCTTCTGATAAGGCATATTGTTTTTCTTAACTTTGTTCCTCTGTACAGAGTGTGTCTTTTTTCTGGGTCAGTGTTTAAGTCTTTCTCTTTAGTACTGATTTGATTATGATGCACCTTAGTGTGGTTTTCTATACATTTCTTCTTTTTGAGATTTATTGGCTTTTCAATCTTATGGTTTACTGTTTTCAAGACGTTTGAAAACTTTTCAACCATTATTGCTTCAAATATTTTTTCTACCCCTGTATCTGGCTCTTGCCTTTTTTGCAACTCCAATTGCCTGTTATTTTACCGCTTGATTTTGCCTTATAAGGGTCACTGATATATTTTCATATTTTTAAAAATTTATATTTTTTCTGTGTGCTTTATGTCAGATAATTTCTATTGTTATAGATGTAATATTCATATATATGTGCATATATGTCACTGATCGAGTCTTCAGCAGTGTCTAATCTGTAGCATTTATCCTATCAAGTGTATTTTCTGAGACTATATTTTTCATCTCTACAATTTTCATTTGGGTTTTTAAAAAATCTTCCATTTCTCCACCCATCAAATTTATTATTTGTGTAAAAACCTACTGGAAACCAAAAATAGAATTCTAAGCACCCCTCAACCATCTGAATGGACTTCCTCCTAAGCCAGGGAGCTCTTGAGCTGAACCTGAAAGACTGGTTGGGACCATGATGGGAAGTGGAGGTCAGACATGCCTCAGTATACCTCTCTGGTATTAACATCAACACGGACCTTAAGTCTGATAAGAAACATTTACAGTCTAGTCTCTGTGAAGCCTGCTACCCAAAGGCTTCATCTGCACAATAAGAACCTTGGTTTCCACAATCCTTTACCTAAACCAGACATTTTCTTTTTATTGATCCCAGGTCTTTAGATAAACTCAACCAACCGTCAACTAGGACATTTTTAAATCTACCTATAACCTGGAAGACCATACATCTTCCAGTCGTTCCGCCTTTCTGGAGCCAACCAATGTATTTCTTAACTGTATTTGATTGAAGTCTCATGTCTCCCTAAAACGTATAAAACCAAACTGCACCCTGACCACCTTGGGCCCATGTTCTCAGGATATCTGGGGCTGTGTCATGGGCCATGGTCGCTCATATTTGGCTCAGAATAAATCACTTCAAATATTTTACAGAGTTTGAATTTTTTATCAACACTACCAAACATCCAAATCATAAGACTTAAAAAACCTATAGAATTTCTAAATAAATAAATACATTTATTCATCTATTATCTCTAAGTATTACAAAATTCTTCCTATTATCAGAGTCACATGAAAACCTTTTAAAGGTTTGAAGAAAATTATCATAGCCGATCAACAGCTTTCTTGTTCTGAGGCTGAAAGATTATCCTTTCCTTGGCCGGGCGCAGTGGCTCATGCCTGTAATCCCAGCACTTTGGGAGGCCGAGGCGGGTGGATCACGAGGTCGGGAAATCAGGAGCATCCTGGCTAACACGGTGAAACCCTGTATCTACTAAAAATACAAAAAAATTAGCTGGTCGTGGTGGCGGGCACCTGTAGTCCCAGCTATTCGGGAGGCTGAGGCTGGAGAATGGCCTGAACCCGGGAGGCGGAGCTTGCTGTGAGCCAAGATCGTGTCACTGCACCCCAGCCTGGGTGACAGAGCAAGACTCCGTTTCAAAAAACAAAAAACAACAAAAAAGATTATCCTCTCCTTATGTCCGTTTTCCTAAACTCCTCATTTTTTTCTAGATACTCCTCTGGGGATCCCTTCAGGTTATTGGCAGTAAACTTAAAGTAAAGCCTTGACATTGAACTCAATGCTATAGGTCTGTTCTGATATCCAAGCAGAGTAAGATTGTCTTCCTCCATATTCCAGATTCTAGTTATGTATAAATGTAATTTAAGATTTCATTACTCCTTTTTAAAGCTATCTTGTCATATCATGAATCACATGGCAATTAAAATAAGCTAAAACCTTTTGCCCTTTCTCACACATGTAGTTTTTTAGTATTTCTCTTATATCCTATACTCGTGCCTTTGAAGTTAATTTATTCCTATTGAATTTCATCCTCTTCAGTAGACTCCATAATTTCTCTGTTAAGACCAACTCAATCTCCTAGCACACTAGCTAAGGTTGGTTCCTATTATTTGTAAGCCCTCAGACATCAAATACACTGACAGCTCAGCAAATTGGCATGTTCTCTTAGTATCTATTAACCCATAATATTGCAGAGGTCAGGGATGGTGCTCCCTATCGCTCTCTTTTTAATAAATCTATAGTATCTATGAATGTACCAGACATACATTATGTGCTCAATAAATGTTAGGTGTTTGTATACAAACCCCAAAAGTTGAGTCATTTGTGACGGGAAAATATCACTTACAGCACTTACATTCTTCCCTTCTTTGTGTCTGTTTGCTTATTTTGGGCTGCAATAACTTCATATTGTTGCTTGTGGAGCGTGTCTAGGTTCTTAGTGTTTTGAAAAAAGAATTGGATAAAATGCATAAACAAGGCAAGGAAAGAATGAAGCAACAAGAGCAGAGATGTATTGAAAATGAAAGCACGCTCCACAGGGTGAGAACGGGCCAGAGCAAGCGGCTCAAGGGTCCGGTTACAGAATATTCTGGGGAAGTATCCTCCGAAGGTTTCACATTTGTTACTTGGTGTATGCCCTATGTAAATGAAGAGGACAAAGTGAGATTACAAAGTTATTTACTTGGTGTACACCCTATCCAAATGAAGAGGATGTTTCCTGTCATAGCTGAAGTAGAGTTATAAAATTATTTGCTTGGTCTTAGAAAGCTTGGTCTTACAAAGTTTCCGTTTGATTTAGTTCTATGACGTCCTTAGGTTCCCTGCCCCGACCCCCTATTCTCCTGCCTCAGTATCAATGTTAATTTTGCCCTTTCCCATCGGATTGGCATATCTTCTTTACAGAGAATATGGAAGCAAAATAGGAGTTGAGACATTTTATTTTCTTTCTGTTATTCATGCCACTAATCCACATTAGTGAAATAATGTCTTACTTCATCTTCTTGGTCCAAGAACAACTTTAAAAAGTCTTTTTGGTTTTCATGAACAATATCTGTAAGACTCCACTTGTTCCTGTATTTAGTCTTCTTTACACTCACGGTAGAGTAAAGATGGCTGTAAATTCTTTGTCAATCTACTCAGCAAGAGGTGGATCTTGTTCTCGAACTCTTTGAAACTGGGCTAGACTTATACCTGCTTGGACCATGGGGGTAGAGTCCCCATGGCGGTGATGGACTACAAAACTGGAGACAGCTTGGGTCTCTGAAAATCTTATGAAGCAGGTTCATATACCCAGACTTTTGGTTTAGGGTGAAACTAACTTCAATTTTAAATTGAAGTGGGTTAAAACCACTGTCATTTTCAGTCCCTGCTTCATGTAGATAAACTTAATACTAATGGATACAACTCTGTTAATTAAACTTAGATCCATAGTAGCAATGTCTTAAGTAAATTTCTTTTTTTAATGTTATTGTTGTTCTTTTATTTTATGTTTGTTATTCAAATATCGAAGAGGAGATGGAGATGGGATGTACGTTGGACTCAGACAATAATCCAGCTGGTTGTTAAGACACAACGCAAGTCTGAAACACAAGACTTAAGTTATACTGGAAGAGTTCTCAGGGTTTGCCAATTTTCTTATGAGATAATTATTATTATTATTACTTTTTAAGATGGAGTCTCACTCTGTCACCCAGGCTGGAGTGCAGTGGCGCAATCTCCTCTCACTGCAAGCTCCACCTCTCAGGTTCACGCCATGAGAGAATTATTATTTTTATGTCTTATTTTCTTTTACTCTTTCTCTGGAAACCATCAAGTCTTGTGTAGATTCCTAGACCTAATAGCACAAGAATGCAGTGCTACATTTTCCTCAATTATTTCTTATGTGTTAGCCTTGTTTCTCTAACAATACAATAAATACTATGAGGAAAGAGATGATATACTTTCTGTAGTATTCATGGTATTGGAAGCCATGAAAGGCACACAATAAAACTAAATTATGTTCAAATATCTGATACAGAGTCATTGAAAATATTGTCATTAATTTGGCTTATGTATTTTTCTTTAATTATCTCTTTATAATGCGTAATGACTTTTGTTTTTGACCTATGGATCATTTTTAGGAATTCTTTTCAAAAGGATTGGTCATTATCTGTTTGAATATGTATCTGTGATACATGTATCATTTTCTCCTCTATAATTGTGAACATTGTAAATGGCGACATACAAATAAAATATGTGGTTAAGAATACATGGAAATCAGGCTAGGCGCAGTGGCTCATGCCTGTAATCCCAGCACTTTGGGAGGCCAAGGCAGGCGGATCATTTGAGGTCAGGAGTTCAAAAGCAGCCTGGCCAACATGGTGAAACCCCATCTCTATTAAAAATACAAAAATTACCTGGGGGTGCTGGTGGGTGCCAGTAATCCCAGCTACTAGGGAGGCTGAGGCAAGAGAATCACTTGAGCCCAGGAGGCAGAGGTTGCAGTGAGCAGAGACCGTGCCACTGCAATCCAGCCTGGAAGACAGAGCGAGACTCCATCTTGAACAAAACAAAACAAAACAAAAGAATATGTGGAAATCACATCCCAATCAAAATTATGCATCATTTATGAAAACATTTATGTATGTAATTCTGACTTCTTTAAAATATCAACAAAAATCTCAATAGAATGAAAAAAGAGAGTTTGAAAAATGAAATAATAAATGCTTTGGGTTGCTTCTGGGAAATACTAAATAATCAGATCCTGCCTTATGATTAATATGTTAAAATGTACTGCAGTAATGTTTGTGTTATGGCAAAAATAAGCTTAACTCATTTTTCTGTTTATTATTCATTATTTTCTTAAATAGCCTCACATCAACCATTGGAGGTGTGCTGGAAAGTATTGTAGAAGGATACATAGTCACTATATTTGAGGTCAGTTAAAATAAAATTGGTCCACAGATTTAAGCCTAATAGATACAAATGATAACAGTCAGTAGAAATATAAAAAGTAAAAAGTTTAATGTCTGACCCTTTCACTTTTGTATTAAAATATTTCCCTTCATGAGGGAATACCGGAATTACTAGATTGCAGTTTGGAAACTCATTCAAGCAAGAGATTGCAACTGGGGGCTCCAAAGATAAAAATTAGGTTACTCTCTTCCCTTCTCTCTCTTTGAGGCCACAAAGAATTTTGACTCAATTTCTCTCTGTGCCTCTGCTTTATTTCTACCATCCTGCTTCCCCACCCACATCTCCAGGGGCTTCCTCTGCTCCAATTGCATAAGCTTTGTCCCAGCTGCTCCAAAACAATGTTATCCTGACCCTTGTGTTAGTAACGTTGATAACGATAATTATAATTGATATTTACTAAACTTTTATTATGGCATTGAGGTGAGCACTATGTATTATTTAATCATGACACCTCCCCCCGTAAAGTAAGTGCTATTATTTTCTCCACTTTTCAAATAGGTAACTGAGGCTGAGAGATGTTTAATAACTTATGTAACATCACACAGCTAATGAAGAATAGGGCTAGAACTCAAATCCAAAGTCTGTTTGATTGCAAAGCCCATACTATGCTGCTTCCAATTGCCACAGAGAAATGCATAAAATAGCAGGCTGCAAGTGAGTTCTGCCAGGGTCGAAGAACAGGAGGCTAGTGATGAAATTGTTGGGGGTACAATGGGATATGTGGTTAAAAACTGTGGTTCAGCCGGGCACAGTGGCTCATACCTCTAATCCTAACAGTTTGGGAGGCCAAAGTGGGCATATCACCTGAGGTCAGGAGTTCAAGATCAGCCTGGTCAACATGGCAAAACCCTGCTTCTACTAAAAATACAAATATTAGCCGGGCATGGTGGCACACTACTTAGGAGTCTGAGGCAGAAGAATTTCTTGAACCCAGGAGACACAGGTTGCAGTGAGCCGAGATTGCACCACTGCCCTCCAGCCTGGGCGGCAGAATGAGACTCTGTCTCAAAAAAAAGAAAAAATGAAAAACAAACAAAAACAACAAAAAACTATGGTCCAAGTCTAGGTACTGCAATGAAACAAACCTTAATTCTAAACTTCCTGGCAATGAAGTCAAAAAGGGATCATGGCCAGGCATGGTGGCTCACGCCTGTAATCCCAGCACTTTGGGAGGCAAAGGCAGGCAGATCACCTGAGGTCAGGAGTTCGAGACTAGCCTGCCCAACATGGTGAAACCCCATCTCTACTAAAAATACAAAAAATTAGCTGGGCGTGGTGGCATTCACCTGTAATCCCAGCTACTCAGGAGGCTGATGCAGGAGAGTAGCTTGAACCCAGGAGGCGGAGGTTGCGGTGAGCTGAGATCATGCCACTGCACTCCAGCCTGGGTGACAAGAGTGAAACTCTGTCTAAAAAAAAAAAAAAAAAAAAGAATCATAATTTTTTTTGAAGAGTAGCTCTATTTCATTGAAAAAAAAAGCATACTAAAAATTTCGTTTGTTCAAACACTTTTTGTGTGAGCATGTACCATGCCTATTATTTTGAGGGGCAGTGGGGATATAAATAATAAGATCAAGTGTCCTGCTTTCCAAGAACTTACAGATTAAGCGAAAGATAGCTTTGTAAACAGACAATATGGATATAATAGTGTGATCAGGCAAGCACTGCTGTTCTGGGAACATGGAAGAGGAGGCCATCGGCCATCCTATAGCAATCAGGGAAGGTTTCAGGAACAGGTGATTCCTGAGTTGAATTATAAATGACCAACTACATTTTCCAGGCAAAGCATGAAGGAAAGAGCTTTCAAAGTAGAAAAGCTTAGGTGGGAAGGCCTGGATTTAAGCATGTGGCTTCTTCTAGAGTGTGGCAAAAGCAAGACGTGAGATGAGGATGAGGAAGTAGGCAGGAAGCAGATTATAAAGAGCTTTTCATGTAACCTGAAAAGCTTAAATTTTACCCTGAAAACATGGGAGGAGCCATTGGAAGGTCACAAGAGAATGACATAATCAGGTTTTTGCTTTAGAAAGCTGATTTTGGAAATGGATTAAAAAGAGTATGACCATAAAAATCCATTTAGAAGTCTTTTGCACGGATCTAGGTAAGAAATAATGAGCTCAAACTCAGAAGATAGAAGGGTTTAGAGAAAGGGGTGGATGTGAGAGACATCAAAGAGGCAAAACTTAGACACAAGATTGGTTGTGGGGGTGAGAGTGTGGAAAGTGTTAATGCTTCCCAGGTAGTTGGAGATGCCATTCACTGAATTAATCAAAAGGGACAACAGATCCTCATGGGAGTGGGATCTTTAACACTGATTAACAGTGATCTCCATTTGTACACGTCAGGCATGCAGTGCCTGTAGAACAACCATGTAGAGGTGTGCCATAGGCTCAGGACTGAGGCCTGAGCCAAGATACGCATTTAAGGGGCATCAACATATAGGTGGTAGCTGAAGCCATGTGAGTGACTCTGGGTGAATCCAAACTGTCCTTCATACAAGGAATACTGAAATACATGGTGGATAATATTGCCAAAAGTGCTTTACAGGTGATTTAAACTGTTGGTCACATTTATATTCTTAAATTCACCTTCAATAACAGATGGTAATAGAACATTAAATCGTAGCTGTGTAAAGATATTTCTCCCAGGAGCAAAACTAATATAATTTAGATATGCAGTTTTCTGGGGAGATCTAAAAAGTATTTTAAAATACCTGACTTCCCATTAGAATCACTGCAAATGCTTCTGAAAAATTCCAAGCTGTGCTAATTCAGTTAGTCTGGGGAGGGTCCCAGATATGTGTGTATGTACATATACACGTGTGTGTATGTACATATACACGTGTGTGTATGTACATATACACGTGTGTGTATGTACATATACACGTGTGTGTGTACATATACACGTGTGTGTGTGTGTGTGTGTATTCTTCAAGTAATTCTATCATACAGCTAGAAATAAACGATTGGCGTGTCCCCAGACAATTCCTCCTGAATATCAGTTGTCTCAGCTGGGTTTTGAACAAGAGCTCTAAAGCAAACAATTCATGACTAGGTGAGTCATACACTTCAGATTCCAAGCATCTTGCTAGCAAAGATGATATTTTTGTATAAAAACTAAATAGCCTGCCATGAGTTTTTGCTTAACCAGATGGAAAATATCCCTCTTGTACATAAAGGTTCTGGAGTGCAGAGAAAAGGACCAAGACATCCTTTAAGAAGTAGCTTTAAACTCACTGAAATGCTCATATGGCAGAATTGATTCTTCAGGGTTGTGCCACGTAAGACAGATGAGAGATGACTTTGACAGAGATATTTTGAAGGCAAATTCTCATATACGCTATTTATAGATTACCTGTGAAATGGATTAAAACTCATTACATGTTTTAAACACTAAAATTATTCTGATTTTAATTTAACCTTTGATGATTCAGAAGACACATTAGGATCAGAATGTCATAAGGTTGGTATCAGGAACATCAGCTATTATATTGAAATTGCATGGCAGTGCTGGTTAAAAACATCTCTTAACAAAGTTTACTGCATGAAATACCAGTGAGAGTTTTGCTTCTGGCCATAAGGAACTAGCTTGCAGCAGATCAATTCTTCCACCAAGAACAAGTAGAAAAGCTGGATAAAATACACACACACACACACACACACACACACACTGAAGGCCACCAGAAAGTTACTAAGGTAGTCAGGACTTAGGGTTACAGATTATGAAGAAAAGGGAAGCACAAAGTGAATTCAGTGTTCTGCATTTTTTTCTCCTTGAGAGATTTGCTGATTCATAAATGGCATTAGTGAAGGGAATGAAAAGACAAGTGGAAAGGAGCTGTTAAGGCTGGGCGCGGCGGCTCACGCCTGTAATCCCAGCACTTTGAGAGGTCAAGACGGGTGGATCACTTGAGGTCAGGAGTTCAAGACCAGCCTGGCCAATATGGTGAAACCCCATCTCTACAAAAAAATACAAACATTAGCTGTGTGTGGTGGCACATGCCTGTAGTCCTAGCTACTCGGGAGGCTGAGGTACCAGAAATGCTTGAACTGGAAGGAGGAATTTGCAGTGAGCTGAGATCATGTTGTCACTGCACTCCAGCCTGGGGAACAGAGCAAGACTCTGGCTCAAAAAAGAAAGAAAGAAGCTGTTAAGGACCAGAGAATACAAGTAGAACTTTCAGCAGTTTAACAGGACTGAGAAGATAACAATTAGAATTCAAGGCTAGCTAAGTAAAGAAGCCCTAGAAAATGCCCAGACTTTCACTGACCCTGAAGGAGTATGACTTATGAGTATGGTCAAATTGGAAATAGACCAGACCTTATGAATTAGCTCAGTCCCTGATTGGATTAAGGTGATTGTCTCCTCTCTAATTGCCTACCAGATGCTAAGGAAAATCCTTTTCAGATGTAGATATCATTTAGATTTGCAGCATCAATACAAAGTAAATACAAAGAAAACTACATTTAGGTACATCATAATAAGATTACTGAAAACCAAGGACAGAGAAAAATCTTAAAAACAGCTACAATAAAAAAAGACACATTACCTTGAAAAGTGCAACTATAAGACTTACCACTGACTTTCCAATAGGAGAGAGAAAATCCAGGAGACAATGGAAAAAATATTGGTAATGTGCTGAAAGAAAATAACTGCCAATCAGAATTCCTTAAGCTATAGGTGAGTGCAGTGGAAGAAGAATGACATCATAAGTGGTGCTGGGCCAACTGGATACCTACAATGAAAAGAGTAAATTTTGACCCCTCCCTGCATACCGTATATAAAAAAATCACTTGCAGGTGGGTTACAGATCTAAATATCAAAGGGAAATATTTTCATGACTTTATGTAAGCACATCTTTCTTAAACAGAATACAGAATGCACTGTAAAGGAAACAATTGATTTACTGCATAAATTAAAATTAAGAACTTCTGTTCATCAAAGGTACCATTAAGAGAGTGAGAGGATAAACCACGAAGTAGGTAGAGATATTTGCAATTAGTATGGCTGAAAGGAACTCATATCCTGAAAATATAAAAAATTCTGTCAAGTCCATAGGAATGACTCCAAAGAAAAATGACTTAGTATACTCCATTGCAATTTCACAATCATGGATATCCAACGGCCCATCCTCCTATTGGTCATCATCAGGGAAATACAAAATAGAGACTCAATAATACATCAACGACCACTCACCAGAATATATCGTATATATTATATATATATATGTATAAAATATATATATAGACAGTTATATATATATATAGATGGAGTCCCACTTGGTTGCAGCCTGGAATGTAGTGGCATGGTCTCGGCTCACTGCAACCTCTGCCTCCTGGGTTCAAGCAATTCTTGCCTCAGCCTCCCAAGTAGCTGGGATTACAGGCACCCGCCACCACACCTGGGCAATTTTTTGTACTTTTTTTTAGTAGAGACAGGGTTTCACCATCTTGGCCAGGCTGGTCTTGAACTCCTGACCTCATGATCCACCTGCCTTGGCCTCCCAAAGTGCTGGGATTACAGGTGTGAGCCACCACACCCGGCTGAGAATATTTTTTAAAAGTTTTAAAGGGAGCAATGTCAATTTTTGACAAAATTGTGAAGCCATGGAACTTTTACCTAGTTGGTGAAAATGTAGACTGTTTGGTAGTATAGGAGACATTGTTGGTGCCCTGCCTGTATCTTCTCAGCATTCACCACTTCCATGCACTCTAGCCCAGCAGTTTCCAACAGAAAAAATATTAGTGACTTTGTGTGAGGACTTCCTTTAGGTGCCAGTACTAGCTTGTCCGGCACATGGGGCAGACCAAAAGAGGTGGGGAGTTAATATCCCCTAGGAGATGGCCTCAATCAGTGACTGATGGGTGTTAATAGGTAAATATCCTAGCCCCTCACCCTTCAGTTGGGACAACACTGAGGTGTGTTCTGTACTGCCTCCCAGAGTTTCCTAGTTTGGTTGAGTCTCAGTTGCCTGCAAAAGGAATCTGTCTGATAATGATAGAGTGATTTCAGACTCACTGCTGTCAGAGGTCCAGGGAGTTTCATCAATTTCTCATGCCAATTTTTGGCTTAATATTCCTATGCCATAGAGATGGTATTAGTTCAGGACCCATATCCATATATGGTGCAGGCCTGGAGGCTTTAATTTGTCATGGACAACTGGCCTCCCTCCTCAGCTAAAGCCTTGGACAAACAGCAAGCTTCTGTTTGTTTCTGATGGACAAAGTTTTTTAGCCCTCATTTTATGAACAAGGCAGTTCTTCAGGCTCAAGGTTTCACACAAGGAATTCATTTCCAACCTCACACAAGCCCAAGCTCATGTCTTTTGTTCCCAGCCCCTGGCCTTCAGAGCCCACATCTGATCTGAAGCTCATTTGAGCAGTGGTATCATCTCCTGATTACGGCTCTGTCTTAAATTTCTTTCTTCATTTTTGCCCCAGGGGATTTTCCTTTCTTTTTTTGAGCTCAGCTACCATAGTAGATGCTGTCAGCCCCTGACTTTGCAGTACTAGCTCTACCTGCTAAAGGCTACCTATAACCCTCACCTCTGGCTTTCTGCCTGAGAGGTTTGTGTTGGCTGTGGAGCACATCATCCTGCAGGCAAGCTAGAAATGCTGAAGAATACACCCTCTCACCCTCCTAGTGCATTTCCCAGACATTGATTGACAGGGATTTGGTAGAGGAATACCTTAGTTTCTTCACCTCTCAGCTGCAATAACTGAGACATGTTCTATTCAGCTCGTTACTCACAGTGGTAACTTGTTGGATAATACATTGTTTAAGGGCTTTCTTTCATTTTTCTATGTCTCCATTTCGACTTCCAGTGCATCCTGGAATCACTGCCTAAACAAACTATTGACATTCAAATCTTTGTCTTGGGACTGCTTCTTGAGCATAGGCAGCATCAACTATAGCAAATCATATGAATAACCTGTGACCCAGAAATTCCTCTCCTGAGTACATTTACAATGGAAATCTATACAAGTGTATGCTAAATAACGTGTACAAAAATATCTATAGGAGTATATTCATAATGCTCCAAGGTAGAAACAACACAAATGAACATCAAACATAAAATGATAAATAGATGGTGGTATAGTCACACAATGGAATGCTATACCTCAAAATGGATGAGTAAAATGAACATAACAACATAATAACATAAACATAAACAACAACATAACAATGCAGATGAATCTTGCAATTATGTTGAGCAAAAGAAGTCAGACTCAAAAGTATACATTTGGATTCCTTGTATTGCGGTGTTGGTGCTGTATCATTACTGAGGCAATAAAATGCAACCCAGAGTATAAACTATTTAATAAGTGAAAAATGAAATAATTTATACTATAATAGGAAAAAATAAGAAAGAGCTAATTTGGGTTTTCTTCCCCTTAAACATGATCTGAATTGTTAGGTGATCATGTTTGTGAATATATTTATTGTTTTACAATACTAGCCTTAAAATCCATGATATTCACTTATTTACTGATGTGCTTTATAATGTTAATATCTTAGTGGCCTTTTTTCTCAGTATCTGATTAATTACAAGCATACAATGACATCCGTGTTATGTAAGTGCCTCTCATTTTAATTGATGTAAATAAAAAAGTATGGCACAGGCTTTTCAAGTTTAACAAGCAGAAATTAATAAATGGATGGTTCACATTTTAAGTCATCAACATATCAAAAAGCAACCAGGGCAATTGCAGGTAACTTTTGGTTGAGATAATTGGTTTGCTGCTCCAGATTGAATCCTTTGGGGTCAACAATTTCTTCAGTAACCATATTAGCATATTTTAATACCTGTTGAATTTAGAGACTGCCTAATATGCTTAGTAAATGGAATTGCTATTTACAGTTATTAGCATATTCAATCTTCATCCTAGCTACAAGACACTGAAAGCATTATTAAAATCCCTTTGCAGTAACAGAATCTCTGTGAATGTCTAAGATCATTTTATTATGGAGCAAGCCAGAAAATATACTCCCTTCTTTTGAAGAGAACATTTTCCCTTTAGGCACGGGCTCCTAGGTGGGCCACCTGAGAGGTAGCACATTGTGGGCTGTAGAATCACATTGCATGGGTTTGAATTCTGGGTCAATTACTCAGGAGTTGAGTAACCTTGGGCTAGTTAGTTAGGCTCTCTATGCCTCAGTTTCTTTGTCTGTAAAATCAGAATAATACCAGTACAAGTTATAGTGAAGCTTAAATAAATACAATGCTCTTTGAACTGTGCCTGGCACTAATTAGGCACTTTCATTTATTCAACTAATATCTATTAAGCACCTACTATGTGCCAGGGACTATCTAGGTATTTGAATACATCAGTAAACAAAGCAAAGATTCCTGCCGTAATGGAGTTTATTTATCTTCTAGCTAGGGAGACAAACAATAAACATAACATAAAAGTGGTCAGGGTGGGTCTGAGAAGTGGTGGCTTCTGGCAGTGGTGGCAGATGTTGACTGAATTTCTCTCGCTGGAAGAATTTCTATATTGGTGTGAGTAGGCTGGTCACCAGAATCAGGCACAAGCCCTATGCCTGGCAATAATTCAAGGAGGAAGATCCTCTAGACATCTCCACACTTCACCAAGACACTCCACTAAGTTACATGAGGGGAAGGATGGGAAGTCCACTTAAATGGGAAAGAAGAGATAGGAGGTAAGAAAAAAAAAAATTTCCTGTTTCTTCTCCTCTGTGTATTCTAAATCCCTTCTCTATCTTTCCAAAATGTATTTCTAGCATACCTAGGATATACATGTGTGTATGTAACCTGGTATGTGTTTGTGTGCCTGTGTATCTGTGTGAGTTTTAAGCAACCCCCACTGTTGGAGCTATGATGTATAGAGTCAGTTATAAATGAAATATATTAGCAATGCTTTCAGCACATTATAGGAATAAGTTAGCCAAAGAGTTTGCAAAAGTCTCCGGAGGGCATAGAAAAATTTAATTGCCTCTCCTTGCCTGTGCCTGGCTTTTGGAGAATAACATCAGCTGCTTTTTGAGTAAGAAGCATGCCTCACTTCATGATTCTCCAGGTAACTGGCCAGTTTCCACGGCTGAATTGATTTTGTTCCAAGTTTTCTGTGCATTATTAAATAGTATGTGGTGACTAATTGTCTCCCGAGGTCTTTAAGGCTCACAGCCAAGATCGATTCTTCAATGCAAGTCAACGTGACTCTATTCCCTGTCTTGCCATGGCTCATGGCTACATTGTCTTTTTGTGTCTTAGGAGCCACACATCTGGTAACTGCTCCTTTCCTCTTTAGCCCTCCCTGACTGCATCTGCCCTTCTTCAGGAAGTTTTGGAAAGATTGCCAAAAGCACATGAATGCAAGCACCAAAACCCTTCTGTTGTCTCAGCCATTTGCAAGTAATTTAACAATGTACAAATTGTTTAAAACCTATGTAGCCAGAGTTCTCAGAACCTCCAATCATACATTAGTACTTGCTGCTATGGCAATCTGTGGGCATGTTTTTCCACTCCTCTGAGCACTTCATTGACTTTTTTTCTATTATCATCTACATCAAATTCATGTTTACCCAACCTAAATTGTGTGGGCATTATCTTTCTTTCCTCTGGTTTTCATGATTCAGCCAGCAGAATTTCACTGAAGACACCTTTCCCTCACTGCAGTTCCTTCACCTTTTATTGGCTGCTCCATTTTCTCCACAATAATTATTGAGCACCTACTATGTGCCAGATGTTCTTCCTTCCAAGCCTCAGGCAACTCTTCAGGCATTATTAATCTTTTTATATCAATGAGGAAACTGAGGAATAAAGGAAGCAAGTTATTGGCTGAAGGCAAACAAATACCAAGTTGAAAGAGCAGAATTCTAATCTAGATCTGCTTCACAGCTCCTTTCCATTCCCTGCCTGGCCTTTTCTGCCAAACGGCACCTTATTCTCAGAATATCCTTTTTCATATATCCATAGGCTGCCTCCATTTGTTTTTTCTAGATCTCTAGACTCAAATCTGCCAAAGAGTCTAGCCTATCTCAGCCATATTTGTGAGTGGAATAAATACTTAAACGGCCCTACAGTTGCAACAGCAATAAACTCCCCTCTAGTGAAAATTCTAGTATATCTTGATGTGGCCACATAGATAGTGTTTACTAGACAGAGGGCACCTAGCTTAGTCAGATCTCAAGAACTGGATCCTCTCCTTTATGTCAGGTCAAGACTAGCTTTGCACTCCCTGGGGTGCAGGAGAAAGACAAGTCTTCCTTTATTTCCTAAGGCAGTGTCTTAGGACTTTAATTGTGCTGAAGGACAAGAGTGAAGCGGTGAGGGGGCATTTATACCAGTGGGAGGTTTTGACACCAATGTCTTTAGATGAAGGAAACCCAGAGAACCAGAAATCTAATTTTCTATCTTCTACAGGTTGACAAAGCACAACTTTTTGTTTGTTTTTTTGTTTTTTGTTTTGAGAGTCTGTTTGTTTGTTTTGAGGCTGGAGTGCAGTCGCATAATCTTGGCTCACTGTAGCCTCTGCCTCCCAGGTTCAAGCAATTCTTCTTCCTCAGCCTCCCAAGGAACTGGGACTACAGGCATGTGCTGCCACACCCAGCTAATTTTTGTATTTTTAGAAGAGACAGGGTTTCACCATGTTGGTCTTGATCTCCTGACCTTGTGATCCGCCCGCCTCAGCCTCTCAAAGTGCTGGGATTACAGGTGTGAGCCACCACACCTGGCCCAACAAAGCACAGCTTTTATTTTAAAAGTTTTAGGCCGGGCGCGGTGGCTCAAGTCTGTAATCCCAGGACTTTGGGAGGCTGAGGAGGGTGGATCACGAGGTCAGGAGATCGAGACCGTCCTGGCTAACACAGTGAAACCCCGTCTCTACTAACAATCCAAAAAATTAGCTGGGCATGGTGGTGGGTGCCTGTAGTCCCAGCTACTTGGGAGGCTGAGGCAGGAGAATGGCATGAACCCGGGAGGCGGAGCTTGCAGTAAGCCGAGATCGCGCCTCTGCACTCTAGCCTGGGCAACAGAGCAAGACTCCATCTCAAAAAAAAATAAAATAAAATAAATAAAAAAGAACAAAATAAAAAATAAAAGTTTTGGTGGGAGCAGGTCTCTTTGTGTGATATATGTATATGGGGGTGGGGTGTGTATATGTGTGTGTGTGTGAGAGAGAGTGAGAATGAATTAATGAATTAATGTATGTATGTCTGTAGTAGAAGTTCTTTTTCCCAGAGTGTGTAATTTGTGTAAGTCCAGTCATAATTGGCTAAACAGGCCAGATCTGCAGTACCTATCTGTCTTAGTTTGCTCAGGCTGCTGTAACAAAAATGCCAAAGACTGGATGGCTTAAACAACAGGAAATTATTTCTCATAGTTCTGGAGGCTGGAAAGTCTAAGATCAGGGGTCCAGAATGGTCAGGTTCTGGTGAAGGTCCTCTTTCCGGAATATAGATGGCCATCTTCTCATTGTGAGCTCACATGGCGGAAAGAGAAAGAGAGAAAGCAGGTTCTCTAATGTCTCTTATTATAACAGCACTAACCCCATCATAAGGGATCCACCTTCATGACCTCCCTCCCTCCCAAATGCACCATCTCTAAATATCATTACACTGAACATTAGAGTTTCAACATATAAACTTGGGGGGTACACAAACATTCAGTCCACTATCTCTCCACTCATGCTCTTTCCATATTCTGTTGACCCAGAGGATTCAGACCCTTATTTTCAAAGCGCCGTATATTCCTTCATGCTCTGGCTGACTGCCTTCTGCTTGAGTGACCCACCACCCTTTCTCTTCCTAGCTCCATTTTCTTCCTCTTACATGTACAAATCCTCCCTATCTTGAAAATGTCTTTATAGATTGAGTTTGAGTCCTAAGTATGGGTGTGGGGCTTCAGGAAAGTCCCTACACTTCTGAAGCAGGAACTCGTGTTTTACAGTTCCTAGGGTCTTTTGTTGCTGATTGGCTGAAAGTTAGGTAAGCTAGAGCTTCGGTAAGGGGCTTTTGTTCTTCTCCTCTAGACCAGATCACAACAGGAAGCCAGCCAGCCTGTTTCAGTGGGGTTATCAATAAAGAGATTTCTGACTTTTCTTATATTTTTTTGCTTTTTAAACACTTGCATATTTTTCTCTATATACCTCAGGAAATTATGGAATGATGAAACCTCAGAGTAGAAGAGATCTAGAGAGCAACTGGTTGTACAGCCCATATCAATCTTTTAGTTTTCTTTCCATCAGTTTTTTACCTGACTTCCCAATCTCAGCTTCATTTTTCATAGCCTCCTCCTTTACATTTTCATCTTGAGCATTAGATTGCAGCAGGGATACATTTATGTTTCTTGTTTTGACTAGAGAACACCCCAAGGCTGGCCCACAAGGAGGTGCAGATCCCTGGGGAATGGCCACCTGCGAGCAGTCAGCCTGCTCACTTAGCTACCTGTTGTGGATAAAAGCCCCATCAGTGTCAACTGTTGTGCTCAGAGCCCTGCCAGTGTTAATCCAAAATGAAACCATCCTTGATCATTGCAACCATGTTTCCTAATGCAAAACAGCATGGGCGCAGGCCAGTTCAAAAGGAGTCCTTTTACCCAAATGCAAAGGAAAAGGGTTTGGGTGACAACCATGTGAGTCAATAATTTTACGTTGCCTTGTAATCCTGCAGCTATTGGCATAAAATTGTTTGGCCTTTTAAAAGTCCTGATTATCGGTTCCTTGCCTTGACTGCTGACAACTGCTGAACTCCTTGCTCTACAAATGCCTCGAGCTTACTTCTGCCTATGTTCAACTTTATGCTTTCATTTGTTTGTTTCCTTTTATCCCCATGAAACCAATAGGCCAAATCTCCTCATGTTGTCTTTAGGCCTAGTTTCCAAAGAAGGCAAGTTCTTGCCAAAACCTACAGTTCATACTACACACACTATACACACA
Source organism: Homo sapiens (assembly GCF_000001405.40). Lineage (NCBI taxonomy): Eukaryota > Metazoa > Chordata > Mammalia > Primates > Hominidae > Homo > Homo sapiens. The sequence goes on from NC_000006.12 coordinate 88,115,993, forward strand.
CATACACAGAGAGAGAGAGAGCAAGAGAGAGAGAGACCGAGACCGAGAGAGAAAGAGAGCGCACACGAGAAAGTGAGAGAGCACAATTCCAAAATTATACCTTTCTTTGAAGGCAAAATTACCTTTGTGTCCACTTGCTCCTGCAGACTCTCCCATCTGCCTGCATCTTTTTTCTGCACCCCACTCATCCTGATCCTCTTGGTGTTTTATTATTAGAGATATACTTAGAGCCCTTCCAGGGAGACTCCAGATTCTTTTCAGGGCTTTTCAAAGCCTAGATTCTAGGGGTCTACAGTAGTTTACCTTTCTGGCCTCCCCAGGTGACCAGCAGCCCAGTGATGCTAACCAGATTTCTTGTCCTCCTGGTGCATTTATCAGAATCCCTGTCAGTTTCATTCAGGTGCTGAGCAGGAGGTAACACTGTGAAGAATAGCTGTTAACCAGTTCTCTCTGACCTCTATCGGTCCTAACTGACCCCAGAGCACAGCCCATAGGGATGCATTGTGCAGAACTAGCATGTTCATATGTCATTCTCTCAGGGGAGACTTTCAGCCAGGAAACAATCATCTTTATCACCTTTTTAAATGTACACGGTGGCTTTCCCATACACATATTCCTGTGTAGCATGTGTATTATTTTCATTCGTGGTCATTTTAACCACAATCAGAACTATAATAATATACAGTTACAGAGCACTCTGCATCCAGGAGTCTCACTGCATTTTACAAACAGTAACTAATTGAGAGGAACTGCTGTGTACTTATTTGATAATACAGTTGTATCCTCTGTTTTAACAAAATGTTCAGTTCTTAACTGTTTATTGTCAAAGTAATTTCCTTCACATAATACAAATTAATGAGGAGAGAAAAAAGCAAATTTGTTTTTCATTAGTTACTAATTTGAGGATTTCCAAGCTAATTAATCAGAGTCTTTCCAGCCCATCCTTCCCACAACCCCTGCTTCTATACACTCAACAGATCAAACATTTTTCTTCCTAAGAATTTCATTTGCAGTTAAACATTTGTTTTGATTCCTTAACCTATACTAATTTTACATTGGCTTACATAGCTGCATTTTTTATAATTCTCTTTTTTCTTGTTCCCTCTCTCACGTAACTCACATGCACATATCAGGACATACACACCGTTTCTTGCCCATTTCTCTAGCAACTCCTCTTTTTCATTTAATCTCTCAAAATTATGCTTGCCTTTTTTTCTTTCTTTCTACCCTGGAATTTAACTCAGTGTCCTCAAGGGAGATATCTTTCAATTCGGAGTTATCTCCAAACACACACACAGACAGAGATGATAGCTTTCTGCTGCTAGGAAGATTATTAACTGCTTGTACAACTTTATCACATGATTTTTTTTGTGTTCTGACAGTTGCTTGTAAAATTAATATTTTACCTCAAGTTTTTCAACAGAGTTTCTATCATCATCACGTGTATTCTCCCTTATTGGGCTCACAGGCAAAACTCAATTATTAGTTGTGAAATAAAAGACTTTTCAGCAAAGACAGATCGCTCTGTTTGCATAGGAACTTCCCAGCAAGCCCATCTTCATGGTCCTGCAACCTGTGCAGTCTCACAGGGCCTGCGCTTAGAAGGGCCCCAAGCTTGATGTAATGCTCTGTTGTTGTGATCTTGAAATTCTTAATACTTTTTTAAACAGGAATCCCTGCGTTTTCATTTTGCACCAGGACCCACAAGTTATGCAGTCAGTCCTGCTTCCCTGGTGATGTTTGCTTCTTCCTTCCAAACCAAATACAGTACTGATATTTGTAGGTCCTGGAACCCCATGTAGTCAAAGGGGTTGGACTGGCTCCTTGGTGTGTATTATCGAGGTGGAGGATGCAATAGGCTACTCTCATCAGCAGAAACTTTCCACCATCCTGTTCACCTCCACTGAATCTCTTTTGAGTCTCTTAGGTCATTTGGTGACCTCCACTCCAACACATTTTTCTCCCCGGTCTTAGACCTCTGTTTTTCTTCTCTCAGCATTCCTAATCTGAACTTTGTCTCTCCCTCTTCTATCTCAAGTAATTTATCCTCAGATGATTGGGGGATGGCACAACCCAATAATTCAATGGTAGAGATACTAAAATTAATATCCAAAAACCTTTGGCCCTGAAGCCTGAGTTCAAATGTTCAACACAGCCGAAAAGAAATCTTCTGACAGTGACTAAAATGATGCCTAGAAGAAGCAACCACCAAGAGGTGAGCTGTGGGAGAAATAAAGAATCAGCCCTTTAAAAGAAAGGGATTCAATGATAGAGAATAAACAGAGATAAAAATAATACTGGGTCATTGGTTGGGCACAGTGGTTGACAATTGTAATCCCAGCACTTTGGGAAGCCATGGCAGGCGGATTTCTTTAGCTCAGGAGTTCGAGACCAGCCTGGGCAATGTGGCAAAACCCTGTCTCTACAAAAAAAAAAAAAAAAAAAAATTAGCTGTGCATGGTGGTGTGTGCCTGTACTTGCGGCTACTTAGGAGGCTGAGGTGGGAAGATAGCTTGAGCTCTGAAGGTCAAGGCTGCAGTGAGCCATGATTGTGTCAATGTGCTCCAGTCTGGGCAACAGAGCAATACCTGTCTTACAAAAAAGAAAATAACTGGGTCTAAGGAAAAGGCACCTATTCATTGCTTATGAAGATATATGCAAATAAATATGCAAAATGAAGTGAAAGGAAAGGGGAAAGGTCTTCCAATGAGTATAAAACTGATTGAATGTCAGCTGTCATCTCTTACTTAAGGGTCCATTGTAAAGGAAAGCTGAGACTATACTGGAAAACAAATGTGACAAGAACTGAACCACATCTTTCTCTTTTAAACATACATATACACACGCAACAACAATGACAATATTATTTTAGCTGGCTCGTTCTGTTGGTCAAGGGTCTTTATTGTTTTTCTTAGGTGCTATTATTTGTTAATGTATCTAGTACTTGATGTGTATTTTCAAAATACTAGATTAATTCATGACCTTTCTTTTTAGCACCTCTATGTTCCACATTGATGATGACATTCAATGCAGACGCAGTAAGATTTGAAGAGTAACAGCTTGGAGCAGACTGCTTGGATTCAAATGCCCATTTTGCTATTACCAGCTCTGTAACCTTGGATGCATGTCTGAACTTCTATATGCCTCAGTTGCTCTATCTATAGAAAGGTTGTTGTGAGGATTAAATGGGTTAGTATGCTCAAAACACCAGAGTGCCTGGCACATCCTAAATACTCAATAAATGTCAGCTATTATGATTATTGTTGACTTCCCTGTCTGCCTTGTGAGAAAGCAGAGCTGGTGCAGTGTGTGGTGAGGGACTGCTCTCTGGGGCTAGAGCCACATTTTCTGCTCAAGGCAAGGGCCATTATTTTCCCAGGGTTCTGCAGCATCCTCACCTCCCATGGCAGGAGCAAAGCTTGACTAGAACATACAGCTCAGGGCCCTCTTCCAAACCTCTTTCACCTTCCAGGCAAAGGTGATATATTCCATGCTTGTTTTCTGAAGAGATTTGTCAGAAAGAATGTTTCTCACCATTCACGTCCAGAGAAGACTACAGAAATATAGCTGTACAGTGTGCATAATGTTATTTCCAGGTGTTGATAAAGTTGGTGCAGTGATGAATGAGACAGCTAGATGAGGGTGATATACCCAATGCATAAATAAAAACAAAACATATTACACTTTGGGAAAACCTTTCTCGGAAGTCAGTAGAATCAAATGGTGACAAAACTGATAAGACTACAGCACCTAAAGAAAGGCAGTCACCTTTCTCTCCACATCTCTGCAGCTCCTACAAAGCAATCAAATCAAACCAATCACACAATAAAATATTTAGAACATATTATATTTTGGTTTAACCTGCTAACACAATGATAGACCTTGGCATTTTCTACTGCTTAGAGTTTCTTTGTGAGAGGAATTCACCCCATTAGGTGACAGCTGTCGCTGTCCTTGGTACTAAAAAACATTCAAGCTCTCTTCTTTTTTTTCTTATGCAAACTAGGAACATTTGTGACTTGCTGTCATAGTGTCTAAAGCACTTGGGTTTTTAATTGATTATTTTTTAGAACAGCCAAGCTTGCCATTGGAGAATTCTTTGAATTTTCAAACAAAGCCCAATGCCACAGAAACCCTGCAGAGTCACGGAAAAAAAGCAATATTATATCCCAATGAAAGCATTTGGTTTCAGGAGCAGCCATGCTAACATTCATCAACATCCTTCACTGACCCCAGTAGATGCACTGAAGTGGACTCCTGCTGGATGAGATTGTCATGGTCTCTGACCTTCCACTTCTCTCCCCACACATGTTTCAGATTCTCAGACTGCACTTACTGACCAAAGTCGGAGAGCCCCCAAAGAAGAAGCCAAATTATCAGAAGGATAGGAGCCTGGATAGGAGGCAAAACGAAAGACAAACAACTTTTATGTTCCAAACTGGTGTTTTTAGCAGCTTCCATCAAACGGGGCCATGTGAGAACATCAGGAAGATTATGACAGCATGGTAGAATCCTCTAAGCCACCTCTGCTCCCTGAACACGGTGCGTTGTCAACAGTTGAATTGCCAATTGTTTAATCTAAGCTTTTTGAGTGCTTTTTACTGGTCAAAAAAATCATAACAGGTTAAAAGAATGGTTTCCAATCCCTACATTTACTCACATCACAGCTGGGTGACACTTTCATTCTTTTGGGTGCAGTAGCCCATGAGGATAAAGGGACAATGGAGATATAACAGGCTAGTAGTATATTTAACCCAACACACAGTGACACTAATGGAACACATCACAGACATGGTAATATTAAACTATTTGCATTAACTCTCCCTTGTTGCTGGAAATCATGCTGTGACAAGTGTCATATTTAATGAGAAGATAACCTTAAATACTGCATTTTGACACAAACATCTTTTACTATTAACAAAAAATCCCGTAAAAACAAGTGCTTCTGCATAGATTGGTCTTGCATACACTGACTTAAGGTAAGGAGATGACAAAGGCTGCCTAATTAGCAAGATGTTTTGAAGCTAATACTCAGGAGTGCTTACGCTTCTGATTTCCATTTGTAAATATTTGCATTTTCCCCCAATTGTAATGAAATCTGAAACTAGTCACACTTTCTAGTTTTTGTTTTTTTTGCACGGCGGGGGCAGGGAGAGGCGAGTAGATTTTCCCTGTATCTAGTGTGAAGATAAAATATTTGGTGTAGAAATTGTATATACCTTTGCAATATCCATTCTGTCAGTATTTCATTGATGTTAAAGGATTTAAAGGGTTTGATCTCCCTTCATATAAGGAAGACTGGGGATGGGGCCCATTGGGGTCTAGCTAACAGAATGTTGCTTATTCTCACTTGAGGGTTTCAAGGTGATGAAAAATTTCCAGAACTTGTGCCCAAATGGATTATAATCAGAATTAAGCAAAACAGTTGGAGACAATATATTAATTTTTTTTAAAAAGCCTAAATTTTAAAAAAGCCAATAGACAAAACCAAACATTTCAAGAACCAAAGGGATTCAATAAGAGAAAAGATTTCAAGCAGTGGAAAGAAGGTGAGCTATGTGAATTCTCTTATTTGGGATTTGATTCTCACTCTTGCTCTTTTAGGATACCCATGGTCCCTGGACTGGATATGTTGAGGGGCCCATTCCATGTGGGCAATATAACTTCTTTTCATACATGGGCTTTGTTATTGTTACGTGGCACCCAGATATCTCAGAGCATGCTGCATTTGGACATGGTTTTACCCCATGGAAAACTTAGAGTATAAAAATATAGATCAATAAAGAAAAGATGCTCAATTTCTATTATGGGCATAGAATTCTTTAGTAGATATTTGATCTTTCACCTGTTGCTATGGTCTGAATGTCTCCTCCACTGGTTTTACACTATTCAATGACTTGACGTCCCCAGTGGAAACAAATCTGAAAGGACTCAAAAGCATTTTTTTCCTCTCCCACATCCAGAGCAATCAAGATCTCTAGGGATACATAAGCCCTGCAGAAGATGAGTTCACAAATTAAAAAATTACAAACTGCACAAGGAAATGAATCACCATGAAGGAGAATCAAGACATACAAATAAGCCAAAATTAGCTACCGAAATCTGAATATAATAAATTTAAGACTATGTAGATTTTGAAAAAACTAAATAGAACCTCTAGACATAAGAACAAGAGAGATTAAAATTTAAAACGCTAAAAGGGATAAGTTTTAGTGTGATAAGAGGTTACATATCAGAAAGAGGCATGTTTTTATTTTATATAAAGATTATAAATATTATGAGAATAAGGGAATTGTATGCAATATTTATTAATGCCCACTAGGAAGATCTGTATTAAGTTCTGAAGATACAAAAATCAATTAAGACCTATGCAGTCCCTGACTTTGTGGAGCAAGGTCTAGAACAGACCAACACTAGTGCAATAAAAAGCAATAAAATGTTGTAGATGAATAGGGCACAGGGAGGGTATAGACAGGGAAGTGATCAAGCCTATCTAATGGGGTCAGGCAGAAGGCAGTCAGAAAAAGCTTTATAGAGTTTAAGGTTGAAACTGCCTTTGCAAAAATTATAACTGAGAAAATTATGACTGTGAAAGAGATCTGACATAACCAACTCCATCTTGCTTCTAACCTCCAACCTGTCTTTGTTCGTTCCTTGGCATAGGCCAAACTAACTTTGTTTATAGTTAAACTTAGTTTATAGTTAAACTTTGAAACAAAGATGATAACAGCCCTTTTCCAAAACAAACCCCCTTCTTGGCTAGGGACTAGACTGCCTTGCAGGAGTAACAAATTATCCACAAGATTAGAAATTATGGTTTAGGAGTCAGGCAGCCTGAAACCACAAGGTTCTGAACCTCCACAATTGCTCCTATGGATAATGTCGTTATTGTAAAACCTAAGATTGATGCTCAAGATATTTTTCAGACCCTGCACTTGATGAATCAGCTGGCACCACCCAGATAGATAAACTGGCTCATCTAGTCCAGTGGCCCCACCCAGGAACTGACTTAGCACAAAAGGACAGCTTCAACTCCCTATGATTTCATCTCTGATCCAACCAATCAGCACTCCCCTCTTCCTGACCTGCTACCCACCAAATTAACCTTAAAGACCTCAATGCCTGAATTTTCAAGGAGACTGACTTGAGTAATGATAAAACTTCAGTCTCCCATACAGCTGGCTCTGTGTGAATTAAACTCTTTCTCTATTGCAATTTCCCTGTCTTGAGAAATCAGCTCTGTCTAGGCAGCGGGCAAGGAGAACCTGTTAGGCAGTTACAAGATGCTTGAGTCTTGAAAGATAAGTAGATGTTTTCTAGACCAAATATGAGGGAAAAAACATTAAAAGTAAAAAACGCATGGTACAGCACCATGGTATGGCTGGGCCACTGGGTGTAAGCGTGAAGGAAAGAGTTGAGAAGTAAACAGGGGCAGATCATGGACAACATATAGTAATTTTTACTAGGATGTATACAGGAAGCACGGTAATACAGTACTTAAGAACCTGGAGTCAGACTGCCTGGGTTAAATCTTGGATCTGTAACCTCCCAGTAATGGGACCTGTCTCAAGTTACTTCATTTCCCTGGATCTCAGTTTCTTCAACTGTGAAACAGGGAACAATGCTACAAAATCTTCAGAAGATTGTTATGATACTAAATGAGACTATGGCTGTCAAAACTTGCATAATTTCTAGTATGTTTTAAGTGCTTAATGATCATTAGTTCTTGTTATTATAACTGCCATTCTTATTAAGAAAAATATGATTTTAAGAAAGATGGAAGCAGACAGCAAAGTAATAAATATTACAACATTTATTCATTTAACAAATACATATTTGAGACACCATAGAAGTAAGTGGGGTTATTGTAGTGAACAAGATGGACTCAATTCCTGCCCTCAAGAAACTTACATTCTGAAGGAGAAGACAAATATTAAACAGCTAATTATCATCTTACTTAATTACAATTGTGATGGATGTTACCTAAAATGGTAGAGAAATACATCATCTTGATCAGCAGCACCTAGAAACTTTGTTACAAACGCTAATTATCAGTTCCTATTCCAGAGCTACTGAATTGAAAACTCTGGGTTTGGGGATTCACAATCTGTGTTTTAGCAAATACTCAAGATGATTCCAATGCAAGTGAATGCTTAAGAAGCACTGTGTGAAGCTTTTACTGTTCAATTTAATGGAAAGAGCTCTTCATTGTAGTTTAAAACACCCTAACAGAACCTGGAATGGAACTGCTGAGAATTACTAGGCTCCAGGTATTCTTATTGTGCCTTCAGATTTTCATGCGTTTCTCTGAGGACTAATTTAGGTTTAAAAAGACTGTTTCTTAAACTGAATCTTGATAAAAATCTTAAGAAAGAAACCAATAGCTAATTATAGTCTGTTTGGTTTCCCTTCTTCATTACCCCCTGTGGAAATTTAATATAGGCCTGCTGTCTCTAGCACGGGGCTCCATAGTCACCCAACTGCTAGATGAGGCTTTCTAACCAGGAGTGGAAGTGAAGGTCAGCTGTACACACAGGCTAACATTACCAAGAATACAGCCAATGGATTGTAGCTTGGTGGTAGATCACAGAGTACCTTTTAAAGAAAGTAGGTCCAGGCCAGGTGTGGTGGCTGACGCCTGTAATCTCAGAAATTTCGGAGGCCAAGGTGGGTGGATCACGAGGTCAAGAGATCAAGACCATCCTGGCCAACATGGTGAAACCCTGTCTCTATTCAAAATACAAAAATTAGCTGTGTGTGGTGGTGTGTGCCTGCAATCCAAGCTACTCGGGAGACTGAGGCAGGAGAATGGCTTGAACCCGGAGGTGGAAATTGCAGTGAGCCGAGATCGTGCCACTGCACACCAGCCTGGCAACACAGTGAGACTCTGTCTAAAAAAAAAAAAAAAAAGTAGGTCCAGTTAACTGCAGGGCTTTTATTTTGTGGTGGGGCATACAAATTGGGACAATACTGTTACTAGAAAAGAGTCCCCATCCAGATTCCAAGAGAAGGTTATTGGATCTTACACAAGAAAGCTTTCAGGGCTGTTATAAATAAATTTTTGTGCTGCAAAAGAAATAGCACTCAAACATAAATTTAATTTTCTCAGCAAGGCAATTTTTACTTCTACAGAAGGGTGTGACTCACAGATGGAGTAATGGCAAGACCACACCTGAACAAGGGAGGGGAAGGGGTTCTTATTCCTGTTGCAGGTAGCCTCTACTGCTCTGTCATTGCCCTATTGGCTAGGGTTGGACCGCACAGTCTAAGCTAATTCTGATTGGTTATTTTAAAGAGAGCAGGGGTACGAGCTGGAGTGGTGGGGTGAGTACTTTGGCAGGAAGGACGGTTACAGAACAGGTGACTCATGATGATTCAGGTCAGAGCACATGACTGGGATGAGTCAGGATGGACCAGGTGACCAGGGAACAGATGTGAACTACTGATTAGAACTGGTGGGAAAGTTGTTTACTGAAACAAGAAGTAAGGGGGTGAAGAGAACCAGGAAGTCAAACTTTAAAATGGAGAACAAAGAATAAGAGAGCTGAACATACTAACAAACTGATTCTTTGAAGAGCAACATGGAGTTCACTATATTTAACAGGGTGAGTCCATACAGTAAAATAAAAGCAAGTTTATTAGAGAAGTAAAGAAACAAGAGACTGGCTAGTCCATAGTCAGAGCAGTGGCATTGGCTGCTCAATTGAGTATATGTATGGTTATTTCTTGATTATGTGCTAAACAAGGGATGGCGTATTCATGAGTTTTCTAGGAAAAAAAAAGGGATTTCCTGGAACTGAGGGTTCCTCCCCTTTTTAGACGATGTAGGGATGTAGGATAACTTCAGGATGCTGCCATGGCATTTGCAAAGTGTCATGGTGCTGGTGGGATTGTCTTTTTGTATGTAAATGCATTATAATTATAGTATAATGAACAATGAGAATGGCCAGAAGTCACTTTCATTGCCATCTTGTATTTTTGTGGGTTTTGTTTATCCTGTTTTATCAGCAGGGTCATTGTGACCTGTATCTTGTGCTGACTTCCTATCTCATCCTGTGACTAAGAATGCCTAATCTCCTGGCAATACAGCCCAACAGGTCTCAGCCTCATTTTACCCAGCCCCAGTTCAAGATGGAGTCGTTCTGGTTTAAATGCCTCTGACAATACTACCGGTGGTTTTTCTCTTTGAGTCTCCTTTAGAGTAATACTCAACTTTTATCTTAAATGCATCTTGAAAAAATCATTCATGAAAATCCATTCCAAGGGATGCCAAATGATTAACCTGCCCAGAGCTGCCACAGGTCCAGTTCAGGCCAGTGCAAACAACAGCTCTATGTCATAGTATGTCAAGAGATAGATAGCCTGTTGCTGTGTTCTTCACTCTCCGAGACGGCCCATCTCAAACAAGAGGAAAGCAGCTGACCTCACTAAAGTTTAATAGCTGTTACAGGTAAAGGCAGCATCTTTGAGGCTGAAGCTAGTCTAGAGGTAACTTTCATTCCCAAGGCTTGTTTGTAAGGAGGAAGTTATTGTTTGGAGGAAGTTTTCCTATAGACATCTTTTTATTCATGGTTCTTAGACAACCAGATCAACCCAAACTCTTCCTGCAGAATAGTATTAATAGTGCTTTTAACTAGACATAATCAGTATCTATAAAGGAAAAGGAGGAATGCATTTGGATGCAAAGAATACTTCTCTTGGCCGGGCACAGTGGCTCGTGCCTGTAATCCCAGTACTTTGGGAGGCCGAGGCGGGCAGATCACTTGAGGTCAGGAGTTCGAGACCAGCCTGGCCAATATGGTGAAACCCTGTCTCTACTAAAAATACAAAAATTAGCCGGGTGTGGTGGCACGTGCCTGTAGTCCCAGCTACTCGGGAGGCTGAACCCAGGAAGTGGAGGTTGCAGTGAGCCAAGATCATGCCATTGCACTCCAGCCTGGGTGTTGCAGGGAGACTCCGTCTCAAAAACAACAAACAAACAAACATAAAAAAGAATACATCTCGGTGTGTGATGTTCCCCTTCCTGTGTCCATGTGTTCTCATTGTTCAATTCCCACCTATGAGTGAGAACATGCAGCACACCAACATGGCACATGTATACATATGTAACTAACCTGCATGTTGTGCACATGTACCCTAAAACTTAAAGTATAATAATAATAATAATAATAATAATAATAATAATAATAATAATAAAGATTACACCTCTTTCCCTTAATGGCAGGGTTAACAGAAGCAGCATTTTGTGACACATGATTGTGCTGGGAGAAGGGTGAAAGAAAAAGGAAGATGGATTCCTTTAATAAGGGTGTAGTGCTCTTTTATACTTCTATATGTGTGTAGTGAAAGAAAATGCTTGATAGCAGATATAAGAAGGCCCCTCTTAGTGTTCTGCACTGGAGACCGCAGGCATTTTGATTTGTGGGTGGAGGTGGAGGGGTGGGTTGGAGTCCAGGTTATTTTACAGCCCAGGGGTGGGCTGTTTGGCAGCATTAGAATGTGGTCCTAAAGTAGATTCCTAATAGTTCTTTAGTTAAACAACAAGGAAGTGATTGACAAATGAAAACATTTTGTGTGTGTGGCCAAAATATTGGAACCAGTATGAGATGCCAAATATTATAATGTAAATTCAGAAGCATTCCTGGAGTTTTTTTAGAACCAAACCACAATGAAAGTGCTCCTGATGCAACTTTGCCATAATGAGGAAAAATTCAATAGGTCCAGTACCCCAACCTTTGTATCTGCCCAAGGCAGACCATGTGTGCAGGCAACAAGGGGAGGGATGGGTTGCCACAGAGCTGAGTAATACCTGATGATACAGGTAGAAGTTATCAAAGTGGAAGGCACCTACCTCAACATATTTTTCACTCTAGAAAATGGGTTATTTGGAGAACAGATGTTCATCATAATAAGAAAAGGTGAGAATAATTAGTTATTATTTTATTGTATTTTTTATTTTTTTGAGATGGAGTCTCGCTCTGTCACCAGGCTGGAGTGCAGTGGTGTGATCTCGGCTCACTGCAACCTCCGCCTCCCGGGTTCAAGCGATTCTCCTGCCTCAGCCTCCCAAGTAGCTGGGATTACAGGCATGCGCCACCATGCCCAGCTAATTGTTGTATTTTTAGTAGAGATGGGGTTTCACCATGTTGGCCCGGATGGTCTCCATCTCTTGACCTTGTGATCCGCCCACCTCGGCCTCCCAAAGTGCTGGGATTACAAGCATGAGCCACCATGCCTGGTCAGTTTTTATTCTTCAAATGGTTGACTTACATTGCTATTTGTGTGTATTTCTTATGAACTCTCAAAACTATACTATGAGATAGGTACAAACAGAGAAAACTGGAGGTAGAGAAGCTCAATAACTTGCTCAAGGTCACGAAGTGGTGGAACTGGGTTTTGAAGCCAGGCACTCATGCTCCAGAGCGTATGCTCTTAATCACCTAAACCCCTGTAAACTTAACTGCCTCTTAGTCTCTCTGGATTTATGGACAAAAGAATGCAGCAGCCTTTTGTAGTCTAACCTCCCACAGGTGGAAGAACCTCTGTTTTCTAAACTTTGCACTTAACCTCACTTATTCTGCAAATTCAGATGTTATGCAGCGAGACTGAGGAAATTTTCAATGCATTGACTTAATAATTTGGGCATTTTCCATTGTTATTTCCCTCCCCATTGGTCTCCAGTTGCTTTCCAAACCCATCATCACTGCATTGCCTTTGGAGGATGTTACAGTGACTAAAATGTTTTAATTCCCAGATTTGCTATGTGTTTGTATATGACCTTAAAGCTAAGGAATTCTCAGGTGATTCTAGTATCTACATTTGTAAATGGCAGTATCTAGGCTGTAAATAGCAGGTAATGGCTATTGCCTGATGGGTTTTTACAAAGCAATTATTTTGTAAATGATGTTTGGCTTCTTGGGTCAAAGAACTACATCAATTAAATCAGAAGTGAAAGGTTCTGACATAATACCAGTTATTACTAGGAAATAGAAGAACATGCCTACAATAAGAACCATGGAGATCGGAGAACAAATACACTCAATTGAGTGAAAGTAACAAATTATTGGAAAACACTTTTCAAGTAGAAAAAAATGACATGTATATGAACAACAATATTCTTACTAATTTTAAAAGAATATAGAACTTCTCCCATTGCAGCCCATCAAAATCACCTTTAACCATTTTTGTTTGGAAAAATGACTTACTATAATATTTTGTTTAGAGACTAAAATTCCTGGCAAGGCTTGTTGCTCATGTCTATAATCCCAGCACTTCGAGAGGCTGAGGTGGATGGATTACTTGAGCCCAGGAATTCGAGACCAGCCTGGGCAACATGGCAAAACCCTGTCTCTACAAAAAAATACAAAAATTAGCTGTGTGGTGGCACATGCCTTAAGTCTCAGCTACATAGGATGCTGAGGTGGGAGGATCACTTGAATCCAGGGGGTGGAGGTTGCAGTAAACTGAGATCACTCCACTGCATGCCAGCTTGGGTGACAGAGCCAAATCCTATCTCAAAAAAAAAAAAAAAAAAAAAAAAAAAGCTGGGCACAGTGGCTCACGCCTGTAATCTCAGCACTTTGGAAGGCTGAGGCAGATAGATCACCTGAAGTTGGGAGTTCAAGACCAGCCTGGCCAACATGGTAAAACCTTATCTTTAACAAAAATACAAAAATTAGCCAGGTATGGTGGTGCACACCTGTAATCCCAACTACTCAGGAGTCTGAGGCACGAGAATCTCTTGATCCTGGGAGGTGGAGGTTGCAGTGAGCCAAGATGGTGCCAGCACTCCAGCCTGGGTGACAGAGTGAGACTCTGTCTGAAAAAAAAAAGAAAAATGAAAAAAAAAAAAAGCTGAAGAAGCACTTATTTCATTGATTGACAGAACTGGAAACTTAAAAGACATTAGATTGAGGTGGTGAAAGCAGCCCACAGACCTTCTCAGAAATGAGATCAAGATGTGCACAGGAGAATTACCAGAAGAGCCTGTCAGATCTGAAGGAAAGGTTGACAATAGATCAGGATCTATACAGCAGATATTATTTAAACACAGAAGATGTATATAGCAACATGGATTACAGTATCTCTTCCCTAAATACCAGAACCATATCAACTTTAAATCTGCCTAATGGCATCCTAAGAACTGATGAAGAAAAATCGTCTTGTTTCACGTTCAGACAGGTTAGAAGAATCCATGGGCTTCTTGCTCCACATTGTTCAATGCTTTCCAACTCCCCTCAAGACATGATTCATGCTCCAATATTCCCTATTCTATATAATTGCCAAATTAAAGCTCTGTTTCCTAAGTCAGACATTCTAAACCAATGTGTGAAAAAACAGCTTTGGGAGGGTTGAGTTATTTTCCTCAGTCCTTAGAGTGGCTACATAGGGCCTGAGGCCAGTGGTTTCCAGCCATATGCAGCTTTGGCAGTTTACTCTCGTGTAATATGGAAATAATATATTCTATGCATGCTGTGACTTTGCTTTTTTTTTTTTTTTAAGTTAGGGAAGAACTTTAAACTTGGAAGACCTGTCCCGAGTATAGCAGGTAGACACTTTGATTAATATTACAAGATTAGCTCATACTAATTTAGGAAGCATTTGGAACAGTGTCCAGCACATGGTGAGTGAAGTTAAAGTGCTTATCAAAAAACACATATAATTGAAGCTATTATTTAAAAGAATTTACACTAAAGTATAAATGACTAATATGTTCAATGTACCATGAGGGTGTTAGCTGACTAATAAAGGATCTTGTTAATCTGAATGAATTTCTAATTGGATAAATCACAACTTGTGTGATGAACCCTTGCAATCTGTGCATTTTATGCCTTGCAAACTAGTCCTATAAGGCAGAAAATGCACAGATCGATGTTGTTTTATAGTAGAAAGCATCCTGTCACCTACACTTTCTATCCTAACACCCTTACAAGTGATTTCATATCCCATAGGATTTGGTAAAAATAATCATCATTGGAGCAAGAAGTGAAAGTTGGCAAGAACCATAGTGGATATTTAAAATCAAGGAATTATACGTATAAATCAATAAATAAATTCTGGTCGATTAATGCCAAATATCATCAAAGAATAGAGTAAAGCAATCTGGTCTTTGCACAGTGCTTTAGCCTGTCAAAGACAATGTAGCAATAAGCAATTTTACCAAAATATCATAACACAATATCTGACAGTTGAGAATTATTGTATAATCCTGTTAACTTGATTAGTCAAATATACAAGTTAGATTTTTCAATCTATGTTGCACTGATTCCCAAAATTAGATCTCAAATCAGGACTGAAATAGACCTATCAGTAACATGGAGAAATTTCAAGTATATTTCTAAATCCACTAGGAATCAACTATTGTTTTTTTTTTTTTAACTTTCAGTGCCTTTAATTCTTTGCATATATGTAACCTTTGGGAAAAAATATACATTGCAGGGTTTGACATTATGTATGAATTCTATGCACATAGATTGACTGCTACTGAGTCTCCAGGAGGCTTTGGAGAGAGCAAAGTGGCACTGAATTTGATCATAGAAGACAGAATCATATTTTTAAAAGAATTCTCCCAGCAATTCAGCTACATAGCAAAGGTTTGTCACTTTTCCTCTCAAACCCTTCTGGCTGTCAGTGCTCTTGGAGGAAGGTAAGGAGGAATGCAAACAAACTACTGGGGTGAAATCCAATAATAGAGTTGGGCCCTACTGGGGGCTCCTGGGAAGAAACAGCCCATCTAACGTTACTTCCACTGCTATCTCATTGTCCAAATCCTGCAATTAAAACCTTTCATTAGGCCAGGCGTGGTGGCTCACGCCTGTAATCTCAGCACTTTGGGAGGCCGAGGTGGGTGGATCACCAGGTCAGGAGTTCAAGACCAGCCTGACCAACATGGTGAAACCCTGTCTCTACTAAAAACATAAAAATTAGCTGAGTGTGGTGGCACACGCCTGTAATCCCAGCCACTCAGAGGCTGAGGCAGGAGAATCGCTTGAACTTGGGAGGCGGAGGTTGCAGTGAGCCGAGATCGTGCCACTGCACTCCAGCCTGGGTGACAGAGCAAGATTCCATCTCAAAACAAACTTTCATTAATACCGTACCTTACAGACTTAAGGTGTGGCCAAAGAAGTGATCCTGTCTGCTCACAATGCCAGCCATTTTCCCTTTGAAGCAACCAGGAGAAAGATTTAATGGGGCCTCATAAATGGGTAAGGGAAGAAGTACAGCCAACATCAAACTGAGCTACTAAGTCAGGCTTTCAACTCAGGCTTAGCATCCTTTCTGCTTCAGCACAGTAGCTTCACTGAGTCTCTGCAGCTTTAGGGAGCCATTGCCTGAGGAAGTAGCTGGTGATGATGGCCATTTTGGAGAGCCTTGGGAGAGGATGCAACACACTATAGGAGGCTGAGGTGCTTAGTCTTCTGGGCATGCAACAGACATGGACAAAACACTGCTGAATGGCAGTAAAATCTGCTCAGCGTTCTTTGCCTTGTTTATGATCTTCTTGTTATTTAGGAACTAATTACACAGTCTGCAGAGTGTCTCTGTTCCCAGGCCTTGTGCTGCTCTCTGACCACTTGCCTGCCTGTTATTTCTGTCTGTAGACAGAGGTCAGCAAGAGAAGCCATCAGAGTTTAATCAAACTTCTCCCCCACTTGTTAACATCAGTGACAAAATCTTTGATGAGAACAGAATGTTTCATACTTGGCTATCAAGGATTCGGGGATCTAGGGATTATTTATGGATTTCGTTAAGCACTTAATTCCCATCCACTGCTATTGTGAATAGCTGAGGTTTTGCCTATATCCCTAACACAATTTCAAATCTGCAGAGGGGCTCCTATGCCCTGAAGTGCTGAGCATGTTCAGGTTGTCATGCCTATCCAAGAATTCTGGGTTGCACAATACAAAAATATGCAAGAAGCACTTGTGTAGGATTACAGGGCAAGACAGGTGAAAATGTTTTAAAGTGTAGGAACATCTCACTTTGAACAATAGAGCTGTTTCAGAAAAAGTTCTTGTAAAATGGATTTATGAACATTTAGTTACATTTTAATCGACCAGAGGAGTTGATAACTCAAGGCTCACTGTGCAATGAGCTCTTTTGCAGGTGCAAAGTATTTATGTGAAGAAATAATTCCCTCCCCATTTAGCTTTTTATGAATTTGAATTTTAATATATCAAGTTGTCTTAAAACACCTGTATAGCTAAATCTGCCAAGATGCTTTTCACTGAATATCTGGTAGATGAAGGAACTCATTCTCCCAGGGAAATATTATAAACACTTTCAAAGCTGAGAAATGCTTATTGTAAATTGAACATAAAGTTTTCAATGGGCCACACCTAATTAGGTTTCTACGCCTCTTGAACACTCACTCTCCGCATATGGGAGAAAAGCAAGGAGAGCAGTTCATATAGTCAGGTTTAGAAGTTTTTGCTTTGTTTAATGTTAAATCTATTTGTTATTGTATTTATGTATATTTGTTTCTAAATATTTATGTATATTAAGTTTCTAAATCTTGTATCTTTGCAAATACTTTAATCACTTGCCTACAGAATTTTCATTTAGATCCAAAGAATCAGAATAAGCTCATTTTCATTTATAAATTTCATCTTTTTCTGCTGTTTATGCCTCATCTTTTCTCTTCTACTCCTAAACAAAAGCTTGTGTTTTTAGCTCCCATTTTCCAGATGATTGCTCTGTCTTTGCTGTCATTTGTGCAGACGGCTTCAGAGTTCCTGCACAAGCATATAGTGCCATAAAAATAAGCCAGATTTTTTTAAAAAAATGTTTAAAACATAGTAAATCTGCTTTTGCCTACTGTTTGACTTTCTCTTGGCTCACTGCCTGAGATCCATTAGGTACACTTGGAATATTCTAGCCCTGGACACGAAGGAAAGAATTTGCTTTTAAGATTGCTTTGTACTATTTAAAGTCAGAGATGATAGTAACCAGAACAATGGAATTGAGCCTTGTTGCCAAGTCTTTTGGTTTATGGCTCTTCCTTGGCTTTGGTATTCATTCTCATCTTTGCATCTGAGATGAGAAGTCCTATTTTGGTTAATGACAACTTCCCTCACACATGCCTAATCATCCTTAGAGGCAGACCTGGAGGCTCTTTTGGTTGTTTAGGCATATGTTCATTTATAAACAAAAATGAGTGTATTCTGATTCTTCTGGTCTAAATGAAAATTCTATAGGCAAGTGATCAGTTAGTAACCTATCCCACAAGACAGGGCAGGAAAAATTAGAAATGGAGAGTCATGGAAGCTGACTGTATTGGTGGACACCACGTTTTAACCATAGTATTGTTTGTTTCTGGTTCCTAAGCACCAAGGGAAGTCTACTAGCATGCACACAAAGCCTCAAGAAGCTTCTTTACTTCAGGCATCTCCTTAGGCCACCTTGTTAAAGAATTTACTTTCATAATCAGTTTCTAAGAATCAGTATTTCTTTTCCTATTTTCCTCCACTTGGACATAACATGATTAGAACAAAGAGTTCTCATGCTTTGGGACTGATCAGAATCATCACTAAAGAAAAGACTACCAACAGTCCTACCTTCATGTAGGAACTCTGTTGTTTTCCCTCCACTTGCACATCATAATGGCTGTGAGAAATGAGGCTCTGGAGGAAATCAATTCACATGGAGCCCCATCTTCTTGGAGGGCTCTCTGGGAGGGGCAACTGCACCAAGATTTTTGTTGAACCATATTTGCTGCAACGATGACGTGTCCATCACACTCATATCTCTCGAGAGGCCCCCTGGGAGATAGTGGCATTTTGCAGTGAGTGTGGCCTATTCTGGGTCATACCAAGGACTATTTGGATCTATCTAATTTAGGTAAATAATGATGAAATACATAGGGGTTTTCCCTGTCTTAAGAACTGGAGGATGTTTTCGAAGGCTTTCTTCAATCAGTGGGAGGGTACAAACACTTGAAAGTATTCACACTGGATTACTGGGTAAGACAAATTGCTCATAGCCACCCAGGTTAGAAAGATTGGGATTTAACATGACAAGCAATCAGAGGCTGAATCGAATGGTTAAAGGGTCTGTGTCCCTTTGTAGAATAATCAGAGATTGTTAATGAAGCACAAACCAGAAAAATTGTTATTAGGCTTGTAAGTGCTGGTAATATAATGTGTCCAAAAATACATGGCAAAGCTTACTCTCCCTTAAAAAGACACAAAATTTACACAAAAAAATTTTGTGAAATGTGTATGGTAAAATCTTTATAAAAGCTGTGAAATGTGCAATTGATTTGGAAAAGGGTTAATGCCAGAATATTTTAAAGCTTTACTCCCCTCCTTGCAGTGTAATCCAAAGATGTCTTCTGTTTTTTCCTTCCTTTATAAACTCAAACTCTTAATTGAAAAGCAGTCTGTGTTACTCAATATGAATGAAATAAGTACACTTGGGTCAGGTGTAGGGTTGGGTTGCTTTGGACAGTTTAAAAAGATTCTCCTCTTAGCCCTTATCTGTTTGTTCCCTGAAGGATTTCTGTATCCCTTCAGGCAAACCAAGCAGTAGCAGCAGCAATAATCTTATTTACAAAGGGGGCAGGAGGGCAGAGGGCTGGAAATCCCAAGGGCTAGTGCTCAATATGGTCCCTGTCATCTTGAGATCAGAGGGTTTGCCCCAGCCCAGGTGAATAATGACCAAGAACACTTTGTGACTGATGACTCTGCTATGTATGGGGAGTTAATTGATGTCCCTCTGTTCCAAGTGAATAATCCACTTTCTAGCAATGATGGTAATGTCATCAAGTGGGAAAATACACAGCCAGCTAATGTAGAAACAAGATATAGAGTCCCCACCCCCACCCCGGACTCTCTTCTGGGCAAGCAGGAAGTGATACTTTTACAGATACATGCAATGCTTTTAAAAAATCTCCGAACTAGCAGAACTAGGAAAAAAGCTATCTAAACTTTGACCTTTTTGACTAATATTATGAATCTTCTCAGACCTCTGTAAACCACAACGCAGGTGCATCAAGAACAATTAATCACCTTAGCATCTATGACCCTTGGTTATCTGGCCCTCCGCCCTCATCCTCATTACTCTCCTTCACGTACCATGTCCCATACACATGAGACTATGTGTCATTCACTGGACATATCACACTGTCTTACATCTCTCCCCTCTTACCCCCAACTCACCATAATTTATCTCCTTGGAGCTTCCTTTATCCCCATTTTTCCCTTTATTCTTTTCATAGCTAGCTCTTACTTTGTCTTTAGTGCTCTATTCAAGCATCACCTCTTCTTCCTAAATCAGGTATTTGTGCCCTTTCTAGTTTCCCATAGCCTCCTCCATTTTAGCATTGATTGCACTGTGTTGCAATTATCTTTTTAAGTGCTCACCTACTTTCATTAGATCTTCAGTAATTTGATGGTTCACCATGGTGGATATATGCACAGCACAGTTCACTTATATAGAAATTGGCTTATGGGTCTCAACTCAGTAACCTAATAGTTAAGAGTGAATCTGAGCTATACCACTTACTAGTTGTGTGATCTTCAGCAGGCTACCGTCTGTCAAACTGGAACATTAATACCTCACAGAGTGGCTGAGAAGATTAAATGAGATGATTCATCTCATACTAAATGAGATAATTCATCTCATACTAAATGAGATAAATACCAATCATTGTTATCAATGCCAAGTACGAGGTAGGTTCTCAGTAAATACTTGCTAAATTGTATTTTACAGTTTTCACAATTTACACTTCACTGGCTATCAGAGTATTATTTCCTCAATGATGTATTCTACGTACAAGTTAAAAATAAAAGAGAAGTTTTGTTTTTTTTTTTAAATAAGTGAGTTAAAATCAAAACAAGAAAGTGGCCAAAGGGCTGGAAAACTTGCTACTGTAGGTGGGACTAGGAATTATTTTAGTGCCTGGCTCTGGAGATGAAATAAATCTAACTTCCCCTCAGCCACTCTTTCAGCTATCCAAGGTGTGTGATGATTCATATGAGGCCAAGTAACAAAGAACACAAATTTAATTTATTTTGACATCCAGAATAAATTTGACAAAGTTTTTGAATTGCTGCTGTCTGGAAAGGGAAGGAAAGGAAATAGAAACATGTACCTCATCATACCCATGCTCCCTTGCAATGTGGTGTGATGGAAAGATCCAGAGTTTAGAGACAAAAGACCTGGGTTTGCATTCAAGAGCAACTTACTAACTACCCATGTGAACTTGGGCAAGATACTTGGCCTCTTTGAGCCTACATATGTAGAATTAGACATTTTTACATTATTTTTACTAGGCATTCTGGTAGGTAGAGGTGGTGGTTTTCATCTTTAAACTTGTTAGCACATGGGAAATTTTCAATAAATACTTGTGGAATATATGGCTTTAACTGAAAGAAAAGTGAATAAAAGGAGGCACTGCTTAATAAAAATAATTTGGGCTTTGGAATCAGGAAGTCCTGGGTTCTAACCATAGTTACCTTGTCTTTACCTCACAGAGTTTTCCTTTCGCTTATAACATGAAGTTAATAAGAGAGACATCACAAGGATGCTGTGAGGGTTAAATAATATATATAAAGTGCTGGCACAATGCCTGACACTCAGTAGGCACAATAAAATATAGTGTCTTTGTCCTGATCACTAGCTAAAGAACTGGTATAGACATTATTAACTGAATAAGCCAAAATGAAATATTCCAACACAGATTAATTCTAATACTTTACATTGTTGTAGCCTTTTGCAGGTTTCAAAGCTCTTCAAAACACTTTATACCATCTGATGTTACTGCTATTTTCAGAGCTGGCATTTTTACAGATGAGAAAATCGAATCAGGGGTTGTGGCTTGTTTGAGTCTAAACAGCTAGAAAGTGAGCACACACTTCTACATTTCCGCTACAAGCGGGTCTGCATCTACACAGCGGTAATTCCTCCTCCAGTGTTCTTTCCAACACAGTGGCTGTCTGGGTCAAAACTGGGTATCTTTGACATTTGTCATGATTCTGATATTAGCCAAAAAGATTGTGTACTCAGTAAGGAACATATGAACATTTTCAAATAGATCAGGCTTACCCAAAGTTGTATTCTATTATTATTAAAATAAACACGTGAAGTGCTGCATTAGTCATCTATTTCTTAGTGTTAAGAGAACAATTATTTGTTTGCTCTACAAATATTTGAGCATGTTCAATGTAATGAAGGAGGTGCTGCAGTTAATACTTGGGAGTCCCAGTGTCTGATTTTTCTCTTAAGCTAAGATTGCAACTGTAATATTTTAATCACTCTTCCCATTTGTCAATTTCTTTTGTTCATTTCCCCTTTTTTTGGATGTGTCACAGGGAACTATGTAGTCTATAAGCCCAGGTATTTGTTATTTAATATTACCCAGAAACTTTTGAAGTGGTTAAGACAGTACTTAATGACCAGCATTTCTGAGGTGTTCGGAGACCAACCCATTACATATTTCACCTCCTAAGCTAACTAGATATATACCCTCCAAATTTCTCCTATCAGCATTCCAGGGGTAGGGAGTAAAGGAACAATGATGATGTGTACTGTTCATTTTCTAAAATCCAGTATGGAGCCAAGAACTTTACATGTATCACCTTCAATCCAGGAAAAACTTACAGAATATTCTAGAGATGAGTATAGAAATTTTCCAGTTGGAACCATCCTTGAGGCAAACTGGAGTTTCTGCATGTCTTAATTGATTTTGTTTCTACATTATCCTAAATGTATATTCCAATATAGATAGTAACATATATTGATTGTGGATTAGTTTTTGAGTCTTAAGATACTCTATGAAGATACTAAATAAGTATCTTTCTCTCATCAAGTCTCAGTATGAAATTTAAGAGCTGGCCGGGCGCGGTGGCTCACGCCTGTAATCCCAGCACTTTGGGAGGCCGAGGCGGGTGGATCATGAGGTCAGGAGATCGAGGCCAACCTGGCTAACAAGGTGAAACCCCGTCTCTACTAAAAATACAAAAAATTAGCCGGGCGCGGAGGCGGGCGCCTGTAGTCCCAGCTACTCGGGAGGCTGAGGCAGGAGAATGGCGTGAACCCGGGAAGCGGAGCTTGCAGTGAGCCGAGATTGCGCCACTGCAGTCCGCAGTCCGGCCTGGGCGACAGAGCGAGACTCCGTCTCAAAAAAAAAAAAAAAAAAAAAAAGAAAAAAAAAAAAGAAATTTAAGAGCTAAGAATATCTATCATTTGCTTTTTGTTAAGAAGCATTCAGCTTATGCACCCAGCCAGAGTTTACTAAAAGAGGCAGAATGATCGATTTTTGACTATAGTCATTAAAAAGCAAAGATAATCTACTCTCAATATTT
The DNA here is from genome assembly GCF_000001405.40 of Homo sapiens. Taxonomy (NCBI): domain Eukaryota; kingdom Metazoa; phylum Chordata; class Mammalia; order Primates; family Hominidae; genus Homo; species Homo sapiens. The sequence goes on from NC_000006.12 coordinate 88,139,299, forward strand.
CAACATAATCTATTTTCAAATAGTTAATTACTTGAAAAATTAAAATCTTTCAAAATTGACTGCAAACACACATTATTTCAGACAGTAATATTTAAACTTCATTGTAATGCTTTCTTCATTATAAAATTTAAAGGTATTTTCTCTTATTGTTCAAATTGAAATTATGAGTTTTTACAAACTGTGTTGAAAAGTACTTATCTCTTTTCTGTGGTTCAAAATATACAGTGCTCATAAATTCTTTCAATTTATATTGTACTATGTCTGTTAAGTCTCAATTTACACATTATGAATGGTATGTTTGTTTTAATTTACTGCAAAATCAGTTAAAATCTTTAATGAAATAATGCTTTTTAAAGGTGTGGTGGCCTTTTCTGCTTTATTGTGTAAAAAATAGCTTTTTGTGTGTTTTTCCTATGGTAAAAATAAATAGATTAATCCAATATGTCCCCACTTTTCAAGTAGTCATTAGTGCTTTTTGAGGAATAAATTAGTTCAGCAATCTTTTAGAAATTAAATCCTTAGTATTTTGCCATCAGACTGTGAAATAAGGCAGAGTTCAAAGGCATTTTATGTTCTTCATGGTAATCTAGAATTTTTATTTGATTCCAGGTAACTTTGGACAATAGACATGATGAGATGTTTTCTCTTTGAATAAGTTAACAGTTTAATTACATTGAAATAAAATATACTGTGGGCTTAATACATTGTAAATATTACAGAAGAAGTACTACTTTGCTATAGTAATTTAATGACTGAAGCTACATTTAATAACAATCTTACCAGTACTTGTATACAAAGTATTATACAGATTACTAACGAAGATATTGCAGTGGTTGCAACGATGTTACCAGCTCAACAAACATCTAACAATACAATATTCTTCTAAGAGGAAAAGTAATAATGTTAGATTTACAGACAATAAAGAGTCATGTTTCCCGCTTGAAACATTGGAAATAAATTTGAATCCAGATACAAGAAAAGGTTTCCTTTCTTGGGAACTCTGATCCCCAGTAGGCCTAGTACAGTCAATTTACATGAAGATAGCTTTTAAGATGCCACGGCAATGTAAAGAAACTCTCCCATCCGAAAATTACTGATTTGTAGGCCACTGCTCAAACATCTGACTTTTTAGAAACCTATTTACATACATTCAGCCCAAATCAGTAGATAGAATGTTTTTTTCTATATTACAATAGGCATTGTTAACATTTCATCAGAAGGCCAGTGCAAGACAATTAATTGTTAATAGCCATTGCCCAGCATTTAGGAGATTTTAAAATATCATACAAATATACAGTTAGAGTGTGAGAAATCTAATTGTGTGCATGATATGGGTGGTCTCTTTTATGGACATGAAATGGCAGAAATTAATCAACAGGACAGTAACTATAGCGCTACTCATCCAGGGCCTAATTCTCATCTGGTGGTTGGGCCTATTTCCTGCAGAGTGGATTTAGGCAGCAAAAGGTCCTTGGCATTTAATACCAGATAGACTTAACTCAAAGTGCCAGAGAGGCTTGGAAATCATCTCAAGTGTAGGACAGATGTCTACAGCATCTCTCAGATTCATATCCTTTCACATATATTTCATACAAAATAAATCAGAGGTTCCTCTTGGAGGCAGCCCTACTTGTGCAAATGAAACATTCTAGGACTGATTCATCATGACTCTGATAAAAAAAAAATGAGCAGGTTGGGAATTTGGCCCTTTCTGAACATGTGTGATGGTAAAATGCATGGTCAGGGCAAGTACATCATCCTCAGAGGAAAGTAAGATACCTCTGATGTCAGACCTTATAAAACTTACTTAAATTTAAATCATTTAAATTAATGGATCTAATTATGGGGTTAATTAATGAGTGATATTAACAAATGGTAATTCTAATGAGTATATTCATTGGGGACAATGTTTTCGTCACTTGGGTTAAGAAATGATATGAAAAGTGTCAAAGTGAATCTAACTAGTTTTAAACCTTTTTAAATGAAGGTTGTATAACATACGTGATGATATTTCACAGATATTTCTTAGAATATCAATAAGCACCAAGTTTAGTGCTGTCAGCCCCATTGTCCCTTAATTTATTATATATGATTTAGATCTTGAAAGCACAACACACTATAAAATCTACACTGCATACGCACAAATGCAGTTTCAAAAATGAATCGTGAAATTTTTCTACCATAACAAGAATTTCTCTAGCTCTTCATAGCTGTGAAAAGAGCATTGGTACTGCCTGGTGAGCTCTGAAACATGTGGATTAATGTTCAAGATGATGCAGGACAAAAGACTGGCAATTCTTAAATGCAAACTAAACCCTGGTGAGTTCTTCTTGTAAATAATCTCTCCTGTCTTTAGAAAGAGATCTTACTAATCCTCTAGCACCCTGAGCCTTCATCTGCACATGACAGAGAGGTAAAGTAAGGGAGCCAGCAGGCAGATTCAAGGTGTGCAGACAGACAATGCAAAGTATCTCATAAGCCACATCCTGCCTTAGAGCGTGAACCGTAAGAAGGGGAACTGCCCCATCAGGCTGCTTGGGTATCTCGAGAGCTAGAAATCACCAGATAGATGCCAGCTCTGTACTTCACTTCAGACTATGTAAACCTTGGGGCCTTGTAGGAGTCATGTTTTATCTGTATAAGAAGAGATTATAATTAAAATTTGTCAGGGTTAAGTAGATTCTTCAGCAATATCATTCCTTACTGGAAAAAGGCCCAACAAGCACCCATGGCGCCATTAAGGAGCATGAGACCGGGGTGTAAGAAGAAAGCAGCTGTGTTTATCTTCATGCTTGAGTGTATCTTGCTAACCACGAGCAAAGGAGAGATTTGTTCCTTAGCCCAAACCTACCAAGACAGAGCTGGGTGCTCAGCTGTCACCAAGGGCATGTGGGCAAAGCACAGATACAGCATAGCTAGACGTCAATGCCAAGTGTATCGGTTCTTCACTGCCGTTGTGTGTCTCATCCACTGTCTGATTCAGCTTTTTTAGCCACATGGGCTGGGTGTGATAGTCCTACTTTAACGTGATGTATATAGTGCATACTATCTACACACGCTATTGAAAAATGTTACCATTGTTTTTCTGTAGAACTGTCTTCCTTTTAGTGACTGACATATTGCTCAATATTCGGTGCTCAGAAACCAAAGTACTCTCCTTTCCTGGCAATAACACTACAAATACATCCCTTCCTTGGATGCCTGTCATTATTTTTTGCTAAGCACTGGTCTTGTGTAATACCTAAAGGTCAATTTAGTAATACTTGATCCAATCTCTTAAGGAGGGATGGGGTGAAATTTTTGAATGGTTGGAGTCAGTATTTTTATCAACAAGATTACAGGAAGAACTCAATTTTAGAAACTGAATCCATGTGCAAGAGTGCAGCAAGTGGTAAAAGTTTATACTTGGTCACAGTTTTCTCACTTTATGACATTACTGTAACAGTTACAGGACAGAAACACACATACACACATTTATATTCACACTCACACACAGTATAATTTTACTGATCCAGACACTACTTCTTTTCAATTAAAAAAAATGAAGACTGTTGTTTGGCCACCCAGGCATGAAATCTACTTAAACCTGGAATATAGGAACACAATACTATTCAAGTAAACAGCAACTGCACAGTGATAACGATATACATTAAGATTAACACATGCTGTCTTAAGAGATCCAGTAATAGCTAAAGACTAAAGAAAGTCAGAGATGTCGCTCAAAAAAAGTCAATATGCTTTCTCTCTTCCATTCTGATTATAATCCATTAGAACAGCTATAGTCCAGAAGATAATGTGTCTTCCTATGAAAATGCAGGGCTAATAAATTTTTAAGTATGAATGAATTCTGCTCAATATTTTGAAGTCTTCAAATTCTTCTTGTTGAGGTAACAGAAAAATAAACCTTTACGGTTATTTCAGTGTCAAAATTAAATAGAGATATTTGAAGAAATATTAAGGTTTATTTCTAAAGTTATATCATGGGCAATAATATAGAAAAAAAGTGCACACATTGACACGTATCCACTGCTTGTCCATTGTTCTCATAAAAGTCTACCTTTCAGTTTTGCTGAACTAAACAAATATTAATAGCACATAAACACTGATACACATCTCACAGGACATAATACATTTTACAAAATATCTCTAGTACTATAACTTGTAAAAATGGACATCTCTGATACTACGGACAGTTACATTTCACATTATAGTGAAAGTTGTGGTTACAAAGGCATTATTCATTTGATGGCATTTTTCCATGGGTTCTTAGACTTCCAATTGTGTAGCCAAAGGTTTCCCTCCTATTTCATTGAGACTTTGAAGGATCGTTCAGTCACTTAAACAACAGGCTTTCTTCACTGTAAACCCCTGGAGAATGGAGTTTGAGTACCTAAACTATGGAAACATTAGCAAACTGATAAGTGATCATGGTGACAATCACCTTTTCATTGAGCATGGTAAAGTTAAAAAAATATAACCAAGGAGACAATAGACTCTTCTAGATTTTGAGCTTAAAAAAAAAAATTCTTTTCCTGTGCTGCCAGGGAGGCATCAGGCTCACAGAGCCTCGGCAGACGTGTCTGTGGACACAGACATGGTTACCTTGGCAATCTTGACCGTGCTCTTGATGCAGCTTTCTGCGGCCCTGTGAACACTGGCTGCATTGTTTGCGTGTTTGTGCAGGCAGTCCGAGTCCCCCATGCTGTTATCCAGAGGCTGCGCAGTGCCTTCACAAGAGGGAAACATGCTCCGGAAAGCGTGTCGCAGGTCCTTACTCCTCAGAGCATAGATGATGGGGTTCACGGTGGAGTTCAGCAGGCAGAGCATACTGCAGAATGCAAACACCGTCTTAATGAGCTTGTTCATCTTCCCAAAGACATCATACACCATGATTGCAAGCAGAGGGCCCCAGCAGATGATCAACACCACCAGGATCAGGACCAGGGTCTTGGCTAACCTAATGTCCATGCGGGCTTGGTCTGGCCGGGTCACCTGTACCTTCCCATCCTCAGACGTGTGGATGATGATGCTCTTCTGGGTGCCACGCTGAATCATGCGGACGGCGTGGCTGTGAGCCTTCCAGAGAATATACATGTACGCATACACGATGAACAGAAGCAGTACGCTGGTGACCCCGATCCAGAACATCAGGTAGGTTTCATCAATGTGTGGGAAAATGTCTGAGCAAACAGATTGCAGTTTCTCGCAGTTCCAGCCCAGGAGAGGCAGCACGGCGATCACAATGGCTATGGTCCACATCAGGCAAAACGCCACCACGGCCTTGGGCCTGGTGACAATCCTCTTATAGGCCAGGGGCCTGTGAATGGATATGTACCTGTCGATGGCTGTGAGGAACAGGCTGCCCACGGAGGCAGTGAAGGAGGCCGTGACCCCACCCAGTTTGAACAGAAACACGTTGCGGCTATCTTTGCGGTGGAACACGTGGAAGTCAATGAAGCTGTAGACAAAAATGACACTCCCCAGGAGGTCTGCCACCGCCAGGCTGCCGATGAAGTGGTAGGAAGGCCTGCAGCGGAGGCTGCGGGAGTGGAGGATGACGCACAGCACCAGGAGGTTCTCCAGGACCGTGAAGGTGCCCAGCGTGAGGGACAGGACTGCAATGGCCAGCTGCTGGCTGGGGTTCAGGACCATGAAACACTCTATGTCCATGAAGTTCTCCCCACACTGGATGTTCTCCTCATTCTCCTTGAAGGACGAGAGAGACTTGTTGTAAAATTCTGTAATGTTCACCTGGTCTGCTGGGACTAGCTGGGGGTTGTCTCCCGCAGTCATCTTCTCTTGGAAGGGACTTCCCCTAAAGGAAGTTAAAGGGAATTTCTGTGGGAAGTACCCTAATTTGGATGCCATGTCACCTTTGATGTCTTCGTACTGAATGTCATTTGAGCCCACGTACAGGAGGTCAGTGGTGATGGTGCGGAAGGTGGTATCTGCAAGGCCATCTAGGATCGACTTCATAACCTCAGTCTTTGATTAGGCTGAGCTCAAAATGACTGAGAAAGTGACCCACAGGGGGCAATCCTAAGAGGAGGGAAAACAAATAAGCCGAATGGTGAGAAACAGGAAGAATAAAAACAAAGAGACACTGTAAATGTGGCAAATGTACTGTCATGGCAACTCATTCCTGTCTCTGAACAGTAGGAGGTCAAGTTCTCATCAGATTCAGTCAACAAAATGAGTAAGTCACTCAGAGAAAAGCTCCCCAAAGTTCAGGGATGGCGTGGCACATGCCAGAAATGTATCACCTTTTCATTATTTAAACCCTCTGTATTGAAGTCAGTGTGTGAATCCAGGAAGGACCTCCAGGGCCAAGAAGACTGAACTAAATGAAATGTTTCTTGGGGACAATGTCCATTTCATAGTCACGTTAGGAAGTGTTTAGCACCTGGCTTCTCCTGTCACACACACATGGTATCCCAGTGCTGGTTGGGGCCGGCGAGAGCACTGATGTGTCACATGACCCCTACTCTTGGAGACTTCACCTTGTCAGACAAATGAGACTAAATGTAAAAGACAACCAAAGAATAAGACAGTGTAGAATCAAGTGATGAGTTGTGTGGTCTGTATGTTACTTGTAGCGGGGGAGGAGGGAGCTAGTGAGAACTGAGGAAGCTTGAGGCCATGTGGGGAGAGATGCTCCTCAAGACAAGTTTCTTCACCCAGAGAAGGGGAGGTCTGGACGGAGCCATGGCTGACATGACTTCTAGGATGTCCACATCAACCAAGAAAAATGTCACAAAGACCAAACTTGCAATGAGGCGTATAGGAAGACAGAGTTTTTTTTTTCTTTCTTTCTTTCTTTCTTTTTGATACAGAGTCTTGCTCTGCCACCAGGCTGGAGTGCAGTGGCACGATCTGGGCTCACTGCAGCCTCCACCTCCCCAGTTCAAGTGATTCTCCTGCCTCAGCCTCTTGAGTAGCTGGGACTACAGGTGCGCACCACCATGCCCGGCTAATTTTTGTATTTTTAGTAGAGACAGGGTTTCACCATATTGGTCGGGCTGGTCTCAAACTCTTGACCTCAGGTGATCCACCTGCCTCGGCCTCCCAAAGTGCTGGGATTACAGGTGTGAGCCACTGTGCCCGGCCAAGACTGAGCTTTTTCACAGCAGGGATATGGAGGAGGCCTCCTGATAGTCCCCTTCATGAGCAGGTTGGTGACACAAGTGTGCCTGGTGACAGGAGACAGGCTGGAGAGTGTCCAAGGATTTCCATGTGAACAGCTAAGAGGAAAGGCCCAAACTTTAAGGTTCTTCGATTCTAAGCTAAGCAATTTGGTTTTGTTTCAAAATAAACAGCCAGAGAACTGATCTTACTATTTATAAATTTTTGTTTAAAATGTGGGCTATTCATTTCTTTAGTTTATTTTTAAAAATTAGAAGTATAGAGTGATATCTATAACAATTAAAATAAGAATTAAAACAATATATTACTTGTTAATTGGCATTTGTTGTTCCTGAAACATATCACACTGTATGGGGTTGGGGGAGAGACAATCACTATTTCAGAACAAATTTTAAAAATGTTGAACTAACAATAAATGAGTTATTAATTCAGAGACCCTAATATCTGAATTAATAATTCATTTATTCATGTATTAACAAATTATGGAGCATCCACTATGCACTTGTATTATGTCTAGCTACGGTACTAGACACTAGTGTTGACAGCATCAAGAAAGAGTCCCTGCCCTTGGCCGGGCACAGTAGTTCATGCCTGTAATCCCAGCACTTTGGGAGGCTGAGGTGGGCATATCACGAAGTCAAGAGACTGAGACCATCCTGGCCAACATGGTGAAACCCCGTCTCTACTAAAAATAAAAAGAAATTTAAAAAAATTTTAAAAAAATTAGCTGGGCATGGTGGCACGCCTGTAATCCCTGCTACTCAGGAGGCTGAGGCAGGAGAATCGCTTGAACCCGGGAGGCGGAGGTTGCAGTGAGGCGAGATTATGCCACTGCACTCCAGTCTGGCAACAGAGCAACATTCTGTGAAAAAAAGAGTCCTTGCCCGCATGAAGGATATGATCTAGCAGAGGAGGCAGACAGCTGACTCAGAAATTAAAAGAAAGCATGGGGAGAGCTACAATTGGGGACGTACAGGATGCTCTGGGGACACCCAGTCTAGAGGGCTGAAGGAGGTTTCCCCAAGGAAAAGATATTTATGCTAAGAATAGGTAGCATCACTGTAGGTGGGGACAGGACACAGAGTCAATGAAAATAATTTTATTTAATACCCTAGTGTCATGATTCTTAAGAAAAGTAATTTGGAACAGGCATAAAGTGTTAAATGTGGCCCACCTTCCCACATTCTGCCACCTCCACTTCCAGGATCTCATCACTGCTCACCAGGGTTAGGGCGCCTGCTTTCTGACCAGTTTTCCTGCTCTTCTCTGGTCCTGTTCCTTTTTGATCACTTGCCACACAGCTGTGGGGGTAATCTTCATAAACGTATGCTGATTATGTGACTCCCCTCTTTCAATCTCTTTGCCCTAAAAACCAAATATAAACTTTCACGCAGTTTCCTTTTCAGGCCCAGGCCCTCCAGACATGTATGCAACTCTCGTCTGCCTTCTATGTTTCCATCCAGCTGAGCTCCTTTCCAATTCTGACCCTCAGGCTCTTGTCCTTAATACTCTCCACAACCTGTCTCCCTAAACAGGATGGCTTTCTATCTCCCACCTGCAGGATGAAGTCCAGTAAAAAGTTTCCTGTGATCTAGCTCCCGCCCACCTCTCCAATCTTCTTCTTGCCAGCCCTGGCCTTGCCACTTGGGCTACACCAGATGAATTTTAGTTCCATAAACACAGCAAATTGACTGCTCCTCACCTCAGTGCTGTTGCTCCCATTGCCCCTTACACTCCCGCCTGGTCAACTCCTCCCCATCACTTTGATGTCACTTCTTGCCATAGCTCCCTGCTTCCCATGGCGATGAACACCCTTTCTGGGCTCCCAGAATACCCAAACAGAGTTCTATCATGGTACTGACCAGATTTTCTAATACTTCTTTGTGTTTGCATCTGTTCCACTACTTCCTCCCACCCACTAGACAGTAAGTTCACTGAAGATCTTACTGGGGACTTTATCTTAGTATCTACTCAGCATTTAGTAGAATGCCTAACACACAGAAGAAGGCTCCAAATAAGCTGGTTGATTGGATATACGTATTTCAAAATAGAACAAAAACAAGAAGCTCTTTTCTACCCAAAGAAGGGGAAGGATTCTCCCAATGCTGATTAAAAAAAAAAAATGATCATGTAACTTGAATCAAGGGATCTAGCCTGGAGAGCTGCCCAATCCAATTGTGCTAGAAATATGCTCTATTTAGGTAAGGTTATTAGCATTTTAAATGAAGCTGCCTATATAATTATCTAGTCTAAACTCTCATGGAATGAGCTATATGCAATAAGCAACTTTGGCTACAGAGAGGCAAACAAGAATATTGGCAATGCCATACCAAATGGTGAACAGAGAAAGAGCCCTCAGCACTAATGTGACAGGTAAGCCAGAAGGCTCCCTTAGCTCCTCCATGGTTGTGTAACCCTTTTACAAGATCACTGTAGCCTGTGATGGCAGTAGGAGGCACTGCCAAACTGAGGGCCCCGAATCTCCCATGGGTAACTTCTATCATCACTAAGAAAATTGAGGGTTTTTTTTAGTCTGGGCTTCTGAACCAGTTCTGCACACCTTTCCTGCAACTGTCATAGAATAAAGCAGATGGGAGCCATCACCTACTGGACCAGAGGCAGGAGCTCTAAGGTACAAGCCACACAGAGGCACCCAGTGTGCTGGTACAGTCTGCTAACGCCAATCAAGTCAAGGCAGTGTCTCAGGGGCAAAGGCTAGTGGCTATAGAAATAAAGGATGCAGAAATAAAAGACCAAAGACCAACAGCCAAGCCAGTTGCCCAGTGCTTCTGGGCTCCTTTATCTAAAATATCTCCTGAGTTCCTACCCTCAGCCTGGCTCCAATGTTAACTCTCGAGTATCCTTAGTATCCTTAGGTTCCCTGTTCATCTGTCTGTCTGTCATATCTTTTCTCATATCCTCACCTCTTCTAGAACATGCTCTATATGTCCCACATTCGGCTATTTCTCAGGAGTCAACTCTTGCTCCTTGCAAACTTATGTTTGCTTAACAACTCCATTTACATATGGAAAGTTTTCATCCATAATCAAAGGGACACAGAAGACAGCCACAATGTGTGAGAGCTGTTCCTTACATGGTCCTTGCACATCCACAAACCTAACTTTTGCCTTTCGACTCCCACTCATACTTAAACACCAGGCTTACTGGCCCTGAGTGACTTGCTGCTCTTTGAATACACCGTCATACCTGCACACCTTCCTCCTTCACCTTGTCCCTTCTTTTATCTGGATAGAAGCTCTCTGCCTACTAAACTTATCTTTCCAGGTCTGTGCCAATGCTACTTCCATGTCTGAGACCTTCCTGACCAGCCCCTCCCACTAGGTATAACTAGTTCCCCAGCACATCCCTCTATTACAGGCCTCATCACGTCGTATAATCAGGAGTTCACATATTTATTTCCATAACTAGAATGAGATCTCCAAACACAGAGGCATCTTTTTTTCTTAAGTGGTTTACCAGCCTGATAGCATGATAGCAGGAGAGCAGACAGCTGAGTTCCCACAGAAATGTTCACCTGAACCTAATAAAATGGCAGTTGAATTTTTATTAGGTGGTACCTTAAAACAGTGATTTGCATTTGCCTTTTTCTTAAAATTAGAGGACAGAAAAAATAATTTATGCAATAGACATTTAGCCTGAAAACCAGAGTTTGAGCCTCCATCTCCAAGTAGCTCCTGTGAGCCATTCCAGTCATCTTCCCATTCCTTATGCCATCTTCCCTCAATTAACTAACTCCCCCTTTACACTTTCCAACTGGAAACTAGTTTATCAGAAATTTTGATTATCTTTATGTATTAGATTCACAAGATTTAAGATTCAAAAGGTACAGAAAGACATACAGAGAAAAGTCAATCTCTCTCATCCCTATATCCCAGCCACCTAGTTTTTTTTCTCAAAGGCAAGGAGTAAGTTTCTTGTTACCCCTTCCAGAGATACTCCATGCATATTCAAACAAATATATGTATTTACCCCCTCTTTGTTTTCTTTTTAGCAAACAGTAATTAACATTATTATACATACCTTTCTTTTCTTCTTAGAAGTACACATTGTGAACAGTTCCATATTCGTATATAAAACCTCTCTCTTCATTCAGCTGCCTTAAGGATCTGTTAGATGAATGTGACCAGCCTCCTACTGATGGAGGTTTAGGTTATCATCTTTTGCTATTAGAAATGATGCTGCAATAAATTGAATCCAACCACAGGTCACTCAGCAAGTCACTCAGGACCAGTAAGCCTGGTGTTTAAGTATGGGTGGGAGTTGAAAGGCAAAAGCTAGGTTTGTGGATGTGCCAGGACCATGTAAGGAACAGCTCTCTCATATATTGTGACTGTCTTCTGTGTCCCTTTGATTATGGATGAAAACTTTCATATGTAAATGGAGTTGTTTAGCAAACATAAGTTTGCAAGGAGCAAGAGTTGACTCCTGAGAACTTTTTCACATTTCTTATGGCATTGTGAGTAGTCTTTCTAGTCACCTAAGTTCCTAACTTGGACTTACTATGACACCTCCTCTTTCTTGACCTCTACAATCAGGTAGACCACTAAGTCTTGCTGATTTTCCTCTTTTAAGCATATAGAGAGAGCTTCTTATGGACTGGTGACACTGAGCCTATTACATATATATCAATTCCTTTATTTCACAATGGCCCTATGAAGTAGGTGCTATTATCCCCATTTTCAGAAGAAAGGCACAGAGGGTAAGTAAGTTGCTATAGGCAAAGCTAGTAAGTAGTAGAGCAAGCACTGCACCCAGATGAGAGCCACATTTCAAGTCCTTAATAGCTCCATGTGGTTAGTAGCTACTATACTGGACAGTGCAGGTCTAGGGCCCTTACTTGTAGCTTTTTTTGATACACCATCTCTCTAAGCTAAGACAGGGATATTACCATCTTCCTTGTTTTCTTCACTGATTCCAACCAGTCAAAGCACCTAGTCAATGGAATTAGGAGTTAGCAGACCAAGATTGGTGTTAGATGGTACTTGGGCAATCAGTCTTTCTAAGCCTCAGTATTTCATCTGTAAAATGGGGATGAGGATGATGACAATAATGCCTAAATCGCAGAACTGATCTGAAATTAGATGAAATTAAATGCATGTAAAACATAGTGCCTGACACAAAAGTAAGTCTTCAATGGGTATTATTATTATCATTACTTAGTATTATGGCTCTTTGCTATATACTATATACTAATTATATTGTAAGAATATATTATAATAATATAATACATACTAATTATATCTCAAGAATGCTCATTGCCTTAATTATTCAATCTTATTTTTGCCTCAGCACTTAAAACATGAAGCAAATAGTAGATATATATAGACATGGGTAAGGGATGGGGAACCTTTATTGAATGTCTGTTATATCCAGCCATTTGAGAAACTTTACATATATTCTATCATTAAATTGTCAAGGCAACCCTATCAGGTGCTTATTTATAATCCCCATTTCACAGATGAGGAAATGGAGGCCATCAGATGTTAAGTAAATTGCCTAGAATATGATGGATTTGCAGATGAATCGAAGTTTCTCAGACTCCACAGTCTGTTTTGAGATTTTATGTGACGATTTCAGAATTAACAGTAACTAGGTTAAAGCCATTTTGCATCTTATATTTAAGTCTTCTGGATTCTTAGAAATGTGGGAGGCTGAGGCAGGAGAATGGCGTGAACCCGGGAGGCGGAGCTTGCAGTGAGCCGAGATCCCGCCACTGCACTCCAGCCTGGGCGACAGAGCGAGACTCCGTCTCAAAAAAAAAAAAAAAAAAAAAAGAAATGTAAATTAAGGCATTTTGCCAATAGTAATTAAGACTACCTGCTACTAAATCCCTATTTCCTATCAAAGCTCATCTAGGTAAGTCTACCTACTTGCATGGACCTAAAGATTAAAATTTAGTCACTACTTGGAAGAGCTATAAAGCTTCTTCAGTGAAGACAAAGGATCACATATCTTATTCCAGTAATGCAAAAAACATGTTTCTGTGACTTACTTTAGATTAAGATCACCGCAAGTGTGATCACAACTTCCCATTTTAATGCAACCAAGCACTTTCATTAAAACAAACTAGCTTGTTAAAATCTAAGCTAGGGCATGGGTGTGGTTATATGATAACAGAGTAATTTCTGTCCAATATAAGCCAATTGAATTAAAGAATACAGTTAATAATATATGGATTTTATGTAGTTCAAAGATCTCAGTAATGTCGAAATACTACTGTGCACAGGCTATTTTAACAGTTAATGGGATCATGGCAGGAAAACTGCTCTCTGCATTTTGATAATTCTTTCCTTTATTTCTACATTTGGATTATTACAGTAATTTCCACCTTATTATTTTTTGCATCAACAACTTCCTTTGAGAGTTCATTACTAATACGGCTTAGGCTTTGGGGGATGTAGCTGCCATTAATTTTGTTTTTGTTTGCTACTAGGAAAATCATAATTGGAAATTTCTAGCAAGATGTATAGATGCACCTATTAAAGAAGCAGTTGGTTTTTATTACAGTTATAGTAAAAGAATGATTGAATGACATATAAGGGAATTTTCCTAGAATTCTGCTTTAAAAAATATAGCCAACATATTCTAACAGTGTAAGCTATATAAATCATGACTTCATAGTAAAGATAAAAATATCTTAATGTATTAAATCCATTATTTTTAAAAAATCACTCCAATTTTTAGACTATCATCTATTCTTTTTGTCTATTTCTCTGTATGCAAACCTGCCTCTCCACTACCTCCTTCCAAGAAAACCATATCTATCAGCTAGCAAGCTATGGTATCATCAAAGGAATTTTGTGAGTATGGCTGCTGCATAAAGTTGTTGTTTTTTTTAATGTTTATCCAGAGTCTTTATTTTTATTCGTATAACCACAAAGGGTTTAAAATGTCCATGTGTTCTAGGCTGAAAACACTGTAGAAGTATTGGAAGGACTGGTGCTCCCTGATATATTATAGACTGCTTTAACCCATCATACTCCTTCTCTGATATTCTAAGTTTCTAAGTGCTTTAAAGAGACAGTGCCTGGCACAGTGTCTACATTGACAGGAGTCCAGGATGTCAAATGCAGAAGTTCCAGTCCCTTGCTTAACTTGTTGTTTTTCCTACTTTGTTGGTTCTGTTGTTCACTTGGCTGGCCTCATAAAAGAACCTTGTGAAGAGTTCAAGAGAATGCAGCTTCCAGTGGATATATTTGTTGGTTATTTTCCATTCATTTCTGGGAACAAGTCTGTTTTCTACTAATTTGATCAAGAAAATACTGTGCTAATGTATTTCTCTAAAGTTAGTAGGGAAAATTTTAGTCGACTCTTATAACTGCATTATGTCTAAGTCATGCTGTCAATATACACGGCAGATGCCATAGGCCAACATCATAACTTGATGAATGATGTTTCCACTCCAGTTGAATGGGCAATGAGTCTTTTCTAACTCTTACCTAATCATTAGAGTTTTGGAATTATTAAAGAAGCTTGGTCACTTTTCCCTCATCTTCTACAGCAAAGTGAAATAACTGATTGACTTAATTATCCTGATAATTCAGGCAAAAATACATAATCTTTTTTCCTTATATTAATGTCAGCTCCTTTTCCTACATATGAAAGAAAATTCCATTATATTGGTAACACTCAATTGGCTCTCATACCTTCAGTTTTTCATATATTTTGTAACATAAAATAGAAGTTATTTAATGCACCATTTTCTCTAGTCTATTCTTTACTAACACTATATGTGTTATGTTTTTCATAAAAATATATCAATTGATATGAACTTAGGACATTGACTTATACGAGTGTAGTAGACTGTACTTCTGTTCAAATTTAATGTGAAATATGCCAAAGATTTCACATTTAGAGACTAGTTAAAACAATTTCAGGGCTCAAGAAAATGATGTCTTGCAACTTCATTGGGTTAGGAACTACGTGGTGATGATGCTAAGAAACAAAGCCTCTTGAATTAATGATACAAATAAAATCATTTGTTGATCTGTATAACAAATTCCATTTACTATTTAATTTTGCTCTTCTGTTTAGCTGTTTCCTCCAATTAAGAGTGCCTTGGCACTTTTCTTGAGAGAGAGATCTTTCTACATACTGGGTAAAGAAAGCAATTTTTTTTATTTTTTTATTTTTTGAGATGGAGTCTCGCTGTGTCACCCAGGCTGGAGTGCAGTGGTGTGATCTCAGATCACTGCAACCTCCACCTCCCGAATTCAAGTGATTCTCCTGCCTCAGCCTCCGAAGAAGCTTGGATTACAGGTGCATGCCACCACGCCTAGTTAATTTATATATTTTTAGTAGAGACAGTGTTTCACAATATTTGCTGGGCCGGCCTTGAACACCTGACCTCAAGTGATCCGCCCACCTCGGCCTCCCACAAGTGCTGGGATTACAGGCTTGAGCCACTGTGCCCGCCCAGAAAGCAATTATTAAAGCAGCCTTCCACTAACAGAGAACATACAAAGTTTTCAATTAAGTAAAAGCCATGGCCATATTCAAAATACTCTATAAAATTATCTTTATCTTGCATATGAGATTTGGTCATTAAAAGTGGAAGGTGATATATTATTCTGGTCCACAAAATGTGTAGAAACTAGTAAACAGGCTCTTACTTTTGCAGTTCATTATCAAGGAGTCCATAGCAACAGTGAAAAGTATGCTATATGATATCCAATTGCACAGCACACCTTTCACAGTTTCTTCTCTCTTCATCTATCAGTGAAGGCATATTTTCTCTTTGAGTCCATAATCATGCAAATTAACTCCAACTAAAAGCCAAGTCTTATTTCTCCAGATTCAAATCTGAGAGAATTTGGGTAAATGCACAATAGAGAAAATCCTAATTTCCAAATATTTTCATTTAAGAAACATTTAAACTTTTATTATATGCCAGTCATGGAAAAAATATATTATTTTTCCTTAATATTTACATGAAGTGGGTGCTATTACAATCTCTATTCCACACACTCAGAGAGAAAAATCCTTTACCCAAGGTCTCTAACTAGACAGGGCAGAGCTGGAAATTTGATCCAGGTCTGCATAATTCAAAGCCCCTGCTCTCAACACAGAGTTCCAAGAACCATTTAATAAGACACCCTTTCATTCATTTACAGGGAAGAAGAGTTGGTTTGGGAGAAGGTACACGTTATCTAATGTGTACATGATAATTTTATACAGTAAACAACTAAAATCTGAAGGAATGATCTGTTGACCAAAGCACTTGCAAGTCATCCTTGCTCCACGGTCTTCAGCAACAAAGTATGCCAATTAACTATAAGGTATAAATCCTAACTCTGCATTAGTACCTTGTTTGCAGTCACTGGTGCTAATGGCAGTAACTGGCAAATAAAACCTAAGTCATTTTTGCCACTATTTTGTAAGTAAGGGAAGGTGTTTTTTTGCTTCATTAGTCAATTGTCAGGAATATAGATGGTAATGACACTTTCCACAACACCAGTGAGACACGAATAGGGCACCTTCTTTAGGTCTGAATGAGACATGTTTATTAGTAAATGAAAGCTTCAAACATCCATTCCCTACATGGAGAAATTCAAACACTCAAAATCACCCAACTTCCCACCATGAGCCATGAGGTTTTCTTAGACCAGGGAGAAGAAGACTTTCTGTGGCCCATTCCTAAGTTCCTGGCTGGAATCAAGGTAGACAAATTATATAAACGTTGTACCATTTGTTGTTCCAACAAATGAGTGACCGTTACCATCTCCTGGTGCCCAATGGATGTAAAACTGCATTACTACAGCAATGTGGCTAATAGATATAAAGTTACAGGCCTTCAAATGCTTGATTTAACACATTTTTATTGGGCATACAGTCTGTGCCTAGGATTGTGGACATTATATTCCAAGATGTAACATTTTTCTGTGATAGATGACCCCCAAAATATATCCATGCTTCACACCCATGTAAGGGACATGGGTCAGGTCAAGAAAGCAAGGGAAATGGTTCTCCCCTCCACCCCTCCACCTCGAATACAGCCCACCCTTCTGTCTTCCTTTTCCTAGTTGAAAGAGTAGAATAGGTTATAAAAACATATAAAGGGAATATATTTAATCATCAGATAGTACTGGGCTGTGTGAATTCTCTTTCTCTACATGCTTTGAGATTTTCTCCCAGGAGAGGTGATGGGCATTGCTGAGCCATCCTGTAGTTGTCTTTATTGTGTCTAAACCCTTCAGACCATGAACACCTTGAGAGCTGGGAACTATCTTATAGGTCCTCTGCCTGGCACAGTGCCTGGCACAGAGTAGGTATTCAATACCTGTTTACTAAGTAAATGTTGGTATGCATCAGCAACATGGAAGATCCAACGTAACAGAACAGCTTTTAACCATGGACAGTTTTTTCTGGCATAAAGCCAGCTGATCATGAGGGCATTAAACCTGAATCTTGGTCTCATACAAACAACCATCTGAAAAAGTGTCCAAATGGGAAAATTATATTGAATCCATCAATTATTTACCCCAGGATGTCTTATTTCAGTATCACATAGAAATTATATTGATGGCAAGTGGAAGTTATGGGCACAGATCAGGTATTTACTTTTTATTCCAATCCTTGTTCAGCCTGAGTACATATTATGAACTGCAAAGTTCAGCCACTTAGCAATGACGTATCAAGAGTCTTTTGTGACATGCACAACCTTGAATGAATCTTAATTATATGCTGTTGATAGACCTTTAAAGACAATATATGAAATTACTATTATAATGGACTTTTTTTCTTCCCCTAAATGCACATTATTGTGCATTGATGTTTCCCAAATGGGTTTCTCCACTTGCGAGCGTGTTTCCAAAACTTCTCAAGAGAAGTCACGTGAAAATTCAACCACTAGATGGAGTGGCTTTTATAAGCCCTCAGGAATCAATTTGTTATTCTATTTGGTGGACATAGTTCTCGCTTTGGTTGAGCAACTTCTCCTCCTGCTACAACATTTTATGTATTTTACAACTGAATTAATTAAAATACAAATAGGAAAATATGTTATGGAGAGTTAAAATGGGTTATTACTACTGCCTATGAAAACTAAATTTCTAATTACTTTTCTGAGGCAAAAGGGCATTGAGAAAATTTAATATATTGATAAAAATTAATTTTGAATATCAGGAATTCTGCCTCAAGAAAGTAATTAAGAATGAGAAAAGGAAAGGAGTTCTACTTAAAACAAATATGTTTAAACCAAGAGATGTTAAAAGTAAGAGGGGTGGTCTCAGGAACCCACAATCAATATTAATAACCAACTCATTCTATTTTGTAAAACATTCAGCTTTCCAATTTCCAAATATGCAATAATCACTACTGGTCCTAACTCTGTGATGAAAAAGAACAGAAAATTAATCTCTATTATTGTAGGGACTAAAATGGAATATTTAACAAGAGAAATGAATCTTGCTTCAAATATTCATACAAATTGAGGACACAGTGACTTTCTAAATAATTCAATTTCCTTCCTATCATTCTCTCACTAAAATAATTTTAAATAAGTTTTTATTATTGCGTAAATCCGGGGTTTCCTTCAGACATTATTTTAAGAACTAGGTACTTATGTATCACCTACTTTAGTCGAAATGTTTAGGAAATTTTCAGTGTGTGCTAACAATGCAAGACATAAACAGAAAAATATGCTTTCAAGATGTAAATAATTACATACAAACAGAACTGGAAGAACGAGGTTTCAGTAGCAATGCAAAATATGCTCTGGAAATGTAGTTGTGATTAAGAAGTATGTATGCAAATTGGATGCAAGTGCAGAATTTTTATGCCATTGAAACCATGAGGCTGTTCTATTGTATTCATTCCGGATCGAGCCCTTCTTAGCGTTTGTGTGATACAATTAAGAATTAAGAGATTCCAGGAACTGAAAAGTGTTCAGAAAAAGTGATGTGAACATATTGAATTAGTAAATAAGACAGGTACCAACGGGCTGAAAATTATAATATACATCTGAAAGACCAGTCTGAGAAGTTACACAATGGTTTGTAAGTGCATGCAGGGTTAGTCTATAGGTCATTGGCTCTCAAAGGGTGGTCTCCCAACCAGAAGCATCAGCAGCATCTGGGAACTTACGAAAAACACAAATTCTCAGGATCCAGATCAGATCTATGGAAACAAAAACTCTAGGGTTGGGGTGCATCTCCATTCTTAGCAAGGCCTTTAGGAGGCTCTAGCACATTCTGACGTTTAAGAACCACTGTGAAAGATTATGGAGACATATGAAAAGGACTAAATGAGAAGGGGAAGTAGATTTAACCTTTAAGAAGAACTAAGGTTAGATAAGAAGAAAGAATATTCTGTAAGTATAGGTTTTTAGATCATTGAAACAGATTGCTACAGGAGCCAGCTCAAGATAAAATAACCTCCCACAGAAGATCTTTATAACTGAGGTATTCCTATTTGGAATAGAATAATGTCATTTAGCCAGAAAATAAGAATAAAGAGTGGAGAACCTCTCCAGTTTTTTTAGTCTACAATCCAGGGCTTCTCTGGACTTTTTCAGGAAACTTTTTTATGGATTTTGTCCAGCAAAGGAAAGTGGCTTCAAAATGTAATGTGTACTGATATAATACACAGATATATATTAAGAACTCCACACCATTTTCTCCTAATTCTATTTACAAAGGCTATGCAAAGCTTTATAGGGTTGCTAAGACATTTCCTTCACCACTACTGTGAAGGAACCCATGATTATTGAGCATAACAAGAAAAAAGTAAAAGTAATTAACATGTCAGCTTATTTCTTTCAAGCTGGAAATACTTGTTTCTGTTCTTCTTTTCCTCCAAACCATAAAATACTACATCTTAAGAGATGAACCCAGGAAAGAACGAACTAAAATGAAAATTTTGCTGTAGGCCCAAGTAATATGGATCTACTGCAAATTATTTTACAGAATTACTCTGGTAATTATGCAATTTACACTTTTCATAGTGGACCTATTTCAAAAATACCTAAAAGTTACAAATATTTAGAAATATATCCCAAGGCACTTAAATATATGACTCTGGGCAAACTGTTCTCTCTCTTAATTATTTCGTCAATAAAAATGGATCACAGATTACTCACAATTAGTTACTTTAGCTGAGGACTAAAATAATTCAAAGATTTCTCCTTTTTTGTTTATAAGACATTAGATCTCATTTCCAAAAGTAGCTGTGTATCTTCCAAAGTCAAATTCCCACATACGCAGAGACACAAAATTCTTTGGCCAATCTTGCACTTGTTTCAGTTATATGTTAAATTGTCTAGCTTTCGTTTTTCACATGCATACTGCCTGCTCACAACTTGTACAAAAGCTAAAGAAAACATTTAGCAAATTCTGGTAGCAATGCATTTCAATGAGCTGAAAATTGGATCCATTTAGCCAAACGCCATGGAATAAACCAAAATACTCAGATCATAGTGGCATTAAGTCCCTCATATAAAGAATAAATAAATTTGATTAATTTTTAAATATAGCTGAGTTAAAAGCAAACACAAGTGACAAAGGTCTAGTACCTAAATGATCTTTTTTTTTTTAAAGATCAACCATTATATTGGTTAACTTGCTATATTAAAAACATCATTTTTAGGCCAGGCACGGTAGCACACGCCTGTAATCCCAGCACTTTGGGAGGCTGAGGCAGGCGGATCACTTGAGATCAGGAGTTCAAGACCAGCGTGGCCAACATGGTGAAACCCCGTCTGCACGAAAAATACAAAAATTAGCCGGGCATGGTAGCATGAGAATCGCTTGAACCCAGGAAGCGGAGGCTGCAGTGAGCCGAGATTGTGCCATTGCACTCCAGCCTGGGTCAACAGTGAGACTCTATTTCAAAATAAATTAATTAAAAATAAATAAATAAAAACATCATTTTTAGCTTTTTGACCCGAAGAAATCAATGTTATGAATTACCTAGTACAAACGTCCATATAAGTAGAAATTTATTTAAAACAAACTTAAAAAATTTTTTTTCTTTTCTTTTTTTTTTTTTTTTTGAGGCAGAGTCTCACTCTGTCACCCAGGCTGGAGTGCTGTGGAGTGATCTTGGCTCACTGCAACCTCTGTCCCCTGGGTGCAAGCAATTCTCCCACTTCAACCTCCCGAGTAGCTGGGATTACAGGCACATGCCACCATGCCCGGCTAATTTTTGTGTTTTTAGTAGAGAAGGGGTTTCACCACGTTGGCCAGGCTGGCCTCGAACTCCTGACCTCAAGTGATCCACCTGCCTTGGCCTCCCAAAGTGCTGGGATTGCAGGCGTGAGCTACCGCGCCTGGACTAGAATTTGTTTTTTCAAAAGCATATTAGAATTTATCGCTAGCTTGAATGTAATACTCCTTAAAACTTCACTCAATTTTCAGGACTCATATTGATTCCAATTTTCTTCTCTAAAGTTATGATCTAAAAGAATGAATAAAGAAATGGTGAAGGAAAGAGGGGGACCCTCTCATTTAAACATAAATTTTGAAAAACATAATTTCCTAATTAATTAAGAATCCAAATAAGAGTGGAAAAATAAGACATTAAGTAGTAAAATATTGTATTTTAGGGCAAATTTATTTGCCTTTTGTGTTGAGAGAAAAGGCAAACTAAATTCTTGCATTCAAAAAAATGCAAAATGTACTTTTGAAAACATTCAAAAATATAGAATATTATGCAATAGCACAATGGGTTAAAAAAGAATTTGCTCAAAAATAATGATTTCCATCTAACCAGTCTCTACATATTCAAAAACAAAAGAAAACAAAGCAAAGAAAGCAAAACTTTGAAAGCTTTCTTAAAGTGCAGGTGTGAACATTTCTCCAGCTGGGGCTCAAATACAATTCATAGTATTCCCAGAACAACTGCAATGACTCTGCCATGCCCATTTGCTCGGGTTTTGGGAGTAAACAATTCTTCCCTCAAAAACCCATACAAACTATGAACCTCGAGAATTCCATGGTGATTAAGTTATTAGCTTAACCTGTCCAAGTGAAACTTAAATTAGAGGCTGTCCATTATTAATTCATCTATATGGAAAATACTTCAAATATATGGAAAATATCAATGGAAACTAGATCAAGAATATATACATGCAACTAACTGTCCTCTAAACTATTATAAAAAATATACTTTTTTTCATTATGGGGCCTTGTTAAATCAAGAAATATAATCCAGGAAAGCTTTTAGTAAATACTTTGATAAGAACTAAAGATAACTACACTACTTTATGTCATGACTTTGACCTCTTATTAGCAATATGTATTAAACATGCCATGTGAGCAAGTTTGAGATGGAAGTTGCTTGCTCTCACATCAAACAATTTCAAAAGCAGCAAGAGAGGTGACAGCGTCTACTAAAAATCACCCACCTTACAAACCTGCCCCCCTAACAAATTTCCTATAGTTTTAACTCACTTGTGGTAACGTTGTAATGTGTTATATATAAAAACTATAACTATCTTAATATGCATTCTGAGATATGGTAATAACCTTCTGTATTTTCCTCCAACTTGTACAGCCCTAATTTCCAAAAAATAATAAACAACTAAAAGGATTGGCTAAAAAGAAACTGTCTTAAACCCATCAGTGTTTATGATAAAATTATAATCAAATGTGGTGATGTTCACCCTGGCATACTTGCAAGATTCTTAGAACGCATGGGACTGGCACGGATTTCCACCTATCCTGGAAAACAAGAATGGCCTCGTTTCCATTCAAGGTGGATATCTGCTTTAACTCTTCAGTGTCCATCTGCACAGCTGCTTTGAATGCGGACATTTCCCCAAATTTGTAGTATTTATTTAAAATCAGAATTACATGTTCAAATGTATAAAGGCAACATATTTAAATTTTTATTTCAGTCATGATTTACATCTATAAAAATGTTTATACATGTAAATAAAAGTGTGTTTCTATGTCCAGGTGTCCAAAATTACGCAATATATACTTTGATATTATACATATATTCTGGGTGAAGTTACTGTTTCTTTTAATCCAGGAAACATTTTGGAGAAATCTGAATTTATAAAGTCAATCCAATCTAATCTAAGAATATACAGAGAATTAAATGCTTATCAAAGTATTAACTAGCAATTCAGTGGCAAAAAGTTGAATCCCCCAAGTCCCCAAAAGCAGCATTCATGCAGCCATAATATAAAGTTACCATTTCTCTGAGGATAAGATTAGGAAAGAACTGGAGATTCAGGGAAGAAAACATGAAGTTAAAATTTTGGCAACACAAAGTATATAAACTGATTTTGATTTCCTCTTATTCTTTGACTTCTCTACCAGTCTTCAGTATATAAGAGAAAAATCAGCAAAGCAGGCTGCCTCTCAAAATACAGATATGCAGTATGTAAACCTGGCCCTAGCACAGTGTTTCAAACAATGTTGGGTCCACATTGTTTTAGAGCCAACAGCAGAATTATAAATAATTTAAACCCAAAGCCTGGTTTCACTCTAACTATTTGTCAGTTCAATTAGAAAATGATAAATACAAAAATAGAAGAAACAGACTTACACTGGTGGAGGCATGGCATCCTTTTCAGCAGGGAATGAAAGCTCTCATCTATGTTCTTTATGCAACTGAGCTAACATGGAATTTGGTAAGTAAGATGGAGCCTGTCCTTTAGGTTACTGCCTGTTATCATGCTTTAATTGCTTTAATTAGCATTTAATTCACTGTATATTCTTAGATTAGACTGGATTAACTTTATAACATAGATCAATTCAGACTTCTCCAAAATATTTCCTGGAATAAAAGAAGCAATAACTTTCACCCAGAATTCTTATAAATTCAAGAAGCTATAACCAAATCTTTCATTTTGCTAGTTATGTGTCATTAGGTATTTTCCAATTCAATTTGTTACTCTTGTTTTTGCAGCATTCCTGGATAGCTAGTTATGGGAAATAATCCCTTATTTGGCCAACTGTTTTCTGGTAAGAAACATTTGGTAAGCGTGGTGAACTATAAACTGCTATTAGAAGTTCCATCTCATAATAGTTTATTCTTACATAGCAAAGTATTTGATTTCTAATTCCAAACACTAATATGCAAGACAACCAAGAAGCCTGTCTAAATTTCCCCGTGGTTAATGTTAATTTTGAGTCAAAGCAAAGAACAGTGTTATACGACTGTTTTGAAACAGTTTCTCAGGCTTTGCCTTAGTAATTAATAAGCTGACACTGCATACTAAACACTTATCAACACAATCAATGGGGCTGCTTCCTTCTTGGGAAAATAGGTAAACCGAATCAAAGAGTTTTCTTTTGGAAGAGGCTGAAATATGCCACAAATACAGTGGTTCTTTTTGAGAATTTCATTCCCAGCAGTTTCATCTTGGTAACATTTAACAATTTCACTATTTTACCATTTTGAAATGCCAAAAAGAACACACTGATCCTGCAGCTAGGCTTATTAGAGAAGAGCAATCTCACAGGCAAGACAGAGAGGAACATGGTCCACTGGGAAATGGGTAACAGAAAAAGACAGAAAACAGTGGATAACAAACAAAGCCAAGCACTACTTCAATGTGAGACCTGGTGTTCATCAGAATTTAAAACTTTACACACTAAATAATAATCACTTATGGCTTATTTAAGGTTCTAGTCATAACATTCTTTTTACATACATATATTAATGTTATTAAAATTCAGGGGCATGAATATCTAATTTGCTTTC
This sequence comes from Homo sapiens, assembly GCF_000001405.40. NCBI lineage: Eukaryota > Metazoa > Chordata > Mammalia > Primates > Hominidae > Homo > Homo sapiens. The sequence continues at coordinate 88,164,118 of NC_000006.12, forward strand.
CTAACAACGAGTATGCAAGCACAGTAATTTTATTTGTGAAAGGCCAGAATTGGGTATTTCCACCTTGTGGCATCATTGTACCCCCATGGACACTGAGAAACACAATGAGACCTCTCCCCATCAGACACTTGATACATACCTCAGCCAAGAGCGCTCCTCGCCTGGAGTGGGAGACATCTTTGAAACAAAAAGAGTCGGTTTACAGTAAGTTCTCCTGATAAGCTAAAATGGATTAGTTTTTTAAAACCATGTCCCACATCAAGTCTCTTGCCCCACTATGGTAACTGCCATTGTGCCTACAAATAAGTGCCTGTAGTATGCAATGTTTAAAATTCTGGAGGTGCATGTCTTCTGCTCATGTATGGATATAATCTGAAAGTAATTTGTCTCACTTAAGAAACTATAAATGGCCTTTTATTTTTATAAAATTGCTCTTAACTGAGTTAGAGAGCGGGGGAGGGGGAGGAGTACCAGGGAAAAAAAGGACAGAGAAAAATCAATTAGTGTATCTTCCCTTGCAAACTGTCAGTAGGGTAGGATTAGAAAAGCAACACTTTAAATCACATAAAGTCCTATGGGAACCTTAAAGGTTGGTTGCTCTGAGCTTCTCAATATTCTGCAAAATAGATTGATGTCAGTGGTGACCCCACTAATACTCAGTGTCCGCTAAGCTTCCTCTAAGAAATTGCATTTCCCCCATTGTTCAAAAGATATTAACTTGGTAATAAAAATGAGGAGAAGTTATGGGACCCACAGAGATATCTTTCAACACCTTTAAAACCAGTAAATCTGTTCTAATCTCTTATTGGATTACATGCCCGAGGAGGCTTACTATATCAGGAAATCAACAACAAAGGCAAGAATAGCACTTATTTGGAGGAAAATAAAAAAAGATGGGAGGCAAAATGATTAATACGTTACTAAACATTTCTTTTGTTTTTTTATCTGTTCAATTTTAAATATCTGAGAGACAATCTATTAAAATCAGAAACATGCATGTTGCTTTTAAACTTCCAAATGACCAAATGACAGTTTCTCATGTCTATTACAGCAAACATATTTTTATTTGAGAGGTGATCCGTTTATGATTTGTAAGCCTTAACAAGAAATGTCTTTTAAAAATGCAACATTAACTTTAGTCATCTAACAGCTAGTTCTGAGTTAAACGGTTCCATCAACATTCAATTTTAGGTATTAGTTACATGGACATTTGTTTTTCCTCAAAGAGAAGTGGTTCCTGTAGCTTTTTATCAAAAGTTTATTATTTGACATACATCTCTTTATATGACATTTACTATTTTACATTAGTCAGTTTCTAGGCTTGCAGCAGAGATCGATGTATTTCCCTGGGAAGACTTAGCTGCTAACATGGTTTATAGGCATTCAGCACCAACTCAAGCGCCCGTTTTTCAAACATGCACAATTACCCATTTTCTACAAACAGACATCAGTGCATACAGAGCCAGGTGCACACACATTCAATAAATAGTAAATGGTAGAAATCTCCAGAAGTAGAACAGATCACAGTTAACAGGCTGGGGCCATACAGCTAAGTAAACACCGACGCACGATTCGCTCACACGGAATAAGAACTCCACGAAGGACACTTGGGGACCACACTGGTCGTACCCGAGGGGGCGGGAGGCGGAAAAAGTATTTCCAAACGCAACTCTGCCAGGTCTTACCCTTCGCATCCCCTGGTCCTCGGGACAGAAGCTCCCTTGGCACCTCTCGCCCAGCTCAGGGGCTGGTTGTCCGCTAGAACGAAATATCCCCCACTGACTACGGAGAGCTCTGCAGGGAGCCGAGGCCCCCGCCCGGGCCAAGGGAAGGCGCTGGCGCCGCGGGAGACAAGAAGAGGCGGAGGCGGAAAAGAAGTGGAGAAGGAAGGGGTGGCAGAGGGAGTAGCGTGCGGGAGGCGGCGCCGGCGCCGGGCTGCTGGCGAGGCGGGGTGGGGTGGAGTGGGGTGTGCCTCCGGCGGGCGGTCAGCAAGTCAGTCCGTCCGAGCGCCGGCGTCCCGGTCTCCAGCGCCCGCCCGCGACAGCGACCGGGACTGGCGCCCCGCTGCTCCGACCGCCGGCGAGCCTCGCCCCTTCCCAGGCTCTTCACTGGGTCCTCCCGCGAGCCCCGCCTGGCCCGGCGTGGGGCCGCCCGTCTCCGCCAGCCCGGGCGCCCGTCGCCTCGTCCCGCTCGCGCAGTCCCTGCCGCTCCCTCCGCTCGCGCTGTCTCTGGCTCCCTCTCGCTCCAGTCCCATTTATGAAGCGCGGTCCCATCACGTGTTAATGAGCCTTTGTCCTGCCCTGGCAGCGGCGGCGGCACAGACCCCGCCGAGGGAACTGCGCGGGGAGGGACCTGAGCGCAGCGCCCGTAGCCCCAAACTTTGCTTGGGGCGGGGGACCCGCCGCGGCGCCAGCCCTGGGGCCAGAGGGGACAAGCCTCTTCGGCCCGCGTCACCTACTTCTCCTCTTCCTCCTCCTCCTCCGCCGCCGCGCTCCCGGAGGCCCCCGCTGCCATGACCTCGCTGTGCTCCCGGATACCCTCACACCCTGACCAGGCCAAGAAGGGGCTGGTGCATGCGCCGCCCACGACCTCGGGGCCATTAATCACACGCTCCCGGGCAGCGCGCATCGCCAACACCTTCCGCGGGGGTCACGTCTGGGGCAGCGGGCTGAGCCGGAAGGGGAAGGGGAGCGGGAGCCCAGAGGCCGAGGCGCGCCGGGCCCGGGGGTGCGGTCTCGCGCCCCCTCCCTCCGCGCAAGGCCGCTCCCGTGGCAGGCGGCAGCGAGCTGGGCCCGGGGCCGGGCTGAGCTTTGGGACCGCGCTGCGCAGCCCCCGAGCCGTTCGCTACCTGGCTGCGGTCGCGCGGCCACCTGTCCTCCGCCCTCGGGGCGCCGCCCAGCTTCGCGCCAGGCGCCTTCTCCAGCGCCCGCCGCCCTTTCCCGGCGAGACCACTCGGGCGCGCCCCGCCCGCCGGTCCCCGATGCAAACAGTTGGGCTCCGTAGGCGGCTGGCTCCGCGCCTCCCGGCCCGGCGCGCCCCCTCCCCGGCCACCCGGGGCCCCGCTCCTCGCACCTTTTCGCTGGAGGAGGACGCCCCACTCCAGGGCCGGACTGGGGGCTCTGGGACTCGGGGGCGGCAGCGGCGGGCGCCTGGGGAGCCGCGGTGTGCTCAGCAGCCGCGGCAGGAATTAGGGGACATGCTCGTTAATTGTTTCCACTATCAGCCGCCGTCTGCCTCCTGTGTGCACGGATCAAACCTTAATTGGTCTTTACATTTATCATGGTGAATTGCGAACCTCCAAACAAGCCTGGGCCGCCGCTTCTGCCGAGGAGGCGCTCCCCTCCCCTCCGCCCCCGGGGCCCTGCAGGGTGTGCGGCGGCGGTCGTGGTTATTTAGACATCTTTATCTCTCGTGAGTTGGATCGGGAGAGGATCGCACGGTTTCCACCTGACGGAGCCACGTCACGTCGGCCACAAGGGCCCCGTGCTGGGCGCTGGGTTCGGTTCCCGGCCGTCCTCTTGTGGCCGCCTTGGCGTTCATTTTATGACACCTTGCCGGTGTTCCCAGACATCATCCCGCACCGCTCCGTTTTACCGACCTCCAGGTCTTCCCGCCCCTGATCAGACCCCAACAGCAACCGTACTATATCTGGACCCTATATTTGAACTACGTGGTGAGAATCTGTGAAAGCGAGCCTCTCAGGGAAAGAAGGAAGATTGTTGAGTTCAAGGTCCTGGAGGAGGGAAGGCTGTAAAACCGTTTTGGAAACGTCAGGCCAAATCGTACAAAGGCTTCCCGCAGAGCACTAGTGCAGTTTTTGAAAATCCCCCTAGACTGCTTTAGACTAGAAGTATTTCCGTCAAGCAAATGACCATTTGACTCCATTGAGAGAGAGAGTCCACCGCTGAAATGATTAAGTCCTACTAGGTGGGTGGTTAGAAAAGGTTATCAATAAAGTTCTGATGGACCCATCGATAGATGGAAGAATGACTGGGAGATAGATAGTAGATGTGGGATTAGTGCTGAGCCTTAACCCTGCTGCTTGGGGAAGGCTCTACTCACAGGCATTTTTAGCCCACCTCCATGGCAGAGACAGCTCCAGCGCAAGATTCAAAGGGAGGAGGCTTCAACATCTGTTGCTTTTTTCTTTTAGGGGTCGTGGTTGTTAGATTTTCCCTTCACCTCACACCCCTGGCAGTAGGAAATATTTGCAAAAATTTTCTCTCCTTATGACCTCGCAGACTCTGATTTCCCAAGAGGCCAGATGACAATAACTTCAAAGTCTCTCCTCCACCTGGCAGCTCAGTTTCAAATGACTGCTAGTAATTAAAAGAAAGGATCAAGGCAGCGCTTCCTCTGACTGTGATAAGGACATCTTCAGTCACAAGAAACCTGGGGGAGCTGGACTCCTAGAATGCTTTCAGGCCACAGGATTTCACTTGGGTGCTACCACCCTCCCCTGTAGCTGGAGGGCGTGAGCTGTTGGAGTGGCAGAGCTGTTCAACATCACTCAGCTAAACAACACTGACACACCCTGGTGGTGCTCCTTCTATAAGGAGCACTTTCCCACATGTTGATCTATACCTTCGTGGTGGTCAGCATCAACCTGTGAAAGGTATTCCATGGAAATCTTGTATCTCAACTCAGCCACACCAGCTTTTGCTTTTTCATAAAGAGGAACAATCTGATTATTGTGTCTCTAAGTCATCCCAAATATCTTCTGATTGACGTTGGGTTTCTTCACTGAATTCTATGAAATTCCAAGCAGAAACCTAAGATCGTTGATGGGCCAGTGTGACCTGTGGCCAGAGCCAATCACTCGGAATCTCATCTAGTAGTGACTCCAGCCGAGATAACTGTTTAGTTTGTTATTCTGTTGTTCAGGGTTGGGGGAAACCTGGAGCCTGACAGCTGAATTGTACTGACTTTCCATTTAGAGCTCAAGGATAATAATCAGTAATGGAGTCAAAATTTGACTTATGACCTGGCATTTTATCACCACAAGTGAATGCTGTGTCAAAAACAAGAGAGTTATGTTCCTTGGCAAATACTGTTCTTGTGGGCCTTCATGTGCATCTTTAAATTTTCGTCAAGGTATTAGACTGACAGACAGGAGAGCTGCTGTACTTTTTCCTTGGATTGGGGCAACTGGAAGAGGGGCAGAGATCAGACAGCAGATGGTGCGAGGGAAAGATGCTCTTCGGTACCTTGGAGTTCACATTTTGCAAGGATCACCTTTATGTGGGAGGAAATGATTTAGTTTCCACATGTGGTTGGCCATCCACTGTACTCCTGAGACAGTCAGCAAGAATGACAAATGCAAGCTGTCAGCCTCCCTATTAGGAACATTATGTTGAGAGCATTCATAAATTTAACATGAAGTGCTGAATGGCTCTTGGTCACCACAAACCCAGGTTGAATTTGAATCCATGACCTTCTGAGGAAATGCCCCGGCAGCCCCTGAACAGGCTTCAGTAGTCCCTTCAGTGCTAGGCTGCCTGGTTTTTCAGATCCTTATCCTTTTAAAATTAGAACAGGGCTATGATGAGCCAATTTACTGCCGTTCTGTGTAATTTAGGTTATTCACTCAGTGAAATGTAGAGGATGAGAGCACAGTTAAGGCTGCATATTTCAACTTCAAAGAAAGATCTCAATTTATGCCTGCCAAAGTGTTAAGAGTTCTACTGGCCATAGAGCATCAAGGAAACATGTCTGCTTTGGTGAGATAGCTGTGGATCCAAAAGGAGCTCTACTTCAAGATGTTTTTGGTTTTATTTTATTTTTTTTAACTTGCCATGGTTTGTCGTGCTTCTCTCCCACTCCCCAAATGGGTGGTCTGTTGGGGATGATGAGTCATGATTTCCTGGTTTGGAAAGCGACATCACTCTCTTTTAGAGTTTTGGGGGTTCGGTCCAAGTTTGGTCCTCACGTTTTCTTTGGTATTTTCAGTGTGATGCTCACACTACAGGGCTGGAACGCTCACTGATTAAGGACATTTTAGGAATGATATTATGACTACACGATTTCATTCTAATTCGGAGCATTGCTTTAGAGTTTCGACAGCTGTTATTGGCTCTCCCTTGAAGCATTTTGTTTTTCAGTGGCTCTGCATTACTAGATGGGAATCTGCTTCTTCACTCCCAGTCTAAAGGGTAAGTGTCAGTAAGCCTGCAGACTGGGCTGGGGCTCTGCCATCCACAGCGTAAGGTCTGAAATGCCTGCTCGTGAGTTGCTCCACCAGCGATGCGAGCAACTGAAAGAAACTCCTGCACCACTTCTGCGTGCTTCTCAAGAACTACAAGTTGGTGTTGGAAAAGAGATTCTTTTTCACTCAACTGTCAGAAATTAAACTTTGTGAGACCTGCTCTAGGTGGAGAAGTGGGTTGCCAGGGTAGGCAATGAATGGGTAAGGAAGGAAGGGCCATGGGCTTGTTTGACCTTGGGAGATACTGCGTTGTATTAGGTACAAAGAAAATTGCTGCCACTTCTCAGTGATCTTCCTGTATAACTAAATATTCGCTCATTAGGGCTTTTTGTTGTTGTCGTTCACCTTCTCACCTTCTTTCATTAAATCCAGATCTTTAACATCCCAGCTGAGCAGCACAGGGAAGGCTGAGAAATGGCAGGAAGGCATTTTCCTTTGTTCATATGTTTTGTTTTGTTTTTCATCACCAAGCAGAGGATTGGTAATGAGGAGATGGATCATCCTTTCATTTCAAACCATATGAGGAGTATGTTCCAACAGATAATAAACAAGCACATCGTGCAAAGAAGGGGGGTGAGGAGGCAGGTTAATAAAGCTTTTGTTCTCCTTTGATTAAACTCTTACAAACGAGTCATCAAAACTTTCCAATTAAAAGGCTATAAATATTATATGTCTAAATATTTCACTTTTAAAAAATAGGGCAAGCAGCAGTATTATAATGCTAAAATACGGCAAAGAATAGAAACATACTACTAAAAGATATGTACTTCTTAATCACTTGGCCTTCCGAGTAAACTCTCTTCTTGGTGTTCTTCATGGTTTATTTCAACTTCAGGTAGAAGCTTGGAAAAAGAAAAAGAAATGACCATCTATCTTGGTCTATGAGGATTAAATGAAACAATATACATAAAACAACCAGGCTGGTACCTGGAAGTTAGACTCTCAATCAGTGATTGCTGTTTTTATTTCTCCCACAACTTCTGCTACACTGTTGCTGCATCTGTGTTAAGTGTATGGAGAGGACCACAGCCTGGCTGAGGCTCTTTAATTCTCAAGCCATAGAGCAGGCAGCTGATTCATAAACAAAGTGCTCACATTTTGAGGGTTTCTTGGGGCTCAGCTGTGACTTCTTTGCTGTCTCTCCCATTCTAAACAGATGCTGTAGATTATCTGCTTTGCACAGTGGTCTAGATGTACTGATACCTTGAGAAGCCACCATTATCTACTCCCTGCAGTTCACCAGCTTTTCCTTGAAATGCAGCTGCCAGTAAAAATGAGAATTGGCAAAAGCCAATGGGGTGTGCGGTTTATCTTTGGATGTCTTGTCTGGCTTGTTGTATCTAAAACATTGTTAAAGAAACCGGTACAGTTTAGGCCTTATTGAAGAATTGAAAGGATCAGATTGTTTTTGAATTTTTTTTGTTTAAAGAACCATTAATTTAGACAGGCTGTAGTGGAGATTTGAGAACATTTGGGGATATAGATTTTACCCCCAGCTCTGGTGCTGATGGCCCAGGCTATCATGCACCATTTCTAGGCCTCATTTTTCTATTCTGTGTGATGGGAATAACACTAATATCTCTAATTTCCTTTATACAGTGTTTGTGAGTATCTAATAAGGTAGAAATATATTGGTAGAGCTTCAAGAAAAATTCAAACAATTATTATCAATAATTTATTTGATTTAATGGTCCACTAATTTCTTAGTTGTATCAAATTACATAGAATATTTTAATTATTCTTCTTATTTCAAGAAAGAACAATAAATAAATTGTGAATCTTAGAGCTTCGACAGCACTGATTTTTGTATTGAAGGCCCATAAAAGAGGATGTAATGTGTTAATAACCAAGTTAAAGACTCTTAAGCCAGAATACTAGATGAATGTAAAGCATGATTATAAGTATTGAAAGCAATTTTAGTTCATGGCACGATGATTTTTAAGCTGCGAATTAACTGATTGCTGTGGTCTAAGTGTTGGCGTCCTTCCAAAGTTCATATGTTGAAACTTAACCCCCAACATGATAGTACTAAGAGGTGGGAAGATTTGGGAGGGGATTAGGTCATGAGGGCTCCTCTCATGAATGGGATTAGTGCCCTTATAAAACAGGTTGAAGGGAGCTACCTTGCCTCTTTCACCATGAGAAGACACAACATTCATCTCTTCCATCACAGCTTGGTCTTGAACCTCCCAGCCTCCAGAACCGTGAGAAATAAATTTCTATTATTTCCAAATTACCAAGTAATTATACAGGTTTTTGCTATAGTAGCCCAAGTGGATGAAGACATTGATCTACCTGTGATTATTGCTACTACATCCTGCAAACTGTTGCCCACTGGGGGTTACTTTTTCAACTTAAGAGAACATAGCTTCCTTATACATAAAAATCTATAAAACATGCAATTTATTACCCTCTAAAAATATCCTTTTTCTCAAAACTGGGGTTGCTGAACGTTCAGGCTGCATATTCTCCCTATAGTAGGCATTGAGTAAAATAATTATAACTTTATCTCTGTATTGTATGTGGTTCTCAGGCATCAGAAGAACAACTGTAAGTGCAGAAATCCCATGCGAGAAGTTAATTTAGGAGCTATTAATAATTTCTCAGATATGATCTCATGTATTAACTCAGCACAACTCTAGTGTTAAAGTTATCAAAGAGCATATAGGGGGACGATGAACCATTGGTTAATGTTTTTAAAAAAATCTTTAGTTCTGAGCTTTATATCATGATCTGTTTTGAGGAACATCCTAATGTCAAGGCCACGTTCAGTCCTCTGACATCTTCCCTCCTTTGTCACCTTCTAGAGGAAGCCTTTCTTTCCCCCTTCTGCAGTTCTTTCTTCCTTTAATAGCTGTCTTTGTTTTAATAAGGAAACTGTCGGGGGCAGGGTGGAGATAAGGAAAGGAAAAATGAACTGAAGGAATAAAGAAACTACAGGAAAAGAGAAAATAAGAAAGATTTTTCAGAAATATTTATATCTCTTAGAGTCCCTTAAATACTAAAAATTAGAAACTCGAGATGGTATGTGACATTTGTACCCTGACACTTTGCCTGCTGTGAAGTGGTAATGGTGCTCAGCTTTCCCACGGCAGCCCCAAGAGTCTGACTTTAGAGAATTCCTCACATATTCTGCCAGGGCAGACACGTGACTAATTTATTTCTGTTCTAAAAGACCTCAGAGAAGAAGACTGGTCTAGAATATCTCTGAAAGTTAGAGCACATTGCAACAGAGTGGATATTTATTTTTATTTTATTTAAAAAAATGATTTAAAGATACTACGATGTCAAGATGACATCGTTAGGTGATATGGTCGTAATATGTTGGGACTAATGTACTCAAATGAGTGGGTCACTGAGTCAAGTCATGGGTTCATACTCAAGTTCATCATCTAATTTTTAGCCCTTTATTATTTTTGAGTAAAAATAGCATTTAAAAATACTGTTTTAATAAATACTGAAACATACTCATTATAAAGACAGACTAGGTAATAGAAAGTTTAAGTGAAAGTCTCCACCCCATACTCACGTCTCTCAATTCCTTACCCAGAGAAATTTGCTGTTAAGTGTGATGTATAGCCTTTTAGCCATTGTTTGTATATACAGTTGGTTGGATGAGTTAAAGTACAAATCCCTAGAAGTAGAATTTTCCAATCAAAGTTTTGTGCATTTCAAATGTTGAAAGAAAATGCCAATTGCATACCAAGCCCTTTAAATGGATTTGATCAACTCATTTAAGCACATGGCTGGATGCAAGTGAAAACCCCATCCGGCCACATCTCTAGGACAGCATTGGGCTAGCTCAAGTATGGTAGACCAGGGGACAGTAGCACTCCACACCCCAAGGGCTTTGGAAATTTGTAGGAGGAGAGGTATTTTGTTGTCGCCATGACTGGGAGGTTAAAATAAGGGATTGGGAGATTAGGCTTGATGCAGTGCACAGGGCGGTTCCACACAATTAAACATTGTCTTGTGTCCCACACAATTTACAAATATTTTGGTGGGCATTCATATTGGTGAAGAACCTGCTTATTATTCTGGGCCCAGAGCCTAACTACATTTTACATATAAATTCAAAGTTGGTTTTTGCTGTTGTTGTTGTTCATGGTTTTAATATACATTGACGTTTTTAGGAATATAACCACCATGTAAATTGAGAGTTAAAACATTATGGAAAATTGCCTCACTGTGGCATTTAAGCCATAGACCAACATATCTTTATCAGTCTATATTCACTACTAGGGCATTTGCAGGGATTCTATGTATAATCTCTATGCCTAAGCTTATATATTTAGAGCATTATACTGACTTTTAAAAAAACGTGTGGAGTAAATTATAGTATTTATTTCACTTAAGGTACACTACAAAATATTTGTTATAAAAGGAGCTGTGTCGGGCCGGGCACAGTGGCTCATGCCTGTAATCCCAGCACTTTGGGAGGCTGAGGCGGGTGGATCACCTGAGGTCAGGGATTTGAGACCAGTCTGGCCAAAGTGGGCGAAACCCCTTCTCTTCTAAAAATATAAAAATTAGCCAGATGTGCTGGCATGAGCCTATAATCCCAGCTACTCGGGAGGCTGAGACAGGAGAATCCCTTGAACCTGGCGGGCTGGAGGTTGCAGTGAGCTCAGATCATGCCATTGCACTGCAGCAACAAGAGCAAAACTCCATCTCAAAAAAAAAAAAAAAAAAAAAAGCTGCGTCTGACAAGGTTGAAACCCACTGCTCCAGAGAGCAGTCACATTTCCTGGTTCAGATGTGCTCTGCTGGCTCATGTGGCCTCTGGTTCTCTGATTCCGCTTGGCTGGCTCCTGAGGTGTTCACCTCCTTCTCCATGCCCCAGAACCCATAGGTTAAGAGTTACTCCAAGCTTACACCACAGTCTCAGAGAACATGACCAAGACGGGTCCACTCTGCCTTGTGCACTCCAAAGGAACAGGCAACTTGTTGGCAGAAGAGTTCCTCTCAGTTCCTAGGAGAAAGCAAGTTGACCAACCTAGTGACCATGAAGCACGCCTGAGAGGAGTGAAAACAAGAAGATACTCGCTCCCTGCCTATGCTAACTAGTGCTTTTTGCAGTTGTAGGTATGGAAGGAGAGAGTGCAAGTGTAAGAGATTATTTAGTTGCATTTCAGGATATTTCTTAGTCTCCCTCTTATTCTCCTAAAATGATTTATTACTGTTTTTTGACCTTTGTTTTACATAACATGAAAATCCTTTCTCCAAAATATTGACTTCCTATGGAATTACAAGACTCTGAAATTTTAAAAAGAAGAAATCTGAATCCATCACTAAAATGTCAGCCTCATCCAGAATGCAAGTTGTATGAGTGTAGGGTTCTGCATGTTCTGTTCATCATTCTAGTCCCAGCATGTAGAACAGTACCTGATCTGTTCTCAATGATATTGATTGAATTAATAAATTCAGACATTGTGTAAAGAATCCTTTCCTTTTTTTTTTAAGTTACAGAGCTGTGACAAATATTCCTCTTAATTCCCCATGCAACCGTGCTTCCAAACGTCAAAAATCAAACCTTTTTATACAACCTTGTTGAACCCTAATCTCCTAATTTACTCCAGTGTCATGAAGAACCAGTATTGTGCTGGATCGCTGTAACATAGGAATATCGCACAGACTTATGTATAATGAGTATCATCTAGAAATCATGAAATCCCTCTTAGGGCATTTCATTCTTGAAACTGTGTTTTGTGGCCAGGCGCGGTGGCTCACGCCTGTAATCCCAGCTCTCAGGGAGGCAAGAGGCAGGAGGATAGCTTGAGCCCAGGAGTTCGAGACCTGCCTGGGCAATATAGCGAGGCCCCGTTCTCCAGAAAATGGAAAAAAAAAAAAAAAGATAAAACTGTGTTTTGTTTGTTTTCCTTTTCAGTGTTTCGTCTGCAAATCAAATCTATCACTCTTGTTTCTCTTTTAAAGCAATGTGAAAAATCAAGTGTCCTGCTTATTGACATTGTTAAGATAGAATTGCAGTGTTCTGGGGGTATAGGTCATCAAACTTTGAGCATATATGTGCTGAAAGTTGGTGTGCCCTGGAGTGTGCCAGGCAATTTTCCTTCAGTCTGTGCTGTAACTGGTAGTTTCTGCAGTTTTAGGTGTGGAAGAAGATTGCAAGTAGCAATCTGAAAAATCCGCCTTATCTACTTCAAAAGAAGGGGGCAATGACTTAGCATTGTTCCCAGCCTGCTCTGTGTCATCAAAGGCACATGTTTGAAAGACTGGTTGTCTGGCTGGGCACGGTGGTTCACGCCTGTAATCATAGCACTTTGGGAGGCCGAGGGGGGTGGATTACCTGAGGTCGGGAGTTTAAGACCAGCCTGGCCAACATGGTGAAACTCTGTCTCTACTAAAAATATGAAAAATTAGCCAAGTGCAATGGCATGCGCCTGTAATCCCAGCTACTCTGGAGGCTGAGGCAGGAGAATCACTTGAACCTGGGAGGCGAACATTGCGGTGAGCCAAGATCATGCCACTGCACTCCAGACTGAGCTACAGAGCGAGACTTCATCTCAAAAAAAAAAAAAAAAAAAAAAAAAAAGACTGGTTCTCCATTCCTGTGGTAGGCAATGTACCCCACAAAATATCACTGCCCAATCAAAGGCCTATATAAAAGTACTAACTGATCCTAAAAGAAACAGAAAATAACAGGCACTCTTCCTATGTTTCTTCATTTATCTACCTTTGTGGACATCTGCTGAAAATTGTGTATCCACCATAACTCTTACTCAGTTACAATCATAGTATAACCATTGTATTAGGACCTGAGATAGATGCAAAAATAAATATGATGCAGTCCTTGGCCTTGAAGATTTTACAGTGTGGTAGGGAAATATGGATATAGAGATTTACATGCAAAGAAGTCCTTGAATTGGATAGATTCATGTGGAAACACAGAAAAAAGAGTAACTAATTCTTCCTAAAGTGAGTGTTTGGGTAGTGAAAGAAAATTAGGAAAGGCCTCATAGGAATGAGATTTGACCTTGGCTCTGAATAATAAAAAGCATTCAAGTCATAGAAAACACCAAATGTAAGGCTGAGAGTAGAAATAAGGATGATGTCTCTAGCAAATGGAAAGTTTGGAGGACTTAAAGGAGAAAAGTGTGGAAATAAGTCAGGAGATGAGACTGAAAGTGGAAGTTTGAAAACTTTTCTTAAAGGGTATCATATATTGGGCTGAGAAGTTTAGACTTAAGGACTTATCTTATCATATGCTAGATGGAGTGGAGAGAAGACAGGCTGCAGGCATAGTGACCATTAGAACACATTTAGGAAAACTTAGGAGGAGAGATAGCAGGGCAGCAACCTTGGGCACTGGCCTTCAGTAGAAGTGATAACCTCAAAGGCCTCTAGGGCTCTGCAGGTATCTTGAATAATTAAAGGGCTGAGTATAAGGCAACAGAAAGTCGTGGGACCTACAGTGGCAGAAAGACTAGGTGCGCCAAAGCACTCAAATTCAATAAAAAAAGTAACAACGACAACATCTTTGTTGAACAAATAGAGCTCATCTGGGGATCAGATTTGTTCTGCAGATGTCAGTTTGCCACTCCTTGATCAATATAGAATGATCTGTTTACTCTCTTTTTGGTACCCTTTCAGAAGAGACAGCATTCCTGATCTTCTCTGGTGAACTATGCTGGTGTTCGGTCACTCTGAAAGTCAAAGACTTTGGTACTTTCTCAACTTCTGCTTCTTTAGTTCAAATTCACTTCCTTTTTTTCTACCTTCAGTGTGGCCACAGATCATTTGGTTCCCCGCCTACCCATTCTTAGAGTCTTTCATATTTTTTACCTTCCAACTCAAAGTACATTTTGTTTAAAATCAATACATGAAATTATAGTAATAACCACAACCAAGATTTGCATAACACTTCATGCTTAAGATGCATTTTCATCCCCTTTTTTTGAGGTAGATAAGGCAAATTTTTCAGATTAAAAAAAACCCAGACTTCATTTAAATGGCATATGCAAGTCATACAGCTGGAAGATGGCAGTGGAACTTTGGTCTCTCTCACTAAGTCAGTTTGCTCTTTTCTTGACCTCATCGTGCCTCCCATGGCCTCTTTGCAAGTTGGATGACTCATCTGCATATTTGTTCTGTCTAAGTACAGAGAAGAAGAATACTGGTTCAGAACTTAGAAAACAATGGCATTTTAATAAAAATGACACTTTGGACCTTAAAAACATTAAATTAATCTTTTCTTTAAACCCACAATTTTGTTGACAGTGTGCTAAAATGATGAATATTTAAAAGTTTAATTTTTTTTCTTAATATGGAAAATTTATTCCACTGACTACTTTTAAAACTCTTTAACTTTGAACTCAGTCATTTGTTTATCCATCAAATCTTCATTATCAGATATTGTGCTAGAAATACAAAAAGGAATAAAACATGGTTTCTGGCAGCAACTCAAGCTCCAGGTCATTTCTGATTGCCTCCATGCTGGACCCAAGAACTGACTATCTTCTGAAGGCTTTTCCCCTAATACCCCTCTGAAAGGATTTGTACAAATATATCAATATTTTTGATGGGACCATCTCAAGTTTTACTCAACTATAAGCAAAACTGGCAAGCATATAGCATTCTTTGGACAATAGGTAAACAGAAAAATCATGTTGCCTACAAATGTATTTTTAAACCAAAAAAATGTGGGGGATGAGGGTGATGATCCAACTCAGAGAACAGCCATTTTCAGTAGACTGTTTTGAAAAAACAACTGATTTGTCTTCTTGTTAAGATTCAAGAGAGAATTGCATTTATGTAACTTGAATAAACATCTAAAATAATTAAGGATTGCCTGAATTTGAAAATCATGACTGCCAAATTTAAAACAGAGATGGAAGCAGCCAATAGAAGAAAATCAGTTAGTGAAGTACAAAAGAATTTGCAAAACTCTCCCAGAACACAGAAGAAATGGGTAAAAGATTGAGGTGATGAGTGAGATTTAAAAATATGGGGAAAAGATCACGGAGATTCAATCAAGGAATATAGAATTCCCAAAAGAGACAACTGAATTGTTGGGCCAGAAACAAAGATCAAAGTGTTAAGATAAGAAAAGATCCAGAGAAACTCAGTGTAAACATCTGGACATTGAAGGTGTGAATAACATTCCCATTCACGTTGTTTTGTCATAACAAAACAATGACAATGCTCAATCATTAACAGAATGTAAAAATCCTAGACATTTTCACCACCCTGTCCCCCTACTCCTGCCCCCGCCCCCGGCCCGCAACGCACACAAAATAAAACCAACAACAACCCACCAAGTTATCTACTGTGTCTGTTAGGATTCCTGCAGGAAACAGCAACCACCTCTGATGGTTTCATGAAGAGACTTTAATAAAGGCACTACTTACCGAAAGGATTAAAAGAGCAAACAGGAAGGTGAGGCACCCAGAGACTAGCAACAACCTGTTGATGTCTCTTGGGCTAAAGAAACAAGAAGAGGAAGTAAAGTTAGCAGAGCAGGGGCCCTGTATGTGTTCTAAAATCACAAAGGGACACAGCTGCTGTTAAGAGATTCTGCACTGGGCTAGGGGAAATGGGGAAAAGGTAAGTTCTGACCTCTCTCTCCCCTCCTGCCCTCTGATCACCTGCTGGTACTTTCCATTGCCTGAACCCAGCCCGGAGCCAGCAGGCAAGGGGGCCAACAGAGGCAGAAAACAGCTGTGAGCCTTTTAGTGGTCACAGCAAGGTAGAGAAACATTGAATGGATTTGGAGGGCTGGGTGAGGACTTGAATAAGGAGTATATTTATCAAGGATCAAATAACTAGTTCAATTGAGAAATACTCAGTTAGCTTTGGAAAAAAAAATACTATAGTACACGGATTCCATATTCAAAAATACTGTAGTACATTAATTTGTTGTTCATGTGTGAATGAAGTAAAAAAATAGTCAAGGATAAGCAAGGACTTAGGGAAACTTCTAGATGATTCAATGAGTGTAAGACAAACTCAATCTCTGCTCTCTGAGCTTATATTCATGTTAAAATTAATTTGTAATGAACAGTGTCATGTGCTGGGAGGAAAAACTTCTCCTCTCCCAACTCAGGTCCTACTGGTTGGGGGCCTGTGAATTAAGTGACAATAAACAGATTAATAGGAGAAAAATATATTAGGCATGCAGGAGTACCTTATATAGAGAGTAGCTCCCAGAACAGTTAGAGTCTCTTAGACTATTAGTCTAGTAAGACAGTCTATTAGTCTCTAATAAGAAGGGCAGAAGTTAGAGTTTCAAAGGTTGAAAGGTTCTGATGGGGCTCATTCACACCATTTTTTTGGATTGTCCTGTTGTGCAAGGCCACTACCTTCTTGAATGGACACCTCCCCAAAGGGGCTTCAGGGGCAGCTGACTCTCATAAAACACTGTCAGATGAAGGAAATTCAAAGATTTCTTTCTGAATCTTCTGCAGCTCAGATGTCTTTACTTTGAAGTATCTCCATACCAGTTTGATGGGCTGTTGGTCTCTTCACATGGTAAGGAAAGTGGAAGCACAGGGTGCTACAGGTATACCTTGGAAGGGAAGAACCTGGTTCAGCATGATTAGGGAGAGCTTGGAAGGAAGTGGGGTCTTAGTTGAGACTGAAGGGTGAGTAGATGTTAATCAGGCACAGCACCTCAGGAGAAATCCAGGAAGAGGGATCAGTAATATGTACCATGTACCATCAGGTTGGCACCCAGTAGGTATTGAGCAACCATGATACGAGAGTTAATTAAAATAACCTAACAACTAAAAGTCTTAAGAAAATGTTCACAGGGAACTGATGTTATATATACATTTAGGAAGTATATACTGATCGTCCATTAAGGAGCTGGCACTGGGACACAAAAACAAGTAAAATGTATTCAGACCCATGCTTTTGACTGGGCAGTCCCAGAGGGAAGCAGGTAGAGACTTAGAGAATTAAATAAGCCCTTGATGAGAACTGTATTCAAAGCACCATAGGGAAGTGTGGTTGCTATGATGCATCCTATCTCCCCACTTGTCTGCTGAAAAGAGCTTTGATTTGATGTGCTGCACTTGACCCCTGGATCATCTCCTTTCCTCCTCAGAACTTTGCTGTTATGTTTGGGGATATTCAAAGTGTCACTAATAAACTTAATATTAATGCCTTTATCATCCTTGTCAATGAGAACCATAGAGGAGAAAAGATTTCTTATCCATTGCTAGGTTCATAGCTGAGGCTTCTATAACAAAAGACAGATATAGATTAATAGGAGAAAAGCATACAAACTTATTTAATATAAGTCTTGCATGACACAGTAGCCTTCAGAAATGAAGATCGAAAGAGTCAGAGAAACCTGTGTATTTTCATTCCTGAGTTTGATGAAGAAATGGATAGTTGTGGAAAAGTATGACTGGGTAAAAGAAGTATGGTCTAATGATGGTAAACCAGGAGGAGCTTAGCAAAGCTTGTTTGTTCTCTGGGTCTTCAGAGCTCACATGAAGGTCTTATGGCCTATTCAGGTGAAGGTCAGAAACTCCATTTCTAGAACTAATAGCCTGCTTCAGGGGAGAAGGGTGGGAGAAGGTCAGAGAGAGACGTTCCTGCTTCTGCAGTTTTCTCAAACACCAAGGTGCCATATTTGGGGATAGCATATCCTCAGCCCCATCAGAATCATATTCTCAAAGATCTGTCAGCCAGTTGGCAATACTATCTCTGTCTCCACTCTTCATTTCCTTTCATTTCTATGCTTTATCATGGTAAGAGAAATAGTGCAGCTAACTGTTTAGTTTCCCAGAAATTTGGAGGAAATTACTGAGGAAATATCTTGTCAAAAATCTCTTTTTAAATTTGTTTATTCAAATGAAGAAAGCATAGGGAATTCTTGAATAGTTCTACATTAAAAGGCATATCTTGTATTGACTAACAAAGATTTTCTCCTTGACAAAATTTTAATAAGGCTCCTCTGAGCCCTCTGCTTGACTAGACCCACCTTGGGCTTCTGTCTCCATCCTTGCGGTAGAGTCCAGTTTGGGCAAGAATCCTGTCAAGTCGATTTACACAGAGTCTTCCACCCTCCATATCTAATCAAATTACCTGTACCCATCCCCCACCATGTCCCAGGTGACATCTAATCACCCTGGCCTGCCTTCAGAAGAATCTTGTTATGTCAGTTTAGTGAAGAATTACCCTACTGATATGGTTTGGCCCTGTGTCCCCACCCAAATCTCATCTCAGATTGTAATCCCCATAATTCCCATGTGTCGAGGGAGGGGCTTGGAGGGAGGTGATTTGATCATGGGGATGGTACCCCCATGCTGTTCTCCTGATAGTGAGTTCTCACAAGATCCAGTGGTTTTATAAGCGTTTGGCAGTTCCTCCTTCATGTCCTCTCTCTCTTGCCACCATATAAGATGTGCCTGCTTTCCCCCCCACCATGATTATGTTTTCTGAGGCTTCCATGTGGAACTGTGAGCCAATTAAACCTTTTTGCTTTGTAAATTACCCAGTCCCAGGCAGTTCTTCACAGCAGTGTGAAAACAGATTAATATAACTACCCTTTTAGTGAGGTTCCATCCGTGGAACCCCCCAACTCTGCTCATTGGCTGTAAATTCCCACTTTTCCTGGCTGTATTTGGAACAAGCCCAATTTCTCTCCTCTACTGCAAAACCCCATTGAAGGAATCCTGAGTAAAGTCTGCCTTACTGTTCTTAACAAAAGTGTGAGAATAATTTTTTTTTAACATGACACACATTTCAGTAATCATTATCCTTAATAATTCTTTAAGGGACATACAAAGAAAAAAAGTAGCACAAAAAAGGGAAATAACCACAAAATGTGCTTGGTAATAAGGTACATATAGCCTAAAATGAGATCATCAATAATTAGAATTGTTCAAAGTTACTTCTCCTCTGGAAAAATAAGATTTTTATATTTATAGTTAAATGTGTAATTAAGTATTCTATGCATGTCATGTATAAAGGTATATTTATGCAATGTAATTTTAATCAGCTTTCTATATTATTTATCAATAAAAATAAGAAAAAACCAAGAGTGCTTTGGACTTTAATATGCAGAATCTTAACTCTCACATCCTGTCACTTTTGTGGGAAAAAGTAAATGGTTGGATAAGAAATATGCTGATTGAACTTATTTTCAAGTTATGAAAATAATGTGATTCTTGGTAGCTATGAAAACAGAGTAGTCTCTAATGAAATATATGCATGAAGGGAGCTATTAAGTCACACTTTATCTTCTTTATCTGAGTTTGTGATAAAATGTTCCCCACTGCTTAAAAAAAGCTGCAGTGAATTGAAGAGCTAAACTCTCTCCATCAAGGGACTAATGATTCTCCTGTTAAAATGTAAATGGAGCGGCCTTGAGTGGTTTAAAGCTTGCTAGGAAAGACTGTGGAATTGTCATTATCCTGTCATTACTGTGGCTCCCCACAGGAGCAATTGTAAAGGGGAAGGAGGGTTGAACTGAACTTCTAAGTGCCAGGGACACTTCTTGTAGCATTGAGGCAGTTAAGAGAAGAGCCTGGTATTCCAGAGATGGCAAGTGAGGAAGCAAGCACAGGAAAGCGTTTTAGAAGGTGATATATTAATAGTTTGGATATTTGTCCCCACTCAAGTCTCATGCTGAAATGCAATTCCCAGTGTTGCAGGTGGGACCTGGTGGGAGGTGTTTGGATCAAGGGAGTGGATTTCTTATGAATGGTTTAGCACCATTTCCTTGGTGCTGGCCTCCAGATAGTGAGTTCTTGTAAGACTTGGTCATTTAAAAGTGTGCGGCTCCCCACTGCCCCACTCTCTCTCTTGCTCCTGCCTTTGCCATGTGATGTGCCTGCTCCCACTTCACCTTCTGCCATGATTTTAAGCTTCCTAAGCCCCCAGAAGCAGATGCCAGTGATGTGTTTCCTGTTTAGCCTGCAGAACTGTGAGCCAAGGAAACCTCATTTCTTATAAATTATCCAGCCTCAGGTATTTCTTTTTGGCAGTGCTAGGACAGCCTAATACAGAAGGTCAGGTTAGAGAGAAAGTCCTGGGTAGACTCAGAGGCCACAGCCACTGTTGGGGTGGGTGAGGACAGGTCTGAAAAGATTATGATTTTTTTTTTTTGGAAGCCAAAATAAATCATTCTGTTGCTGGGTTCAATCTGGACTTTATTCTTTCAGAGCAGAAAGGGGCTCAAAGGCAAGAAATTGTCCTTGGACTGGAAAGCAGAAATGAAGTAAAACAGGAGAGGTCCATGCGCCTCTGAAATTGTGTGTAAAAATGCATGTGTCTCTGTGTCTCTGCCTCTGTGGGGAGAAGATCAGATCTTTAGCAAGCATCAGATTCTCAAAGGGGTCAATAACTCTATCCTCTTTTCCCCTTCTCCCTTCGCCAAAGAAACTAACAAAAAGTCACTGAATTAGAAATGAAACTTCCCATTTATGGAGTTCTTGTCATCTGAAAGAGAAGTGTCAACAGGGGCCACTTGAAAGAATTTATTGTTTTAGACATGCCAAGAGAATTGATTAACCTAAGCTTATAGTTGTAATGTTTTCTCCCTCAACTATATGTCATTTATCTCTAAACTCCTTCACACTATAGCGAAATTTAATTGTGCATTGAAGTGAATCTGTGTTAAACTAATGGGTTAAGTGGAATGAAGGAAAGTCTTCTGAGAAGAAATTAAAGTGCAGAACTCAAAGGACTAGACTTTCAATCTATTTTTCATAGGATATCTTCCCTCCTGTTCCTCCCACCTTCAGGCCCCAGCCCATATGTAGCATCAACAAAAACCTGCCTTTTCCTACCAGACTGTATTACCCACATGACTTTCATCTTTACTCACAAGATTCATTTTCCGTATTATGTATATGTTTGGGCCCTTTCTCTGTCTGTCCCCATGCTACTTAATGTGGAGTGACAAAACCTGGGTACCACACCGGAGCAAGGTGTCATTATCAGTGTGGCATTCGCTGTCCATGTCAGGTTGGGTTTGCAGGCGGCTTGCAGTCCAGGCATCTGGCAGCTGCTCTTTGTGTAAGGTTAGTTCCATTGCAGTGCTGAGCAGCATTCTCAGGAGGCAGGTAGCATCAGAGGCACTTAGAAATGGAAATGGTTGGCACTGAACTTGGTGACTGGGCTCCTTTTATGTCATTTAAGGATTTATTCATCATCTAGCTGGAGGGGAAGTATGTGCATGTTCTCAGTAGTTATAAGTTTAATGCCAGAATATAGGCACACATTGCTGGCAGTCTTTTTAATGATATGATAAAAAGCTTTCAGAGGCGAGAAGGTAATGGTGGGGAGCAAGAGACTGTGACAAAAATAGGGACGTCATAATTTGCCTCTCCTCCACATTCCTGAATTAGAATGTATGGGAAATTGACTCTGGGGTAAAGCTATTTCTGCTCTTCTCTGCTCTCATCCATTTAGTGCAAATGAAAATGCTGAAAAATTATGGACCCAGAAATCCTAATGTACATGATGTAACGGAATCTTAAAGACATGAACAAGAACATCTAAAAATATTTTCCTTGATAGAAATCTGATATAACCAGGACATTTGATAAGATTATAAATTAATTCACCTATTATTCTAGAAGCAAAACTAGTTAGGCTAAGGATACGGTGTATAATATAGCAAAGAAAGCTTTTTCCTTTCTGGAAATACTGTTTTTCAAAATGAGTATTCAAATTTTTTAAGAGGAAAATTCATACTAGAATTTTATATACATATATTTTTTCACGTGTTAAAACTTTTAGAACAAAAACCTTAACATACTCCCTGAATTTTATATTTCTTACAAAGGATATTGAATTAAGTATTCAAGAGTGTTTTAAGTATATTTATTTTCTGTGGCATTATACTTAGCCAAAATCATTTTATGCTATATGCATTTTCTATATTTTACTTTTTTTAAAGAAAATATAATTTTATACTTGTTTTAATATTAAAGATGATTTTGAAATAATTTCATATTGTGGACAGTCCTACACTTCACAGATTCATTTGTAAAATTTTAATGGAGCATTTTGTTTAAAGAAGGGACTTCATATCAGAAGAACAATTTCCCAGGTGGAACTCTTCTCAAGTGTGATCTCCTACTATTATAGTTTGAAGTTCAGAAGTCTTTAATAATGTCACTCCAACAGTATTTGTGTCCTATAAATTAAATATTTTAAGTAAAAATAGGTGAAGGGCATTTACCATCATATTTGTTTACATTTTTTAAACAAATGTATTTTATATACTAGCTCTATCTACTTAAAAAGCCTAGAAAGTGACCAATCCAATACCAATAAACTCCTCTACCAGCCAGATAGTGGTCTCTAAGCAACCATTTCCCACTAGAACAAAATAGGGCTTGTTGGAGAAATGGCCGATTTCAGGTCAAGGGCAAGACGAGCCTTGCATATCATATGTGAAAGCTGGGAAGCTATTAAAGCCAATTGAAGTCATGTCAAAAAAACTCAGGAGCCAACTTGGGGAGGCATCCACCCACCCAAAGATGAAATCAGTGGATTATGAAATATATGTGATGCTCAAATTGAAGCATATCGAATACACTTAAGTTCTTAAGTTCATAATGACGTTGGGGGGCAAAAGCTCATTAGAAAAAAAATACTCATTCGTCAACTTTAGAGGATGCCAGGGAATCAATTCATCATTTTGATACTGTTAAATAAAGGGACAGAATCAAGCATTCTGGTTTTCCAAAATGAACTGTACCACAGGATAACCAAATGTTTGAAGAGGGGAACCTTCTTTTTACAGAATTTTAACGAATGGTTATAGAAGGAATAATATACTTAGAATGTTACCACTTTGGAATCTTGAATGAAATAATGGATCTAGGGAATGATTACCGTGAGCTACTAGCATCACAAAAAGAGAGACAATCATATATTATGTGCCTCCTGATGGAAGTACACACCACTGTTCATAAAATCTTCCTGCCAAAAATTGAACCTGATCCAATCAGCCTCTGCAGCCAGCTACCAAATTATAGGAGATACATAGGATAGAGGAATATGTTAAACTATTCCACTGGCATGGAACCAGCACAGTCTAGAAACTTTACAAGACAAACAAACCACAAACCAAGGTATTTTCAGCAAATGAATTGCAAGGGGAACAGACAAAGGGAGATACCCCTATGAAATAAATGGGATTTGAGACACACCAACCAATTGCAATACATGAACTTGATTTGATACTGATTCAAACATTTAAGTCATTTAGAAATGATGGGTAAAAGGAGAAATTTCAACACCAACAGGATATTTGATGATAGCAAGCAATTATCATTAATTTGGGTAGGTGTAATAATAATGTTGTAGTTACATTTTTAAAAAGAGTTATTTTATTTTATTTTATTTTATTTTATTTTTTCCCAAAACGGAGTCTTGCTCTGTTGCCCAGGCTGGAGTACAGTGGTGCGATCTCGGCTCACTGCAATCTCCACCTCCCGGGTTGAAGCAATTCTCCTGCCTCAGCCTCCTGAGTAGCTGAGATTACAGGCGCCCCCCACCATGCCTGGCTAATTTTTGTATTTTTAGTAGAGACGGGGTTTTACCATGTTGGCCAGGCTGGTATTGGACTCCTGACTTCGTGATCCGCCCACCTCGGCCTCCCAAAATGCTGGGATTACAGGCATGAGCCACCGTGCCCGGCCAAAAAAGAGTTATTTTAAAGTTTTGTACTGAAATATTTACAGATAGAGTTTGCTTCGAAACAATCTAAGTGGTTAACAGAAAGAGGAGATGTGGGTAAGACTATAGATGAAACAAATTTGGCTATGAGTTGATGATCATTAGAGCTGGGCGCTTGTCCATGAAGATTCACTATTTTACTTTCTCAACTCTAGTAAGGGTTTCAAATTTTTATAATTAAATTTTATAATTAAATGTTTAACAAATATTTTGAAGATTTTTCTTAACGATTGTTTTAATATCTTTCCTTACCCATCCTTATTTAAGTTTTTTAAAAAGGCCAATTATGATCTCAAATAGAACTGACTCAGATATCTTAGTTCTTTTAATTGGTAAACAAATCAAAACTAAGCTCTGTTTCTGAAGCTCCATTTCCTCTTCCAAGACTTCTCTGTTAACTCTAGCAGTTAGAGAAAATACACACTTTATCGCTATTCCAAAGGGAGACGAACTGGGCTGCAACAGCCAGCTCTGCTGTGACATAGAGCATGCTCTTTCCTCCTGGCTTATAACTCAGATCTACTGAACAGTAAGGATAATAATTTAGTGGTGCATGTACACTTCAATAAATGCCCACTTGAGGAAAATTTTCAAAGGGAAATATAAATATGCAAACTGAACTCAAAATTTCAAAATGTCATGAAGAAAAATTTTATTTATGTATGTATATAGTTATATATTGAACCACAAGCTTTATCTGAGTACTTATCTTTTTGGTAAGCAAGATAAAATTTCTATCCTCAAAGAATTCAAAATCTTAAAATAAAAAAATCAATGTTTACAACTTATTTTTTTTAATATTATAATAGTGTCTGTCTCTTAACTGTTTTGCCTTAGCATCTTGCAATATCTGGCACATAAAGAATATAAATGAATATTTCATAGATAGATGGATGGACAAACGATGTTATTGAGGGATGTGGTGGGAGATAAAATAAGAGATACCTGAAGGTCAGGTCCAAAAGGGCCAGGCATACCATGCTAGGAAAATACTCTTTATGTGGAAGGCTAGGAGCATTTTGTTGTTACTGTCATTTTAATATTACTTTTTTTAAAGAACAGTTTCTGGTTCACAACAAAATTGAAGGTAGAGACATTTTTCTTCTATTCTCTACGCCTACATATGTGCAGCCTCCCCAACTATCAACATCCTGTACCAGAGTAGTACATTGGTGACAATCAATGAACCCACATTGACATATTATAATCACACAAAGTTCGTAATTTACATTAGGGTTTGCTCTTGGTGTTATACATAGTGTGGGTTTGGACTAATCTGTAATGAGATGGATCCACCATTATAGTATCACACAGAATAGTTTCACTGCCCTGAAAAGTCCTCTGTGCTCTGCCTAGTCATATCTCCCTCCTCACTAACCCCTGGCAGCCACTGATTCTTTTACCGACTCCAAAGTTTCTGCCTTTTCTGGAATGTCAGATAATTGGAATCATATAGTATGCAGGCTTTACAGATTGGCTTCTTTTACTAGTAACATGCATTTAAGTTTTCTTCATGTCTTTTTCACAGCTGGACAGCTCATTTCTCTTCAGTGCAGAATAATATTCCATTGACTGGATGTACCATAGTTTATCCACTCACTTGCTCAAGAGAACATATTGGTTGCTTCCAAATATTGGCAATTATAAATATAACTGCTATAAAAATTTATGTGCAGATTTTTTGTGGACATGTTTTAAACTCATTTGGGTGATATCAAAAAGCACAATTGCTAGATCCTGTGGTAAGAGTATGCTTAGTTTTGTAAGAAACTGCCAAACTCTCTTTCAAAGAGACTACCATTTCTCATTCCTGCCAGCAATGAATGGGAGTTCCTGCTGCTCCACATTCTCACTGGCAATTGGTGTTGTCAGTGTTCTGGATTTTGGCCACTTTAATAGGTATGTAGTGGCATCTCATTGTTGTTTTAATTAGCAATTCCTTAATGATATATGATGTTGAGTATCTCTCCATATGCTTATTTGTCATCTGTATATCTTCTTCAGTGAGGTGTCTATTCAGTCTTTTGCCCACATTTTAATCTGGTTGTTTATTTTCTTATTGTTGAGTTTTAAGAGTTCTTTGAATATTTTGGATTACAGTCTTTTATCAGCTTTCTCTTTTGCAATTTTTTTTTCTCTCAGTCTGTAGCTTGTCTTCTCATTCTCTTGACAGTGTTTTTCACAGAGCAGAAGTTTTTAATTTTAACGAAGTCCAGCTTATCAATGATTTCTTTCACACATCATGCCTTTGGTGTTGTATCTAAAATGTCATCTTCAAACTCAGGTTATTATCTAGGTTTTCTCCCATGTTATATTCTAGGAGGTTCATATTATAGTTTTATCTTTTACATTAGGGTCTACGATTCCTTTTGAGTTAATTTTTGTAAAGGGTATAAAGTCTTAGTCTAGATTTATTTATTTATTGCTTGTGGATGTCCGGTTATTCTAGCATCATTTGTTGATAAGACGAGAGGAGTTTTAAAAGCTTTTAGAAATGAGAGTATATGTCTTAAGAAACCAAAGGAGAAATTTTTAAATTGTCTTTCATTTGCTCTTCCAGGATAAAAATACACTCTACCATAATCAAATAAGGAATTCATTTACCAATATTAGACATAAAGCAATTAATAACCTCTATCGCAGGAATCCAAAAATACTTATTTATGTATTCTATGGTCTTCAAAAGAGTGAGGAATCTCATTTTTTCAATTGTTATACTGGGAAGAAGCATATTATTATGAATATAAAATATATAGCTGAATTCACTGAAGAAACAGTCACACATGAGATCTCTAAATTCACAAAACAAAAATATTGTATGAACTGAAGACAAACTGTCAGTTCACAATTGATTGTTGTTTATAATCATCATTTTAAATAACAAAATGGGATTTTTGTTGTTTAATAACAATACAAGCTATAAAAGATAATTATATCAAATATAGTTATCATTAATACTTGAAATTCTTGCTGCTACTCAAAAACTACAAAAGGGAAAAGTCTGTTGTAGTAAAGAAAGAAAAAGACAGACATTACCATTAAACACAATTCATATGGTACCTTGTACCCAGATTGCAAAACTGCAAATTCCGTTTACATTGATTCTAGGTGCAATATAGATAAAGCTAGTTCAAAAACATAATTAATTCTACTAAGATTTGGGAGCAAAATGAAATAGTAATATTCATTCATTCATTCAACATTTATTATGCCTCTACCATGACTAAATAAATGAAGAAACAGTATTATAGTAGAACAAAGATGCATCAGACAGAGACCCACTCCCAAAGACCACACCTTCTGCTAGAGTAGGTAAGAACCTACTGAAATGACATAGTTAAAATAGAACAAGATCTGGAGATAAAAGAGGCACAAATTAGTTGCTAGAGATTTCAGGGAAGAAAAAAATTATTTCCAGCTGGGAAAATCAGGAAATATTTCACAGAGGAGAAAACATTTGAGCTAAATCTTAGGAAATTGAGGGACCCTACCATCTGCCACAGCCTTTCTGTGCAGAGCCTGCTTGTTTCACAAATCTCAAATACCTGAGTTTGAGGAGATGAGGGTGTTGTCCTCTCCTTGCACCCTCTTCTTGTTTCTACACCGCTACTCCTTCTCTATCCTGTAAAAGCTCTGTTCCCCTGAGGTTCTTGCCATTGAACTTTCTACCCTCTCCCACTTCTTGTTGCTGACGGCCAACAGCCTCTGATTATTCCCCTTCTGTCACTGCCAAACGGGGTTCCTGGAACATCTTCCTTTTCACCATGACCACCTATGATTCTTGCTGGATTCAAGACACACATAAATAGGGCTGCTGCTTACAGCCATGTATGTCCAGGAGGCTGCTCCATCTGTGTCGCCATCAATGATTTGCATAGAGATTTTGACAGATTCTGGCAGATGATGATAAAACATTTTGAGGAAGGGGGTGCCATTTTCTAATTTGCATAAAGTCTCCATATTGGCTGGTAGCAGGGCTGCATATGGATAATTCATTCAATGTTCTGACCCCTTTGTTCTTTGACCTCCACACCTATTACCTTGACCACTACCCCCCTTCAGCCATATGATCCCAGAGTCACTTCCTGGATTTTGTCACGCCCGGATATTAGACTATATCCTAAACAACAAATCTAGAGACCTTACTTTCCTACCTTAACTTCCCTTGTTTCTAGCTCACTTTACTCAAGTGTGCCTTTGAAACAATTTTCCTTTCTAGTTGATACCGTCAAGTCATTCTCCTATTTTATCTCTGTTAATTAGGTACTGTTATCTTTTATTCTCTCCTATCTGGCTCAGATTTTATGGTCTTTCATCAGAAGCATTCTGTTACAAACATTTTCAACATCCTTTCCT
Source organism: Homo sapiens (assembly GCF_000001405.40). NCBI lineage: Eukaryota > Metazoa > Chordata > Mammalia > Primates > Hominidae > Homo > Homo sapiens. Next base: position 88,192,346 of record NC_000006.12, read on the forward strand.
CTCTTCCTCTTTCACATTCTCTAGAGGAAAATCCAATTCTGTATGTATCCAACATTTGCCTTCTCTAGGCTGGCACTAATGCAGCTAAGCATTGTTGGAGAAATTACACAGCCACCATAAAGCTACCTCCCACCCCATCCCATAGCAGACTTTCCCTAACTCAGGCAATTCCAGTAACACTGGTCTTTGGATAGATAATACAACAAACTGGGCTATATTGCCTTTGAACATACTGTTCCGTCTTCTTGGAATGCTTTTTCCCCAAACTCTTAGCATGGTTGCCCTCTATGTGGTCTTCAAATCTCAGCTTAATAATAGTGATAATTAGTAGCTAATATTTACTGAGCACATTCTTTGTACCAGGTGTTTTATAAAAATTAGTCTGATCTTCCCAACACTTTTAGAGGTAGATGGTATTATCTTCACTTTACAGATGAGAAAATTAAGGATTAGAGAGGTCAAGCAACTTACTCAAGATCTCACACACACATGTAGAATGGTAACTGCAGAATTCGGTCCCATGCTAGCTGTGGCCCTGCATGCTTAGGTAACCTGCTACTCTGTTCCGGGCTATATCCCCACACTCCCCTGTTACTCCTTCACAGATATACCTTCCCAATAACACCATTAAAATAATTTATAAGAATCTTCTCAGTTTGTAATTACACATTTATTTACTTGTGTATACCTTACACTTTCATTGTTTCCCTCCTCTCACTAGACTTAAGCTCTGTAGAGGTCACATGTCCATTTCACATACCACTGTGTCTTTAGGGCCTAGCAACATGCCTACCCTATAACAAATATCAGTTAACCCTTGTTAAATGAATAAAGAAAACTTAATATTGGGTAAAGCAAGCAGAGTAGGGCATTCCAGGCAGAACCAGGCATGAACAAAGGCCCAGCAGGAGGATTGGGGATACAGTCATGTGATGGCCTCATGTGTTTGTGACATGAAAGAGTTCCCACTCTGTACGTTTGCATTGGTGAGATAAGCAGGGCTAACGAATTAACAAAGACTATATAAAACTAAAAAGTGGAAGGCACCCTGCCCACCTGGGCTGGGGACCAGCTGTGAGGTCACTGTCATTGCCAGGGAAGGTGGGGCCAGCTCCCCCTACCCTGAGGTGTGGGTTCAGAGGTGTTGGAGTGCTGCCCTTCCACTCCCATGTGGGCTTCTGCTGAGGTTCAAGGGCACTTCCCATATTAGTAAAGATCATGCTATCGGGCATGGATTGCCACTGTGGCACCTTCTGTAGAGTGGGACGGGAAATTTGAGATGGATAAAAGAGGTAAGACAAGTAAGCTGCAGCAGAGTAGAATTTTATTACCTTTGACCAAAATCATTCTAAGGACACTTAATACAGCAAAGGACAGGTACATGTAATCTTTAAAATAACTTACAAAGATCAAAATGGAACAAAGCAAACGTGAAATTCCGAGTGTGCAGAGAGGCAAGACTGCAACATTAATTTTATGAGGGGACTCTTCAGGGCAATAATATATCACTGGGTCATTTTAACGGCTGTGACTAACATAGCTTTAACTTTAGATTTTAAAGAAGCAAGTGCAAAAAGAGAATCTCTGAAAGTTAGGTACATGTTTATGTGCTATAGTAAGTCACTTGCCTTTTCTGATGTTTTTTAAAAGTTATTACAGTTTTTACAATGTTCCTGAGACACCTGTAGCTTAGTGTCACATGCATGGGTCAGAAATAAAAGATGCTGAGAGGTGTGGGTTTCATAGAGTAAGGAAACTTAGAATTAAACTGGGGTTGTAGCAAAGACTGAAGGAGAAAAGGATGTGTCTTGTAGTTGATTAGGCCAGAGTTCTCAGATTTCCACACACGCTCTGTACTGAGTGGCAACTTTCACCATGGAATCCAGAGTTTGTCTTGGCTACTAAGAACACCCTCTGGATAAGGAGGTCGGTGGGATTCTATCTTGCCTCAGCTTTCAGAAGGGATTTGTGAAGAGGAGTAAGAAGGTCTGAAGTTGAGGAAACTCAGCAAGGCCCACCCACCCACACCTATCCTCCCATGGGCTGCTCCTGAATGGTGCCTGGGGGCTGGAGTGTGTCTGAAGTCTGCGTCTGGCATGTAGAAGACCCCACTGGTGCCTGACCACCATTCCATGGGGTCTTCCTGCAAGGACCAAGCCTCAGCCACAGGAGCCCACTTGGCCCATGCAGGGCAAGCTGAAGGTGCTGGGGAGTAAGCCCTGGGGGAGCAGCTCTCACACAATGACAGCAGGGAAGCTGGCGGGCAACTGTGTCTCTCTGGGATGTTGCTAGGGTATGTTCTACCCCTGTAGGATTGAGCCCCTCAGCCCCGCAGTAGTCCCCTCTTGCTCCACTGCTATCTCTTCCTTCCCAGTCTCACTTGCCCACTGCCCGGCCCATGCTCTCTGAGAGCACCTCCCAAATAAACATTGTGCACTCAAATTCTTGCCTCAGGCTTCACTTCTGGAAGAATTCAAGTGTTGTGAACTGGATGTTTATGTTCCCCCAAAATTCACATGTTGAAATCCTAATCCCAATGTGGTGCTATTAGGAGATGGGGCCTTTGGGAGGTGATTAGGTCATGAGATGAGCCCTCATGAATGGGGTTAGTGCCTTTATAAAATAGGCCCCAGACAGCTCTCTCACTCCCTCTCTACTCTCTGAGAATAAAACAAGAAGGTGGCCCTCTAGAAACCAGGAAGTGGGCCCCCAGTAGACACCAAATCTGCTAGCACCTTGATCTTGGACTTCCCTGTCTCCAGAACTGTGAGAAATAAATGTTTGTTGCCTAAGCCACCCAGTGTATGGTATTCTATTATAGCAGCCTGAACTGACTAAGACACCAACCTAGTACAAGAAGCAAACAAACACAAATTTGAAGGAAAGAAATACCAAAAGAAGTAGATAAATTTATCTTTGCAACTTTGCAAACAGTGGTATGGTTCTAGTGATTTGCTGTAACTCTGTGATCTGGTGTGTACCTTTCTTTTTTCTTTTTCCTTTCCTTCTTTTCATTCTGTCTCTCCCTCTCTCTTTCTTTTTCCTTGTAAGTTCTATTTCAGTAGGGCAGCAGCAACCTATCACCACTGAGCAAAGTCAGCGTGGTATCTGTTCTGATATTTGAGGGTCAAGGTGATTTCCAGGGGTTCCTAAATGAGAATTGTAACAGCTGAGGGATGTCTCAAGTGTTTACCGTCAGGTGAACAGAAACTTATGAAAGTTGCAATTAATTCTTTTCTCTCTCTCAGGTATTGTTATTCAGTTTTGCAAATATGGAAACTAAGACTCCAAACCTAATTCACACACCATACAATTCACCCATTTAAATGGTACGATTCAATGGTTTTAGTATATTTGCAGAGCTGTGCATCCATTACCACATCTGAATTTTAAACTATTTTCATGATCCTAAATGGACTTTGTTTTTGCAGTTATAAAAACTAAACATTTAACCTATGTGTTAGATGCTGTGCCAGGGTCTGAGCCAGGTGCTGGACCATGTGGGTGAACAGGAGAGATATGTCCAACTCTTGTGCCAATTGAATCCCAATGGGAGAGATAGACATTTAAGTTCAGAAGTGCAGAAGCAAGATAATTACAGGCTATGGTAGGTACCAAGAAGAAATAAACAGAATGAATGAGAAAAAGAAGAATAAGGACAAAGTGAACCCTTACGTCAAGGGCCAGGGACAGATTCTCTGAGGCAATAACATTTAAGTGAGAACAAAAAATATTGAAGAGACCAATTTTGGCAAGTATTGAACAAAAAAAAATAGAAAAAGACCAGGTAAGAGTACAGCAGGCTCAGGGAATGGCTGGAGCTGAGGCCTGAGGGGTGGGTGCAGAATGACCTGAATTGAAGTTGGAGAAATAGAAAGAAGGCAGATCCTGCTGGGCTTTACACATTGTGGGAAGGAGTTTGGATTCTATCCTAAATGCATTGAGATGCACCTGATTTTTTTTTTTTTTTTTTTTTTTTTTTGAGACAGAGTCTCGTTCTGTTGCCCAGGCTGGAGTGCAGTGGCAAAACCTTGGCTCACTGCAACCTCCACCTCCCGGGTTCAAGCGATTCTCCTGCCTCAGCCTCCCGAGTAGGTGAGACTACAGGCTCATGCCACCACGCCTGGCTAATTTTTTTGTATTTTTAGTAGAGACGGGGTTTCACTGTGTTGGCCAGGATGGTCTTGATCTCCTGACCTCGTGATCCGCCCGCCTTGGCCTCCAAAAGTGCTGGGATTACAGGCGTGAGCCACCACGCCCGGCCAGCATCTGAAATATTTTAATCATCCGGTGTTATGATGTAATTTACTCTTTAAAGATACTTGTCTAGCTGCTCTGTGGAGAATGGGTATTAGGCAGCAAGAGTGGAGACAGAAGGACTAAATAAGTGGTCACTGCAGTTGTCGGGAGCAAGAAACAATATGGACTTAGATCCTAATGGCAGCAATAGAAAGAGAAGGAAGTAGACAGAGTCCAGTATATTTGAGAAACAACAGGAAGTAAGAAAGTCAAGGCAGTATGTAGAGTTTTCTATGGAGGGGAACAGAGAAATGGGGCAGGAACCTGGAGTCAAGGAGAGGTAGAGAACAAGAGGTGCTGGAGTGTGGCTGTGATTGTGGTGAGAACGATACAGGAGACAGCTCGAGAGGGTGCAGATTGCCAGGGCCAAGAGCAAATGAGGGGTGGGGCGGAGAGGGGTCTGGGGGTGGTTCTAGAGTTGGGGTGGGATTTAATCACATCCTGGCCAGCAGTGTTTTCTGAGGACTACTTATGGATCCTGGGACCCACACAGAGGGAGGCTGAGCAAGTGGGGCTCTGGGAACCTACTCCCACTTTAACTACAGGTGTTGCTGCCCTTTTTGTTTTGTATTTTGGATGTATGCTTCAACTTTCACTTGAAGAAAGTAGTTGGAGCTCAGTGAACTTTGAGAACTATGGCATGATACTATGCTATTTGCCAAGAGGCAATTTGTTTGGGAAATATATCTCTAACTACTTTGAAAGCATTCAAAGTCAAACCAAGAGAAAGCAGTTTCTCCAACTCTGTTTGCTGGGACTTACAGATTAGCCAAGAGTGGTGTAAACTCAGGAGTGGGGCAAAGAACCCTTGAAAGTCCACGAGACCAGACTCTAGCCAGTGGCTACACAGGATGGACTTGGGTCACAAGGATGCTGGTGGTGCTGGCCAGGGGTGTGGGTAGGATGGGGACAGCCAGGGTAGCCTACCACATGTAGGTCATGGAATCTCCTTTGGAGATTCATAGTCCTCTCCAGGAAATTTCTGGCTTCTTGACATCTCTTTCAGCAGGGGGCAGCTCTTTCCGGAGGCATCGTTTCCAGACATGACTAGACAGGCCACTGCTGAGATTCCCTCTGTATAAGTTAATCAAACATGTGCAGGCCACTGGGAATAGTGCTGCCCCTGCTAGCACAACCTGTCCTTGCACTGGTTCAGGGCAGGCCCTGGTGAGGGACTCTTCTCTGCTCTAGCGCTCTAGTGCTGTTGCTAGAGAACCTGGTCCTCAGAGTGTTCCGATTTTTCTTTGATTCAATGCCATGAAGCAGTGGGACACCTTAACACAAATCATCTGCACACATATACATATATTCCAGCATGTAGGAATGAACAGAAGAGAAATATCACTGCAAAAGTTTATAGACAAGAATTTTATTAACTTTTATCAATTGTATTATTTAGCCAAAAAATGCTAAATAATTGATTCAGTGAATATTTAAGGAGCACATCATTTGCCAAACACTGCAAGAAGCTGGCATAGTAAAGAATAATATGATTTCCACAGTCTTCTGAAAGACATAAATAATAATGACAGTGTGTAATGTATGCCCTAATGGAATTAATTAATTACAAAGGTTACGGGTGCAGAAAAACAAGTTTTTAACTCTGTCGTAGAAACTCAGTGATGGATTCATAGAAGAGGGTTGGCTGAGCAGGGCTATGAAGGATGCATAAAAGTTTGCTAGGTAGGGAAGTGGCAGAAAGGTTTTCTGGATTTTTGAAAAAGTGTACAAAGTCATGGAAACTTCAAGGAAATTAATGTGTCCGAGGCACAAATGCTTCAGCATGCCCTGGGTGTGGGCAGGCCCAGAGACTAGGTGTGAGTTTGGGTCTGGATTATTGCTTATTATGCTAGGACTACCACTGAAGATTTCTGAGCAAAGAGAGAAGCATAATCAGTGTACAGTCTTAGTAATATCCCTGTAGCAGAAGAGGCAGAAAGTGAAGCCAGGAGATCTAAGAAAAACTGTCACAGTGTCCTGAAAAAGACATGAAGGTGCCAGGTAAGGCAGTGGCAGGACAACAGGAAAGGGAAAGATAGATTTTGGGACCTGTAGGGATTAGAATGGGAAGATTTGAAAATGACTGGATATGGAAGGCAAAGGAAGTGTGGTTGTTGATTCTAGTTTTCTGATTAGATGACTTAAGGTAGCTCAGGATGCCATTAACTAAGACAGATGATAGGAGAAGCAGAGTGAGTTTACAGGCAGAAAGAAAGAAGCTTAAGATTTATAATATGTGTGCAAACACTAGAAAACACATGCTTTAATATCTTGACAGATATTATCAAGACATTTACATTTACTTGGATAGTCCTTGGCAACCATTGATTTTGAATTATTTTTCTAGTAATGCAGACAGATTTGCCTTGATTCTTCTACATTCACCTGTTCTTCCCTTTTTATAGTCATATCTATGCAAAATCTGGGACCAAGGTGAAGGTCATTATCCATAGAGGAAAAAAAATTGCCCATGTGGGATGGAACCCCAGTCTTTTGAATCTTCAGCAGTATCATCTGACCAGGAATTGACTATGGACAATATCACAAACGATGTATTCCTATTGTTACTGGATTTTTTTCTTTATATATCCACTCTGCTATTTCCATATCAAAGGTTATAACAAATAAGGTGTAAGTGGGTTTCACACCACTTAAGAAGCTCCTGACATTTTCGAAGTTCCCCTGGGATTTAACTTTCTAGGAATACTGAGCTCTAGAAAATGAGGAAAATTCCTTGCAAAGTTTTGTCTAAATAACAAAAAGAACACTTGGTATTCAAACTCTTCGAAAGAATTGCATATTTTAAAAAGTAAAAGAATAATAGGGGCTGCAGGTTGCAACTTGCTTTTGGCTTTTGATTTTTTTGGCAATGTGCATGCTGAATGGGGAATTTGATGAAGCAGTTTTGTGCATAATGACTAGAAAATTGCATGTGACCGATCCATTATATACATTATCTCAGTGCCTAAGTGAAGATGAGGGTAGTGAAGTTATCCTTTGAATTCCAAACCATGCTAATCATCAACTTTGATAATTTTTTCAGTGCTTTGCTTTGTTAGCTTAATTATCCAAACAGGCCATCTAGTGACTTCAAATCCATTATTACCTGCACAGCGTCCTGCTTTGTTCTTGTTTGGTAGACAAGTATTTAACATCTCTTTCAAACGATGGTGTGGTTTTGATATGCTAACTTAATACCTACCTGACAGTGTATGATTGAGTAGGCAGAGAGTTTACAATGTTTTATCAAGTCCTTGAACTAGGAAAAAATGTTGAGAGATTATACAGTTTGTCTCTGGTTTACATTAGAAATAGACTTGTTAGTTTGCTAATCTTTTCTCAGGGAAATGTCCATGAGTGTGTCTGGGCTGCTCATCACTGTACATTCAAAGTTTTGCACAGAGCCTGGCACATGGTAGAGCTTCAGCAAACCTTTATTGAATGAATGAATGAATGAATGAATGAATGAATGAATAAATAAATAAATGATGACTTGCTATTTCTGTTCTCTATGTTCTGAAGTGCTCCAAGTATTATCACCGACCAGAGATATTCATTCATTGAATTTTCTTTACATAGTGTCTCAACAGAGTAATCGCATAATTTACAGTTTAAACTAGATAACTTTTTAGAGTGAAAAGGTGTCATTAATACTTACACCAAGACAATAGACATAAACCAGAACTGTCTAAGGCAAATAGGGACATATGGTCATTCTATACAGAGAGGATTATGAAGACACTGGAGGACCAGAGAAATTTTTCTTGCCTATATCTCTTGTCTGTTTTTTTGACACCTTACTTGGCTTGATATAATTCATCTGGCCTTTTGAACTGATTACTGAGTGTTCTCTAAACTCAATGGTTTCTTTTTTTGGCCTGCCAAGCTGAATTCTGCACTACAGATGCAGGAAAAAAGCTTTATGAAAAAAAGTAAAGGACCTTTTGGGGCACTATTCTAATCCCCATGCCTATCTGTGTTTGACACATAGTTGGCTCAATAAATGTTTCCTTAAAAAAAAAGCTGTGGTTTTAAAATGGTAGGAGGTAGAACTAGTAAACACTACTCCCACATAACAACCATATGAATAATTAAAACATGTATTTTAAAAGTATATATGCATAATAAAAATTAAGGGGCCTTTGACTTGATGAGAAATTGATAAATGCTTGAAAACTGCAAAGCATATGGTTTAAGAATTAATTGGAAAATCACTTGACCCCCACCACATACACACACAGCAGGCCATGAGCAGTGAGTACAGGAGCTTGGGATGTAGCGAAAAGGCAACTGCCCTGGGTGTCCACAATGCCCCAGAGGAATCAGGAGCATCTCTATTTCATTGTGTGCGAAGGGTTACTTTTCAGTGAAACAGGGCAGCTGCCTCTCTGAAAATAGGGCAGCTGGCCTCTCCCCACCAGGCTGTGCAAAGATAGTTAACAGAATATCTCACAGAGAAGTTCAGTTACCAAACAAAATCTGTTTAGAAGATGAATATTTTCTCAAAGGTTGAGAAACCTATCAAAAATAACAACTACAACTTTACAAGACATGTATAGTCTAGTAAGATATAAATGCAAACAACAAAAAGTTAAAAAGCAGAGGGATAAAGCTAAAGTTGGAGTTTTCATTAGTTTTATCTTTACTTGTTTGTTAGTTTGCTTATGCAATCACTGTTAAGTTGTCATCAGTTTAAAATAATGGGTTATAAGATATCATTTGCAAGCCTCATGGCAACCTCAAATCAAAAACAAAACAGGCCAGGCGTGGTGGCTCATGCCTGTAATCCCAGCAATTTGGGAGGCCAGGGCAGGTGGATCACAAGGTCAGGAGTTTGAGACCAGCCTGACCAACATGATGAAAGCCCGTCTCTACTAAAAATACAAAAATTAGCCAGGTGGTGCACACCTGTAATCCCAGTTATTCAGGAGGCTGAGGCAAGAGACTTGCTTGAACCCGGGAGGCAGAGGTTGCAGTCAGCCAAGATCGTGCCACTGCACTCCAGCCTGGGTGATAGAGTGAGACTCCATCTCAACAACAGCAACAACAACAAAAAAAACACAACAAGAACAACAAAAAACATACAACAGATACAAAAAATAAAAAATAAAAAGCAAAAAATTAAAAGATACCATCAGAGGAAATCACCTTCACTAAAAGGAAGACAGGAAGAAAGGTAAGAAGGAAGAGAAGAGCACAAAATAACTGGAAAACAAAAAACAAAATGGCAGGAGTTAAGTTCTTACTTATCAATAATAACATTAAATGTAAATGGACTAAACTCTCCAATCAAAAGACATAGAGTGGGTGAATGGATGAAAAAACAAGACTCAATTATATGTTACCTACAAGAAACACACTTCACCTATAAAGACACACATAGACTGAAAATAAAGGGATGGAAAAAGATATTCTATGCAAATGAAAACCAAAACAAAGCAGGAATAGCTATACTTATGTCAGACAAAATAGATCTCAAGACAAAGACTATAAAAAGAGATAAAGAAGGTCAGTATATAATGATAAATGGGTCAATTCAGCAAGATGATATAAAAATTAAATATATAAATATATATGCACCAAAATATATATGCAGTAAATATATATGTACCCAATAGTATACATGTATGTGTAAATATATATGCACCTAGGATTGGAGCACCCAGATGTATAAAGCAAATACTATTAGAGCTAAAGAGATAGAAAAACCCAATACAATAATAGTTGGAGAGTTCAACATCCCATTTCAGCATAGGACAGATCATCCAGACAGAAAATTCACAAAGAAGCATCAGACTTAACCTGCACTATAGGTGAAATGGACCTAATAGATATTTGCAGAACATTTCATCCAATGGCTGCAGAATATACATTCTTCTCCTCAGCACATGGATCTTTCTCAAGGATAGATTATCTGTTAGGCCACAAAGCAAGTCTTAAAAAATTCAAAAAAATTGAAATTAAATCAAGTATCTTCTCTGACCACAATGGAATAAAACCAGAAATCAATAACAAGAGGAATTTTGGAAATTATACTAACACATGGAAATTAAACAACACACTCTCAAATGACCAGTGGGTCAAGGAAGAAGTTAAGAGGAAAACTAAAAAATTCTTAAAATGAAAACGCAACATACAAAACCATATGGGATACAGCAAAAACAGTACTAAAAGGGAAATTTATAACTATAAGTGCCCACATCAAAAAAAAAAAACAGAAAAACTTCAAATAAACAACCTAATGATGCATCCTAAAGAACTAGAAGAGAAAGAACAAACCAAACTCAAAATTAGTAGAAAGAAATAAAGATCAGAATAGAAATAAATAAAATTGAAATAAAAAATATAAAAGAGCAGTGAAATGAAGCACTGGTTTTTTGAAAAGATAAACAAAATTAACAAACCTTTAGCCATACAAAGGAAAAAAGAGATAAGACCCAAATAAATAAAATCAGAGATGAAAAAGGAGACTTCACAACCCATACTACAGAAATTAAAATGATTATTAGGCTACTAAGAGCAACTATAAGCCAATAAACTGAAAAACTTAGAAGAAATGAATAAATTCCTAGTCACATACAGCCTACCAAGATTGAAGTATGACGAAATCTAAAACCTGAACCGAACAATAACAAATAACAAAATTGAAGTTGTAATAAAAAATATCCTAGAAAAGAAAAGTCCAAAACCTGATGGCTTCACTTCTGAATTTTACTGAACATTTAAATAACTAATATTATGCACTTAAATATGCACTTAAACTATTCTGAAAAACAGAAGAGGAGGACATACCTCCAAATTCATTCTATGAGACCAGTATTACCCTGGTATGAAAACCAGACAAAGACACATTAGAAAAGCAAACAAACAAAGAAAAACAACTACAGGCCAATATCCCTGATGAACATTATGCAAAAATTCTCAACAAAATATTAGCAAATGGAATTCAACAACATATTAAAAATGTCATTCATAATGACCAAGTGGAATTTATCCCAGGAATGCAAGGGTGGTTCAACATACACAAATCAATCGTTACATCATATGAACAGAATGAAGGACAAAAACCATATAATCATTTCAACTGATGCTGAAAAACCATTTAATAAAATTCAGCATCCCTTCATGATAAAAACCCTCAAAAAACTGTATAGAAGGAACATACTTCAACACAATAAAAGCCATAGCTAGTATCATACCAAGTGGGGAAAAACTGAAAGCCTTTCCTCCAAGATCTGGAACATGACAAGGATGCCCACTTTCACCAGTGTTATTTAACATAGTACTGAAAGTCCTAGCTAGAGGAATCATACAAATTGGAAAGAAAAAAGTCAAATTATCCTTGTTTGCAGAGAGATGCTATAATCTTATATTTGGAAAAACCTAATGACTCCACCAAAAAACTGTTAGAACTGATAAACAAATTCAGTAAAGTTGCAGGATACAAAATAAACATACAAAAATTACTAGCATTTCTGTATGCCAACAACAATCTGAAAAAGAAATCAATAAGGTAATCCCATTTACAATAGCTGCAAATAAAATAAAATACCTAGGAATAAATTTAATCAAAGAAGTGAAAGATCTCTACAATGGAAACTATAAAACATTGGTGAAAGAAATTGAAGAGAACACAAAAAATGGAAAGATATTTCATGTTCATGGATTGGAAGAATCAATACTGTTAAAATGTCCATACTGTGCAAAGCAATCTACAGATCCAATGCAATCACTATTAAAATACCAATGACATTCTTTGCAGAAATGGAAAAAATAATCTTAAAATTTATATGGAACCACAAAAGACTCCACATAGCCAAAGGTATCCTGAGCAAAAAGAACAAAACTGGAGGAATTGCATTAGCTGACTTCAAATTATGATACAAAGCTATAGTAACCAAAACAGTATGGTACTGGCATAAAAACAGACACATAAACCAATGGAGCAGAATAGAGTACCCAGATATGAATTCATACATCTGCAGTAAACCCCTTTTTCAACAAAGATCCTGAGAACACACAATAGGGAAAGGACAGTTTCTTAATAAATGGTGCTGAGAAAACTGGGTATCCATATGTAGAAGAATGAAACTAGACCCCTACCTCTTACCATATACAAAAATCAAATCAAAATCGATTAAAGACTTAAATCTAAGACCTCAAACTATGAAACTACTAAAAGGAAATATTGGGTAAACTTTCCAGGACATTTGTCTGGGCAAAGATGTTTTGAGTAATACCCTACAAGCACAGGCAACCGAAGCAAAAATGATCAAATGGGATCACATCAAGTTAAAAGCTTCTGCACAGCAAAGGAAACAGTCAACAAAGTGAAGAGACAACTCACAGAATGGGAGAAAATATTTGCAAGTTATCCATCTTACAAGGGATTAATAACCAGAATGTATAAGGAACTCAAACAACTCAATGGGAAAAAAATCCAATAATCCAATTAAAAATGAGCAAAAAATCTGAATAGTCATTTCTCAAAAGAAGATATACAAATAGCAAACAGATATAGGAATAGGTGCTCATCATCATTGACCATCAGAGAAACGCAAATCAAAACTCCAATGAGATGTCATCTCACCCCAGTTAAAATGACTTTTATCCAAAAGGCAGGCAGTAATTAATGCTTGTGAGGATGTGGAGAAAAGGGAACCCTTGCACACTGTTAGTGGAATGTAAGTTTGTACAGCCACTATGGAGAACAGTATGGAGGTTCCTGAAAAAACTGAAAACAGAAGTACCATATGATCTTGCAATCTCACTGCTAGATCCATCCCCAAAAGAAAATAAATCAATATTTTGAAGATATATCTGCACTCTCACATTTATTGCAGTACTATTCACAACAGCCAAGATTTGGAAGCAACCTATGTGTCCATCAACAGAAAAATGAACAAAGGAAATGTGGTATATGTACACAATGGAGTACTATTCAACCATAAAAAAGAGTGAGGTTCTGTCATTTGCAACAACATGGATGGAACTGGAGGACATTATGTGAGATGAAATAAACCAGGCACAGAAAGACAAACTTCACATGTTCTCACCTATTTGTGGGAGCTGAAGTCAATTGAACTCACGGAGATCGAGAGTAGCAGGATGGTTACCAGAAGATGGAAAGGGTAGTGAAGTGGGGAGAGTGAAGATGGTTAATGAGTACAAAAATATAGTCAGAAAGAATGAATAAGACTTAGTATTTGATTGCACAACAAGGTGACTACAGTCAACAGTAATTTATTGTACATTTAAAAATAACTCAAAGAGTATAATTGGATTGTTTGTAACACAAAGAAATAGTACATGTTTGAGTTGATAGATACCCCATTTACCCTGATGTGATTATTACACATTGCATGCCTGTATCAAAATAGCTCATGTACCCACAGAGTTAAATTAAAAAATTTAAAGATGACTTTCCTCAAGAAGTGAGGAACTGGATAACTGAAAGCACTTATACTTGTGGAAGTAGCGCAGGACTTCCATATAAGGTAATTACATATCAGCAGAGAAACAAGGGAAACATCACATTAAAAAACTACAATGAGTGATTATGAAAAACAACCAATTATATACTATAAAAATAAAATGAATACAGCTAAAAACTGGGTGAACGGCAGAATAAGCATAATTGAAAAGCAAGTTAGCGATGTAAAAGACTGTAACAAGAAATTATCCCAGAAGATAACACAAAGGGAAAAATAAGAAGAACAACATAAAAGAAAAGTTAAAACAAAACATGAAGAACAAGGCTTGAGAGTCAACATCAATCCATTAGGGGTCCCAAATTGAGAGAATATGGAGAATGCAGAGGGAACCATACTTGTTGATGACGTAGAAGCCAGAAAAGTTCTAGACCTAAAGAAAGATGTATGTCCTGAAATTTAAAGAATCCATCAAAGAACAACATAACAAAAATAACAACAGGAGTAACAAAACCCTATTCCAGATATTTCATGGTTATGTCAAGCCTAAATGGAAAAATTCTAAAAGTTAGAAGAGAGAAAAAAATCAGATTGCTTCTAAAGGAATTGGACTCGTATAGACAACCTTACTTCATAGCAACATCATTGGACACAATGGGGTAGTGGAGCATCAACTTCAAAGAGTTGAGGTGAAATAGTTTTGTCTGTAATTTTATATACAACTAAATTCTCGTTCATATATGAGGGCAGAGTAAAACATCTTCAATCATACAAGTCCTCAGAAAGCTTATTATTCAAAGACCCTTTTAGCTGGAGAATCTATGCCAGGAAGAAGAAAATGAATTCCAGGAGGAAGTAGTTGGATGCATTAATTACATAATTAAAAACTGATAATAAAATAAGTTTATTTCTAGGGAAGTAGTGTTTGGCTTTTTTACTGTAAACATGAAATTAGATACGATTGAAATTCTGTAATTATTTCCTTCAATTACAGTCATGCATCATTTAATGACAGGGATACGTTCTGAGAAATACATCATTAGGCAATTTCATTGTTATGTGAACATCATAGAGTGCATTTATACAAACCTAGTTGGTGTAGCCTACAACACACCTAGGCTATAAGGCATAGCCTATTGCTTCTAGGCTATACACTTGTACAGCATGTTACTCTACTGAATATTATAGGCAATTGTCACACAATGATAAGTATTTGTGTATCTAAATATAGAAAGGTACAGTAAAAATATGGTATAAAATATAGAAGGTGTCACAACTGTATAGGGCACTTACCATGAATGGAGCTTGCAGAACTGGAAGTTGCTCTGGGTCAGTGAGGGAGTGACTGGTGGGGTACATGTGAAGGCCTAGGACATTACTGTACACTACTGTCTTTATAAACACTGACCACTTAGGCTAAGGTAGATTTATGTTAAAAATTTCCTTTCTTCAATAATAAATTAAACTTAGCTTACTGTAACTTTTTTACTTTATAAATGTTTAATGTTTTAACTTCTTGACTTGTTTGTAGTGACACTTAGCTTAAAGCATAAATAATTGTACAGCCGTACAAAAATATCTTCTTTCTATGATTACTCTATAAGCCTTTTTTCTATTTAATTTTTTTTTGTAAATTTTTTTTTTAAAAACTAAGACTCAAACATACACATTAGTCTAGACCTACACAAGGTCAAGATCACCGATATCACTGTCTTACACCTCTACATCTTGTCCTACTGGAAGGGCTTCAGAGATAACATGCATGGAGCTGTCATCTCCTATGATAACAGTGCCTTCTTCGAGAATGCCTCCTGAAGGGCCTACCTGACACTGCTTTCCAGTTAACATTTTTTTAATAAGTAGAAGGAGTATACTCTAAAATAAAGGTAAAAGCGTGGTATAGTAAGTGCATAAGCCAGTAATATAGTCATTTATTATCATTATCAAGTATTATGTACTGTACAAAATTTTATATGCTATAGTTTCATATGACTGGCCGTGCTCTAGGTTTGTTCACATCAGCATCACCACAAACACACAAGTAATGTGTTGCGACAGCTACAGCATCACTATGTGATAGGAATTTTTCAGCTCCATTATAATCTTACAGGACCACTGCTGTATGTGTGGTCTATTGTTGACTGAAACATCGTTATGTGGCACATGATAATATATAATATGTCACAAGCCCATAAAGGTATAAACAGGAATAATCAGAAGCTTGATATTCTCTGATTAATCAGGCTCTGGCCTTTAGGGGAAGCCCCATGACCTGATGCCTGAGGAGGGGAAGGTCAGAAGCCAGGACTGAAACAGGCTCTAAACTCCCCACAAAGAAGACTGAAGAGCAAATGTACCACAGAATCCCTGACACAGAGCCACCTCTAACCTTTAATATACCCTCCTGAAGATGTGTATCTTCAATTTCTGTCAACAACTAGTTCTTTGCCAGTTTCAAGAACTCTTCAAAGGTTAGCAAGATTTATAGTGAGAGAAAATATGACAAATCAAATAAAATCGAGTATTAGCAGAATATTGAGATCTCAGAAATGCTCTGACTTGCACTCTATACCTTTACCTAACTTTCCTAACCCCTTTCCAAGTCAAGACATAAAAATCTTTGAACCGTATAAGGGTTTTCCCCTTAGCTATGGCCCCCCCATCATCCAGGTAGCTGGTGGTCTCATCAGAAGTTCTTTCTCTTGGCAGCTCAGTGTAAAAGCAGACATTTGTTAAACAAAGTTGCCTGTAATGACTCCCTAAGTCGGGAGAATTTTAGCTTTCCCTCCCATTACTGTCAGGATTGGCACTATGCCTTTGGAGGACATCTGTTGTTTGGATTGCCCTGCAAACCTCCATCTTCCTGGAAGCACCACACTCCCTCCCCACGATGGGAGCTGACGTGATCCTGTCTCCCTGGTCCCAGTGATTGGCCCAGGAAATGAGCTCATAACTTATGGGCCAAAATCGTTCTCAGAATTTTCTGTTCACCTCCAGAATTGGGAGAGATGAGGACCTTTTTCTCTCAGAAATCTGTGTGGATGTGATCTTGGTCATGAAAATATTTCCAGGACATGGAAGAAGAAAGTTTGTCAATGAAGTGAGGAAAACCAGAGAGACAGCCGTAAGGGGCTATGGGATGGAGTGTTAGTGGAGTGGGTCCCTGGGTCTTACGGCATTAGTTATACTCCATCCTGGATTCTGGGCCTTACATTTGTTCCTTTTGCCTAGCTAGTTCAAATTGTCTATCATTTGCAACCAGAAGAGTCCTGTCCACTTCAGTGTTTTCCCCAGAACAGGTGCACAATAAAGGTCACTGGCTCCAGGGGAGCAGACCAAGAATTAGTTCAGCATAAGTGATCAGGCTCCGGAAGAGGAAAGTGAGTGGGCCTAGCCAGAGCATCCTTGCAGGGGAAGAGCATGTGTATTGGGTGGGGTGGACCATGGGGGACCAATTTTGCAAACAGGAGGCAAATAACCAACCACATGGCAGCAGCTCATGCCAACAGAACACAGCAGAGGTGACAGTAAGTCCCAGTAGGAAAAGGTCCTTGATCCAGAAATTAAAAATAACATTTAGGGAATTCTGTTTGAGCATTGTAGGATTGGGACTGCAGTGATCTTTCTGTCGTCTAATATTTGATATGCGTTGGTTTTCCTTTGTCTTAATAACACTGTCTCTTTTCACTTTGTACCAGTATACTTATATGTGAATTTATGTACGTAATTCTAAAGGGGAAGGAGAAAATTGATGTCAGTCTATTGGGCTTTCTAACAGAGAGATTTTCTCAGGACTCTGGGTGAGGAATCAAGCCAAGAAGAGTATAACTATCTAAAAGAGAATCCCAGACCTTGAGGGCACAGGCCTTGTGTGACCAAGGGTTGCTTCTAACTTCTAATGTTGCTTTCTGTGGAACTACAGTTTTCATTTGTGACCACAATTATTACTTCTTATATATCAGATTAGGGAAATCTCCAAAGGTTACCTTTTTTTTTTTTTTTTTGAGACGGAATCTCACTTCTTCCCCCAGGCTGGGTGCAATGGCATGATCTTGACTCACTGCAACCTCCACCTCCCAGGCTCAAGCAATTCTCCTGCCTCAGCCTCCTCAGTCGCTGGGATTATAGGCATATGCCACCACACCCGGCTAATTTTTGTATTTTTAGTAGAGACAGGGTTTCACCCTGTTGGCTAGGCTGGTCTTGAACTCCTGACCTCAAGTGATCCACCTGCCTCGGCCTCCCAAATTGTTGGGATTACAGGCGAGAACCCCCATGCCCTGCCCAAAGGTTAGCAATTTTTTATAGTGGGAAGATGGCTTTGAACCGAATAAAATCAACGATTAGAAGACTGTTTACATTCCAGATGTGCCTTGACTTGTCTTGTATCTTTTATGCACCTTTTGCTTTACTTTAATCATTTATTTAAAGGTGGGAATCAGCTTAGGTTTGTACCAGGAGCTTGGTATAAAAATTATTTAACAGGTTGCTAGAAGGAACTCTTCCAGTCTCAGTTCTGACTTAAGTGCCAATAGAACATATAGCCAGAGTGAACATGAGAAAAATCTGCATCTGCTCAAGTTACAAAGGGATTGTGAAGATTGAGATTGAGATAGAAATAGAGAAAGTGCATGAAAAAAGGGGAAAACTTGGTGATGACACTGTTTTCAGAGAGCTGTTACCACTCTTTGAGCTTCCTAAGACAGGTAGCGGGTTCTAGCTCCATCAGCTCAAGCTTCATAAGGGAAGCTTATCTGGGGTGACTGACAGAACTTTGAAATATGTTGGGAGTTGAAAGACACAAAGACTGATGCCTAGAAAGTTAAAGTATACCTGTGTCAACAGGGCTAAAAGTGGCTGTATTGAGAGCAGCTCGAACTTCCAATATTGCTGGACCAACAAACACTGAAGTGTTTTCTGTGGACCAAATATGAATCATTTCTGCTCTCATATGTTAAGGTTTTCTTGTGGCTGATGTTGACCGAAAGTCAGTTGTGTTTATTTCTCAAATGTATTTATGCCAGTCATGCTTATTATTATAATGAAATAATTTAAATAAATAGTATGTGATAACAATGAAAAATAAATATGAATGTAAACACAATCATCATTTTTGAAAATTATAATAAAGGCAAGTCATTAAACAAATCATGGTTTAATAATCCAGATTCTGGGATTATTAAAAGTTTATTACTAAGTGACAGAGTGTGCCTCTTATTATCTCATATTTTTACCCAAAATGCTATGTGAATAAACCCATTTTGTAGCCCCATTTAATTCCAAATGAGAACAAATGTTGGCAGAGAACATACCGTCATTTTCTCACAGAGAGGAGCACTGTCAATCGCAAAGCCATTGTCTTGGCCACCAGCTAGGGAAAGTAATAACTTCCAGAAATTCTATTATTTGTGTGCCAGTAGGTCCATATGACCATTGCAAGGCAAGTCTTTTAGTATCATCTACCACATACTTCACGTCAGTTCATTCATTCATTCAATTCATATTGATTGAACTCCCACAGGGAGACTGGCAGAGAGACAATGCCTCCTATTGAACCAGCAGAGAAAATCGTGTGACTCATCTGATTCCATCAGTAGGCTTCTGTGGGGGAATCCTGAAAAAAGGATATAGCTTGTCATGGACTCTTTCTTCTGATAAAGCTCGCTGTGCTGGAAACATTAATAGCCTACGACTTGCTTCCAGGTATGGCATTCAGTTACTGTCATGCATTGTATAAGGATGTTTCTGTCAATGATGGACTGCACAATCCCATATGATTAAAATACTGTATTGTTATTGTACTTTTCTATGTTTAGATATGTTTAGATATGCAAATACTTAGCATTGTGTTATAATTGCCCACAGTATTCAGTACAGTAACTACTGTACAAGTTTGTAGCCTATGGGCAATAGACTTTGCCATATTGCCTAGGTGTAGAGTAGTTTATACCCTGGAGGTTGTGAAAGTATACTCTGTGATGTTTGCACAATGATGAACTTGCCTATTGACACATTTCTCAGAACATGTGTTAAGAGATACATAACTGTATCTATATCCATGGTCTGGCTTGTTGCTGGTGGAGGATAGGCTCCACCACAACACAATGGAGTGTTGGTTACACATGGATTTATAGATCCCGGGGCAGTGGCCCTGGGCCTTGCCTGTCATACAGGGCCAGGCAGCCCAGCCCAGGTAGTGGAGAGGTATCTTGGTGCCTCTGAGTATCTGAGGGAGACAAGCTGGTTCTCATGCATAAAAGAAACGTTATCATCAATTTCTCTAGTATTGATCAATTTCCATTTGCCTGTTGAATTTGTGTTAATTTTCCATAACCCTCAATGTTCATGAAGTGTTGAAAAATGCTAATAAGTGTTTGTGATAGAAGCTGTAAAATTACTGACTTTTAAGTAACCCTATTTCTATTTCAAAAGTGACTTAGACACCATATAAAATTATAGATCAAATCCCTTCCTATCTTAGTAGGGTGTTTTAAAAATTGAGACCTTATTCACAGAGTACTTATAACTTTTTTAAGAAAGGAATTACATAAAAATGTAATTGATATTAGGATTTGTAAATATCTTAATGCATTCCGGAATTTGAAAATAATACCCCCTCCGTGTGCTATAAATTTCTAAGTATATGAAATACAGTGTCTTAAATAGCCATTGTGGTTACATCCTATTTATCTCAAATCATGTGGCTATGAGCTTTAATTTTGAGCAATCATGATTCAGACAGGAGAAATTAGAATGGATGTTCCACCAACTCTATGTGTTGTCTCAAGTTAGCTATTAGAGAAGAAAATTGAATTGTCCTAATGTTTTCTTATCATTAATATGAATTTAAAACTCTCTTAGAGTTCTTTCTCAGTTTGGTAAATGCCAATCTATATAGGAATGAATGTTACTTGTCAGAACACTGAATTCTTACCAAACATGTATTTGATGATAGTAGGGAAGAGAAAGGGGATATGCAGATATCAATTATTCCTGGTGATTGGCAACCCACACTAGTCCTCTCATCTGCTCATTAACTGACTCATTCTATGCAATTTATTATTTAAGGAAGAGAAATAGTGAATTTGAGAAATTACCATACCTCATTCCTGACTCAGTGACTCCAAAAGAGGAATCAGCAGGAAGACTGTGTGAGCTTGAATATGGAAAACTAGACTATCCTTTGTTCTGAAGAGGCCTTATACCTCTTCTTGCCCTTGCCCTGTGTCTGTCAAGGTTACCAGGAAAATGCAAGAGTTTCTATCATTCCTCTCTAGCCCTTATTCTAGATTATTTCTCCCTCTTAGATGAACTCAGAGGCACTTGTCATGATGTGGAGGCTGTGAAGGGGCCCAGTGAGAACATGTCTGTAGACTGACTGTCCTTAAATGGAGTGGGCCATTTTGATAGGAGCAAGTGCTCCTGCAGCATATACACAAAGGACATGGCACAGTTGATCAGGAAACCTCCAGGCAGAATTTGATTATAAGCAGGCATATTTTAATGTAGCTTGGCAGTATACAGTATTTGCAAGGGAGAAGAAAATGCATAAAGCTACCATTTGGGGGCATTCAATAAATGCCAGAGACCATGCTATGTGTGCTACGACCCCAATCTCATCCTGTCCACACAATGTCTCCAACAGGATGATATTACTTTTATGCCCACAAGGGAACTGAAGGCTATAGAGACCACATAAGACCATGTAACTAAGAAAAGCAGAACCTTGATAAAAGTAAAGGATTATCTGAATTCGTAATCCACACATTGACCCCTACCAGGGATCATAACTAAATGAGAAAGACAATATTCATCCTTGAAAAGATGTTTATTAAAATCTAAAGCCATGGAGGTATTTATTAGATTGAAACATGAAATTGAAATATTCAACTGTTTGACCTGCAAAAATGGCAAGTTCATATGATTTAATCATATATATTTATAACTCCTTCTGTGGAAGACATTCACAGATGGGGGGAACACATTGCACGGCTTCCCATAATCACATGTTTTTATTGTGTAACATAACAAGAAAAATCACCAGAGCAATATATATTCACTTAAAGTGTATATAATTAAGAAAGAAAGTTTCTATGCATTAAAAATTAAAGTTTTACCATTGGGAGATAAAAAACTGGGAATTCTTTGTAAGTAATACATCAGCTCTGATAAAAGCTGACAGTTTGACATAGAGTAGCCCAGAATACCAAAGCAGACATTGTATGACAGAACAACAAAATAAGATAATCTAAATGTAGTGTAGGAGAAAGATACTTCTCTGGCCACTCTTGTTGGATTTATTTATAATTTACTATGCATTTGTTTAGCTGTTTAGTAATATGAATACAGTTCTTTCATTGTGCATATCTAGTTAATTTCAGCTAATGCTTGCTCTTATAAAATTCCAAAGTAAAAGAGTCACTTGAGTACTGTGGTTGTCATTGATACTGTTGACCAAATCTGTCCAGCTTTTCTCTCTTTCAGACACAAGAAAATGGAAGTGGCATTTCTGAGACCCCTGTGGCTGGGTGAGGCCTGTGACTAGCTCCAGACAATGAATTATGAGCAGAGCTAACATATGTCATTTCTGGGCTAAGCATTGAATTGCTGATGTGAGACCTTCTAGAGCTCTCTTTTTCCTGTGGCATGACAGTTGGCAATTGATACAATGGCTGCTTTCTCAGTCTAGATCCTGGGAGGAGAGAAGATTTGGAGCAGAGCTCCTAGCCCATCGTGATGGATATATAGCACAAGAGAGAAATAAACTTTATTACAACAAGCCACTAAGAATTTAGGGTTGCTTATTACAGAAGCATTCCCTAGCCCATCTTGACTGATGTAGGTGTCTTGAATAGCTCAACTACATTTTAAATCCCCATTCTAAAAATAAAAGTTGGGTCTATTTGGTTCGAGTATTTGTATTAGTTCTGATAAACAGACTATGTACCTGACCTACAAAATGGTGCCTGAAAAGGGCATTTTCCTCTGTGGGTGTAAGCTACCTTTTTTACTCACAAATAGGACCCTTCATGTCCCGTGATCAGTCCCCCAAATGAACTATCCCCTGATTGAAACAAAGCCTTCACAAAGGTAGGGAGACTTCAGACAGCTTCATAGGAAGTAGGATTTCACAGGAAACAAAAGCTCTATCTGAAAGAGAATTCCTCTCTCTTTCTCTCTGTCTCTCTCTGTCTCTCTCTCTCTCACACACACACACACACATACACATACACACACACACACACATAATTTACCATGCAGTCAAATTACTTACATTCATTAAAATTACTCATTTAAGCTGCAACACTGTCACCAGAAGAGTCTAATGACAAAGATGATGCCTAGAAATGTTAAAAAATCCACTATAATCCTTTAATATATTAGCAAGAGTTATTTATTGGCTAGAATTTTGTGATCATAGAGGCAATAGAATACCTGATTGTCAAATTGGAACTCAAGAAAGAGACACTAAAGGCCTAGGCAGACACTGGGGACTGACCAAACGAACTGACTTCACACTATGAACAGTAACACAAAAGAGTGGTGGGGAGCATGAAAAACTGATTTTGCCGACTTAGGATTTCACCCTGGAGAAGAGACCATTTTAACAGTGATTCCAAAAGAGGAGTCAACAGGAAGACTGTGTGAGCTTGAGCATGGAAAACTAGGCTATCCTTTGTTCTGAAGAGACCTTATACCTCTTCTTGCCCTTGCCCTATGTCTGTCAAGGTTACCAGGAAAATACAAGAGTTTCTATCATTCCTTTCTGATTCCAAATGAGGTTTTTCTTGAGAAAAATCCCCATAATTAGAGATGTATATCAGTAACATGATATAAGGGGAAAACAAATTTCTGTTAAGAACCCTGAGTCTCCGTAAATACATTTATACATTTTTAGTCTACTAGGTAAGATTTGCCTATTTATCAGCTGCTGCCAAATATGTAGCAATTGTTCTAATTTATAGAAAACTTCTATTGAAATGTGTAGCTATAGGCAAGCCTATGAAGCTCCTCACATTTCAGCAAAACAGTGAGTCTTGTCATAATGCACTGATATCTGCAAGATGCTAAGTACTATTACAGGTCTGGTCATGCCTAGCAATCATGTGATGAATGAGAGCATATCACAGAAAACAAAATATGTATGAAAACAACATTCATTTTAAGAAAAAATATGAGATAAAACATGACGACATATTTTGTTGACAAGCAAAAGAGAGAGAGCCTTCGCCTCTCTTCCCCACACTCAGCATCTCTGCCAGCATGGATCTTTGAAAGACCTGACCATTGCATAGGTAATTTATGCAGCTCTTGTAACACCCAGACACTAATGCAAATTCCCTGCTTAATAATGCTGACCTTCACTGCACCAAATCAGGGCCTAGCAACCAGAAATTTCCCTTCAATCTTGCATGGAGGAGTTAACATTTTAAAGCCTGTCATCCTGCATAGGCAGCTACCATTTAACTGTCATCAATACAGCTTTTAGAATTTAAATTGAGTAGCATATAAAATACTCCTTAGCTGCAGGTAATTGTAGTTTATAATTTGTTTCCTCCTTTGAATGTTCTACTGCAAGATTCTGTGCATTCTCAGTTTTGAAGAGTGGGTCAAGAAATATGGTTTGATAAATAAACCAAGGCTAAGCCTAAAACCTTTGACTTAAATTACATTGAAGTTTTAGAACTGTATTGCACTTGTTTTTAACTGCTTTAGTGTAATAATTTGCTATGGCTGCCATAACAAAAAACTACAGACTGGGGTGGCTTAAGCAACAGAAATTTGTTTTCTTTCAGTTTTGGAGACTGGAAGTCCAAGCCAAGATGCCAGTAGGTTTGGTTTCTTCTGAGACCTGTCTTCTTGGTTTGCAGATGGCCACTCTCTTGCTGGGTCTTCACATGGTTTTTCCTTTGCATATGCACATTTCTGCTGTCAATTTGGGTGGCTGAATATCTTCTTTTTATGAGGACACCAGCCAGATGAGATTTGGGACCACCCTAATGGCCTTATTTTAATTGAATCACCTCTTTAAAAGCCCCATATCTAAATACAGTCCCATTCTGAGATACTGGGGGTTAGGGCTTCAACAAAGGAATTGTACAGAAGGACACAATTTAAGCCCATCATATTTAGTACACAGAATATGATACAGCCTTTTCATGATCACTCAGAATCTCAGTGTTAGCCATTCATATGTTTTTCCATGTGGTCAGCATATAGAGAGTGAGGGGGTTATGGATCGTACTTTTTTAGAGAAGTCCCTAGAATCACTTTGCCGCCTGGAAGCCATAGACCTTTGCTGTTCATTACTGGAGTCACTAGCCACATGTGGCTATTTACATTCAAATTAACTAAACTTTAAAACATTAAAAACTTAATTCCTCATTTGCACTAGTAACATTTTGAGGGTTCAGTAGCCAGATGTAGCTAGTGGCCACCATACTGGGAAGTGCCAATATCGAATATTTTTATTATCACAAAATTCTATTAGACAGTGCTGCTGGACTATTGCGGCTTTCCTGTTGAAATGAACTTGTCCCATTTTTACCTGTTATATCTTCAAGAGAGCTTGACACAACCAGAGTCCCCAGGAGCTATGCTATTTTACCCTGTGTTTTGTTCCCTTTCTCTTTATCATGGTCATCTCAATTCCTCACTGTCATTGTTTTTGGTCACTGCCTTTACTCTTCATCATATTTTCTCCTAATTCCACTTTTCTGCCTTTTAATTTCTTGCTTTTTTTCGTTCTCACTCACTCTTTTCTTTGGCTTCATTTTCTCCTATCCTTTTCTTTGTTGGAATGGCACAGTTTTGCTCTGAATGGTTTTGTCAACCCGTGAAAAATTCCCTTTCTTCTAGTCAGTAAATACCATTAATCTTTATGTCGTTGGCTACTCTTGAAATTTTATTGGTGTTGCAATCAGATCTGCATCTTAGTTTAAGAGTGCCTCATGTCTGAATAGTGGATAAGATGGCCACATATTGTGTCTGGAAAGCACAGCAATTGCAGGAAGTTTGTTTCCTCTTATTCCTCTTTTTGACTCTGGTATCAGCTCCCGAGAGGAAGGAAGGGCTCTGGAGTCAGTCTGCCTGAGTTCAAATTGTGTTATCATCACCTACTAGCTATTAGGTTTTAGCAGGATTTAAGTTCAGTTTTTTCATTTGTAAAATGGAGTTTAAGAACAATATTTACCTTATAAAGTTGTTAGGATTAAATAAATTGACTTGAGAAAATGGTGTCTACAATATAACTCAATAGGTGGGAGCAGTTATTATTTCTCAGGAAAAGTTTAGCTCTTTACAAGATTGCTATTGACCTTGTCCACTGCACAGTACTGAGAGTGATTCCAAGCAGAGGAACATTTTTTTTTTCCATGTAGACTCTTTTTGGTGCACCTATTTCATACTCAATTTCTGCTAGGCATTCCATCCATTCGATCAGTCTGCCGTCTATCTACAGAAACAAGGTTTAAGCACAGATTAGTATAAGACTGGGAATAATCTGATGCTAAATCATATTCAACAGAAACTATATTTTGTAAAGTTTGGTAAAGATTGTGCTTAGTGTGACCTGGACTCATCAGGAAAGCCTTCAGAGGTCCCAGAAAAGAATAATTTTCCTTCCATAGAAGAAAAGGAGGAGAAATCAGAGCCATGTGAGGAAGATGTTGAACCAAGGTAGAGAGACTGGACTGAACATAGAGATGAAGCCCTGGGTAGGGAAACAGGATAGATGAATGGGGGTAAGAGTGAGCAGACTGGCAGGTACAGGAGTCAAAATCTGTGTGGGGACCAGAAGGGGACATTTTAGTTATCTCAGTGTCTCAATGTAAGTAATTTCCTATATAATTTTAAAAAAATATATGCTGTAATGTATTTTTGATTGTTTAATTTATTAAGCTCCCTTTCAATGACTTTATTTCTAAGTTAGAGCCTTTCAAATTCTCATCTCCCCTCAGGTTTTTAAGAATGAGTTCATCTTAGCATCATCCACATATGTAACGAAAATTCACCAACATGTCAAATATGTCATTAACAAAATATCAAATTGCAGTGAACCTCCCATTGACCAGAAGAACATTAAATAACTCATGTGTAGAACAAGATGTAATTGTTCATCATTCTTCAAGATGAATATATGTGAAGAGAAATTCAAACAATCAGTTTATTTCAAATCTACATTTATTTTGTACCATCTATGCATCAGAAAAATATACTTGATATTTAAAAGTATACAATAGAAATATAAGAAATACCTTTACCTTCAAATAGTAATAAAACACTTATGCAAAGAGAAACAACTAAATGATATCAAGTGATTTACGTTTAAATGACAAAGTGAATAGTATAGTATTAACTGGTATGAAATCTTATTAATGGGAGAGATTAAGGGATGTTGAGAAATATCATCATAAGAGTTGCTGATATTTGAGTATACCTTAAAAATGTGTAGCATTTAGTTAGGTGAAAAGAAAAAAGCCACTCTTCTTGCTAGGGAAAAACATTATGAATAGAGTACAGAGGCAAGAATGAGCCAGAGTTCTCCTGGGCAGTGTGAAAAACAGAGGCCAGAGTCACACTGGACAGTCTGCAAAGATAAGGTTTTTGGATAGAAAATTAAAGGTGAGACTTCAGTGATAGATGGATATTTTTTCTCTGAAACACAAATCTTCAATAAGTATTTACCCCAGGTGGCAAAGCATGACTCTCTGACAAAATCATAGAAACATCCTAAATGGTCAAAGTACCTACTGTAATGCAGAGTATAGTGTTAGTTATTGCAGTTTTTTAACAGGTGCACATTATCAAAATTAGTGACCTGGGATGGAGAGTTGTAGTCCCTGAAATACATATTCCAAAGTGGCTACTCAGATACTAATTGGTTTTATCCAATTTTGCCTTATTCATCATAACCTTTCTCTTAAATTCTTACTTTCTTCTTTCCCTGTTTTACTTTTCTACTTTTACTTATCTAACTACCTTTTTCCATATGTCTCCTAGAATTTAGTGATACCCAAGGACATTTTTAGTTTCAAGCTAATAAAATTTCTTCTTTCTAATTCATTTACTCAGCAAATATTTATTGAATACCTACCGTGTTCTGGGAAACTAGTCTAAACAGATTGTTTAATGAACCAAATAGATTTAAAAATCTCTGCCCTTAGAGAGCTTTAATTTAGGTAAGTAGAGAGAGATAATGAAAGGAAATCATGAAATATCCTCATTATTATTCCATTTTAAAGGTGAAAGAACTCATATTCAGAGAGATTAGGCGAATTTCCCGAGATCATGTAGTTACTAACCACCAAAATAAAGCTGAAACTCTTATGTATTCAGTCGCAATTACTTACAGTGAAATAAATGATTACTAAATTGTATACACATAAATCTTCAGTTGGCTTTTGGCACCTGAGATACACATCTGTTGCCTCCATCAATTCTACACATTCTTTGTGTCTTTGTTTTGAAAGACTGGCGTTAAAGCTTCAATGAGAAGCAGCATGAGGATCTCTAGAGTTAGACTCTATTACTAATCTTTGTGTCTCTGCAGAATACACAAATTGAGAATAGGTGGTAATTTGATCATGTTCCACTTAGCTCCACCCTTGACAGTTACTGGATATCAGCACCCTGGACAGCCGCTCTTCAGCCAACCCCTTTCAAAGTGATTCTCAATAAAATACTGCACACTATCTTCTCTTCTTCTGCATTTTAAGTATAATATGGCTATTATGACATTTCCCTACAGCTAATTGTCCAGAACATATCTAACCTCTATGTACTCAATTAGTTAAGTGGTAAAAAGTGCATAAGAATGACATTTGAATTTAACATTCCAAACAGAACATCTGGTTTAAGTGAGTCAAATAATAAAATTTGCACAGTTTTGCACCACCACGTGGTGGTATTTTCTTATTTATATATTATTTATATTTATTGACCATGACTGCCTTAAATGAATTGTCAAAAATTTGAACATCATATAAATATTTGGATGTATAGAAATTAGAAGCCAAGGAAATTCCCTGATCTAAATATACCCTACAAATATGAATGTTCACTGGCTGACAGGATTGTAATTTAGATAACTTCACTACAGTGAGAAAAATAAAGCCACTTTGGAAAGGGAGTCCAGCCTCCCAAAATAGAGAGGCTGTTTGCAAAGAAATTCAGGAAATGAACGCAAGACAATAGGTTTCTTCATTTGGAATTGTGAGGCGGTAAATTCCTTATTATTTATAAGAGGAACAGTAGACTTCTATGCTGGCATTTTGATAAATGATAAGACTTAGTGGAAAGAAAGCTTGTGAATTCTAAGCAGAGACTTCTCTCAATTACTGCATAGTCATTCTTTTCTGCATGAAAGGAATACTTTCCTGAACAACTTATGTTGTAGTCTGATCTTTGTAATTGTTTATGGTGTGGTTTACACAGAGGAAATTGACATTCATAACTTTTATTATGTTTATTATTATTATTATTATTTTGAGATGGAGTCTCACTCTGTCGCCCAGGTTGGAGTGCAGTGGTGCGATCTCTGCTCACTGCAAGCTCTGCCTCCCGGGTTCACACCATTCTCCTGCCTCAGCCTCCCGAGTAGCTGGGTCTACAGGCGCCTGCCACCACACCTGGCTAATTTTTTGTGTTTTTAGTAGAGACTGGGTTTCACCGTGTTAGCCAGAATGCTCTCAATCTCCTGACCTTGTTATCCGCCCGCCTCAGCCTCCCAAAGTGCTGGGATTACAGGTGTGAGCCACCACATCTGGCCCCAACATTTGTAAATTTTAGAATCAATCACTTACATAAGGTAAATGTACCTATAACTCATTGCTAAAAGATAAAATAAATAAACTAGCCAATGCAAAAGAAAGAAGGAAGGAGGGAAAAAAAAGAAGGAAGAAAGGAAATGAATTATGGGAAGAAGGAAAGACTCTTAACTTCCATTATGAAGAAATCTTGGTGGCAAAACGAATGAAGTGAATTTTCTAATTTCTTCAGTGCCACCTAATTTCATACACATAATGTATACAACATATAATTTGAAGTGCCAGTATGTGGTAGGCACTGTGTAGGGCAGTGTAAAAATTGTATATGACCAGAAAACTTTTCAGCTTTGAAATCTCCATTCCTTCAATGTATTGGTTGCTTTGACACAGTATAAAACTGACCATTTCCAAGGCTGGCAAAGTCCCTGTCTATGATCAGCTTCTCAGAAAAGATATCCAACCATCCTGTAAAATGGAGCAATCTGCCTATGAATCAGCTATGGAATTGGGAACTGTAGGTGTCACGACTGTGTCTGTGCACTTTAGTCTTTTTACAGTTTGTGTCAGTGAGGTCTTGTGGAAATAACTAGAACTTAAACAGGATCCAGTGTTCAAACACTTCAAAGTGCAGAAACGCCTCCAAAGATCCACAGCACCGCTTTGTAGGGAAGGTACAGACAGGAAAGTCACATAGAAAGAGCAGATGTCTTTGGCTTAGTTTAGAATTGTAGCTCTGTTTCTTCCTAGTTCCTAGTTCTTTGGCAAATAACTTAAATGCACTGAGCCTTAGATTGCTTACCTGCAGCATGGGGTAGTTATATTTACCTCAGTACCTCAATGTGAGGATTACATAAGGCTGTTTATGTGAAAGCACTGTATAAATTCTAAATCACTCTAGAAATATTATAAGAGATAGTATATGCCTAAGCGATGAACAGAATGGCAAAGATAAAGATAGAACAATATGTCTGCACAGTTTTTGTTGTGTAGTAAAATGCAGTGCAAATCTAAGGCCTTACTCTTCACCATGGCCTATGCATATAGGTGGAGATTTTGGAAATGTCTTTTTTTTTTTTTTTTGAGATGGAGTCTCGCTCTGTCACCCAGGCTGGAGTGCAGTGGCGCAATCTCCGCTCACTGCAAGCTCTGCCTCCCGGGTTCACGCCATTCTCCTGCCTCAGCCTCCCAAGTAGCTGGGACTACAGGAGCCTGCCACCATGCCCGGCTAATTTTTCATATCTTTAGTAGAGACGGGGTTTCACCTTGTTACCCAGGATGGTCTCGATCTCCTGACCTTGTGATCCGCCTGTCTCAGCCTCCCAAAGTGCTAGGATTACAGGCGTGAGCCACCGCACCTGGCCTGGAAATTTCAAGACCAAATTTTTGTTAATGAATATGGTGGAGAAAAAGTAATGAAATAATGGAATGTTCTGCTTTATCTTTTCCACCTATTCATTTTAGCCTGGCAAGTGAATGTGTACAGAAATGTGTGTGTGGAGGGGGTGTGAGTGTATAGTATATGTGTGTGGCTATGTGTGTATAACCGTGTAGTGTGTGTATGCACATGTCTGTTGTGTGTGTGATATATGCATTTGTGTGGTTGTGATGTGTTTGTCTATGGTGTGTGTCTGCCTGGTACATGTGACATGTGAGAATGGGGGGTCTGCATGTGGATAGTGGGGTGTTGTGTGTGTGTATATCTGACATAAGGCTCTGGAACTGATATTTTAATTGTACTTAAATGTACAATTAAAAGAAAAGAATTTCAGTGAGTCCATTTATTCATATTTTTTATTTTTTTATTCTTGTATTCTTGTGTCACAATTTGAATTCTTCTCATTCCCACATATGCCCTTGGGCCTAAAGTTGTCTTGGCCCAACAACAGTAAACAGGCAATGTCTAAATTAAATATTAAGGTCTGACCTTTCTTTTTCCATCTCATAAAGAACATATAAAGGCTAAATACTAAAGATTGTGGGACTAAAAGCTTTTCAGAGAAGCTGTGCTGATTTGGTTCACATTTATATTTTTGTATATGGGACATTTACATTTGTTCTAAATATTCCTGTAAAACATCCCAGACTTTTATCACCTTCAAACTGTATGATATTTAAGACATTTAATTTACTCATGTAGGATGAAAAATAATTGAGATAATTTAGCTGATAGTTGTTTAAAATATATATTTATTTCAAATTTCTACCAAAGTGGTATATGGCTCTAACTCTTCTAATAGGTCACTTTAAAATTCTTATTCTCTGGCTTTTTTCCTGCAGTAAATCACTATTGATTGATAATCTTATGGCATGAAGTAGTATAATGATGTACTTCTAGCATTTAAAGAAAGAGATTAAAGTTTTTTTGATAGTAATAATTGCCCTTTTACTTTAAAAATTGTGTTTCTGAAAATGATGTTATTCTGATCTCAAGTGGCATCCTATTCAGCTTTCATGCAACAGTGAGCATCGAATTGAGGTAGAAAGTACATGCACACAGCTTTTTATTAGAGATTTTTAAAAGAACACTATAGAAAGTGTTCAGTAGAGAATATGACTTAAACTGTGCATTTATTTGAAACATTAGGCAAACCAAATGGAGCTATTTTGCCAATTTAGCCATTGCATAGACTGGTGGCTTTACCCTTTCTATTTTTCAGTGTCTAAGATCAGGTACTCTTTGGTAACATGGTACAACTGGCTGGTCTAATACTTCCAAAATCCCTGAAGCCTTAAGTAAGGTCAGAAAATGTCCTCAATATAGGCCAGTGAAAATATTACTAATTTAGGATTTCCTTTCAGTTATTAAAATATACATACACATTAATATATGTTAACTAGGAAATAAAAAATTTCTATGTGGAGTTGTCAGGAGGAAAGGCCACAGATCACATGCCTTCTTCCTAATGCATTTCTGATTGCCAGCATATTGTGTGTGTGTGTGTGTGTGTGTGTGTGTAAGCATTTAAAAGAAAGAGATTAAAGTTGTTTTAATCTCATTTTAGGCTGGCAAGTGAAAATGTTGCTTTGTTGTATTATTTGACTTTATTCTTTCTTTCTTGCTAGCTAGCTTCATTTTTAGAGGTGGGGTCTTGCTTTCTGGCCCAGGCTGGAGTGCAGTGGCACAATCACAGCTCACTATATCCTTGAACTCCTGGGCTCAAGGGATCCTCCTACCTCAGCCTCCCAACTCTTGTTTTTTACTCTGTTTCTGACTATTACTACTGCTAAGAATATATTGAAGTAGTAAAAACCCATTTTTCAAAACAAATGTCTTATATAGGCTTTCATAAACAAATTAATAACCTTTTATAAACTAAATTGATGTATGTTGTGTTCCTTTACTTAACTGATTAAAAGGTTAGAACAATGCAAAAGTGCTTGATGGTTATAATGTGTACACTAAAGCTGACATACTGGCTGATGACTGGCAAAAGCATTAGCAAGTCCAATCAATGCGACCAAATATCTGAAAGGAAAAATGTTTATTACTTTTGCCTAGTAGGAATAGAGATAAAGAAGGTAGACTATAGAAAAACCTAGGTTTTTCAGGAGTCTAGGAAGTCTATCATCCTATTTTCTTTTCTCCTGTATCCCCACTACTGCTTCTCAATTTTACCCTCAAAATACAAATCTAATGATCAATGCACATAAAACTGTTGGGAAGGTGCTAAATGAAGGTGGTCATAAATACTAAGGCACAAATTTGACCTGTGGTAAACTAGTGATGACACCGGTTGCTGAACATATATGTTCACTGGTCCCTGCTCTGCACATACGTTGTATAGTTTCCATGTGTTCATAACTCAGAGATGATTCTTTTGTATTTTTAGTGCCTAGAAACCATAACATGATTACTGGTTGATTGTTTAGAAAAACCAGTTCTTTCTCCGCCACCTTAGGTTTCCCCAAATCATGTGTATATACATCATTCTTTCCCTAAAAGACTCACATGACAAAGACAAACTAGCTGCTCACCAAATCTGTTCTCTTGGGATTATAGCTTGACTGCATTTTCCAACCTCCCTTCTAGCCAGGTGAGGTTATATGACTAAGTTCTAGCCAAGGGAATGTGGGGGGGAAATAATGCAGTGATGATCCATAAATGCTTTTGGCATGGTCCTCTACTTTCTCTCCCCATGTGCTATCTGGATTTTGATCCCAGGGCCATCTAGGGCCCCATGTGTTGAAAACGGCAGATCATCCATCATCCTGGATCCCTGAATGACTATGCAGAGCAGAGATATTTTTCTACCACAAATCAGAGATCATGTAAGAAGCAAATAATTGTTTATCATGTTAAACCATCAAGATTTTAGGATTTACTTTTTTTTTTTTTTTGACAGAGTCTCACGCTGTTTCCCAGGCTGGAGTGCAGTGGTGCAATCTTGGCTCACTGCAGCCTCTGCCTCCTGAGTTCAAGCAATTCTCCCGCCTCAGCCTTCCAAGTAGCTGGGAGTGCACCACCATGCCTGGCTAATTTTTGTATTTTTAGTAGAGACCGAGTTTCAACATGTTGACCAGGCTGGTCTTGAACTCCCGACCTCAAGTGGTCCACACCTTGGCCTCCCAAAGTGCTAGGATTACAGGTGTGAGCCACTGCACCAGCCAGGATTTACTCTTACAGCATCCAGTATTACCTTAACCAATACAATAGGTCACATTCAAATAAAACTAATATATGTTTCAGCTACTACCTGTCATACAGCAGATGCTTAATAAAATATAGCTATTATTAATCACAAAAATGTTATTTTACCTATCTTGCTTATATAAGTCTCTATAATATGTTATATTGAAGTAGTAGGAGACAGAGACAAGCAGTAGTTACAGAGAGTTCTGCTTTGCTGTCATCCATAGGGAATTCAGAATCCATTATTTCTGCTGGAAAATAAGTACAAACAAGCTTAGTCAGGGGTAATATTAGGCACCTATATAGTGTCCTTCATACAGCACAGTCTTAATCAGTGCTTGCTCATTGTACTGATGAAAATATTGAGTAATTACTTCATCTTCCTCTATCAGTCCTTTTTCACACTGCTATAAAGAACTGCCCGAGGTTGGGTAATTAATAAAGAAAAGAAGTTTAATCAACTCACAGTTCCACGTATCTGGGGAGGCCTCAGGAAACTTAGAATCATGGTGGAAGGGAAAGCAGGCATATCTTACATGGCAGGTGAGAGAGAGTGTGTATAGGAGGAAATGATAAACACTTATAAAACCATCAGCTCTCGTGAGAACTCACTGTCACGAGAACAGCATGGGGGGGATCTGCCCCCATGATCCAATCACCTCACACCAGGTCTGTCCCTCAACACCTGGGGATCACAATTCAAGATGAGATTTGGGTGGGGACACAAATTCTAACCACATCACTCCCCTCTGGCCCCCCGTGATTAGGTTATGATCTGGTAACTTTTGCAACAGACCATGGAGAAGACAGAACTGTTATGGTACCCTGGCAAGGTTAGAAGCCTAACTGAAAGCAAATGCTCCAAGCACATCAAAATGTTTTAATATTGATAGCAGAAAACACTTGTTTTGGTTGACATTTAAATTATATCTGAATATAAGGCTCTAACATACAAAATAGTACATAAAGTAATAATTCAGAAAATGTCAAAATTCATAATGGCTTATTCTCACTTGGGTATGACATTTCTCAAAAGACTGAAATATCTCTTTGCAATTTGGTTGTTAGAGCTCTAACCTAAATTCATACAAAGTGAACATTCAATGCTAAAATTTCCATTTTTTAATGTATTACATTGGAAATATAATATGAAGCAGCCATCGTTGCCTTAAAATACCATCCTACTGTATGTTCAAATAGTGGTATTACACAATGGCTTTTTTGAACAGAAGTCTTAAATTCATGGATCTATTAGATGGGAAGATTATTTTAGGTAAACTATAACTTTTTATTTAAAAAGGGGGGTTAGGAAGTAGACTCTGTAATTAGTTATAAGAGGCCATCATTTACCATTTCTTGACATAAGATTCATCCCCAAAGGAAAGTAATATATTATTTGAATTTGAATTTTTATAATGCACATAGTATTTACATTATTTGTAGTATTTACTTTTTTGTAGTATAAACTTTTTATTAACATAAAACACACCTATAGAAAAGTGCACAAATTATAAATATACGACTCAATGAATTTTGCAAAGCTAATCTACCTGTGTAACTAGCACTCAGGCTTAAATACATGATGCTATCAGTATCCCAAGAAGCTCATGCTTCCAGTCACTAACGCGTTGTCCCAAGAGTAAGAACTACCTTGACCCTCAGTACCATACACTACTTTTGCTTCCTTTTGAACTTTATGTAAATAGTATCACATAGGAGCTTTAATATATATTGATAGATTTCCAAAGCAGTTGTAAAAAATCATACTCCTGTCAACAGAGTATCAGAGATCCAGTTGCTCCCATACTCACCAACACTTAAGAGTGTGCGCACATTATTTTTATAATAACAATAGTACTAATGGTTAATAATTATAAAGCCATCTCAATTCAAAGGAACTAATATGAGGCCTAGACCACTTATTTTTAAAATGGGGAAACAATATTTAAATTTTTATTATGAAAATGTTTATACTTACAGAAAATTAGAGAAAAACACCTAGATTTAACAACAGTTAATATTCTGCCATAATTCTTCAACTATTTTTTGACCTTAGTAAATTACAAGAGAAGGACAGAACAAGTGGTGAAATAAGACTCTCCAACAATCATTCATCCACAGAAACATCAACTTGAACTATTCAAACATTGAAAATACTTTCACAAGAACTAAGGAAACCAGGTGAGAGATTACAGTACCCAGTTGTAGCACAATCATAAGAAAAAATACATTGAAGAGGGTAGGAGAACAGTTTTATATTGTCTGTATCAACCCCTCACCCAGTCCCAGGCAGCAGTATGGACAGATATATTGTCCACTTTGGAGAGAGACAGGGAAGTGAGCACAGGGCTTTTTCTTGGACCCCAACAGCAGCACCAAGAAGGGCTCCATGGCTGCAGACCCCAGGCTGGTACTTTTCTACTGAGCCTCCAAACCACCATGGCTCAGTGGTGAACACAAAGGCCTAGGTTTCAGGCCAGTGCAGGAGAAACAATCTTCAGTTTGCACCACCACCAGGCTGACTTCAATGACCCTGGGTTCTGGACAGCCCTAGAGGCAGACAGGTCTCAGCAGCCCCAGGCTTCCAGTCCACCCCAGTGCCATATTGCCTGCAGTGAACCTGGGCTTCAGGCTTGCTCCAGCACTGTCAGCCCCAGTGCTTCCAGGCTTCAAGTACACCCCAACACTGCACAAGCCTTAGCAGCTCCAGGTTTTGGAACCATGCCAGGCACCCTGACCAGAATCTCTGGACAAAGCTGACTGTTGAAAGACTTTCTCAGACAAAGCCAGTCTGAGAAGATTGGAATAAGTACCTACTTCTTCAAATGTGCATACATTGGTACATGGCCACAACGGTCAAGAGCAATCAGTGAAACATTACATCACCAAAGGGACAAAATAAAATGCCAGGAATTAACCCTAAAGAATTGGAGATGTATGAACTGCCTGACAAAAAATCTAAAAGAACTGTTTTCAAGGAAATTCAGTGACCTTCAAGACAATACAAATAAATGAGTCAACAAAATGAGAAAAACGATTAATGATCAGTATGAGAAATTTAATAGAGAGATTGAAAATTAAAAAAAAAAATTAAACAGATCCTGGAGCTGAAAAATATAATGAATAAAATGAAAACTATAATAGAGAGCATCGACAGTGAAATTGATCAAGCAAAAGAGTCTGTGAATTCAAAGACAGGCAATTTTTAAATACTGAGGAGGAAAAAAGGATGAATAAAATAGAAAAGCTTTCAGAAGTTATGAAACAACATCAAAAGTGTAAATGTTTGAGTCGTAGGAGTTGAAGAAGAAGAAGAAAAAGATAAAGGGGTTATTAAATAAGCCTTAAAAGCTTAATTAAAGACATAGTAGCATAAAATTTTCCAAACATGGAGAAAGAGGTAAACATCCAAGTACAGGAAGGCTAAGGTCTCCAATCAGACCAAATCCAAACAAACCTACCTAAAAAGATATTTTAATCAATCTGTCAAAATCAAAGGCAAAGAGAGGATCCTGAAAGCAGCAACATTAAAAGACAAAACAACATATAAGGGAGTTCCAATACAGGTAGCAGCACATTTCTCAGAAGAAACATTATAGGACAGGAGATAGTGAGATTATATATTCAAAGTTCTGAAGACAAAAACTCACAACTGAGAAAACTGCACTCCTGAGCAAAGCTGTCCTTCAGAAATGAAGGAGAAACAAAGACTTTCCCAGATAAACAAAAGCTAGAGAGTTCGTCACAACCAGACCTGTCTTACAAGGAATACTAAAGGTAGTTCCTCAAGAATACTAATGATTAACATAAAAACATCTGAAAGTATAAAACTCACTGAAAAAATAAATACATGATCAAGTTCAGAATACCCTAATACTGTAATGATGATGTATAAGTCATTTTTATCTTTAGTATAAATGTTAAAAGACAATCAATTAAAAATAATAATAACTACAATTACTCACTAAGAGACATACAATACAAAAATGTAAATTTTGATATTAACAATTCAAAATGTGCAGAGAGAGTGGAATAAAAGTTTAGTGGGGTCCTTTTTGCAACCCAAGTTAAGTTGTTTTCAGCTTAAAATATCCTATTATAACTATCAGTTTTTTTAAAGTATCATAGTAACCACAAAACAAAATCCTACAGTAGATACACAAAAAATAAAGTTAGGACATCAAAACGTACTACTAGAAGCCAAGCATGGTGGTGTGTGTCTGTAGCCCTAGCCACCTAGGGGGCTGAGGCAGGAGGATTGCTTGAGCTTAGGAGTCTGAGGCTTCAATGGGCTATGATCACACCTGTGAATAGCCAGTACACTCCAGCCTGGGTAACATAGTTAGACCTTGTATCTAAGAAAAAACAAAAACAAAACCCACATATGCTACTAGAGAAAATTGCAATTACTTAACTAGAAAAAAATAACAAGAAAGTAAGAAAAGAACAAAGAATCTACAAAACAGCTAGAAAACAATTAACAAAATGACCATAGTAAGTCATTATCTATTAATAATTAGCTTGAATATAAATGAATTAAACTCTTAAATCAAAAAACACAGAGTGGCTGAATGGATTATAAAACAAAAGCCAACTATATTCAGTCTACAAGAGACTTACTTCACCTGTAAGGACAGACATAGCCTCCAAGTTAAGGGATGGAAAAAGATACCCCAAAGAAAAGAAAACCATAACAAGGCAGGGGTAGCTATATGTATATAAAGCAGACTTTCAGTCAAAAACTATAAAAGACATAAAAAAAGGTCATTATATAATGCTAAAGTGTTTAATTTAGCAAAAGGTTATAACAACTGTAAATATGTATGCACCTAACATCAGTGTACCTAAATACATAAAACAAATATTAATAGTTCTAAAGGGAGAGATGTACTGCAATACAGTAATAATAGGGAACTTCAACACTCAACTTTCAGCAATAAACAGATCATTCAGAAAGCAAAGCAACAAGGAAACAACAGACTTAAACTATTCCATAGATCAAATGGATCTAACAGACATATACAGAACATTCTACACAATTGCAGCAGAATAAACATACTTGTCAACCACAGCAGAATAAACATTCTTCACAACTGCCCATGGAAGATTCTCCAGGATAGATTATATGTTAGACCACAAAACAAGTCTTAGAATATTTAAGAAGACTGAAATAGCATCAAGTATCTTTTCTGGCCATAATGATGTAAAACTAGAAATCAATAACAAGAAAAATTTTGGAAATTTCACAAATACATGGAAATTAAACAACATGCACTTGAACAAGCAATGCATGAATAAACAAATTTTAAAATTTCTAAGAGAAATGAAAATGGAAGCACAACATACCAAAAGTTACGAGATACAGCAAAAGCAACTGTAAGAGGGAAGTTTAGATTAATAAATGCCTACAACAAAAAAGAAAAATATCAAATAAATGACCTAATGTTTCACCTCAAGGAACTAGAAAACCAATAATAAACTAAGCCCAGAGTTAGTAGAAGGAAGGAAACAATAAAGATCAGCATAGGCTGGGCACAGTGGCTCATGTCTATAATCCCAGCATTTTGGGAGGCTGAAGCAGGCAGATCACTTCAGGCCAGGAGTTCCAGACCAGCCTGCCCAACATGGTGAAACCCCTGACTCTGCTAAAATACAGAAACTAGTGTCATGGCACACTCCTGTAATCCCAGCTCCTCAGGAGGCTGAGGCATGAGAATCACTTGAACCCAAGAGGCAGAGGTTGCAGTGAGCTGAGATCATGCCACGGCACTCCGGCCTGGGTAATACAGCCAGATTCTGTCTCAAAAAAAAAAAAAAAAAAAAAATCAAAGCATAAATAAATGAAATAATGATTAGGGGAAAAAATAGAAAAGATTAAGATTAACAAAACTAAGGTTGAGTTTTTGAAAAAATAATCAAAATTGACAAACCTTTAGTTAGACTAAGAAAAACAGAGAGAAAACTCAGAGAAATAAAATCAGAAATGAAAAAGAAGACATTACAACAGACCCAACAGAAATACAAAAGATCATAAGAAACTATTATGAACTATTATATGCCAAAAAATGTGATAACCTAAAAGAAATGGATACATTCCTGGGCACATACAATGTACTAAGATTTAATTATGAAGAAATAGAAAACCTGAACAGACCAATAACAAGGAGATTGAATCAGTAATAAAAACTTTCCCAGCAAAGAAAAGCCCAGGACCTGATGGCTCCATTGCTGAATTCTACCAAACATTTAAAGAACTATACCAATTCTTTTCAAACTCTTCCAAAAAAGGAATGCTTCCAAACTCATTTTACAAGGCTAGCATTACCCTAATACCAAAGCCAGACAAGGACAGTACATAAAAATAAAACTCCAGACTAATATCCCTGTTGAACATAGATGCAAACATCATCAACAAAATACTAGCAAACCAAATTCAACAGCACATTAAAAAGATCATTCATCATAATCAAGTGGGACCTTTCCCAAGGATGCAAGGATGGTTCAATATACACAAATCAATAAATGTAATACATTACATGAACAGAATAAAGGACAAAAATCGTATGACAATTTCAATAGGTGTAGAAAAGGCATTTGACAAAATTTAACATCCTTTTATAATAAAAACTCTCAACAAATTATGTATAGAAAACATGCACCTCAACATAGTAAAGACCATATATGAAACTCACGGCTAACATTATACTCAACAGAGAAAAGTTGAAAGCTTTTCCCCTAATATCTGGAACAAGATAATGGTGTCCATTCTTGCCACTTCAATTTAACATTGTATTAGAAGTCCTAGCTAGAGCAATTAGGGAAGAGAAAAAAATAAAAGTCATTAAAATAGGAAAAGAAGTGTTTAATTATCTCTGTTTGCAAATGGTACGATCTTATACATAGAAAACCCCTAAAGATGCCACCAAAAAGTTATTAGAACTAATAAACAAATTCAGTAAAGCTACAGGATACAAAATTAACAGACAAAAATTACTAGCATTTCAATACACTTACAGTGAACTATCTGAAAAAATAACCAAGAAAATAATCTCATTTATAATAACTATAAAAAACCCACTTAGGAATACATTGAACCAAAGAGATGACAGATCTCTACATTAAAAACTATAATAATGTTGATGGAAGAAATTGACAAAGACACAAATAAATATAAAGATGCTCCATGTTCATGAGTTGGAGGAATTAATATTGCTAAGATGTCCATACTACCCAAAGTGATCTACAAATTCAATACAATTTCTATCAAAATACCAATGACATTCTTTACAGAAATAGGAAAAAAAAATCCTAAAATATACAGAACCACAAAAGACCCTCAACAGCCAACACAGCCTTGAGCAAGAAAAACAAAACTGGAGGCATCACACTACTAGACTTTAAAATTTACTACAAAACTAGAGTAACCAAATCAGTATGGCACTATCATAAAAATGCATATAGACAAATGGAGCAGCATAGAGAACCCAAATGGAAATCCACACATTTATAGCCAACTGATTTTCAACAAAAGTGCCGAGAACACACAATGGATAAGGGACAGTCTGTTTAATAAATGGTGTTGGGAAATTTGGATATCCACACATAGAAGAATAAAATTGAATCCCTATTTTACATCACACACAAAAGTCAACCCAAAATGGATTAAAGACTTAAATGTAAGACCTGAAACTACGAAATTACTAGAAGAAAACATTGGGGAAAAATTTCATGACATTGGTCTGGGCAATAATTTTCTGGAAATGACCCTAAAAGAACAGGCAATAAAAGCAAAAAAAAGAATAATGAAATCACATCAAACTAAAAAGCTTTTGCACAGCAAAGGAAACAATCAACAGAATGAAGAGACAATCTACATAATGGGAGAAAATATTTGCAAACTATATATGTGATAACGGGTTAATATTCAGAATATATAAGAAATTTAAACAACTAAATAGCAAGAAAATAAATAACTCGATTTAAAAAAATGGACAAAGGACCCAAATAGACATTTCTCAAAAGACGACATAAAAACAGCCAACAGATATATGAAAAAAAAAGCTCAGCATCGCTAATCATCAGAAAAATGCAAATTAAAACCACAACAAGAGATCACCTTATACTTGTTGCAATGGCTATTATCAAGGCAAAAGATAACAAGTATTGGTGAGGAAGTGGAAAAAAGGGAACCCTTATACACTACTGATGGGAATGTAAAGTAGTACAACCATTATGGAAAACAGTATGGAGGTTCTTCAAAAAATTAGAAATAGATTACAGTGAACCAGAGTATAATTTTTTTATTAAAAATAGAACTGCCATATGATCCAGCAATCTCATTACTGAGTAAATATGCAAAGGAATGAAAACAGTATGCCAAAGAAATATCTGTACTCTCATGTTTATTGAAGTATTGTTCACAATAGCCAAGATCAACCTAAGTGTTCATCAGTGGACAAATAAATAAAGAAAATGTGGTATATATACACAATGGAATACCATTCAGCCATAAAAAGGAAGAAATGCTGTTATTCATGACAATGTGAACGAACTTGGAGGATGTTAACTGAAACAAGCCAGGTACAGAAAGACAAATACTGCCTGATTTCACTCATATGTAAAATCTTTAAAAGTTGATCTCATAGAAGCAGACAATAGAATGGTAGATATCAGAGGCTGGGACAGTTGAGGTCAAAGGATGTGGCTGATGTTGGTCAAAGGATACAAAATTTCAGTAAGATATGAGAAACAGGTTCAGGAGATCTATTGTACAACATGGTGACTATGGTTAGTGTATTGATTCTTAAAGAATGCTAAGAGAGTGGATGCCAAGTGTTCTCACCACAAAAATAATAACTACCTGAGGTAATGCATATGTTAATTTGCTAGATTTAGTCATTCCACAATGTATATATGCTTCAAACCATCTTTTTTTACATGATAAATACTTACAATTTTATCTGCTAATTTTAAAATAAAATGATACAACAAATAAAGTAAACTACATATGTCAAGACATTTCAATCTAAACTGTTTAGTATACATTTCTTTAAAAGTAAGACTATTTTCCTACAGAATCATAACACTATGACATCTAACAAATTTACAATTATTTCCTTTTAACATCTAAGATCCCATATACACTCAAATTTCCCCTACTTATCCAAAAAATATATTTTTACAACTGACTTATTTAAACCAGGATTTGCTAAAGTAATACACATTTTATTTTATTCCATCTGGTTGTATGTTTCTGAAGTTCCTTAATCTGAGAGTCCATGCTCCACCTCCCTCCCTACTTTTAAAAATGATTTGTTGAATTAACAAAGCCACTTATCCTGTAGGATGTCCCACCTCCTGGATTTGCCTTACCATTTCTTCATGATCTCATTTAATTTGTTCTTCTATCCCATGTATTTCTCATAAACTTAAAGTTAGATCAAGCTTTACTTTAGAGCAGTGACCTTCACGTTGCATCACCACAAGATGCAGACACCATCTCATGTCTCACCATCAGTCATACAAAGACTAATCACTGGGTTAAGATAGTGACTCTGAGACCTTTTGATTATAAAGTGATATATTTTTCCTTCCAACCTTCCCTTAATCTGGAAGATGACTCTATTTTTATGTTAACAAAAATAAATTATGAAAGAAAATTAAAATATAAGGTGTGCCCTGGCAAAATTGTTAGGGAAGGTTTATCTACAGCACATATATCCCCATTTTTAATTTATTTGGCCCTTCATTTTTCTTCTTCCCCAACATATTCCATGGCCTCTACTTACCTCCTACATATATAGTGGTACTAGACCAATGACAAGTCGGTAGGAAAGGTATCCTGGAAGAATTTTGACTCTAAACTCCTATGTGCAATGTTCACAAGCTGGAAAAAGAATACCAACATCCTTTGGATTATTGCCTGTGTGGTGGCCTTCATTTTCAAGATGTTTTATAAACATTGGCTATTGGGTCAACCACTTTCTACAACTGTAACAATGTCCTCTTAAAGACAATTTATTTTACAAATGTGGACTAGTCATTAACTATTAAAAATAGTTATTATTATTAGTCTCACAAGAATGTCACCCTCTGACGGGACCAATAATAATATAAGACATAACAGCAGGAAGAGGGGCTTTTTTGGGTAATGTTTTGATAGTTTAGAAGAAGCCATA
The DNA here is from genome assembly GCF_000001405.40 of Homo sapiens. Lineage (NCBI taxonomy): Eukaryota > Metazoa > Chordata > Mammalia > Primates > Hominidae > Homo > Homo sapiens. Next base: position 88,236,651 of record NC_000006.12, read on the forward strand.
ATAAGAAGGCAAGATTCTTCTTCTATCAGTGTACAAGAGCTGCACAATTACTCCGTGAACATTTGTCTCTTCAATGCACTATGTCAATCCTGATGTTTTATTGTCCCATGAGGCATATTATTGGGTCTCAAGCGTGGAAAAAAGCTAGGAGAATATTAAGCCCTGAATATGAAGGATGGATACTCACCATGTGCTCAGCAGCCTGGAAATCATTATTTAATATTAAGTTATTAGATGATTACTGAGCCAAAAGGACATAATATCCATTATGTAAATGTTCAGTCACGGACACTGTGCCCCAACACTTATTAACTCCAAGCTGAATATTGAATGGCATGCATCCAAAACTAAACATGTTCAAACAGACAAGTACTTTGTCTTTAAAAAGCAGGACCATTCGGTCAGTAGTACATTATGTCTTACAAATAAGAGAGCACTTTTTCTTGAACAATGTTAAACACTCTAGCCAGTAAAAGTGAGAGCTGGGGATGAAGCAGATAGTGTGCTGGGAAAGGGAGAGCATTTCACGGCTACCTGTGAAGTTCACATTTTGTCCTGCCTCTATTTGAACAAACATTCTCAAGGTGCAGCACAATTCCACGTGCAGAGGGCTGGTGGCTATACTCTGCAAGTCATTCAAAGATTTAGAAAAGAAATTCTCCTCTTTATAATGTTATGTATAACAGTAAGTGACTTTCGTATAATTCACTGGTTTATCTGTTCATCTTAGCATTTTCAAAAATGAATTCATGACTCTGTAATGCAGCTTTTGTGGGTCTTTGAGTTTTATAAAGTTGGCCTGACAACCTTTTATATATAGTAGCCCACAGAGAGTAAAGAGATTTTTTTTATTTTATCAGTCTTCCTGTGGCTCTGAGGGAGTTCCCCTGTCACATAAAAATTGCCTTTGTTTCTTCAAATGCTGTACAACCCCTAAATGACCAGTGTTGGGAAGACTTTTTGCTCCCATTTCGTACACCCAATGTTTGTCTTCCTTTTCAAGTCCTGGTACATTGTTTAGCATGGGAAAGACGCCCATTAAAGGATTGTTGAATTAACACATGATAAAATAAATCGTTGTATAATATCAATCAGAGTATGTGTTCTGGGCAAGTCTTGAAGCTTAGATCGTGAAACTTAAATAATTTGGTCAGTGTAATCATTTCCAGAGCAATTGAAACCATTTAATCCTTCTGATCTTGGCTTTTTGTGGGAGTGGGGGCAGAGTACATGAGTAAAGTACCAGAGGGAGCTGTTTTTATAATTGTGTTCTTTTACTCTTATGAGGAAACCACTACATAAATGTGAATCTCATAGGGGCAACATATGTTTCTAGAAAATATGCAACAACATGTGAGCTAGCAGGAGAGAGAAGCCATGAGAACTTTCATTTCTCATGGAAGGAGTTGATTAGCAGGCACAGCTAGCTGCTCAACTTTGACTTGTTTCTCACGTTTTCTGGGGAAGAGACTCCTGTCTCTGAGATATAGTCCTAGATCCCTGCTGCCTTGTCCCTTGAAGAAAACTGACTTCTTGTAGTCTGTGGTCAAACTCCTGTGGCATTTTGTCCTGCCTTCTGATGAAGGCTGTCTCTTGAGGCTTTCAGCTGGATCCCCTAGGACTGGCTGCCTCCTACTGGTTTTGCTGAGAACATTCCACTCATCAGCCTCTGCCCAGAAGATTAGTCCTTTACCTGCTGGCCAGCTCTGATCTTTCTAGATAGTAAATTGGCCAGGATAGGAGATACTGACCATTTCAGGAAGAAGTTACATTGTCACTATCTACCTAATTTGGGAAGTAAACTTCACTTGCCATAAACAAATCAGTACTCTTGTCTACTATGCTACATCACCTGGCCACAGTCACTGGATCTTGGCATCTGCTGCTGGGCCTGCCATCTCTCAGTTGGTGGCAGATACTTAGGGGGTCACAGTGAAAAGAATGCTCGCCTCTTCAGGCCCATTTGTATCCTGTCAATCACTCAGAAGAGCAGGGGTGTTGGATTATGTGTTAGGTCTCTCCTTCAAATCTTGCAGGAGACCATAATGACACCACCACTTTCTGGAGACCAGCCTTCCAAAAGCAGTCAGGAGAGAGAAGAATGTAAATGAAAAGTTCCTGGATGCTTAGAGATAAATGACCAATTCAAGAACCAAAGGCCTAAATATTACAAAAACACTGCATAGTAAAAGGAGGAATTTCCTGACCAGTGGCCAATGTCTCTAAAAGGTAGATCTTTAGATGTGAGCCCAGAAGTAAGTAGTATAGATAGGAGAGAAGCAGGGTGAAAATGAAAATAAATCAATGGAAATGAGCACTAAAGGCTGTAGCAACATCAGTCGGAAATAGCGATAGAGACAGTGGGCAGGGCCCTTCTGAACATTGGTAGAAAGAAAGCTAATGCAGGGAGAAGGGGAGTTAGGTGCAACTTGGACGTCTTTGAGGATAGGGCTAGAACCATCTGTTAACTACAGATGGTCCCTGGCTTTTTTCAGCTTTATGATGGGTTTATCAGGGTACTAAATGCATTTTTCACTTTCAATATTTTCCACTTACAATGGGTTTATTTGGATGTAACCCCATCATAAGTTAAGGAGCAGCTGTACAGAGAAAAAGTTGAAAACATATCTCTACCTCACAACATAGAGAAAAATAAATTCCAAATGAACCAAGGACTTTCATGTGAACGACAAAACTTTAAAAATTTTGGAAAAAATACAGGATAAAATGTTTATGAAATTTTGAAATTTCAGTGTATGAAAAGATTTCTTCACCAAGTTACAAAAAATATGCAACCCTAATAGGAAAAGATTCATAAGTTTGACTCCATTAAAATTAAGAACTTCTTTTCCTAGAAAGACACCAAACAGGGGAGTGAAGAGATAAGCACCAACTGGAAGAAAGTATTTGCAGCACATATAAATAAAGATGTTATTCAAAATATTTAATAACAAGTGTAGTGTAGGCATCACTAATTAAAATAGATGCCAATGGTCAGACTCACTGGCTCACACCTGTCATCCCAGCACTTTGGGAGGCCAAGGTGGGCGGATCACTTGAGGTCAGCAGTTCGAGACCATCCTGGCCAACATGAAACCCCATCTCTACTAAAAATATGGAAATTAGCCAGGTGTGGTGACATATGCCTGTACTACTACTCGGGGGAGGCTGAGGCTACTTGGGGGAGGCTGAGGCAGGAGAATGGGTTGAACCTAGATAGCAGAGGTTGCAGTGAGCCGAGATTGTGCTACTTCACTCCAGCCTGGGTGATAGAGTGAGACTGTCTCAAAAAAAAAGGATGCCAACAATAAACCACTATCACATCACAACACTACCAATACATTGCAGCTCAACATCGCTGTGTATAACAAAAGACAAGAATATAGAATATATAAAGAATGCCCATATATATATGCACATACATATATATGAGATAAACAGATAGTAGAGTGGGCAAAAAAAAGGTATTTCACAGAAAAGGGAACATGAAGTACTATACTAATATATAAAAAGACTTGGCTCTGTGGCTCATGCCTGTCATCCTAGCATTTTGGCAGGTCAAGGTGGGTGGATTGCTTGAGCCCAGGAGTTCGAGACCAGCCTGGGCAAGATGACAAAAAACTGTCTTGGCAAAAATTATAAAAATTAGCTGGTCATGATGGTGCACACCTAAGCACCAGCTACTCCAGAGGCTGAAGGATGATCACCTGAGCCTGGGAGGTTGAAGCTGCAGTGAGCCAAGATTGTGCCACTGCACTCCAGCCTGGGCAACATAGTGAGACCCTGTCTCAGGAAAAAAATATATATATATGTGTGTGTGTGTGTGTGTGTGTGTGTGTGTGTATGAAAAGACAAATCTCCTTAATAATCATGAAAATGTAGATAATAAACCGCCATAAAATCCTGTTTTTCAGCTACCAGACTGGTAAAAGAAATGAAAAAGTTTAGTCAGCCATAGTACTGGCATAAATGTGGAATAATAGTAACTCCCCTTCATGTTGACAGAAACATATACTGGCACAATCACTTTGGAAAACAGTTTGGTATTACCTAGAACATTTGAGGCATGCATGCACCCTACAACCCAGCATTTCCACTCATAGGTGTAAACCCTGGAAAAATTCTCACCCATGTGCACCAGGTTACATGTACAATACTGCTCTTTATATCATTGATTGTAATAGAAAAAATGAAAACAATTCAAATGCCCACTGATATATATATGTATCATATATATATCATATATCATATATAATATATATATATAAAATATATAATATATATATAATACTTTAAGTTCTGGGGTACATGTGCAGAACGTGCAGGTTTGTTACATAGGTATACATGTGCCATGGTGGTTTGCTGCACCCATCAACCCATCATCTACATTAGGTACTTCTCCTAAGGCTATCCCTCCCCCACACCCATACTTTCCAACAGGCACCAGTGTGTGATGACCGCCCCCCAACCCCTCTGTCCATGTGTTCTCATTGTTCAACTCTCACTTATGAGTGAAAACATGTGGTGTTCGGTTTTCTGTTTCTGTGTTAGTATGCTGAGACTGATAGTTTCCAGCTTCATCTATATCCCTGCAAAGGACATGAGCTCATCCTTCCTTACAGCTGCATAGTATTCCATGGTGTATATGTGCCACATTTTCTTGATGAGGTTGTTTGTTTTTTTCTTGTAAATTTGTTTAAGTTCTTTGTAAATTCTGGATATTAGTCCTTTGTCAGATGGCTATATTGCAACAATTTTCTCCCATTCTACAGGTTGCTGTTGACTCTGATGATAGTTTCTTTTGCTGTGAAGAAGCTCTTTAGTTTAATTAGATCCCATTTGTTAATTTTGGCTTTTATTGCCATTGCTTTTGGTGTTTTAGTCATGAAGTCTTTGCCTATGCCTACGTCCTGAATGGTATTGCCTAGGTTTTCTTCTAGGGTTTTTATGGTTTTAGGTCTTGTGTTTAAGTCTTTAATACATCTTGAGTTAATTTTTGTATAAGGTGTGAGGAAGGGATCCAGTTTCAGTTTTGTGCATATGGCTAGCCAGTTTTCCCAACACCATTTATTAAATAGCGAATCCCTCCCCCATTGCTTGTTTTTGTCGAGTTTGTCAAAGATCAGATGGTTGTAGATGTGTGGTGTTATTTCTGAGACCTCTGTTCTCTTCCATTGGTCTATATATCTGTTTTTGTACTAGTACCATGCTGTTTTGGTTACTGTAGCCTTGTAGTATAGTTTGAAGTCAGGTAGCATGATGCCTCCAGCTTTGTTCTTTTTGCTTAGGGTTGTCTGGGCTATGCGGGCCCTTTTTTGGTTCCATATGAAATTTAAAGTGTTTTTTTTCCAATTCTGTGAAGAAAGTCAATGGTGGCTTGATGGGGATAGCATTGAATCTATAAATTATTTTGGGCAGTATGGCCATTTTCACGATATTGATTCTTCCTATCCATGAGCATGGAATGTTTTTCCATTTGTTTATGTCCTCTTTTATTTCCTTAAGCAGTGGTTTGTAGTTCTCCTTGAAGAGGTCCTTCACAACCCTTGTAAGTTGTATTCCTAGGTATTTCATTCTTTTTATAGCAATCGTAAATGGGAGTTCACTCATGATTTGGCTCTCTGTCTGTCTGTTATTGTTGTATAGGAATGCTTGTGATTTTTGCATATTGATTTTGTATCCTAAGACTTTGCTGAGGTTGCTTATCAGCTTAAGAAGATTTTGGGCTGAGATGATGGGGTTTTCTAAATATACAATCGTCATCTGCAAACAGAGACAATTTGATTTCATATTTTCCTAACTGAATACCCTTTATTTCTTTTTCTAGCCTGATCGCCCTGGCCAGAACTTCCAATACTATGTTGAATAGAAGTGGTGAGAGAGGGCATCCTTGTCTTGTGCCAGTGTTCAAAGGGAATGCTTTGAACAGAGTTTTTGCCCATCACTATGATATTGGCTGTGGGTTTGTCATAAATAGCTCTCATTATTTTGAGATATGTGTCATCAATACCTAGTTTATTGAAAGTTTTTAGCATGAAGGGCTGTTGAATTTTGTTGAAGGCCTTTTCTGCATCTATTGAGATAATCATGTGGTTTTTGTCATTGGTTCTGCCCACTGATACTAAAATGGATAAATAAATCATGGTGTTATATATTTTCGCAGCAAAACACACAACAGTGAAAATGAATGAACTATAGCTATATGAATGAGTCTCAACAACATATCACAAAATGAAAAAGCAAATCATAAAGGATATATGCAAATTCATTCATGTATACAAAGTCAAAAGTAAGAAAAAACACCTAAGTGTTTAGGATCAACAAGGAATGTTGGGGGAGGTATGGGATAGTTCTATAGGAAATTAACCAATTTTATTTTATTTTATTTATTTTTTTATATTTTTTATTTTTTTGAGATGGAGTCTCGCTCTGTCGCCCAGGCTGGAGTGCAGTGGCACGATCTCGGCTCACTGCAAGCTCCGCCTCCCGGGTTCACGCCATTCTCCTGCCTCAGCCTCCCGAGTAGGTGGGACTAGAGGTGCCCGCCACCAAGCCCAGCTAATTTTTTGTATTTTTAGTAGAGGCAGGGTTTCACTGTGTTAGCCAGGATGGTCTCGATCTCCTGACCTCATGATCCACCCGCCTCTGCCTCCCAAAGTGCTGGGATTACAGGCGTGAGCCACCGCGCCTGGCCAAAATTAACTAATTTTAAAATGTAATTTATATTTCATCATTCCAAACTTAGAGTCCTGAGTTAAAATAAAATTGCAGTTCATTGGCTGTAAACATTTTGTTTGTTTTACAAAATATTTCCTGATCCAAACAAGCAAGTAAGCATGAAATGTCATTTAAAACAATCTGATTTGCATTATTAGACAAAATATATCCCTTTTATCTATAGTTTTCTTTATAACTAATCTTTTTCATTATAACTTTGTTTATAATTTGAGACTTAATTTTTAATAATTTGTTTAAAATTTTTCTTCCTATATTTTGAATAAGAAAAATAATTTTTAATCTTGTGCATTGAGTGATTTCAATGTATAGATACATATACATCTATATAACAATTTTTAAAAGGGTATAACTTTTGTTTAAAATTCACCTTTATAACTATATGTAAAAGTTTAACACATTTGTTCACAACTAACATTATTTTTAGCTTAATTTAATTTTAATTTCTACTCTTGAATATTTTATTACTTTTATGAGACACTTTAGAGGTTGGATTATTTTCAATTAATTGGGTAAATCTATTAAAATTTGTAATTAGTTTTAATACTCAGATAAGTTTATTTTCCAACAATGACATTTTTAATCTTCTGTATTCAAACATGTAATAAATGAGCATAATATAAAATGCCCAAAGTGCAAATTGATTTATTAAGTATAAAATTAACAGAGCAGCTATCTTTTAAAATAAGTTTTTAAACCTGTAAGATAATTATTTTTTAATTATTATTAATCAAATAAAAATATACGGACCCATGCTTAGAACCATATCCTTGTGATAATGTTTTCTCACCTCACAATAAATAAGTAAAGAAAAATAAGTCTGCTCGTATTGCTCTAATAAACTAATATGTTTTAATTTTATATTTGATCCAGGATGGGAAGAAAGTTTGCAGTGTTCTCAATATTTGAATACATTTATTTTACATTTCTATAAAATATCACTTTTTTTTCTTCTTTTTATTTTGGGACAGAGTCTCGCTCCGTCACCAGGCTTGAGTGCAGTGGCGCGATCTCCACTCACTGCAACCTCCACCTCCCACGTTCAAGCAATTCTTCTGTCTCCACCTCCCAAGTAGCTGGGACTGCAGGCGTGTGCCACCAGGCCCAGCTAAATTTTGTATTTTTAGTAGAGACGGGGTTTCACTATGTTGGCCAGGATGGTCTCCATCTCTTGACCTCGTGATCCACCTGCCTCGGCCTCCCAAAGTGCTGGGATTACAGGCATGAGCCACCTCACCCAGCCAAAATATCAGTTTAATACTCTGTAACTGATTACAGTTTTGCAATGTGCTAAAAGCATACTATGGCATGAAATATTACCATTTTAGTTTACATACGATTTCCTTTTTACATTTGTAAGACATAGGCCATTTGCAATGCAGTGTCTTTGTTGTATTTCTTTTTTTTTTGAATGTTTTTATGATGAAAAGCAGTGATCATTGTGCTCTCTATTTTCCATTACTAGACAGGTAATTTTACTCCTGTGTTAAAGCATTATGCCTTTTCCAGAAGTGTTGAAAAACTGTCATGTTGTACATGCATTTCATACTTACCGAGTCTGGCATTTGGAAACTTGAGAAAATCCTGCAAGTGAGGCTATTATCAAACACAGAATTCTCTATAGAAACGAACTGAGATCTGGGACAAGTGAAAGGAAGAATACCTACTGTATGGAAATTAAAATAGTCTCTGCAACACTCAACAATGAAAAAGCTCAAATTCCACTCCAAGGCAGAGATATCACAAATGGCTTCTGGCTCACAAAGAAAATCAACCCAGGAAGATGTGCTGATTTACACTGCTGATATGCCTGAAAAATGGGCATAGGAAGAATATAGCTTTCAAAACACAGAAAGGCGGGTGAATAATTAGATTTGTACTAGGAGATACATAATGCAGAAAGAGTCCTTCAGAATGAGTACCATACAAAAGGGATGCAGGACTGGAGTGAGGACCAGGGCGGACGCTCTGCCTGTGTCTCAACCTGAGAGCTGCTCCAAGAAGCGTCCAGCGAAAATGATGGTTTAAGAAGAATTCATTAAGGTCCATAATGGGTACCCAGAGGTGATCATAAACTTGCAAAGAAAGTCTGTCACTTAGTGCTGTCTTATTACAGTCTCTGCACTAGGTGTTACATAATTTCCCATTTCTCTAACAGATGGAAAAAGCACACTTTGATGTACCTTTTATTAATTTCACTGGCTTTTGAATTGTCTGAACTGTGGAGACCTACTACAATGCACCAGCCTGTTCATTACAGCTCTTGTCTACTCAGTTTTTGGAGAATGAATGAAATAGCCTAGAAATTGAAATATGAACTGTAGTTAAGTCCATGAGGACGGTTTGTCTGCATCAATAAATGTGCAGGGACACATATGCAGTGTGCTGCGATTCCAGGGAAGGATGAAATTGCGTACACTCCTACATTTTTTGAAGGCACACATCCATCCCTATCCTAAACAGCCTATAATGACATTTATATCACCCTTTACGTCACTCCTTTTTCTTTTCTTTTTCCTTCTGTCTTTGATAAAGGTGGAAGGGTGAGAGGTGATGGGAAGCAGAGTGAGTGAAGATTGTCAACGTTTTCTACACAGCCTCTCTCTCTCTCTGTCATGCATACAAATAAACACACACAAACTGTCATGAGTAGATCAAAACCCAAGGCCCTGACCTCGACTTAAAATCCAGGGCAAAGATTAAGAAGTGCCCACACTTTAGGAAAGTGAAGTTAAGTCCCACATCCATGGACCATGTCCTCATAGCATGATAAAGACAAATCTGTACTTTCTGACTTGGTTCAAGTCCTAGCTCCACCAGCTCTTTGGCCTTAGATAAATTGCTTAATCTCACTAAGCCTTACTTTCCTCGTGTACAAATGACTGACTAGCCAACATCCACTGCAGGGTCTCTCAGCCTCAGCACTGTTCATATTTGGGGCCTGATAATTCTTTGTCATGGAGCTGTCCTATGCATTGTAGGATATTTAGCCATACCCCCTGGCTTCTACCCACTAGATGCCCAGTAACATCCCCTCCCATCCCCAGTGTGACATCGAAAAATATCTTCAGACATTGCAAAATGTATCCTGGGTGACAACATTGCTTCTGGTTGAGAACCACTTTTCTATTATTTTGATAAGTGCCAAGAGATTTTCTAAAATCTCTTTGACTGTTAATTGTATCAATTCTTTCCAACATAGAGATGGGTACTATCATTATCTGCATTTCACAGAGGCAGACACCGAAGCACAGTAAAATTAAGTACCTTCCTGGAGATTACATGGATTTAGGAGGCTGAGCTTGGACAGCAAACCAGACATCAGGCTCCATGTGAGTACTTTTTACCTCTATAGTCTGAAATGATCAAAGCACCAGGCTCATATAACTGACTTGAGTATTCAATGACTCAGCGACTGTAGAGGCTACCACTACTGTTGCTGTTGTCACTATCAAAAGCACAGCTTATCCCTTCTGCAAGTCAAGGCTTTATCTATGAATCTCAGGGACAGCTGCTGCCCTGCCACACCCCCAGTCTGTGCCTCAGGAGAAGGGAGGAGGCAGCATTTCTGTTGGACTTCCCTCTTCATCTGCTGATTCCCACTTCGGTTCAGTCCTCCATCTCATTTCCATCACTATTTGATTCAAAGGTTCAGGGGAATCACAAGAAACTTCACATTCAGAAAGAGGGGTACTCAATATAGAACCAGTGCTTCCCAAACTTGGCTGCACTTGGGAGCCTCAGGAGCTCGGCAATACTGACTGGTGCTCAGAACCCTAACCTAGAGATTCTGCGTTAACTAGATTATAGTGAGGCCTGGGTATGGGGATTTTAAAAAGCCTCCCAGGTTGTTCTAACATGCAGCCCAATGTTTTGAGCCATTGACCTGAGATATCTTTTCTGTACTAATCTATTTTCAGTCCATGTGATTTTAATATCATTTACTGATTAAATTAAAGTGCTGTTTTATGTCACCAGGTGGTAACTAACTTGCAATTTACTTCATAAGCTATAATCACTTCATAATGGAAAGTGTGCAGAAAAAAATGAATGCAGGAGAGAAGAATTTAGTTTAGATTTGCTGTTTTCATGAATGCTGCCCAGAGGGTAATCCAATTACAGATGAATAGCCCTTGTTCTCTGGACAGAAACTCAGTGACAGTAGACAGGGGAGTTTATCAGGCTAAAAAAATAAATAAATAAAATAGAGTCTTTAAAGTCTAAAAATAAGTGATTGGCTAAATAAAGCTTATGTTATGAAATGGTGTGCTTCCTTCCATAAAGGTCATTGTTCTGAAATATATATATATACTAACACAGAAAAATGATCACAATATGTTATCCAATGAAAAAATTGGGTTACAAAATTGTGTATACATGACCACCTGTTTCTTTGTACAACAAAAATAAATATTCATAGGATGTATTTAGAAGGTTGTTCTCCAAAATGTTAACAGTAGTTGTTACTGGATGATGAGATTGAAAGTCATTTTTCTCCTTTCTGTCTCTTGATATCTTACAAATTTTCTGCAATACTTGTGTAACACAAATATATAAAAAGAAATGTCAAGAAATTCAACTCTCCTAGCCAGGCATGGTGGCATGTGCCTGTAATCCCAGCTACTCAGGAGGCTGAGGCAGGAAGATTGCTTAAGCTCAAGAGTTGGAGGTTGTAGTGTGCCATGATCATGCCTGTGAATAGCCACTACATTCCAGCCTGGACAACATAATGAGATCCTATCTCTAAAAAGAAAAAAAGAAAAAAGAAATCCAACTCTCTTTGTTCTAATCTCATATTTAGGGAAGCATTCTTCTAGTCTATAATCTGGCAGATTTAGCGGACCTATCCCAAAATGAAAAGGTTATTCTAGCTGGCTTTAGGCATCTAGTCTCAGGTAAGTTAAAACCACTAGTATAGTTTTTAAAGTAAATTTTTGCTGCAGCCAAGGTCAGGCCTGCAAAAGTCAGTGGACCAGGGTCTAATTCCCCACGCTCCATGGTGGGGCCTCCCTGGGAAGCTACCCTGAAACAGCCATATGGCCTTACCCTGTCTCCTCACACACAAAACCATATGCATGGGATTTTGTGTGTATGCTTTCATTTGGAGATCTTGCCTCAGCCACTCTTCTTCTAGGTGGGCCATTTAAATATTCAGACAATTTCATTATGAGGTCAATTTTGAGCTGGACCTAGGATTTGCATTCCTGTTTGAGAAAATAGTAAAAGCAGCTGAAGACATGTTGCTGAAAGCATATGGAGACAATAAAAGTATAGAAATCTAACTCTTGTATTCACAGTCTTTTATTTTGAAAGCAAATGCCTAATAAAATCATATCACCAACACAGAGCTTTGTATGTGATAAATATTTGATGAATGAGTAAATGAATGAGCCAACAAGCAAATATAAACAAAAGCCATCCATGTAGAAGGAAAATGAATTTTACCTAGTGTGGGGTAGGTCCCTCAGTGAGCCAACCTTATCTTTTTTTTGCACTTTCAGATTCAGACTTTTTCACAGATGAGTGACACATAGTTCCTGTGGTTAGAAGCAATTCACAGACTTCTAGTGCCAGAGTTCATACGATAAGCCAGGTGAAAATATCTTCCGAATGGAAAGAAAATTAAGAAAAACCCTTTCTTTACAATATCTACTTTTGTGTGATTGTTATATCCTTTTCAGAAGCCATTTTTTTTTGGTCTGATACATATACCATGCCTAATTCTACAATAATAGCTTAGTCATCACATTCAGGAATTAGAAATATCTTCGGGAAATCATTTAGTTCATCCCTAAACCCCTACCACACTGCCCCTCCACTCCTGTTTCTATAAAGAAAAACACCTAACCTCTTATAAACACAGGATTCTGATTGCATCATAAAGGCCTCCAAGGAAAGCGATCCTATCACTTTTCTTAGTAACATTTTCCAAGGTTTTATTTATCAAAGTGAAATTAAGAAATTATTAATTTGATCCCAGGTATCAGTGTTTATAATCATCACAATACATTATCATTCTATTGATAAACTAAAAATAATTTCCTTAATGTATTCTTTCTAATCTGAGTCAAATCTAAAATTAATCATCTATAATTATCAAACCTAATTTAATTAAAACTAGCTGTTCACCATCTGGTCTTATTTGTATAAATTTAAGAATCTACCATTTCATAAGAAATTCCTCTATTTAACCAATTATGTTAAGCATCATTACTATGTAATTAATCTCAGTTCAAATTACATTTGTTGTCACTTGACAGAAAAGTAATTTATGTGATAAAAAAGCAGTTGACCAACTAATTATTCTGCCAATTGGGGTCTTTTATCTCAATGTTTCACCTTTTTTTTTTTTTTTAAAAAAAGGTATTTTGTAAGAAAACATTCTTTTTGAAATATGAAATTAGCTTTTATCATTGCAAAGTAAACATAAGAAATTATATTTGGAATGAATCATCATTATGTTTTGCAGTTTCAAGACCTTTATCTAGATAAATTAGTAAACAAGGAAATAAATTAATGGTAAAAACAGGCCATAAATTTAAAACCAAATGCACTAAGTGAAGAAAATTCATAGGGAAGTAGGAATTAGGTAAGAATGTATGTATTCCCAAAAGCAGCTTTCTGCAGTATTCTTGATTGCAAGCTACATTCAGATTTGTTTCCCTCTTTGTGATTGATAAATCTAATAGAAGAGATGAATAGTTACTGATTATGAAAAAGATACCTTTATAAATAATTCTTATTTTTATGCATTTCTTTTTGAAGGCTTTCGGAAAATCAATGATGCTACCGTAAAGAGTCTTAAAAAATGTTGTTCAGTTGTTCTCCTTAAATCCTGTCATGTGAGATTTTGATCATCAAAGGACTGAGTGAATTTCTGAGTAAAAAGAAACAATTTTGAAGACAAGACTTCCTTGCTTGAGTAGGAGCTGGGCAGAAAATCCAGAGTATGGCAGAAAAAAATAAAACCATCTAGGATTCTTCCTCTGGCTCCAACCTTGCTCTAGATGAGTGGAGCCAAAAAGGGAAGGAGAAGAATAAGAAATGGACATATGTCCAAATCTAAGAAACACTTTGTAGGATAAAGAAAGAACTTCTTTCTACAAACAGGGCTCAGTAAGGAGTCAAGTAATATTGTGTTCCTCTATTTGTTCTGTTCTTATTCTGTGCTATAAGCTGGTGCAAGTGTACTAGGCATTCAAAAGTTGCCAAGTTTCATAGAAGTGGAGGCCATGTAACAAGAGGAGCTATTAAATATTTTTTTTATCAGCCTGATTAAGAGCAAAAACATGGTGGCAAATTTTTGTAATTTTAACATTGATTTTAAGTCTTAAAATCATGGGCTGTGTATTAAATAATAGAATTACATCAATGTTAAATCTTCTGAATGTGATCATTGCACTGTGGTTATGTAAAAGAATACCTTGTCTTAGGAAATATACACTGATATATTTAGAGGCAAATGGGGCACAATTTTTAAAAATTGTATATGTATATATGTATATTGTATATGTATATAGTATATGTATATATATAAATTATATATGTATGTATATATATAGCCATATATATGTATATATGGCTCTCTCTCTCTCTCCATATATATATATATATATATATATATATATATATATATATATGGCAAAGTGCCAAAATGTTAGCCATTAATGAACCTGGGTGAAGGAGTTCTCTGTGCAGTTCTTAAAATTTTTCCATCATTTGAAATTATTTCTGAATAAAACTTTAACAAATAAAGAGTATAACCTCAAGGAGTTGTCTGCATCTGAAAAACTAACAATTAGTGATCAGTGTATTGGGCTAAATCGTGTTAGATCTTCAGGTTCTGTGGTTGGAGCAGTTCTCATCTCCCTTTCTCCTAGCCAACCTCACGTCCCAGCCCCACTCCATAGAGTGTGGAGAGCTTCTTAACACGCCTGATGAAACAGAACTCTAACCGGGAAAGTATAAGCTATGAGAAAATTTGATGCAAAGAACACAACAGCTGATGCTCTGTCCCTAATGGGAGCAGAAAATGTTCAGTTTTTTTCTCTGAACACGCATCTCTGCAGTGAAACACAGACCCCCACTTTTCCACCAGCTTCCATGAAAACCAGATGGCATCTCTCGGATAGAATACTCATGACTACAAAGGTGGCATGTGGGTCAGCGCCAAGATGATCACTTACACGGCAGCTGCAGATGGTGGTCCACCACATCCTGAGGCAGGAATAATGAGAACAACATCCACTTCATCATCATCTGAATATCCAAACAAACACCAGGGGAAAGTTAATGAACACAGCAACGGGGCATGTCCCAGGAGGGGAGAGGGGGTAGACTGGCTTACCTGAGATGAAATGAGAACTGCAGCAAAACATATGCAAAACATTGAATTTGGCTTTTAATTGAGAATCAAGGATGATGGATCTATAAAAAGAGAGTTGTAAACTGTAAAGCACTATAGAAAAGGGAAAAATTATTTCTGTCCGCAAAACTGAATAATGAAAACAAACGTGTTTCTTAAATGTTGCAGCAGTGGGAAGAACTTCTCTAAGATTAATAATAAAACACTTTCATCAGGACAGATGGGGTGGATTTAATGTACTGTCAGAAACTAAAATGGCAGTTTCTATAATGTATATAAGTAATGCAATGGGTAGATGCAATATTATTGAATTAGTCTTGGTAATTATAGCTGATTATCTTTAGATAGGAACTACAACATGATAAACTAGATGAGTACCGGGACCATAGTAAATGATGTAGTTGAACATTCTCTAACTTGCCTGAAATTACATAATTACGTGCATGCTTGATTTCCAGTGTTATTTATTCACATCTTTTAATTATCAACAGGCAATTAACTTTTGCTGGGGAGAAAGAACAAAGGAATTATTGGGTGAATGGATGGAAGAAGGGCAGGAAGGATGAATGGCTGGGTGACCGGATGGACAGGAGGATGATGAATTGAAGGTGGTTGGGTGTTAAAGTGGATGAATGAAAGAATGGATGGGTTGATGGGTGAATAGAAGAATAGAAGTGTCTGCCATTGCTGAGATGAAAGGATGAAAAGATAGACAGATGGAAGGATGGATAGAAAGATGCTGGGTCTGACTAACATCAGCCCAATTAAAAGCCTTTGGATTTTAACAAAGCAAAGTTATTTAATAGAATACAGTTCTCAAATAGTCCATTGTTCCTACAATAATAAAATTGGATTGACAGTCAACTCATTGAATCTTTGCCAGGGGAATGGCCATTGGTTTGGCAGAGGTTCTACTTTTATCTCAATAATATTTCAACTTCCATTTTCCTTCATTTTATTTCAGTTACTTAAATAATGTGTCTAATACAACATTGATATACTGCCTTTGTGGAAGTTTTATACCTGTATTTTAACTTATTTAGTTGAAGTGATCCATCTGCTTGTTTATTTGCTGTTTTTATTCAACAAACATTGAGTGTCTACTGTGCCAGTTAGTGTGATGGAGGTACGATGGTAAGCATGCAGAATCATTCCTCGCCCTCACAGTGCACTAATCAAGTGATCATTTAAATACAGGCTTAGTGAAAAAGTGCGGTCAGTATTATGATGAAACGCCATGTTGAAATTGAACAAGGTTTCTGAGAAATCAGGTTGAAACATTCAACTCACAGTTAATCTACTGTTGTGTTTTTATTTATTTTTATTTATTTATTTATTTATTTATTGAGACAGAGTCTTACTCTGTTTCCAAGGCTGGAGTGCAGTGGTGCGATTTTGGCTCACTGCAAGCTCCGCCTCCCAGGTTCACGCCATTCTCCTGCCTCAGCCTCCCAAGTAGCTGGGATCATAGGCACCCACCACCACACCTGGCTAATGTTGTATTTTTAGTAGAGAGGGGGTTTCAGCGTGCTAACCAGGATGGTCTCGATCTCCTGACCTCGTGATCCCCCCGTCTCGGCCTCCCAAAGTGCTGGGACTACAGGCGTGAGCCACCACGCCTGGCCTACTGTTGTGTTTTTAACTAAGCCTGTATTTGGTGAGCTGAATTTACTTACCATATTGAAATGCTAAATTGCTTCTATTTTCTAAAGTTGTGTGTATTACTGAGGTGTATTCCATAATTTTAGGATGGTTTAGGCGTGTATTTTATTATTCATAATCATGAAGCCATCTTAAGTATTTTGGTCCATGAAAACAAATATGTTACAATCAGCTAGGTCAAGTTAATATTGTTATGGAGAACTGAAGGGTTCCAAAATGGCCGAATAGGAACAGCTCCAGTCTACAGCTCCCAGCGTGAGTGACGCAGAAGACGGGTGAGTTCTGCATTTCCAACTGAGGTACCAGGTTCATGTCACTGGGACTTGTTAGACAATGGGTGCAGCCCACAGAGGGTGAGCTAAAGCAGGGCAGGGCATTGCTTCACCTGGGAAGCGCAAGGGGTTGGGAAATTCCCTTTCCTAGCAAAGGGAAGCTGTGACAGATTGTACCCGGAAAATCGGGACACTCCCACACTAATACTGAGTTTTCCAAGTCTTAGCAAAAGGCATACCAGGAGATTATATCCCACACCTGGCTCAGTGGGTCCCACGTCCACGGAGCCTTGCTCACCACTAGCACAGCAGTCCAAGATCTAACTGCAAGGCAGCAGCAAGGCTGGGAGAGGGGCGTCTGCCATTGCTGAGGCTTGACTAGGTAAACAAAGCAGCCAGGAAGCTCGAACTGGGTGGAGCCCATCACAGCTCAACGAGGCCTGCCTGACTCTGTAGACTCCACCTCTGGGGGCACTGCGTAGTTGAACAAAAGGCAGCAGAAACTTCTGCAGACTTAAACATCCCTGTCTGACAGCTTTGAAGAGAGTAGTGGTTCTCCCAGCATGGAGTTTGAGATCTGAGAATGGACAGACTGCCTCCTCAAGTGTGTCACTGACCCCCGAGTAGCCTAACTGGGAGACACCTCCCAGTAGGGGCTGACTGACATCTCATACAGCCGGGTGCCCCTCTGAGACAAAGCTTCCAGAGGAAGGATCAGACAGCAACATTTGCTGTTCTGCAATATTTGCTGTTCAGCAACCTCCACTGGTGATACCTAGGCAAACAGGGTCTGGAATGGACCTCCAGCAAACTCCAACAGACCTGCAGCTGAGGGTCCTGACTGTTAGAAGGAAAACTAACAAACAGAAAGGAATAGCATCAACATCAACAAAAAGGACATCCACACCAAAACCCCATCTGTAGGTCACCACCATCAAAGACCAAAGGTAGATAAAACCATGAAGATGGGGAGAAACCAGAGCAGAAAAGCTGAAAATTCTAGAAATCAGAGTGCCTCTTCTCCTCCAAAGGATTGCAGCTCCTCACCAGCAATGGAACAAAACTGGACAGAGAATGACATTGACGAGTTGACAGAAGTAGGCTTCAGAAGATCGGTAAAACAAACTTCTCCGAGCTAAAGGAGAATGTTCGAACCCATAGCAAAGAAGCTAAAAACCTTGAAAAAAGATTAGATGAATGGCTAACTAGAATAAACAGTGCAGAGAAGACATTAGATGACCTGATGGAACTGAAAACCATGGCACGAGAACTACATGACGCATGCACAAGCTTCAGTAGCCGATTTGATCAACTGGAAGAAAGGGTATCAGTGATTGAAGATCAAATGAATGAAATGCAGCGAGAAGAGAAGTTTAGAGAAAAAAGAGTAAAAAGAAATGAACAAAGCCTCCAAGAAATATGGGACTATGTGAAAAGACCAAATCTACGTCTGATTGGTGTACCTGAAAGTGACAGGGAGAATGGAACCAAGTTGGAAAACAGTCTTCAGGATATTATCCAGAACTTCCCCAACCTAGCAAGGCAGGCCAACATTCAAATTCAGGAAATACAGAGAACACCACAAAGATACTCCTCAAGAAGAGCAACTCCAAGACACATAATTGTCAGATTCACCAAGGTTGAAATGAAGGAAAAAATGTTAAGGGCAGCCAGAGAGAAAGGTCTGGTTACCCTCAAAGGGAAGCCCATCAGACTAAAAGTGGATCTCTCAGCAGAAACTCTACAAGCTAGAAGGGAGTGGGGGCCAATATTCAACATTCTTAAAGAAAAGAATTTTCAACCTAGAATTTCATATCCAGCCAAACTAACCTTCATAAGTGAAAGAGAAATAAAATCCTTTACAGATAAGTAAATGCTGAGAGATTTTGTCATCACCAGGCCTGCCTTACAAGAGCTCCTGAAGGAAGCACTAAACATGGAAAGGAACAACTGATACCAGCCACTGCAAAAACATGCCAAATTGTAAAGACCGTTGATGCTAGGAAGAAACTGTATCAACTAATGAGCAAAATAACCACCTAACATCATAATGACAGGATCAACTTCACACACAACAATATTAACCTTAAATGTAAATGGGCTAAATGCCCCAATTAAAAGACACAGACTGGCAAATTGGATAAAGAGTCAAGACCCATCTGTGGGCTGTATTCAGGAGACCCATCTCATGTGCAGAAACACACAGGCTCAAAATAAAGGGATGGAGGAAGATTACCAAGCAAATGGAAAACAAAAAAAAGGCAGGGGTTGCAATCCTAGTCTATGATAAAACAGACTTTAAACCAACAAAGATCAAAAGAGACAAAGAAGGCCATTACATAATGGTAAAGGGATCAACAAAAAGAGCTAACTGTCCTAAATATATATGTACCCAATACAGGAGAACCCAGATTCATAAAGCAAGTCCTTAGGGACCTACAAAGAGACTTAGACTCCCACACAATAATAATGGGAGACTTCAACACTTCACTGTCAACATTAGACAGATCAACGAGACAGAAAGTTAACAAGGATATCCAGGACTTGAGCTCAGCTCTGCACCAAGTGGACCTAATAGACATCTACAGAACTCTCCACCCCAAATCAACAGAATATACATTCTTCTCAGGGCCACACTGCACTTATTCCAAAATTGACCACATGGTTGGAAGTAAAGCATTCTTCAGCAAATGTAAAAGAACAGAAATTATAACAAACTGTCTCTCAGACCACAGTGCAATCAAATTAGAACTCAAGATTAGGAAACTCACTCAAAACCACACAACTACATGGAAACTGAACAACCTGCTCCTGAATGACTACTGGGTACATAACGAAATGAAGGCAGAAATAAAGATGTTCTTTGAAACCAATGAGAACAAAGACACAACATACCAGAATCTCTGGCACACATTTAAAGCAGTGTGTAGAGGGAAATTCACAGCACTAAATGCCCAAAAGAGAAAGCAGGAAAGATCGAAAATTGACAGCCTAACATCACATTAAGAGAACTAGAGAAGCAAGAGCAAACACATTCAAAAGCTAGCAGAAGGCAAGAAATAACTAAGATCAGAGCAGAACTGAAGGAGATAGAGACACAAAAAACACTTCAAAAAAATCAATGAATCCAGGAGCTGGTAAAAAGATCAACAAAATTGATAGACTGCTATCAAGACTAATCAAGAAGAAAAGAGAGAAGAATCAAATAGATGCAATAAAAATGATAAAAGGGATATCACCACTGATCCCATAGAAATACAAACTACCATCATAGAATACTATAAACTCCTCTAAGCAAATAAATTAGAAAATCTAGGAGAAATGGATAAATTCCTGGACACATACACCCTCCCAAGACTAAACCAGGAAGAAGTTGAATCCCTGAATAGACCAATAACGGGCTCTGAGATTGAGGCAGTAATGAATAGCCTACCAACCAATAAAAGGCCAGGACCAGACGGATTCACAGCCGAATTCTACCAGAGGTACAAAGAGGATCTGGTAACATTCCTTCTGAAACTATTCCAATCAATAAAAAAAGAGGGAATCCTCCCTAATTCATTTTATGAGGCCAGCATCATCCTGATACCAAAGCCTGGCAGAGACACACAAAAAAAGAGAATTTTAGACCAGTATCCCTGATGAACATGGATGCAAAAATCCCCAATAAAATACTGGCAAACTGAATCCAGCAGCACATCGAAAAGCGTATCCACCATGATCAAGTGGGCTTTATCCCTGGGATGCAAGGCTGGTTCAACATATACAAATCAATAAACATAATCCAACATATAAACAGAACCAAAGATAAAAACCACATGATTATCTCAATAGATGCAGAAAAGGCCTTCAACAAAATTCAACAGCCCTCCATGCTAAAAACTCTCAATAAACTAGGTATTGATGGCACGTATCTCAAAATGATAAGAGCTATTAATGACAAACCCATAGCCAATATCATACTGAATGAGCAAAAACTGGAAGCATTCCCTTTGAAAACTGGCAAAGACAGGGATGCCCTCTCTCACCACTCCTATTCAACATAGTGTTGGAAGTTCTGGCCAGGGCAATTAGGCAGGAGAAAGAAATAAATGGTATTAAATTAGGAAAAGAGGAAGTCAAATTGTCCCTGTTTGCAGATGACATGATTGTATATTTAGAAAACCCCATCATCTCAGTCCAGAATCTCCTTAAGCTGATAAGCAACTTCAACAAAATCTCAGGATACAAAATCAATGTGCAAAAATCACAAGCATTCCTATACACCAATAACAGACAAACAGAGAGCCAAATCATGAGTGAACTCCCATTCACAATTGCTTCAAATAGAATAAAGTACCTAGGAATCCAACTTACAAGGGATGTGAAGGACCTCTTCAAGGAGAACTACAAACCACTGCTCAAGGAAATAAAAGAGGACACAAACAAATGGAAGAACATTCCATGCTCATGGGTAGGAAGAATCAATATCGTGAAAATGGCCATGCTGCCCAAGGTAATTTATAGATTCAATGCCATCCCCATCAAGCTACAAATGACTTTCTTCACAGAATTGGATAAAACTATTTTAAAGTTCATATGGAACCAAAAAAGAGCCCACATTGCCAAGACAATCCTAAGCAAAAAGAACAAAGCTGGAGGCGTCACGTCACCTGACTTTGAACTATACTACAAGGCTACAGTAAACAAAACAGCATGGTACTGGTACCAAAACAGAGATATAGACCAATAGAACAGAACAGAGCCCTCAGAAATAACACCACACATCTACAACCATCTGGTCTTTGACAAACCTGACAAAAACAAGAAATGAGGAAACGATTCCCTATTTAATAAATGGTGCTGGGAAAACTGGCTAGCCACATGTGGAAAGCTGAAACTGGATCCCTTCCTTACACCTTATACAAAAATTAATTCAAGATGGATTAAAGACTTAAATGTTAGACCTAAAACCATAAAAACCCTAGAAGAAAATCTAGGCAATACCATTCAGGACGTAGGCATGGGCAAGGACTTCATGTCTAAAACACCAAAAGCAATGGCAACAAAAGCCAAAATAGACAAATGGGATCTAGTTAAACGAAAGAGCTTCTGCACAGCAAAAGAAACTACCATCAGAGTGAACAGGCAACCTACAGAATGGGAGAAAATTTTTGCAATCTACCCATCTGACAAAGGGCTAATATCCAGAATCTACAAAGAACTTAAACAAATTTACAAAAAAAAAAAAAAAATCAAACAACTCCATCAAAAAGTTTGCAAAGGATATGAACAAACACTTCTCAAGAGAAGACATTTATGCAGCCATCAGACACATGGAAACATGCTCATCATCACTGGCCATCAGAGAAATGCAAATCAAAACTACAATGAGATACCATCTCACACCAGTTAGAATGGCCATCATTAAAAAGTCAGGAAACAACAGGTGCTGGAGAGGATGTGGAGAAATAGGCACACTTTTACACTGTTGGTGGGTCTGTAAGCTAGTTCAACCATTGTGGAAGACAGTGTGGCAATTCCTCAAGGATCTAGAACTAGAAACACCATTTGACCCAGAGATCCCATTACTGGGTATATACCCAAAGGATTATAAATCATGCTGCTATAAAGACACATGCACACGTATGTTTATTGTGGCACTATTCATAATAGCAAAGACTTGGAATCAACCGAAATGTCCATCAATGATAGACTGGATTAAGAAAATGTGGCACATATACACCACGGGATACTATGCAGCCATAGAAAAGGATGAGTTCATGTCCTTTTTAGGGACATGGATGAAGCTGGAAACCATCACTCTGAGCAAACTATCACAAGGACAGAAAACCAGACACTGCATGTTCTCACTTGTAGATGGGAATTGAACAATGAGAACACTTGGACACAGGGTGAGGAACATCACACACCGGGGTCTGTCATGGGGTGGGGGGAGGCGGAAGGGGGGAGGGATAGCATTAGGAGAAATACCTAATGTAAATGATGAGTTAATGGGCACAGCACACCAACATGGCACATGTATACATATGTAACAAATCTGCATGTTGTGCACATGTACCCTAGAACTTAAAGTATAATTAAAAAAATCGTTATGTAATAACAATATTGTTATTGTATATGGAAATACAGTCTAAATTGTTAAATGCACATATCGCTTTTAATGGCTGACGCTTCTTTTCCCCTTGAGACTGAATCTGGGTCATTTTCTGGCTTTTTCCACCTTGCCTTCAGAAGACTTTTTTTTGAGGCACTTGATACAGAAAAAGTTTTGAGAGAGCTTTTTTCTCTCCCTAAGATTTAAGAACATTTCTGACCATTTTACTCATATTGTTTTTAAGTCCAAGCTATAGTTCACCTTTGTTTATGTTAACTTAAGAAATTTTTTAAGACTAATGTTTTTCCAGTTGCAGCCTCTCTCCCACCAACCCCAAACCTTACACATTACTTCCCACTCTAGAATTCAGTCTGTAGATTCCAGTTTACTTAAATGTGTCTTTTAATGGCATGTTGGAAAGAGCTCAGGATTCAGGAGCTGGATTCTTGGGTCAAATCTATTAGTAATTCCACTAGTAAATGTTTATTAGTCACTTACCTCTCTATACCTCATCTGTCAAATGTAGATAATATCAATTCTTTCACAGAGCTATCGTGATAAATAAGGTAAAGTCTATTCTAATGCTATGAAAGTAATATGCTAATTTAAGCACTTAAAATGTAATTATCAGCTGATTGTATTTCTTTCCACTGCCTTTGCCCACTTTGGTTAAAACAATTCAGCAGCCTTTGATGTAGTAGCACAGTGCCGGCCACATCCCAGGTACTCAAAAATATTAACTTCTCTCCTCCCTCCCTAATAAAAATTTAAAGTGTCAACTTGAGTTTAGAATAAACAGAGATTAATGGTTTTACTAGTTCCCTTAGTACATCCCCTGGCTGCAACTGTTTTTCTCCTGGCAGGCAGGTGGATAAATACAGTGTTTGGCTTTAGCTAAGCAGGGTAGTAGCTAGCACATACAGCACCTCAGTGTAAATATCAAGAGGTCTCATTCTCCCAGCTCAGCCCTGCACTAGGGTGCTTGACAGGATTTGGGCATCACTAGCACTTAGATGAGTCCACTTTGTTCAGTGCACTAACTGCACAACCATAGAAGGCAACCCTGTAACCACTCAAGAAATGGGATATTGGAAGTTTCTGTCATTTAGCTATCACTGTCATATCATTCATGCTGAAAATATTAGCCCAGCTATTTCCAATCATAAGATTTTTCACAGCCTCTTCTCTTCTACATCTGTTGACTTGAAATCATGAGACTTATGTATATTAGACTTGTAAGACAAGCTCGTTTGCCTCATCATGGAACTGTATCTTTTAAGATATTTTTCTTTTCATTTTATACTACTACAGCCATCAAAATGGTGCCTTATAATTGAGCCAGAATTAGCTGAGATTAACAAGTGTGCTTTTCCTTGATTGTTCTTATAAAAAGCAAAAATATTCCCTCTATTAAAATAACACAAGAATTTGCAGTGAAGGAACATCACATGGGGACTTCTAATTTACAAACTTCCCACTGAAAATACTAACTCATGTGTCTGTTTGGTCTGTGCCGGGAAAAAAGTTTCTGAGAGGAAGGAGATATCCATCCAAGCCCTTTAATTACTTCCTCTTGCCCTTCCCCACGTGATCTGAAGTTTCTTGGATCTATGGCAGAGTGAAACATTCCTTAAATGGTCATATCTCCTTATGGAAAAAGATAGTTGCTATAGGAGCAGCAGGAATGAATGTGATTCCACCACAAGGCTTACCTTTTTCAAGGATTCACCATAAGCCAAGCAGGAAATCTAGGTTGAATAGACAGGAGATGTGGACTCTTAGTGCTGATGATGTATGCTAGATGAAGGGTAGGCAGGTGTGCAGATATTCCCAAACATGGATAGCTCCTTTTGAGCATGCCCTGGGGACATGGAGACAACACAGCCACTGTCTGAGTCTCCACAATTCCTTCTTCCGATGTTCCAAGGAACAACAGCAGAAGCACAAATGGTCCCCAAACCTCTGCGTAGAGACACTGCATGGAGTGGTTAGGGTCACAGACTAACCTGCAAAAACTTGGCATTTCAGTTACTTTTGGGTAAAGCAGTCTTTACAGGGTGTGCTGGGGCAACTTAACCACAATTTATAGCATTGTTTCTATGGGAAAACATGCTGTACATTTCAAAAGCTAGTTTATGAGTGGATTTCAGAGCCCAGCACAGGTGTAGATCAGAATTTATTTTTAAAAATAATTCCCATTCACGGTGGAATTAAATAAACACTTAAATATGATTACAAACTCTCTTACTATTCCTTACACATTTTGTCTGTCAAACTTGTTTTTAGACATAAGTTTAACCAAAAATGCTAACTTTTGGTTCTCAGCACTTTCCTTCTAATTAATATGAGTTAATATTTGCATTGATAATTTACAGTATTTTAGTTCATGAAGCCCTTTGACATATTTGAAGTCTTCACAATAACAGCGAGAACTGAGTGACTGTTGTTTTTTCCCATGTCGTAAGTGAGGAAACTGAGGCTCAATGAGTTTGGCTTACTTGGGTTAAAATAGGATTAAGCGAATAGAACTGGAAGTCATCCCAGGCCTGATGGCAAATGCCATGAGGCTCTTTCCGCAACATCCCACTGTATTGTAAAAACCTTCTGATCATGACAGAGCGAGAGAAATCAAATCGTGCTGTCTCACTAAAGGAAAGTCCTTGATGACTTTTTCCAACCGGGAGACTGTTAGCAGGTTGCTTCATTAACTAACTGGAAGCCTTCCCCATTCCTTATAATCAAAACTTGGCTCACTCTTGCACCACATCCTTCCCTTTGCAATCAGCAGCGTGCCTTTGATGCAGACCTTGGGCGTTTTCTGAAAGCAGAAGTGTGTTTTTGATAATGAACTATTCAAAACAGCATTTAAACAAAGAACTTTGGGTTTTTAAACAGAGTCTTAAAGCCATTTACTTCCCTTTGAGCAATATCCACATCCTTCTACAGTTACCAATAGACAAAGAAAATAGAAACATTTGCCTTCAGCAAATGTACTAAGAGGTCGCCCACAGACATAGATCCCAGTGTGGAAACCAATTGAAACAAAACAGACTAGAGTAAATGGATCAGTAGGGACACTGAGTCTTATTAGCATGGTTTTGTTTTAGTCCTGAATCTAGTGTTTATTTCATGAGTAATCAATTGCTTTTTAAGAAATGTTCAAGAAAGGAGAATCTATAAGCAATTATAATATCCTATTCCATTATTTAACATTATTTAATATTACCATCAACAAGCTCTTTTTCATTGTATTTATATTTCTACAAATAAAACCATATTTCTCAATCTTTTTATCTATGAGACTACAAGATTAGAAATTCAGAATTCCTCTTTAAATAAATACTTGATATTCCTTTTTTTAAATGTGAGAACTTTTTATTATCCTCCCTTCATCTTCATTGACTGTTGTCTAGCACATAGCAGACATTTGATAAATAGCTTTTGATGGAATGAATGTTGAAATTACTTATTAATTCAGTAAGTATTTATTCATATCATACTATCAGTTCATACTACAAGAGATATTGGAGTCAGAAAAAACAATAAGGAAGTTATTGTTACAGAAGCCCTGACAAAGTGGTGACAATGATAGCCAATGAAGGAAAGAGATATTGCAAAAGCAGAATTAGCTTGACAATGGACTCTAGGGCCTAAAAAAGAGGGAGCAATCTAAGATAATCAATCTTTTTGAGCTTCAGTGACCGTGATAGGGAGAAGTGTTAGGTTAGGAAACAGGATGAGAAGCAGCTTTTATGATGAAGAGATAATTATTTTTCAGACCCTTTAAGTTTGAGGTACTAGTGGGACATCCAGGTGAAAGTCTGGCAGTGGACTCTAAATGTGAAAGCGGAGCTCAGGGAAGGAGGCAGAGTGAGGCAATGATGTGGTGAGGCCTATCTTTACTGAGGTGTCTGCAATCCTGAAATTGCATAAGATGGCCGTGGGAAAGAGCACAGAGGGAAGAGAGGTAGTGACACTGATGCTGCAGGGCAGAAGGAGGGAGGAGGGCCAGGGAAGGAGCAATCTGAGAGGCAGGAGGAGAAGCAGCAGAGCTGAGAGGGGTGGAAGCCAGAGGGAGACAAGCATGCCCAGGAGTTGCTAGGCAGCCAGCTGACAGGCAAGTGAGTGAGAAAATGCCACTGGGAAGGAGACCCAGGTGGCCTCTGCAGAGCCGTTTCAGGAGATGATGGAAGCTAAAGGAGAAGCAAGAAAATCGAAGGTGAGGAGGTGAAAGGACCATGTGTAGACTCAGCTCTTGAATTGTTCAGAGGTTCCTGGAAAGAGCTGAGGCCTGTCTCAAAGATATTATTACAGAATCCTGAGTCACATTCATCATTCTGAAGGTTTGCTATCTTCTTTTCTTTAACATTTTTTTTTCTGAAACAGAGTCTTGCTCTGTTGCCAGGCTGGAATGCAGTGGTGCAATCTCAGCTCACTGCAACCTCCACCTCCTGGGTTCAAGCGATTCTCCTGCCTCAGCCTCCCGAGTAGCTGTGACTACAGGCACGTACCACCACGCCCAGCTAATTTTTGTATTTTTAGTAGAGACGGTGTTTCACCATGTTGGCCAGGATGGTCTCTATCTCTTGACCTCGTGATCCGCCCACCTTGGCCTCCCAAAGTGCTGGGATTACAGGCATGAGCCACCGCACCTGGCCTTTCTCTAACCTTTTTGAAAAGTCTTTTATAATCCCTTTAAATCTCCCTTTCTTCCATTCTGTGTCTGGGCAATTGCCACATTTACTATTCTTTTCCTGTGGTATTTCTAAAGTTCCTTTCTTCCTCCTCAAGATATTTTTCTGTAGTTATTATTTCCTCCCTTGAATATTGCAACATTTTGAATATTGAACATTTTATCTACTATTTTCTTCTGCTCTGGACTATTTCCTGTGACTATCTGCTTACCTCTTTGGAGATGGATTCCACTTACAACTATACCCCTATTTAAGTCTGGTTGGTTTGTATACTAAATCTTTTTAGCCCTTCACAGTTTAGCCTAAAAGCTCTAAAAGGTGATAAAATTTATTATTGACCCTTCTAGTTGTTGCATTTGCTTTCTAGACTTTACAGAACCAGCATAATTGATATTTACTAGGAATAAAGTTTAGGCAAATATAACCTTACAGATGCAAGTAGTAAGCTTTGTGGCATTGCACATTTTCTAAATCAGCTAACTTTATCTCCTTAAGAATTGTTTGTAGACAAATAATACCACAAAGTAATATTATCTAGTTTTTAGTGTAATTTTTATCCATTCTTTAATAAAAGAATAAATAGCAAACATGCCATTTTGGAAAATAGAAATGTGACAGTCTATTAGTATTGAGCTTTGTAGCATATAATTTCGCTTCTTTAAAAGATACGTGTAATGCACTCTTTACATCCTTTCACATCTTTTCATCCTTCACTGACACCTTTGTCCATGTCACCAATCTCATTGGCAAGAAAATCATCTGCAGCATGACTGGTGGGATGAAGGCAAAGGCTGACCAAGACGAATCCTTGCCATGAGTCACCATGTTGGCTGCCCAGGATGTGGCCCAGAGGTGCAACGAGCTGGGCATCACTGCCCTACAAATCAAACTCCAGGGCGCAGGAGGAAATAGGACCAAAACTCCTGGACCTGGGGCCCAGACAGCCCTCAGAGTCCCTGCCTGCTTGGGTATGAAGATCGGGCAAATTGAGGATGTCACCCCCAACCCCTCTGACAGCACTTGCAGCAAGGGGGGTCACCATGGTCACCATCAGTGAACAGGACTCCTCAGATTATTGTTTTCTGTTAATAAATGGCCTTTATGTAAACTAAAAGAGGGAAGCATTGCGTATTATAGTACCAGGAAGATTGGGATTAATATTTCTGCTACTGAAGTAGTTAGCACTTTGATTTTCTCTTCTTTAAAAGGAATATTTGAATTTTGTTTTTAAATAGTAACTTTGATTACTATTTTGTCTTTTGTAAGCACCCATGATTTTTCTTCAGTTTTTGGCCAATTTGACCAAGACACAGATAATGATGATTAGACATAGACAACCTTGAAATATTAAAACTATGATACAGATAGTGAATACAGTATCTTAATAAGTACAAAAATGGCTAGATTGTACAAAGAATGCCTGGATTATGCCCATATTATGTACATTCAGAAGTCTTTTGTAAATTTTTTCTCTGGGGAAAATTTCACAAAAGCACCCTCTTTCTACTTTGGATTAGCACTTAACAATTGTAAATGTTGATCCTTCACTTGTAAAGAGTGAAAAATCTTCCTTACTTTTCCACCTCTGGAAATAGAAAAATGTTTTTTTAAAAATCAGCTGCAGAATATATTCCAAGCTAGTTAAAGATACAAGATTTTCTGAAGAGTAACTTGCAGCCAGGGTTATCATTGGTTCATAGTTTACTCTTAGCATAAGCTAATGAATTTGAAATAAACCTGGCCCAAACATGTTAGGAGACAAAGCTCTATTATAACCCAACTCTAAGCTATCATTTATTCACTGGGAAAAAAAAAAAACTCAGGAAGAAGCCTGCCAACAAACCAGATGTCACCATCAGTAGACAATTATGTTCCACAGCTTGGCACCTGGGGCCCACAGTCATAATCCAAGAAGGAGGAGAAATAAAAAGTAGAACATTCTGGCAGACTCCAGACTGAAAGATTCCAAATGGCTCATGGAGAAAATGGAGGCTAAAGAGCTGCTTCTTTAATTCTCAGGAAGGAGACCCCAGAACTGAAACATGATCACTCTACCTATTGAGGATGTCATGATCCTGACAGATATAGCAGAGTCTACAAGGGCCTGGAGTGCTCCCAGGGGCTGGCTTTGGGAGCTGGCATGGCAGCATTTGTACACTGGAAGATTTACCATGTCACAGAGACGATCTCGTCTTTTGGGATAAATTACCAACCGAACTGAAAACGTTTCCTTCTTTGGCAAATTTTAAGGATTGAAAAGGACTTAGGATTTAGAGGTGATCTCGGTGAAATACTGTCCAGAATGTACTGGACTGAACTGCATAAAATAACTTTTCAAAATCTGCCTTATTCCATAATTAATCTATGATTAAGAAACTGTAGATTTACATGGAGAATCTCATCAAGGCCTCCTTTTTCTCAGCTGAGAAAAAAATGAACTCCCTCTTTTGAAATGCATTTCAATAGAAAGTAGACACTTTGCAATCCTCAGATGGTTCCAACATGAAGAGCCTAATATATGTGTTCAACTTTTATGTAATCTAGGAATTAAGGACATAAATGAAAGTTGAAATAATCAACTTTTATTTTTATTTTTATTTTTTTCTTTTTTTAATTATACTTTAAGTTCTAGGGTGCATGTGCACAACGTGCAGGGTTGTTACATATGTATACATGCGCCATGTTGGTGTGCTGCACCCATTAACTCGTCATTTACATTGGGCATATCTCCTAATGCTATCCCTCCCCCCTCCCCCGACCCCACAACAGGCCCCAATGTGTGATGTTCCCCTTCCTGTGTCCAAGTGTTCTCATTGTTCAATTCCCACCTATGAGTGAGAACATGCGGTGTTTGGTTTTTTGTCCTTGTGACAGTTTGCTGAGAATGATGGTTTCCAGCTTCATCCATGTCCCTAAAAAGGACAGGAACTCATCCTTTTTAATGGCTGCATAGTATCCCACGGTGTATATGTGCCACATTTTCTTAATGCAGTCTATCATTGATGGACATTTGGGTTGGGAAATAACCAACTTTTATTAAAAGTTTTCTGAACATTTCTTTATATATAAAGATTCCACTTAAATGGAAACTGCCCGTGTTCAGACAAAAATAAAATGTCTACATTAGATTTATTGGTTCAGCCTGTAACTAAACAAAACAACTAAAATATTGGTTAAGTGGAGACCGCTTTTTCCATTTTTCTCTGCCTTTATAAATCACCAAATCCTGCATAAAGCAAAAGAGATTGTAACTGAATTTAAAGATTATGTTTATTGTTATGTTTAAAGATTATGTTTATGTGTGTATGGTTATCACATATGTCCATGGTTGAAACTGATTTTTATAAAATTGAGGAAATATTTTTATTAGTTTTGAATAGTTATTAATGTTTTGTTTGGATAGAGCTAACTGGCCCACTTAAATTAGTCTATGAATCCACAAATAATTCTTCTCCACAAACAAACCTTACCAAATATCTTAAACTATATATACTACATTTGGGGCAAAGGGCAAGACTCTTCTTTATGTATGATAACTATAGTGCCAATTAGCTAGTTAATTAATATATGTTAAGTGATATAAATAAATTACATGTATAATTTATTACATAACACATTTTTAATTATACATTAATATTTGCCTAAACTTGGAGTTCCAGAGTCTATCTTTTAGACTTTCAATAGTTTTGATCATTCTTTCATGATGAGGTAGCACATTAATTGCTTCTGGAAATGTGATGCTTTTAATGTAGTGGTTTTCGAATGTTTTGCTTTGGGAATCATTTTATTAAAGGTTAAAAACAAAACAATGAGCACATGTCCCACTGCCACCACCAACTCCTACTTCCTCTGCCTTTGGCCCTTCTTACCAAAACTCTCTGTGGACATTATCAGAAAGAGCTTTGCTATGTATTTAAATGATACACATGAATAATGGCATTCTAGTTTGCCTCTGATGTGAACAAACAGTACTATTCTCTGACGGTTATAAATGTTAGTGCTACCAGCCCGTGTGTCACTCTTGATCGATGGGAAATTGTTTTCCTAGTGACAGGAAACAACAAGCTGAGAATCAGAAGTGGTCTCTGGCCATGCCACCCTGAGTGGGCAAAATCTCGTTGGAGAATCAGAAGTCCCCAATTCTATTGCAGGATTTGCATGATCGGATAGATAGCCTCTCTGCATCTGAGTTCCCTCAGTTGTCACGAATCATTGTTATTTCTGTCTCTGGTTCTCGTCACAGAGATAATAAATTCCATTCTGAGGGCTGTGGAGAGCTACGACCCTTCCGCAGACCTGTGTAAATTGAGAAGGCATAAGCGGCAAGCCACAAAGCAGTCCCTTTGTCTTGCTGCTGAAGCTTCCACACTCCCACACTCTCTCTGACACCTGTCTATCCTATTTCTAAAGTGGCAGGGAAAATGCCTGGAGTTAAGGGCCACACTCATTGCCAGCTCCAGCGGAATAACTTGGAACGGATGGAAAAATAAAGAAGTGATTTCTCTCTTCCTCAGCTCTCACAGGAGGTCTATGGTACTTTCTCAAGGTCAAGGAAAGAACTGAAGTGGGTGGAGAATTTCTGCAGAACACTTCAAGGCCCTTTGAAAACTGAAAGGGACATACTTTTATAATAGTACATGCCATATTGTAAACTCCTCTGCAAAGTTTCTTGACAGAAATAATGACTTTGATTGCTATAGCTCAGATAAATTATCAAGACACAGTAGGAAAAAGGGTAAAATAAAAGAGAAAAATACTTCATCATTGATGTCAGCTTTTAGAAAATTATTGTATATAATATTTGATTTAAGGAATATCTACTCTTAGTTTGAGGATCCCTGGTGAATTTCTTCCTATAATTTATAATCCAAACTGATACTTGCAGTTCTGCTTCTATATAGCCCAACATATTTTAGTAGGAAAGGGGAAATCCAAAGGAAAGTTTGGATAGCACTATATGCTCCAATGTTTCCTGGCATTGGGAAGGAGATTTTCTCAATTTTTCAGCTTCTTACCCTGCAGAATGGAAGCAATTAGTTAGGATAAATGCAGGGAATTCTCCATAGCATTCCCTGCTATGTAGAAAGAAGTAGAAATCAAGAGATCTGGGTCTGCTTCCAGCTCATTACTAACCATCTGTATGCCATTGGGAAAGTCATATAACCTCCCCAGATTCTAATGTATTACTCTATAAAATAAAATAAGTGGCTTATTTATTCATTTGAAAACATTTGTTAAGCACTCAGTAGACTGTGGCACTGTGCTAGGCTCTGGAAATAAAAAGCCAAATAAGATGCTGTCCTTGCCTTCACAGAGCATGCAGCCAAGAAGGAAGGGACAGAAGCATAAACAAGTGCAGGAAAGGGTAGATGCTGTCATGGGAAAGTTGAAGAGACCCAGGACAAGCAAAGGAGGCATATTGGTTGGAGTGGGCAGAAAGTAATTTCTAAGGTTTGTGAGTCTAAAGTCAGGGCTTAAAAAAAAAAGAATTTGTCAAGAGGACCTCAGAAGAACAGTGAGTTGGAGGAATTTCCAACCACTGTTCCATTCCAAACCAAAGGAATTTCCAAGAACAAGAATCAGTAGATGAAAAACACAGGGGTATAGAACAGTCTGGCGTGATAGGAAAACCACAGGGTTCAGGGTGGACAGAGAAGTTAGGAGCCAGATGGTGGAGCATACTAAGGAGTTTGGCACAGGTATGACCTTTAGTACATAGGCATGAACTTTAGTCTATGGCATAAGCTTTAATCTATGGCCATAACCTTTAGTCTCTGGGCATAGACTAGAGGCATGGCCTTTAATGTAAGAGGGTAACCTTTAGTCTGTGGGCATGACCTTTCGACGTGGTCAAGCAGAGCAGATTTATATGATCACTCTTGCAAAAAATATGGAGGATACTGAAAGGGAGAATTAAAAGGGGGCATTGTCTTACCTTATCCACGAACCCTTCTAGGAGAAGCTGCCCCACCCACTGCCCCTGCTGAAAGCAAATGAGCTATATTATCTACCATGTGACATTACCCTTCACTACACATGATTGGGTCAGGTACAGGTACCTAATGCAAGCATGGCAAACCTTAGCTCTGGATGAAGTGACTTAAAAAGATGAGCTATATTCAGAGTCCACTTGGGCAAAACTCAGAGAGCAGTATCATGAGTATTGATAAGGATCTAGAGAAATGGGAACCGTCAGGCACTGCGGGTAGAAATGTAAATTGGTAAGCCATTCTGGAGATTGAGTTGGCTATATTTAGTATAATTAATTATGCATATATCCAGCAATCCAATCTTGTTTCTGTTTATGTAAAGCAGAATATGAATGTGACTAATTGTGACATTCTCCCTTAACAAGTCCATAAATGGACACATACAAGGTTGTTTGTTGCAGTATTGTTTTGAGAACAGGGAATTGGAGGCCACACAGACATCTATCACTATGAGAAAGATAAGTAAAATATGATGGATGCATACACCAAAAGAACCGTAGCAAGCAGAACTAGATGTGTACAGAGAAACATGAAGTGTAAAAACAGTGTTGAGTAAAAAAGTAAATAGAGCTATAATATAACATCATTTATATAGATTTTAAATGGAGACCTACACAAAGCAACACTATATATTTTTCAGAGTCATATACTAGCCAAGGATATATATCACACATATGAGAGTCAATGCTTTTGATGGAAATGGAAGTGGGAAAGAGTCAGGATAAGACAGAAAAAAAAAACAAATAATTAATATGGCCTTGTATAAACAAATTATAGTGTGTCTGAGTAGAATGAATGCAATTCCATACACTTGTGGTCAGGAAGGAAAATTAAAATGTGAGTTTACAGAGCCATATTCTCTCTTTAAAAACTAAGAAACAAGGCAAAAGTTTGCATTTCTAATGAGTTAGAAAGGGGTGTGGCTAAGTCACATTTATGATAAGATATCAGGATGAAGATCTGCAAATTTGCAAATTCTTCCTTCTAGTCTGCTGAACCTTTTTAAATGCAGAAACACCCTTTAGCGCCCATTTTCTTGAAGTCCAACCATTTTGTAGCTTTTGACTAGTTCTCTGTTCCTGCACTCAAAGGAATCGATATTTAAAAAAAAAGTACCAGGAACATGACCACAGTCAGAGACACCTGTCAGGATATTGCTATAACTATCCAAAGGAGAAGTGCTGAATAACCCAGCGGTGTGGATGGGGGTAGAGATCAGTACTAGAGACACAGATTCAGGGATCAAAAGATGAGAGAAGATTGTTGAAGTCCTATGTGAATGAGT
Organism: Homo sapiens; assembly: GCF_000001405.40. Lineage (NCBI taxonomy): Eukaryota > Metazoa > Chordata > Mammalia > Primates > Hominidae > Homo > Homo sapiens. The sequence continues at coordinate 88,271,751 of NC_000006.12, forward strand.
GAGATCATGGTTATAAACAAGGAGAGGAGGGGAGAGTTTAAGAGTTGTGTAAAGAGGAGCCACAGAAGAGAATGAAGAAGAACCAGCTGAAGAGAGGAACCAACAAAAGGGACTGAAAGGGAACAGCTGGAGAGGGAGAAACTCTAGGAGGGAATGCCATTATGGAGACCAAAAAAGAGGAAAGGAGCAGCCAATTTGATTTTTACTGCTAAACCATCAAGTAAGTTGAGAAACAGAAAGGTTCCATGGAACTTCCAATTGCAAGGCCATGGTGACCTTTTCCAATAACAGTTTTTGTGCTGTGGTAATGGCAGGAGTCAGTCCAGGGAGTCAAGAGTAAATGGGGTGCTACTTATTGCCCAGGCTGAAGCTGGTTTATCCCACCCCAAAGGACAAAGCCCAACTCACTGGTTTTCCTATGACAACACAAGTGAGAAAAATAACCGAGAGTAAATAGAACATAGTGAGATTAAATTAAATGAAATAAAGATGCTTTTTAACAAAAAAATGAAGTCTAAATTATTTTAAGTATAACCACAAGATGAAGCATTGAAGACAGTAAATGTAGAGTGTCCTTTATGGGTTTTGGTTAGGAAAGTTGCACTTGAGCTCTAAGCCTCTTCCAATTCTAATAGTCAATGATTATAGCTCATAAACTATAGTCCATGAACATAAAAATAACTTGATGTTAAAGAACTAAATAACTTACTTCTTTATTTTAGGCTGCTTGTTGTAGAAGGAATCTGTGCTTATTGTAAATTTAAGCAATGCAGAAACATATAAAGTCAAAATTAAGTCCTCTCTTTCACCTCTACCTCACCCTAATCTCAATCCCCAGAGACACCATATTTTCTAGGCACATGCAAACATATATATGTACATAAATTGTAATATAATGGATTAATTCTATCTTTGAACATTGTATCTATAAACATGAGTGATATTAAAAATATTAAACTCAGTGTGATGGGGTAGCAGCTAATCAGAACGGCTGTCAGTGCTAAGCAGCTGGGTTGAGTGGTGTGACATATTACATTTAACCAGACCCAGCAGAGGTGCGGGAGGCCTGGCATGGTGGTGGGAGCTGCACCTCAGTGTCTGGCCACAGCTACATGGCCTCCGAGTTTTACTCTGACTCTCCAGGATTTTTCTATAAGACACATGATATGCTTTAATAAATTGCCTTTTTTATTTAAACTGGACAGAGTGGTTTTTTTTTTTTGCAAGCAGAAACAACAGTGGAATATAAAAAGAATTAAAAGATTCTCAGCCGGGCTCGGTGTCTCACGCCTGTAATCCCAGCACTTTGGGAGGCCGAGGCGGGCAGATCACGAGGTCAGGAGATCGAGACCATCCTGGCTAACACGGTGAAACCCCGTCTCTACTAAAAAATAAAAAATAATTAGCCGGGCGCGGTGGCGGGAGCCTGTAGTCCCAGCTACTCGGAAGGCTGAGGCGGGAGAATGGCATGAACCCAGGAGGCGGAGCTTGCAGTGAACCGAGATTGCGCC